>NC_000009.12:120095552-120720552 GCF_000001405.40 Homo sapiens
TTTGGAAGCCCATTCAACCATTGTCGTGCATACATGTTAGTCAGGGATCTCCAGAGAAACAGAACCAATACAAGATACATATACATATAAAAGGAGATCTATTATAAGAAATTGGCTCACAATTATTATGGAGGCTGAGAGGTCCCACAAACAGCCATCTACAAGCTGGAGGCCCAGGAGACTAATAGTGTAGTTCCACCCAAAGTCCAAAGACCTGAGAACCAGGAAAGTCAATGGTAAGTCCCAGTCTAAGGGCAGAAGATCAAAGTTTTAGCTCAAGCAGTCAGGCATAAAGAGAAAACCCTTCCTTCCTCCACTCTTTTGTTCTCTTCAAGATATATCTGATGAATTAGATGATCCCCACCTGCACAGGGGAGAGCCATTGGCTTTACTCAGTCTACCCATTCAAATGCTAATCACTTATGGAAACACTCTCACAAACACAAAGAAATAATATTTAGCCAGATATCTGGGACCTGTGACTCAGTCAAGTTGACACAAAAAAATTAACATTCACAATGCACAAACCTGGAAGTGTGAGGAAATTATCAACTATGGACCAAAAGGGGACAGAAACTAGAACATAAATATTCCTCCTTCTGTATTTTCAGTAGACAATTTTGATGCCTATTCTACATGACTTCTCAAAGGATCTCCAGTAGAATTGAGCCCTAGTTGCCCCAAGTGCTAACCAGGTCAGTAACACACCCTTGGATGGGCCTCTCCCACCTTCCTTATTTCATTATTTTCAGCCCTCCTCCATTCTCTATTCCCTGAGAATCACTCTCCAAAATAAACTACCTCCCTGTAAATTGGCTTGGAAAAATAACCTGCCCTCCCTGAATCTCAGTTTCCTCTGCTGTAAAATGGGAATAATAATCACCCCTCCCTCCCAAGGTTGCTGTAAGCATTAACAGTGAAGTGCTGTACCTGGTGCCAATAGACAGTGAGGGCTCAGAGAGGTGAAAGAATTGAGATACTGGACAAAACAACTTCTTCAACAAACTATTAAAGTGGCTCATTTTCTTCTTATTCCACCTTTCCTTCTACTTTAGTCCCACTGGGTACCCTTCATGCAAATATACCAATTGGTACATTTTTCTCTCCAATGACAACTGGGGGCTCTGGCATTCCTCTGCTGAGGGAGTAGGGGGATGAGGATTCAATTATTCATCAGCTGTTTTCCAAGGGAGGACCCTTAAATGAAGATTCAGTGGCAGATGCAGCCCAGGAAAAAGCTGGAGAAGAGTTCCCCAAAGACTGGGTCCAGCAGCAACTTCTTTTTTTTTTCAGAGTCACCTGGTTGTGCCTCTGAATTCTTTAGGGATAGAATTTTGTGTTTCATTGGTTCTGGCATCTCTTTATCCAGAGCCTTGGATGCTACATTCACAAGGGACTCATGAATAATGCATGGTGACCTAAAAAACTCCAGGCAGGTAAATTAAAGATGAGCATGAAAAACCTGGATGCTTAAGCTGAATTCAGCTGTGACCACAGCAGGCAGTTCTGCTATACATGATCCATCTAGTGGTTCTCCATGCTCCACCTCAGATGCATGCCCCGCCTTCCCTAGGTTCTGCAATGTAGAGTCCTCCACATTGGCCCGCCAACTTCTGCAATGCCTCAGTTCTGACCTTGTTCCTCAGCAGCCTTCAAACGTTACCCTTCTTATGCTCCATTTCCTCTACAGATTATTAGGAAATTAAACTTAAGCCTAACAACTACTTCATGCAATGCAGGTAATGATGAATGATGCAATATCACCAGACTATAGTTTTGTGAGTTTTCCTAAAGTCTATTCTTGGACAAAGGTGTCATCAGGCACCATTGAGGTAGGAAAAAGAAGAGGTGCTATTTATACTATCAACCTGCTGGTCTTGCAAGAGCTCACACGGTATGGGGATACAAGGAAGGCCTCGTCTCAGTCTGTTCTCCCTGTTGTCAATGCCTGGCTGAATCACCCAGATCAAGGGCTTCTCCTCTCTGGTTTTAGTTTTCCACTTCAAAGATGGAAGAACTGAGGCCCAGAGTAGAGAAACAATTCTCCCATCCAGTTAGTGTCACACAGTCAACCAAAAATGGAGCCAGAAAGAGAACCAGAACTTGTTTTTTCCCTCCCAGGGCAACCTTTTTCCCACCACTCTAAAATGCCCACCACTCTGTTCCCAAGTGAGCCATCCAGGGAAAAGGAGGGAGGGAAATATATTTGCAGGTGATTTAAAGCAGAGATGCTTCCAGGATGCCCCGCTCCCTCTGGGTAATTTATGGATGTGTGAACAGGATGATGGGCTCATTGCTTACACCGTGTAATTCAAAAAATGCAGCTGCCCTAGAAAGATGGGTGAGAGGTATAAAAATATGTACATTTGATGGAGCATATATATGTGTTTGTAAATACAGTCTGTTATTGCTCAGTGTTATTATATATCCATCATCTTTCTTTGGGTTATTGGAAACATAAAAATCTTAAAGCACTAAAAACACAAAGAACGATAAGTCACCCAGGAAAGTATATCTTCTCGGGGATGATTTTATGTCGGGAACAGTTTGTGCCTTCGGAAAATAAAGTTCTTGCACTGCCAGGGAGGGGAAAAAAAAAGACAGAGGGTGGGGTGGGAAGATGGTACCTACAAGCCCATGGGCAGAAACAGGTCCCTGAAATGGCAGGACGGCCAGTGGAACAAGGGGTAAAAACAGTGGACCAGGAATCCAACCCAGTCTAGGTTCCACCATTTGCAGCTCTCTGAATCTGTGTGAGTCATGACCTTGATGCCTATCTCCTCACCTATAAACTCGGGACAAGAATCCCCACTGGGGCACATTGGGGTTCCACAAATGTTAGTTCCCTCCTCCTCAAACTACCCTGTTCTGAGCAGGTGTCAAATGTGGCTGCACAAAAAAATGACATTGATATATCAGCTCCCCACTTCTGGATCTCCTCCTCGCAGCCCAAGCAACCAAACCACAAAGTGGAAGCATAAACTAAATTCCAAGCAGCAGACATAGTCAATAGTACAGACGTGATTTTTAAGTGAAATTAATGATTTTTCGAATATAGATTTCCTCTCCAGGCCCTTCCCTCCTCAGCTTCGGAGATTCACGCTTCTACACACATTTGGTAATGTTTCTGAAGCCTGGGGTTCTGTTATAAGTCAAATGTTAAGGGAGCCTCCAGGGGAGCATGGGGGCGGGAGGCTAGCTGCGTGGGGTCACACGTGGAGAGGGTCCTTTTGCAGTCACAATGGAGGACACAATTGCACAGTTGGAGAGCAACCAGCTGGAGTGAACTGGTGGTCAGGAGTCCTGGGGTTTGATTCAAACCCTGCCCCTAAGTCACTCTGTGCCCAGCCACATATCCCTGACCCTATTCTGGGCTTCAGTTTGTGCATCTGAAAATAAGGGGGTTGGAGTGGAAGTTCTTGGAGGTCCCCTTTAGGACTTCACTTTCAACAAGAGGTTGGGTTGATACATATAATCTTTCATTTGCCTCTGAATCCCCAGCATGTAAAATAGTAGAAAAGAGTTGGGTACATAGCAGAGGTTCAGTAAATGTTTGTTTCATTAATTAATTTTACCGGTATTCTTCAGAAATTCACGTAAGTGGCTTCAAGGGTAATAGACTGATTGCATTAATGGCCCCAGATAATGGCCTTCCTGTGTCCTCAGCCTTTGCAGTTTGCTCCCACTTGCAGGCTGGACTTGGCCATGTGACTTGTTTCCACCAATGGGAGAGTAGTGACCTGATGCAAGCAGAGGCTGGAAAAAGCACTTGTATTTTTCCACCTCTCTCGCTTGGATGCAGCCACTGCCATGGCCTGGCTGCTGGAGGATGTGAGAGGGATGTAGAGGAAAGATGAGGCATCACAGCCACAGCCATGCCAGACCAGACGGCAAGCTGACACACCAGCTGCCCACAGACATGCAAGCAAGCCCAGCACCACCCAGTCAACCCTGGAAACACGGGAGAAGTAATGTGCTGTTTGTTATACTGCAGCAGCTAACTGAAACACTAGGTATTGGGCAATTTCAACTAAAAGTTAGATACCTGGAAAAGAATGCAACAGCCAGGCCTCAGAAGGAGCAGCGAACAAGCAGAGACACCACTGGGACCAAGGTGGGCTTTGACTGTCAACTATGAAGTCTGGATCTTCGCTCTGAAGCTCTCACTTTGTAGGGGTTTTTGGCTGTTCCCTTGCATCTGCTTACTCCTCACCTCTCATGCCTCCTGCCAACTTCCACATCCCCTACCCAGATATAGGTTTCTTCCTCTCTCATTCCATCAGCTTACACCATGGGAAAAGGACCCATCATCGTCATCCTGGCCTTTCTGTCTACATAAGCGCCTTTCTATCTCTGCCCTGCCACTAACTGCCTGAGACAGAGTCAGTGCCACAGCATCATTACACTCCTGTACTCACCGCTCAACTAAATTTACAAATGGGATACCACAGGGATACTATCTGTGTATATGCATTTGTAGATATGTGTATATGTAGATACACATATGTATATGGATATGTATGTGTGTATATGAATACATATCTACATATGCATACACATACACACACACACACATATATACACAGAAAGAGAGGAGACAGACAAGGAAAAGATACTGAAGCCTCAGGACAAGTATTAAACTAGATAGCCTGTAGGAGCCCAAGATTCTTAAATGCTCTCCTCCGAGGGAAGCACAGAGGGGAATAGTGGCTTTGCCAAGTTCACCCTGCAAGACTTGAATTCAGTTGTTCTGCATCTTCCCCCAAAGTCTTTTCCAATACACTGTATTACATTTCCTCATGATCCCATTCCCAGTGAAATGCAGGAGCAGCTTCAAATAAAGCCACAGCATTTACGCAAGAGAACCACCCATAGCCCTTCCCATATTCCCTGGTGGGCACGCCTGGGGCTCACAGGCTGGAATGAGTTCCAGTTGGTGTCATATTATTTACTAGATCTTTCGCGCAGCTCTCAACCTCAGGTCTGCTAGTGATAATAAACTCCATTCCGACACAGCAACAGCTCAGAAATTTCTTGTCACAATTTTCAGGACAAAATGAGAGCTCCTACATGCGTGGGAACTCTGAGACTGTTCAGAGAGGCCTATTTCAAGGAGTTTATCAATAGCAGAGGAAAGATGCAAAGGGAACAGGGGAATTTTTACACCCTGCAGAGGACCAACCAGGCCAATACACACTCAATGGGCTCAGTAATCAGAGAGACCAGATGGAATCTGAATCCGAGAGACAAATTTTCACTCGGTCCCTACTCAGTAGCCAACCCTTGCTGGCCACTGAGGTTGCAAAAATGACTCAGACAGTCTCTGAAGAAGACTCTCACATTTGCTAACCATGTGACCTTGGGAAAGGTACTTTACTTCTGTCTCTGCCTACAAGTTCCTGAGCTGTAAAATGGGAATAAGAATTGTATTTGTCTCTAGGGATTCTTGTGGAGCGCAAATACGAAAATTCATGTTAAGTGCTAGCCCAGGGCCTGGCACATATGGTTGATGCTCAATAAAAGCCAACTACCATTAAGATTATTTTGTAGAAAAACATTTAGAACATGGAGGAGGGTGGTATGAGAAGGGCAGGGAGACAGGGAAGCTTTTCTGAAAGAGGACATACACCTGAGCTAAATTCGGGGAAAAGAGAAAAAGGCAACCTGGTAGATATGGAGGAAGGGTATTACAGGTAGATGGTGTAAGCAAAGTCAAGGAGGCATGAAAGATTTTCACGTGTAAAGAAGGAAAAACTGGTATATGTATTTGAATGATAAAGTTCAAAGTAGGGGCAAAGTGGCAAGAAGTAATGCAAAAAAGGCAAACAGAGTCCAGAATGTGAAAAATCTTGCATTTCACATTAAGGAGCTTGGGATTGTTCCTTTAGGTACATGGGAGCCATAGAAGGATTTTGAGCTGAGAGATAGCATCATAGATAGACATTCATACTAACATGAGAGTGACTCATATGTCTTCAAATATGACCTGCCACTTTCTTAGGAATATTTGCTACTTTATGAAGGCTAATTCCTTTGATGATAACAACAATAAGTGACATTTAGAAAATACTTACCATGTGAAAAGGACACTTTGTTTTTATTAACTCCTTTAGACTCACAACAACCCTCTGTGGTAGATTGATATCTTACCACCATCCTACTCTTTTTTCCCAATTTACAGATAGGAAAACTGTGGTACTGCAAAGATTAACTAAGCAGTGGATCTGGATTTTTAAGCCCAGAAAATCTGGCTCCCAAGCCCATGCACCTCAGCATTGCACCACAGTGCCCTTGATAAAAGAAGTCAGTCTAGATCCCTAAGGAATCGCCACACTGACTTCCACAATGGTTGAACTAGTTTACAGTCCCACCAACAATGTAAAAGTGTTCCTATTTCTCCACATCCTCTCCAGCACCTGTTGTTTCCTGACTTTTTAATGATCACTGTTCTAACTGGTGTGAGATGGTATCTCATTGTGGTTTTGATTTGCATTTCTCTGATGGCCAGTGATGATGAGCATTTTTTCATGTGTCTTTTGGCTGCGTAAATGTCTTCTTTTGAGAAGTGTCTGTTCATATCCTTCACCCACTTGTTAATGGGGTTGTTTGTTTTTTCTTGTAAATGTGTTTGAGTTCATTGTAGATTCTGGATATTAGCCCTTTGAACTAGAAATTCCATTTGACCCAGCCATCCCATTACTGGGTATATACCCAAAGGATTATAAATCATACTGCTATAAAGACACATGCACACATATGTTTATTGTGGCACTATTCACAATAACAAAGACTTGGAACCAAGCCAAATGTCCAACAATGATAAACTGGATTAAGAAAATGTGGCACATATACACCATGGAATACTACGCAGCCATAAAAAATGATGAGTTCATGTCCTTTGTAGGGACATGGATGAAGCTGGAAACCATCATTCTCAGCAAACTATCGCAAGGACAAAAAACCAAACACTGCATGTTCTCACTCATAGGTGGGGAATTGAACAATGAGAACACATGGACACAGGAAGGGGAACATCACACACCGGGGCCTGTTGTGGGGTGGGGGAGGTGGGAGGGATAGCATTAGGAGATATACCTAATGTAAATGATGAGTTAATGGGTGCAGCACACCAACATGGCACATGTATACATATGTAACAAACCTGCACATTGTGCACATGTACCCTAAAACTTAAAGTATAGAAAAAAAAAAAAAGTCAGTCTTTAATTATGAGCCTCAGGCATGAGTTAGACTCCTAACTGGCAATAAAGGATGCTTGATGATACGGCAGAAAGAACTCTGGGCTGAAGTAAATGAGGCCTGAATTCTAGATTCATCTTGACCTCTGAAACTCTGTGCAGCTTGGAGCAAGTTGCTTTCCATCCCTGGACCTGCACTCCCCATCTGAACCACAAAGTCCTTCCAGCTTTGATATGCTCTGGTTCTGGGGCTTTCTAGGAGTGTAGGGAGTAAATGTTCACGATGTTAAATTATGCAAATGAGAACCAATTCTCAAAGTTTAGGCAGGAAGGTCTGGGATAGAGAGAAAAGGGAGGAGTCAGGATCCTCTAGAGACCGAATCTGAGGCCAATGTCACAAGAAATGAGTAAGTCACAGGCCAGGGGAAATGCAAATGTCTTCACTGGGACCCAATCCTAATTATGTAACAACCAGCATAGCTTCAGGACAATACTGAAGCAGAAAGATCTCTCAGAGGTTGTGGTGTAAGTCAATGGTTTTTGCACTTAGCTTAAGCTGTTTTTAAAATCTTTCATAGGGTGCAAATAAAGCTGAGTTTTTAAAGCAATATTTTATTTGTGTGAATGTATTTTATACATACAAATTATAATCTTTACTTATTATAAAGTCAGTCAATAAGAACAAGTCTCTTTTGATTAAATAAATTGGATGCTCAGGTTGATACAAAACTGCAATTGTCACTCATAACCCCTGACTTCACATTTTTTGTGTTTATCAAAACAGCCTGATAATTTTCATTAGTTTTGGTTGTACAGTATCCTGAAAACACTATTTACACAGATGAGTGGCTGCAAATGCTGACAGGTTAAAAAAAAAAAAAAAAAAGGAGAAGAAGAAGAAAGAGTAAAGGTGGTTATACAATCTTCTAATATTTTTCAAAGTGACTCACAGGTTTTAAAAGGAAGCCAAAGAGACCTACTTGAATTATAAAAACTATCCTATTCCAGATCATATCCACGATGCAGAGGTGCATTCATTCACCCATTTATTCAGCAAATACCTCCTGAGTGCCTACGATGGGTTATGTACTGCTCTAAGCGCCGGGGATATGGCAGGGAGGAAAACAAAAGCACTCCTGTCCTTTGAAGCTTAAAGCTTTGGCATGTGAGAGATGGAAAATCAGTAAAATAAATACACTAAGTAAAATCTATAGGATGATGGTGATGAGTGTTATGGGAACAAATAAAGCAGAAATGGGGGCTTAGGGACTCCAGGGTCAAGAGTGGGTCAATTTGAAATAGGTCAAGGAGCCTTCACTTAGAAGGTTTATGCAAAAGTCTGAAGGAGTGAGGGAGCCAGCCCTGAGGCTGGGGCAAGAGCAATCCAGCCAGTGCCAAGGCCCCAGAGAGACGGAGAGACACCTGCTGGACCGGCCCAAGGAAGAGAAAGAAAACTGAGCAGATGGGGGAGGCTGAGCAAGAGGGAGAGCTGTAGAAAATGAGATCAGAAAGGAGGACGGTCAATGCTAACAGGACAAATAAGGGGTGGCCTAAGACCAGACTCCAGGCTTTAGCCATACAGAGGTTATGGGTCATGGGTGACCTTGGTAAGTCCAGTTTTGATGGAGTAGTAAGAGCAGAAGCCTAACCAGGCAATTGCAAGAGGGAAATGGAGGAGAAGGATTGGGATGGTGGTAAGGATGGGTCTTTCCAGGATTTTTGTTATAAAGGGGAACAGAGAAATGAAATGGCAGCTGAAGGGGGAGGTGAGGTGGGGATGTTTGTTTGTTGTCTGTTTTCACACAGGGGAAATCTTAGCATGTTTGTACAGTGATGTCGGGGATCCAGGAGAGAGAGAACATGTTACAATGTAGGCGGGAGGGGGAGAATTGCTGAAGCAGTGCCCTTGGATGCGTGTGGAGAGGGAGGTTGGCCTCTAGGGTGGGACAGTGCATCTGCAGTAACAGGAAGGAAGGCAAGGCACGACACACTGAGGCAAAGCGACTGCAGTTAGTGGGGACCCACAGAGGCTCTCCTGGTTGCTTTTATTATCTCTGTGAAATGACAAACTGGTCATGAGATAGAAGTGAGGGAGGGGGAGGATGTGCTGAAGGTTCAAGGAGGAAGGAGAAGTCATGAAAAAAAATCATCTAGACGAGAGGGAGGGTGAATGGACCAGGGAAACGAATCATGGTTGCCAGGCAGCGTAACAGCCCACAGAAGACAAGGACTCATGAATCACAAGGGAGGCAGCCAGCCTGCTATGCACTCTTCTCTAGCCTGTTCGACTGCTCTGGGGCAGGTACCCAATAGGCAGAGTATTGGTTATGACTTGCGCTGTGGTTCTGCCATATAACTATGAGAAGGACAGGAGGCAAGAGTGTGGACTCCGGAGGCAAGATACCTGGTTACAAATCCTTGATCCACAACTCACTAGCTGTGTGACCTTGAGCAAGTTAGCTACCCTCTCTGTGCTTCAGTTCACCACGTCCTTAAGTCAAGATAAAATGAGCTTGTGTACATACCGTATTTAGAACAGTACCTCACATATTAAAAGCTCTCAGTAAATGTTAACTTTTATCATTACCAGTACTGTTTGAAAGAGTCAGCAAATGGGTTTCTCCACCAGTCAAAATCCTCACTGTTTGGCAGAAAACCCTTGTGAAATGTATCTTGTAACATTAGGAGCTATTAAGCAAAATCATGTTTTAAATCTCATCTTGTCCATTTCCACTGGATACACCTTCAAAATTTCCAGTCTAATTTATCTTTTTTTTTGTAATGTTAAGGCTGAACATTAAGTTTCAATTTTCCTGCTGACACTTTAGCAGCTGTCAGTACTATGACAACTAAAAGTCAGTCAAGTAGCACCAGAAACATACAATAACATGATATTATCACAACATGATGTGATGTTCACTGCACAACTATTACACTGTGAGATGAGCAGGTGCCTGAGACGCACCCAAGCCTTGCCTGGAATTTCAGTTGACCTTAGAAAAACATTCTTTCTCAGCCCGTGAGTGCTGCACTAGTGTATATACTGAAAAACTTTCACAGGAGCAGACATACACAGAAGCAATTTTAAAAGAGACATTGGCAGCTGCAATTTCACTAACTAAATATTCATTTACAAAGGTTCGAGTATGTTGACAAAGTAAATGACCCCCAGTGCAGGTCGGAGGTAAGTGGGGAAGATGTGAATGTTCTTTTGTGAGTGCTTCCATTTTCTCCATAGAATAGGCAGGCAATCATCAGCAGCATCAGCTGAGAGCGTGGGTGAGGAAAAGGAGCATAAGACAGAAGCCCTAATGGAAGCTGAGATAACACTCTAGGGACCTACAAATGTTTTAAAGTTCAGAAAACAATACAATGAAATGCATATGTTATTTTGTACAGAGATTAAGAGTACCATCCCTGAACCAGCTGTGGGACATTGGGCCTGTCATCTAACTCTTCTTAGCCTCAATTTCTTCATCTGAAAAATGGGGAATTATTAGAGTCCCTATTTCATAGGATGGGCATGAGAATTAAATATGTAAATCCATGGGCAGCCTGTAGAATGTGCCCTGGAAACAGAATATGATCAAAGTGTTAGCTGTGATTCTTACAGTGTTTTTTAAGGACTTAAATTATATTTTTACTCTGAGTTGGATTTCTGGAGCTCCCGAAACACATCCTTGAGCTCTTAGGATTCCTCCGAAAATAGTTTGACAGCCAGTGATCAAATCTAACCCTCTCTTGTTGTAAATGAGAACACCGGGACCCAATCAGATAAGCACACCTATCCCCCACAGAGCAAGGAACACAGATCTTATGAGGCTTGACCTCAGGGCTGTTATTCTGCCCTGGGGCAGGTTTTTTGAGCCATCCCTAGCTCTGGCATCCCTGTGCCTGCCCCAGGAAGAGTAGCCAGAGAATCTTTTAACTGACACATCAGAAAGAAGAGGCAGTAATACCTTGGAGAAACTTCTGGGAAGCTGGGTTCTAAGGCTTTGACCTCCCTCAACCCTCACTCCCATGATCAGACAAATTGAGCTATGGGAGAGTTTGCTAGTCGGGCTCCAGGGAAAAAGAAATAAGCCCTGGGTGGGAAGGTTGGGAGGGGGAGACTAGGGGATGGGTCTTCCCTGGAGACTCATTCAGAAACAAAATATTCAGGAAGGTTCCAATGGACCAGCAAAGGGGAAAGGGAGGGTAAACATATTTGGTGGAATGTATTCAAGAAGTAGTTAATGAACCAGCAGCATCAGTATCACATGGGGGACTGTTCAGACTGCAGGCTCCCAGGCCTCACCCCAGACTTGCTGAACCAGAATCTGCTTTTTGACCAAATCTCCAGGCAATTCCTATGTACCTTAAAATTTGAGAAGTAGCCGGTGCATCACATCATTATCCCTTTTCTTCTTCACAATGACTGCCTCAGGCCTGACCCTGTTATTATCCCCGTTTTACAGAAAAGGAAACTCAGGGGCTTAGAAAGGCTAACCTCCTGCTCAGTGACACAAGGACAGTTCACAGCACAGGGTGTGTCTGAACCCAGACTGTCCAACTCCAAAGCCTATGTTGTTTCTATGACCTTGAGCTGCCACCTTCTTGACAGGACCAGACATTGCATGAGCTCAGTTTGGGAATGCAGGGAGAAAGGGGAAACACTGGACAGGAATCCTGTGGAAACTTCTCATAACACAGTACTGGAACCCAGCAGCACTACCTAATTCATTCACTTGTTCATTCAGCAAACATTTTCCCAAGAGCATGTGCTAGGAAGTGGGGCACAGAAAAGAATGTCCCTATGCTTGTGCTGAAGAAACTTAGATCCGATTGGGAAGACAGAGGAGTAAACCAACCATTCCTGTGTCCCACACAGACTCCCTCTTTGATATCTCAGCAGTTGTTCACTTCTTTTCCTTTTCCCCTTTCCTTCTTGTCCTCTCCTCCTGTCCTGTTCTTTCTCTTTTATGAGGACCCCACTGGACACCTCCAAAAGAGAAGCAGCAGCAATTGTCACCCCTATGATGGCTAAGATGCGGGAACAAAGCCTGGTCAGAAATGGTGTTTCTAAGTCCTCTCTGAAGGCTAGGCATCTGGCATTCCTCTTGGTTTCAGAGAGCTGAGCCTCTAACTCTTGGCACCAGAAGGGTCATTACCAGATGAGTCTCTTCCAGCTGGTTTCAATGTCCTTTCTTTGGCTGAGACTTCCCTGTTACCAGGAAGCAAGTGGAGACCTGTTCCCAATGTAGAGCCCCCTACAGAAGCTCAGATGCAAATGAGATCATTGGACTGATTCAGACCAGCCAACACAGAGTAAGGCTGGATTCTGAGTTCTAAAAACAATGACAATATCAGTTGGAGGGACACAGGGTGGAAGGATTTAGGGGTTGGAATAAAAGAGGTCAAATTTATGACAGCACTGAAAGTATTATTTTTGCAGCATAGCCTCCAGAGACAGCAAGCAAAATGAATCCAAAGAGAGCAAGGCCATGTTCAACCATAGAGTTAAGTGAAAAATGCAGTTTACAAGGCAGAATGAGCCCACATAAAGATACAGTGAGAATCTGTGTACATACGTGTATATAAAACATGGAAACGTCTGCAAGAAAACAAGTGCTCGTCTGTGTTGAGGATAGAGTGCCTTAGTACTAATTTAGAACAGGATGTGGCTCCAGGCAGGCAGGGAAAAGGATAGCTCTTCCCATTCACCACCAGTGACACAACATTAGCGGTGAACTTGACTAGGCAGACATCTGCCCATGCACTTTCTCTCTACTTTCAGCCTGTTGCTTAAGAAATTCCCATTTTTTTCTATAACTCTCTTCCCTGTGCTTCTTATGACTTCTAACAAGATCGTAAACTTCATCCCCATGCAACTCAAGCTTCTAACTTAACAGTTAGACCATTTGTAGCTACTAAAACAGGACTCTCTTGGATCTGGAAGGTGGAGGTGGTCTGAAACATCAGAAAAGAGCTTTGCTGCACTGTTTTGACCAACCCAAAGAAAATAAGACCCTGGAGGCATGAACCTGCAAAGCTTCCCATTCTGCTATAAATTTTTGGAGAAGGAATATTATAATTTATATAAAACAAACATAATAGCAGGCAGGGGGATTATTACAGGTTGACTAATGAATACAAATATACAGTTTGATCAGAGAAATGAGACCTAGTGTTCAAGGGATCAGTAGGATGAGTATAGTTTACAATAATCTGTGTACATTTCAAAATAGCTAGAAGAAAATAATTCAAATGTTCCTAGAATAAAGAAAAGACAAATATTTAAGGTGATGAATATCCCCCATTACACTGATTCCATGCCCCTCAGCCCTCTATGCCTATTAATGAAGGTGACTCAAAATACTTTTCTACCCGAAGCATCCAATTTGTGTTTTCAGACTCATAACCACTTCATGAAGCAAGAGTCAGCAAGTTATTTTTGATTGACTGAAAGTGTTTCTTGATACAATCACTTCCGTTAAGCCATCAAAGTATGTTTTCAAGGGAACTGCATCTCTGGTGGGCCCTGAGGGGGCCTTTTCTCTCCTGGGGGAAGCCTGGCAGGTGACTTTGCTGCAGGCTCACACCACTCTCCAGCTGCGGTCTCTCCCTAGCTTGAAGGATCAGCACAGGGGAGGCAGGGAGGGATGGGAGGTCCCCCTGGTGCTGTGTGGCTGACACTGCAGTAGACAGGGGCGGAGCAGGTTAGAGTAAGCACTCCATGACTGTTTCACAGCATCCTTGGATGTTTCATCATGTCACCAGGTTGGGCAAAGGACTGCCTTCAGGCCTTCAACCTTGCTGTCTACGGAATGACTACAAGTCTCCAACTCTGGCCAAAGCATCAAAGATCCAGAAAGACAGCATACAGTGACCAGTGGGAAAGCTGCCCTTGGCTGGCATCAGAGTAGGTTCCTCCCCTGCCTATGTTCTAGGCAGGAGACTTGAAACTGAACTAGGGAAACTTAGCATTCACATTTGCCTCTGGTTGAATACCAGGTGAAAGGTGCATTCTGGGCAGCATTCAAGAACTGATGGCCCTAACAGAGGTTATGGCCCTTTAGCCAATGATTTTCAGGGTTAAGCATTGCCCTCAGTGCTCTCACAGGTCACCCACTACAGATGGGGTTTTATGCTGGGCAGTAGAATGGCACCATCAGAGCAGCAACATATGTGTCTTTGTGTGGTCTCATCCCCCTGCAGATCTTGGGCTGTCCAGCCAGCTTGCTATTTGCATAAATCAATTTAATATTCAGTAGAGGCAAATGGGACCTCTCTTGATTGGCTTAGCCTGATTGAAATCCCATTAAGAATAAAAGGAACATAGAAAAATGGAAACACACTCAAAGAATTCAAAGAAACTTGGAGATCATCTCCTATTCTACAACCGTTGCAGACTTCACTGACCTAGCATCAAACTCCTTCCCACTGAGCCCCAATACAGCTTCATAGTCCTCATCAATATCCCAAGTCAGGCTGCAACCACTATCCATTGGAGTTGGCATGCAAAATAAAACTTATTTGACATCGCTGATAAAATCCAAACCTATCTTTTTACAGAGGAGAAAAACAGGTTTAGAGAAGGAGAGTGACTTAGCCAGAATCATACAAGAAGTCCCAACCTTGGGAGTTAAAATCTAACTCCTATTCCAGTGTTCTTTCTACTGCACCAGAATCAGTGTTCTAAAATCTTAGAATCAAGGTGAACAGGAAATAAGAGGAAGATGACATAAAAAGCTCATCCTATGGAAAGAACAGCAGCTTAGCATGAGGTGACCCTAGGTTCAAATCCTAGCTCCAACACTTAAAAGCTGTGTGTCCTTTGGCAGGTGACTTCACTCACTGGTCCTCAGCTTTCCCACTTACAAAATGGAGATAATAATGCCTCCTTTATAGAGCCATTGTAATGCTCAAATGAGATGATGCCTGGCACAGTGCCCAACACAGACCAAGTAACAGTGTATGCAGAGATTTACCCATGCCAACACCAGGCTCCTCATGGTGGCCACTTCCCTCCCTGCCTCATTCCCAGCCAAACCACCTCCTATTGGCTTGATTGCCATCAGTGATGAATGAGGCTTCAGTTTCCATGGTTGCCCGGACCTATTTATTGGACAGATGACTTTCATAGCCTGCAGGTCTCTGCTTGGAGTTGGCAAAAGCTGGGCCACTGAAGCTGCATTTCCAAAGCACCTGAGCTCTCTCCACTCCTGAGAGTGCCTGGGGATGCTCCCAGAATTGTAAGACTCCCTCTATGGACTCTTGGTAAAGGTAGTGACATTTTCAGGAAGCTCCACATGGAATCAGTGTCAAGTGCCAATTGAGCACATTATTACTTGGACTCCAAAAGGCTGTTCTGGTTCTCCCACAAGATCATCAGCTTCCTGAGGCAAGGCCAAGGTCATACTCAGCTCTGCATCTCCCATGTCCATGTCTCCTGGCATGCAGTTAGTGCACATGGTGAATTGCATTCTTGACTACAATTCTCCACCCTACCCTTCTTCCATCCACTTTATCTTGTAGCTTCACAATGCTCTCTTTCTATACACAAATCATAATCCCCTACCCCCGACCTAGCCATGCAACTTTCTTTGGCCAAAGGAATGTGCATTAGTTATCTATTGCTATGTAACAAATTACCCCCAAATTTAAAAGCCTAACACTACACACATTTATTATATCATAGTTCCTGGGGACAAGGATCTCAGTATGGTTCACCTGGGTCCTCTGCTTCAGGGTCTCACATTGCACAGGACTGCAATAAAGGAGTCAGCTGACCTGTGTCATGTCAAGGCTCCACCGAGAAAGGTTCCACATCCAAGCTTATGTGCTTTATGGACAGGACTCAGTTCCATCCATGCTGTTGGCCAGAGGCTGCCCTCCATTCTTGCTGTGCGGGCCACTTCATCAAAGCACATAAGCCAAGGAGACACTAAAGAAAATCTGCTAGCAAGACAGAAGTCATAATCTCTTGTGACCTAATCACAAAACTGACAGCCCATCACTTTTGCTGTATTCTATCAGTTCAAAGCAAGTCACAGGCTCTGCCCCACTCAAAGGGAGGGGATTACCCAAGGGTATGAATTCAGGAGGCCGGGATTATTGAGGACCATCTTAGAAGACTGCCTACCATAGGATGTTTGCAAATGTAGCAAGCAGTGTCTTGAGAAGCACGTGTACAATTGGGCTTTCTTGCCTTGAGTAACCCACTAGTTCAAGAAGGAGCATAAGGGATGCATGGCAAGAATTAAACCCCCAGGAAAACCCAACCTAGAGCAGAGTCCCCAGTAAAAGTGTGGGCACATGGGTGAGCCCAAATGAGATCAGCACAACTGCCCAGTAGAATCCAATGCACATCAGTTGGCTCTGGCAGAAGTCACTGAAGTTTTGAAGTTGTTTGTGAGCAAAAGCTAATTGATACCATGAGCAATAAGTATTAACACAACTCATAATTATTTATTTCACTTCTCAGTTTTCTAATCTATAGAAAGGGCATAATAATATTTATCCCTCACAGAGTCATTATGAAACCTAAATGAGTTAGTTTTTACAAAATATTTAGAACAGTGTCTGATGCATAGTAATTAGGCAAAAGTGTTTGTTAAATTAAAATAAATCCATCAATAACACCTCACCTGTTTTTGAGCGCTTACCACATGTTAAAAACTTTGCATACATTCTCTCATTTACTCTTCACAATAATCGTATGAGGTTGGTACAATTATTACCTTCATTTTTTAAATGGGGATTAGACCCCATTAAAAATGGCAAGACATGAACAGACACTTCCCAAAAGAAAACACACAAGCAGCCAACAAAAAAATATGAAAAAAAAATGCTCATCATCACTAATCATCAGAGAAATGTGAATTAAAGCCACAATGAGATACCATCTCATCTCACACCAGTCATAATGATAATTATTAAAAAGTCAAAAAACAACAGATGTTGGAGTGGCTGCAGAGAAAAGGGAATGCTTATACACTGCTGGTGGGAAAATTAATTAGTTCAGCCACTGTAGACAGTGGTTTGGAGATTCCTAAAAGAACTTAAAACAGAACTACCATTAGACCCCGCAATCCCATTACTGGATATATATCCCAAAAAATCCCAAATCTTTCTACCAAAAAGACACATGCACTCACATGTTCATCGTTGTACTATTCACAATAGCAAAAACATGGAATCAACCCAGGTGCCCATCAACAGTGGACTGGATAAAGAAAATGTGGTACCTATAAGCCATGGAATACTATGCACCATAAAAAAGAACAAAATCATGTTCTTTGCGGCAATATGGATGCAGCTGGAGGTCATTATCCTAAGCAAGTTAATGCAAGAGCAGAAAATCAAATATCACATGTCCTCATTTAGAAGTGAGAGCTAAACATTGGGTACTCATGGACAGAAAGATGGCAACAATAGACACTGGGGACTATTAGACGGGGACAAGTATTAAAAAGCTAACTGAGTGGCACTATGCTCACTTACTGAGGGGCAGGATCATTTGTATCCAAAACCTCAGCATCTATGCAATATATTAATATCATGTAACAAACTTGCACATGTACATCCTGAATCTAAGATATAAGGTGAAATTAGAAAAGTAAAATAAAATAAAATGGGGCTTTGAAAGTTTGAAAAATTTGCACAAATCACACAGCTAGTATATGGGGAAGCCAAGGTTCAAATTAGTAATCAGTTAAGTAAAGACCAAGATCAGAAAGATAAGAGAACAGAGTCAGCAATAAAAAGGTTGAAAGAGTAATGAGAGGTACAAGCAAGTGACTGGGTTGATTCAGAACTAAGTCTGTAACAGCTGGGCTGGTGCCAGGACAGTCCTTTAGTTTGTGTCCTTATATGCCTCATGGGGGCTAAAAGAATGACCCAAGGATGACAGAACAGAGATGTTTAACAAGAAAAGAGAAGTATGAAGGGGTAACATGAGAGATGTTTTCAAATAAGAAAAGCCACTGGAAAGGGAAATTGATGTTTCAATGTGACTCCAGGGGACAGATACAGGTCATTTAGGTGGAAGTTCAGAGACAGGTCAATGTAAGGAAGAACTAGGTAGGAGTTCCAGGTACTAAATCATAAATAGAATGCCTGGGGTGGGCAATGAGCTTCCCTAGAAGTGCTCCAGCAGATTCTGGAGGACCACGTGCCAAGGATGTTGTAGACATTTCTGCGTTCTACTAGCAGGCAAATGATTTACCTTGCAAGACCTCTTCCGGCTCATAGTCTGAGCTTCCAAGAAAACAATTGCATAGATGGATGCACAGCCAAAACCTTGCTGATTGGGAAACTGTCACCTGGTTCATTTCTGATGCCATGGCAGGAAACAAAGAAAATCTACAACAAAGCTCTATTTTTCCAAACAACAAAGAAATGAGTGAATAATTAATTATAATTCCAATGATTGAAGGTGCTCAATAAAGTTGCTCATCATTATGGTCCTCAACAGACAGCATGGCCATCATTAACCCTCGCTTAGGTTGATCATGTTCAGAGACACTTCTCAAGCCCCTACTTAGCCTTAACCAAACTCTACTTCCTGACTTAACCTTCTTTCCTTTCCTTCCCTGCTCCACTTGGCTTCTCCAAAACTCATTCTTCTTGCAACTGAAAGCTGCGTTTATTTTTTTCTGGCAGCCCCTTTCTCTCCTGGTTCTCTGCTGTGTCTCCTTCTTTCCCTTCTTGGAGTTCTTCAATGGCCACTATCTCTGTTATCTTCTTACATGTTGGTAAATCCTAAAACTCCACCTCTACCTTCCTTTCTTACCAATCCTCACACTTCCCATGGGTAATCTCAGCCACCCCATGGGGTTTTAGCCACCCAAATGCTAGCAACTCTTAAATCTCAGGCTCTAGCCCAGATGACTCTGCTGAACGAAAACCTGTATGTCTAACTGCTGCTGGGCATCTCCACCAGAATATCTCCCAGGCATCTCTGATTCATCCTCTGAAAAATTTACTCTTTACCTTTCACCAAAATCTGTTCTTCTTTTTAATAACATCAAACTGTGTCATTGGGTATCCTTCTTTCCCTTCCTGGGCTTCAGATTTTCCCATCTGTAAAATAAGGAAGTGGGAGTGATTTATTTCTAAAGCCCCTTTCTTTCAATTATGACATCTTGAGATTTACCTTAAGATCCCAGGACTTTAAATGATGCTGTGTTCTATCAGCTTGGAAAGCAATATAATGACAAAACAATACTAATAATAGCTGAACTTTATTGAGAATTTACATGTGCTAGAAATGTTTGTAATCATTACCTATAGGTCATCTCCCTTAGGTGGTCCCACCACTATCATCTTCATTTTGAAGATAAAGAAACGAAGGCTAAGGGAGGTTAGGGGATCTGGCCAAAGACACACAGCTGGGAAGTGGCCACACTAAGAGTCAAACCTTCATGGTCTTACATTCCTGGGCTCTAGACCTGGGTAAGAGTCTTGAGTTTCTGTCTTGGCCCCAGATTTTGTTAACTCTGTGTCCTTGGGCAAATCTTTTGCTCTTTTATGGCTTCGTTTCTCTGTCTTTCAGAGTAATACTAGTAGCTAATATTAACTCTTGCAGACTTGCAAGATTAAATGAAATAACACGGTGAGTTACAATCTAAGGATGTTTCTACCCATATTCCTTTGTTCTCCATGGTGCTTAGCCCTTCTCACCCAGGCAGAAAGGTGGCTACTCTCCCAGGCATTCATTGCTGCAGGGAAGGGATACAAGCTAAGAATTCAGAGAAAAGATTTGAAAGCTTAGACCTTATGGGAGCTAGGATATTAACACTGATTTGAGGAAAACAATGTGGAGTCAAAACAAGGCTTCCTGTCCCCCAAGCAGAAGAAAAGATTCCTCAGAAGCAAAGAGTAAGTAGATGTTGAGGCTTTCAGAGAAGGAGGTCCCATCCTCCCCAGCAGCACACATCTCTGTGTGTGGTAGATCGGAGGGAGGGTGACAGATGTTCTAGATAGACTCAGAAATCTGAAAGCAAAGGGGGCTTCTGTCCCCAACCACAGCTCAGAAATCTTCTCTGTAGAAGTAGCTGAGTCTCAGATCTAGGCAGAAGATCCTGAGACTACCTCCCAGCATTCGTGCTCCCCGGACAGTTCAGGCACTACAGAAAGATCCTGGGGGCCAGAGCAGTGGGGACACAACTGAGGGTGTTACAGGATGCCTTGCAATCAGGGTAAAGGAGAACCCAGCAGCAACCCACAGGACCCACGGGCTGAGAACCAGGATGTCCCAGCAGCTGGCACCATGGATAGATAACATACTTGACACTACATGCCATACTCTCTCCCAGTACCCAAATGCCTCAATTTCCTATAAGACCCCTGGAACTGGCCAGGATCACACCTGGGATTCCAGAACTTTGGGAGGCCAAGGTGGGAGGATCACTTGAGCCCAGGAGTTCAAGACCAGCCTGGGCAGCAAAGCAAGACCCCATCTCTACAAAAATAAAAATCAGCCAGTAATGTAGTTTGGATCTGTGTCCCCACCCAAATCTCATGTTGAATTGTAATCCCCAGTTTTGAAGGTAGATCCTGGCGGGAGATGGTTAGATCATGGGGGTGGAGTTCTCATGAATGGTTTAGTATCATCCCCCTTGGTACTGTATAGTGAGTGAATTCTCGCAAGATCTGCTTGTTTGAAAGTGTATAACATCTTCCCTCTCTCTCTCTTCCTTCTGCTCCAGCCATGTAAGATGTGCCTGATTCCCCTTTGCCTTCCACCATGATTTTAAGTCTCCTGAGGCCTCCCCAGAAGCAGAAGCCACTATGCTGCTTGTACAGCCTTCAGAATCATGAACCTCTTTTTAATAAATTACTCAGTCTCAGGTATTTCTTTACAGCAGTATGAGAACAAACTAATACAGAAAATTGGTACTGAGGAGTGGGGCATTGCTATAAAGATACCTGAAAATGTGGAAGCAACTTTGGAACTGGGTAACAGGCACAGATTAGAAGAGTGTAGAGGGCTCAGAAGAAGACAGGAAGATGAGGGAAATTTTGGAGCTTCCTAGAGACTTGTTAAATGGTTGTGGCCAAAATGCTGATAGTAACAGGGACAGTGAAGGCCAGGCTGATGAGATCTCAGACGGAGATGAGGAACTTACTGGGAACTGGAGCAAACATCACTTTTGTTACACTTTAGCAAAGAACTTTGAGGCATTGTGCCCCTGCCCAAGGAATCTGTGGAACTTTGAACCTGAGAGTGATGATTTAGGGTATCTGGTGGAAGAAATTTCTAAGCAGCAAATTGTTCAAGATTTGGCTGGCTGCCTCTAACAACCTATGCTTATGTGTGAGCAAATAAATGATCTGAAAATGGAATTTATATTTAAAAGGGAAGCAGCGCATAAATGTTTGGAAAATTTGCAGCACAGCCATGTGGTAGAAAAGAAAAGCCCATTTTCAGGGGAGCAATTCAAGCAGGTTGCAGAAATTTGCATAACTAAAAGGAAAGCAAATGCTGATAGCCAAGACAATGGGAGAAAGTCCTCGGTGGCATTCCAGAGACTTTCATGGCAGCCCCTCCCATCACAAGCCCAGAGGCCTAGGAGGACTGAATGGCTTTGTGGGCCAGATTCAGAGCTCCACTGCCCTGTACAGCCTCAGGACACTTTTCCGCATCCTGGCCTCTCCACCTCCAGCTGTGGCTCAAATGAGCCAAGGTACACCTCGGACAACTGCTCCAGAGAGAGCAAGCTGTAAGCCTCTGCAGCTTCCACATGGTGTTAAGCCTGCAAGTGCACACAATGCAAGAGCTGAGGCTTGGGGTCCTCCACCTAGATTTCAGAGAAAGTATGGAAAAGCCTGGATGTCCAGGCAGAAGCCTGCTGCAGGGGAGGGTCCCTCATGGAGCACCTCTACTAGGGCAGTGTGAGTCGTAAATGTGGAATCAGAGCCTCCATACAGAGTTATTCTCACTGGGGCACTGCTTAGTGGAGCTGTGAGAAGACAGCCATCATCCTCCAGACCCCAGAATAGTAGATCTACCAACAGCTTTCACCCTGCACCTGGAAAAGCCACAGGCACTCAGTGCCAGCCTTTGGAAGCAGTAGCAGGGACTGAACCCTGAAAAGCCACAGGGACAGGGCTGCCCAAGGCCTTGGGAGCCCACCCCTCACACCAGTGTGTCCTGGATGTGGGACATAGAGTCAAATGAGATTGTTTTGGAACTTTAAGGTTTAATGAATGTCCTACTGGGTCTTAGACTTGCATGGAGCCTTAGGCCCTTTCTTCTGGCTGATTTCTCCCTTTTGGAATGGAAGTATAATATGCCTATAACCCCATTGTATCTTGGAAGTAACTAATTTGTTTTCACTTTTACAGGCTCATAGGTGAAAGTGACTAGCCTTGTCTCAAAGAGACTTGGGACTTTGGACTTTTGAGTAATGCTAGAATGAGTTAAGACTTTGGAGGACTGTTGGGAAGGTATGATTGTATTTTGAAATGTGAGAAGGACATGAGATTTGGGAGGGATCAGGGGTGGAATAAGATGATTTGAACGTGTGTCCCTACCCAAACCTCATGTTGAATTTGGAGGTGGGCCTGATGGGAAGTGATTGGATCATGGGGGAAGAGTTTATACAAATGGTTTAGTATCATACCCCTTGGTACTGTATAGTGAGTGAGTTCTCACTAGATCTGATTGTTTTAAAGTGTGTGGCATCTTTCCCCTCTCTATCTTTCTCCTGCTCTGGTCACGTAAGATGATCTTGCTTCACCTTTGCCTTCTGCCATGATTGAAAGTTTCCTGAGGCCTTCCCAGTAGCAGAAGCTGCCATTCTTCCCTGTACAGCCTGCAGAACATGAGCCAATTAGACCTCTTTTATTTATAAATTACTCAGTCTCAGGTGTTTCTTTATAGTAGTGCAAAAATGGACTAATACAGCTGGGCACGGAGGTGCATGTTTATAGTCCCAGCTACTCGGGAGGCTGAGACAAGAGGATCGCTTGAATCCTAGAGTTCTAGGCTGTAATCAACTATGATCATGCCACTGCACCAGCCTGGACCACAGAGTGAGACCCTGTCTCTAAAACATTTAAATTTACATTTTAAAAAGATCCATGGAACTTAGACATATTCTGAGGCAAGGTAGGACCCAAATGAACTGAGATTAGGTTTCTCCTATTTAGCAAACTGGGGGCTCAAAATGATAAGGAAAAGGAAAGGGAGTTTTATTTTAGTTCTTGTTCATCTGGGTTTATAGACTGAAACCACAGCTATTGCATATGTGAAGCACTCAGCCCAGTGCCTGGCACAAAGTGGACACTTGATGAATGAGAACTGGTTCTCTTACCACCTCCTGGAAGAACCTCCTCTCCACATAGGCTCTCTCCTGTCCCAGCCCTTCATGTCCAGTTGATATCTGTGCTCCCTAGGAGAGAAACAAAATGGGGAGATGAAGTAGATTTGCTCACTACTCTTTGCACCCACCATGATCTTTTATCTAACTCCAGGTGAAGAAATCACTTTCCTCTCCTCCTGACTGCAAATGTTTATTGATACTACTGTGAAAATTAAATGCTTTGCTGAAGATTACTCTTTAACCCTGGAATTCAAGTTGGTATGTGTCTGCTTGTTCATTAGTTAATTAGTTAATCAGTTTGTTTATTTAGTAACAGCCAGATTCTATGAAACAACAATGAGAAGGAAAATCCTTTACATTCACACTTCTCAAGCATTAATGTGCCCACACATCATCTGTGGATCTTGTTAAAACAGAGATTCTGATCCAAAGTATGGAAAAAGGGCCTGAGTTCTACATATCTAATACACTCCCAGGTGATACTAATCTTGCTGACCCATGGACCACATCTAGAGGATCTAGAGTCAGACACACTAGGTTCAAATCCCAACTCTGTAGCTGTGTGACTTTAAGCAACTTAAATAACCTCTCTGAGCCTTCATGTCATCTTTTATTAAGTGGGACTATATATAACTTCTTACTGGAAAGTTTGTATAGGTGAAGATTAAAGATAATTCAACAGAGCCCTTGCATGTCTTGGCCATTCTGCAAGTAGCAGTGTAAATTATTAGGATAGTGTGGCCCCATTTATGCTAAATGTGGGGTTGCACCTTTCTACTACAGCCTTAGGATCCCTCTTGTCCTGACATTCTGCTATTCTGGGAGGACCGAATAGCTCTGGAATGAATAAAACTGTCACTGCCTATATGGAAGGGCAGCATCTTGTCTCTACTATCAGAGTGTGGTCATCATTTCAGACCAGCTATGAGGCATCCTGCTCTTGAGATGGGCTGAGAATCAGGATGTCCCAGCAGCCGGCAGCATGGATAGATGATGACATACCTGGTACTAAATGCCCACCTAGTCCCCAAATGTCTCGATGTCCTGTAAGACCCCTGGAACTGGCTGAGCATAGTGATTCACACCTGGATCCCAGCACTTTCGGAGACCAAGGTGGGAGGATCACCTGAGCTCAGGAGTTCGAGGGCAACCTGGGCAACACAGTGAGATCCCATCTCTACAAAAATAAAAATTAGCTAGGACATAATGGTGCATGCCTGTAGATCCTGCCCATTGCCGAGGCTGCAGCCTCTTTCCACTCCCCTCTTCAGGGATATTGATCCCCAGCCAGCTGTAGATGCATCTTTATTATTTGTGTGCCATAATCAGCACAGATATTAGGGCAATTCCCTGGCCTGGATCTATTTGTTCCCCCATGCTAGCCTGAATCTCTCTCTGAGGTCCCCAGAGTCAGTGACAGCTGTGCGGGACCCAACTATGGAAATAAAATTTCAGTTACATCTACTGGAAATTAGATTAGATTTTATTACTGGAAGGAAAAAGGAAAGATGACAACAACCAAAGGCTCAGAGAGAAAAGACATGTGTACATCAACACACAAATATGAAATGAAAAGCCATTTTGCAGCCTCACTCACCAACCCAAAGGAGCCAAAGAGCATCTGTCCTGCTTGGGGCGCTAGGAGGCTGCCTCAGCTCCAGCAATGGCCGTGTTGAAATGGAGGTGGCTCTCACCTCTGAGAAGCAAGGCAAGGCTCTGAAAATACAGTGGTCCTCAAGGCGACAATCAGGGCTCACTCAGATCCAAGTTCTCCCACTCCTGAGCTGCATGGACTTGAGGACAGGACTTCCCCACTACTGTGAGTCTTCGTACTGTCACCTGCATTATGGGATGATGCTAATATCAGTACATAGTTCGGAGGAGAGTGAGATGAAACAGTAAGTGATGTTCCATACATTCCCCCAAAGAGGCATAAACTGGGTGATCAGAATAAGAAATACACAACTCATGCTAAGAACTGTGTTTTATATCATAGCCCTGTACATGTACATGTATACATAAATAGACAAAAACATTAAGTATTATGAAATAAGTTGTGTCAATAATTGCAAACACATGTAGCATTTCCTATGTTCTAGGCTCTATTCTAAACCCTTAATAAATATTAATTCATCCCTATGAAGTAACTACTATTATTATGCCCATTTTATAGGTAAAGGAAGTAAGACTCAAATTCCCTTGAGTAACTTGCCTATGGTCCCACAGCCAGAAAATGGCGAGGCCAGGATTCAAAACCAACTAGTCGGCCTCATCCACTGTGCTACCACATCTGGTAATTCCTCTTCTATTCTAGTCAGAGGTCCCCTCCACTGATTTCATGGCCACTAAAAAAATCCCAATCTGAAATTTGAAAAATGCAGCTCTAATATATCCTCTAACTTTGGAAATTCTTCTTTGGAGAAATGTTTATTCAAGTCTTTTGTGTATTTTTTAACTGGTTTTTTTTATTGTTGTTGAACTGTAGGAGCTCTTTACCTATTCTGAGTATTAATTGCTCATCACATATATGATTTGTAAATATTTACTCCATTCTGCTTTTCACTCTGTTGATAGTGTCTTTTGATCCACATGTTTTTAATTTGATGAAGTATAATTTATCTATTTTTTCTTTTGTTATATGTGTATTCACTGTCATATCCAAGAAATCATTGTTAAATCCAATGTCATGAATATTTTCCTCTATATTTTCTTCCAAGAGTTCTGTAGTTTTAGTTCTTACATTTAGGCCTTTCATCTATTCTGGGTTAATTTTTGTATATAATGCAAAGTACAGTTTCAACTGCCTTCTTTTGCATGTGGTTATCAATTTTCCCAGTATCATATGTTGAAAAGACTGTCCTTTCCCCACTGAATGGTCTTGGCATCCTTGTTGTCAAAATCATTTGGCCATATGTATGAGTGTTTATTTCTGGGCCCTCTATCTTATTCCATTGGTCTATATGTCTTTCTTTATACCTTTACCACACAGTTTTTATTATTATAGCTTTGTCGTAAGTTATGAAATCTGGATGTGTGAGTTCTCTGACTTTGTTTTTTCAAGATTGGTTGGCTATTTGGGGTCCCTAGTGATTCCATATGAATTTTAGGATGAATTTTTTCACATCTGCAAAACACATCATTGGGGTTTTGATAGAAATTGCACTGAATCTGTAGATCGCTTTGGGCAGTATTGACATCTTAACAATATTAAGGCTTATAATCAATGAACAGGGGATTTATTTCCATTTTTGGTGTCTTCTTTTATTACTTTCAGCAACATTTTGTAGATTTCAGTGTACAAGTCTTTTACATCTTGGTTAAATTTATTCCTATATATTTTATTCCTTTTGATGCTATTATAAATAAAATTGTTTTCTTAATTTCCTTTTCAGATTTTTCATTGTTAGTGTATAGGAACACAGCTGATTTTTGTGTGTTGGTTTTCTATCCTGGAGCTTTGGTAAATTTGCTTATTTGTTCTAACAGGCTTTTTTGTGGAACCTTTAGGTTCTACATATAAGATTATGTCCTGAATGGTATTGCCTAGGTTTTCTTCTAGGGTTTTTATGGTTTTAGGTCTAACATGTAAGTCGTTAATCCATCTTGAATTAATTTTTGTATAAGGAGTAAGGAAGGGATCCAGTTTCAGCTTTCTACATATGGTTAGCCAGTTTTCCCAGCACCATTTATTAAATAGGGAATCCTTTCCCCATTTCTTGTTTTTGTCAGGTTTGTCAAAGATCAGATAGTTGTAGATACGCGGCATTATTTCTGTGGGCTCTGTTCTGTTCCATTGGTCTATATCTCTGTTTTGGTACCAGTACCATGCTGTTTTGGTTACTGTAGCCTTGTAGTATAGTTTGAAGTCAGGTAGTGTGATGCCTCCAGCTTTGTTCTTTTGCCTTAGGATTGACTTGGTGATGCGGGCTCTTTTTTGGTTCCATATGAACTTGAAAGGAGTTTTTTCCAATTCTGTGAAGAAAGTCATTGGTAGCTTGATGGGGATGGCATTGAATCTATAAATTACCTTGGGCAGTATAGCCATTTTCACGATATTGATTCTTCCTACCCATGAACATGGAATGTTCTTCCATTTGTTTGTATCCTCTTTTATTTCATTGAGCAGTGGTTTGTAGTTCTCCTTGAAGAGGTCCTTCACATCCCTTGTAAGTTGGATTCCTAGGTATTTTATTCTCTTTGAAGCAATTGTGAATGGGAATTCACTCATGATTTGGCTCTCTGTTTGTCTGTTATTGGTGTATAAGAATGCTTGTGATTTTTGTACGTTGATTTTGTATCCTGACACTTTGCTGAAGTTGCTTATCAGCTTAAGGAGATTTTGGGCTGAGACAATGAGGTTTTCTAGATATACAATCATGTCACCTGCAAACAGGGACAATTTGACTTCCTATTTTCCTAATTGAATACCTTTTATTTCCTTCTCCTGCCTGATTGCCCTGGCCAGAACTTCCAACACTATGCTGAATAGGAGGGGTGAGAGAGGGCATCCCTGTCTTGTGCCAGTTTTCAAAGGGAATGCTTCCAGTTTTTGCCCATGCAGTATGATATTGGCTGTGGGTTTGTCATAGATAGCTATTATTACTTTGAGATACATCCCATCAATACCTAATTTGTTGAGAGTTTTTAGCATGAAGTGTTGTTGAATTTTGTCAAAGACCTTTTCTGCATCTATTGAGATAATCATGTGGTTTTTGCCTTTGGTTCTGTTTATATGCTGGATTACATTTATTGATTTGCGTAAGTTGAACCAGCCTTGCATCCCAGGGATGAAGGCATGGGCAAGAACTTCATGTCTAAAACACCAAAAGCAATGGCAACAAAAGCCAAAATTGACAAATGGGATCTAATTAAACTAAAGCGCTTCTGCACAGCAAAAGAAACTACCATCAGAGTGAACAGGCAACCTACAGAATGGGAGAAAATTTTTGCAACCTACTCATCTGACAAAGGGCTAATATCCAGAATCTACAATGAACTCAAACACATTTGCAAGAAAAAACCCAACAACCCCATCAAAAAGTGGGCGAAGGATATGAACAGACACTTCTCGAAAGAAGACATTTATGCAGCCAAAAAACACGTGAAAAAATGCTCATCATCACTGGCCATCAGATAAATGCAAATCAAAACCACAATGAGATACCATCTCACACCAGTTACAATGGCAATCATTAAAAAGTCAGGAAACAACAGGTGCTGGAGAGGATGTGGAGAAATAGGAACACTTTTACACTCTTGGTGGGACTGTAAACTAGTTCAACCCTTGTGCAAGTCAGTGTGGCGATTCCTCAGGGATCTAGAACTAGAAATACCATTTAACCCAGCCATCCCATTACTGGGTATATACCCAAAGGATTACAAATCATGCTGTTATAAAGACATAGGCACACGTATGTTTATTGCGGCACTATTCACAATAACAAAGACTTGGAACCAAGCCAAATGTCCAACAACGATAGACTGGATTAAGAAAATGTGGCACATATACACCATGGAATACTATGCAGCCATAAAAAATGATGAGTTCATGTCCTTTGTAGGGACATGGATGAAACTGGAAACCATCATTCTCAGCAAACTATGGCAAGGACAAAAAACCAAAAACCGCATGTTCTCACTCAGAGGTGGGAATTGAACAAAGAGAACACATGGACACAGGAAGGGGAACATCACACACTGGGGACTGTTGTGGGGTGGGGGGAGGGGGAGGGGGGAGGGATAGCATTAGGAGATATACCTAATGCTAAATCACAAGTTAATGGGTGCAGCACACCAACATGGCACATGTATACATATGTAACAAACCTGCACATTGTGCACATGTACCCTAAAACTTAAAGTATTATAATAATAACATTAAAAAAAATAAATAAATAAATAAAACTCTGAACTTCTAAAAAATAAAAAAGATTATGTCATGGGAGAACAGATAATTTTACTTCTTCTTTTCCAATGTGAATGGCTTCTTTTCTTTCTTTTTTTTCTTCAATTATTTAGGGCTGGAATATCCAGTACTATGTTGAATAGAAGTGGGTGAGTGTTCCTGATCTTAGAGGAAAGTCTTCCAGTCTTTCACCAATGAGTATGACACTATATGTGGGATGATAAGGATGTATTAGAAACAAGTGCATTTCAAAAAACTGTTGATACGGTTTGGCTGTGTCCCCACTCAAAACTCATCTTGCACTGAAGTTTCCATAACCCCCATACGTCATGGGAGGGATCTGGTGGGAGGTAATTGAATCATGGCAGTGGTTACCCCCATGCTGTTCTCGTGATAGTGAGTGAGTTCTCATGAGATCTGATGGTTTATAAGGAGCTTTTCCCCCTTTGCACAGCACTTCTCTCTGCTGCCATGTGAAGAAGGATATGTTTGCTTCCCTTTCCATCATGATTGTCCGTTTCCTGAGGCCTCTTCAGCCATGCAGAACTGTGAGTCAATTAAACCTGTTTTTTTAATAAATTACCCAGTCTCAGGTATGTTTTCATAGAAGCATGAACAAACAAATACAACTGTTTTTAGTGATAATAATGAAAGCCCCTATGTGTCAGGATAGAGTTGACTGTTTCCATTCATCAAATTATAGAATCCTCACAGTGACCTGTGAGAGAGGAATTTGAATCCCCTTATCACCAATGCAAGGCTTAGAGAAATGTAGTGACTTCCCCAGGCTCACAGTGACAGCAAATGGTTGCGCTAATATTCAAGCCCAGGGCTGGGTGTGGCAGCTCACACCTGTAATCCCAGTACTTTGGGAGGCCAAGGTGGGTGAATCACTTGAGCTCAGGAGTTCAAGGTCAGCTTGGGCAACATAGCAAAACCCCATCTCTAAAAGGATTATAAAAATTAGCCAGGCATGGTGAAGCATGCCTGTAGTCCCAGCTACTTGGAGTCTGTTGTGGGAGGATCGCTTGAGCCCAGAGGCTTGAGGCTGCAGTGAGCGATGATTGCACCACTGCACTCAAGCCTCTGTAACAAAATGAGACTCTGTCTCAAAAAATATAAATACATAAATATTAATCAAACTCAGAACTATTAGTTCCAACATGCTTGAACTCTCAAATTTCCTCAGCTTAGTAGATATGAGTCCTATAACCCTCCTTGTTAGAGGACAGTCTTCTCATCCTTGGAGCCTGAAGGGCAAAGATTCCATCTTTCACATCAAAGACCTGGCCTTGAGTGGCCCTGGCTCTACCACTCTCTGATGGAGTAACTGGACAAGTCACTGAAATTTTCTGAGCCAATGTCCTTAGCTACAAATCAGGCATCATAATAAAAGCCACACATAAGTTTCCCCAGGGCAAAGGGGTTTCCCAGGATATAGAACTTTCAGTGCTAAATGCCAAAGTCCCAGGCAAACCTGGTCAAGTTTTGTTTGTCACCAGATATGATGGTTAATACAACCATTCATTCCATTGTTCTTTCTTTCAACAAATATTGATTGAGTGTCCATTGTATGCCAGGCAGTGTTCTTGATGCTGGAGATATAGGGAAAAAAAAGAAAAAAAAATTGGCCTTCATGGAGCTTATATCCTAGCTAGGGCAGAACAGCACAAATAAAGAAGTAAGACATTTAGTATGTCAAGTAATGATAAATACAATGAAGAAAAAAAGAAGCAACAAATTATTCAAATAGCCCCAAACTGGAAGTCACCCAAAGTATCCATCAGCAGAACAGTGAATAAACTGAGATCTATTCATGCAATGGATTAGTGCAATGCAACAAAAACAATGAATTACTGATACACAAAATGTGGATGAATCTCAGACATTATGCAGAGAAAAACAAAACAGTACATGCTGGAAGCATCCATTTATATGAAGTTCAAAAACAGGCAAAACTAAGAGATGGTGATTATAGTCAGAAGAGTAATTACCTGAGGGTGATGCTAACTGGAAAGGGCCTAAGGAAACTTTTGGGGCACTGCAAATATTCAATGTCTTGGCCTGGATGGTGATCAGATGGAGAACACATAGGTAAACATTCACTGAAGTGGATACTTGACACAGACCCAATAAGTGCACTTTATTGTGCGTAAGCTGTACCTCAATTATGAAAAAAAAATCTTAAATAGATAAATAAATCAACAAAGGTGAAACGGAGGCATGGAAGAGGTAGAATTAGGTTGGCATAGTTCATAGCGTGGAAGAAGAATTCACTACATGTTAGGTACATTTTATTATTATCTGGTGACTGTGAGGAGCCTATGGCCTAAGCTTCAAAGAGCAGAAGCCCCTCTGTTGGCTCTTTGGGTTTCCCTCAGCTAAGCTCAGGACCCTGGTACATCTCCAGGAGCCTCTTTGGGAAGGCTGTACTTTAAATGCCTTAACACTGGTTTCTAAACCCAGCTCATCAACAGGACTGGAAGGTTTCTGGCAGGACCATACTGGTTTGCTCTGCACAGTACATCCTAATCCCATGCCCCTGAGACTGTAGTGACAAAGATTTCTAACATTTTCCTATGCAATGGGATTGAATTATCCCAGGGATAATGGAAAGGTATTTTTCATCTTTAGGGTGTTAATGAATATAAATGGGATTTACAGCCTATTTCTCTGCTTTTTTTTCCCTCTGGGAAGTGAGATCATAGAAAACTTACAGTAGCAAAAGGAGAGTGAGAGACCCTTCATTCAACCCTCCCACCCAGAACACCCCCAAGAATGAGAAAGACTTCAAGAACCCCAATGCCTTCCCCTCCTTCCCAAATGGTCAAAAACTCCTCCAAGTAAAAAGTAATTGATCGATCATGTTACAAGTATTTTTAGCTACAAGGAATTGCTAACCAGCAAACTTTGAGTGAACCAGGACCCAGGGAAGTCAAGATGTAAACCTCTTTTCTAGATGGAATACTCTCTCTGCTCATGGCTTTCTTCTGGGAAGTAGGGAAGGTGTTGTCTTGGTCCATATTAGTCCACATCTCTTAGGGAATAATTCTGTCATCTCCCCACCTCTAATGCTCTATTCTATGCTGGAATAATTATAGGACGCAGAAAGGTCTTCTTCCCCTCTGGTCATTCATATGTTATTCTTTGTGCCTAGAATATGTCTCTCTTCTCTTAGCCAGGGAGAGTTGGGATTGGCTATAAAAGGGGTCATCAGGGACAAAGACAAAATGGCATATATACACAATGGAGTACTATTCAGCCTTTAAAAAGAAGAAAATCCTGTCATAAGCGACAACATGGATGAACCTGCTAAGTGACATAAGCCAGGCACAGAAAGATGAATACCACATGGCCTCACTTACACTCACAATCTAAAAAAGTCAGACTCATAGAAGCAGAGAGTAGGATCATGGTCACAGAGGCTGGGGGGTGTAGGGATTGGGAAGATGTTAGTCAAAGGGTACAAAGTTTCATTTAGATGGAGGAATAAATTCAAGAGATCTCTGTACAACGTGGTGACTACAGTTAATAACAATGTATTGTATATTGAAAATTGCTAAGATAATAGATTTTAAGCATTCTCATCATAGAAAATTATAAATATCAGAGGTAATGCATATTATAATTAGCTTGATTTGGCCATTCCACAATGTATACCTGTATCAAAACATCATGTTAAGCACCGTATTTGTCAATGACAATAAATTTAAAAGAGGCATCAGGAAGGATCCCTTTGGAGATGGAACTGTTCTACATCTGACTATACAAAAGTCAATATTCTACTTGTGATCTTTTCCTAATGTATTACAAAATGGTACCATTGGGGGAACCTGGGTAAAGAATGCACAGGATCTCTCTGTATTATTTCTTATAACTTTATGTGAATCTATAATGATCTCAAATTGAGACCTTTAATTTAAAAGAAAAATCTCCTTGGACAGTCTAACATGCAATCAGAGTTCAGAATGATTACTACAGCTCAACACTAGCCAAGAGAAATTTCTGTGGTGATGGAACTGTTTTCTATCTTCTTTATAATACAGTAACCACTGGCTGCGTGCAGCTATTGAGCTCTTGAAAGATAACTGGTAGGATTGAGGACCTAAATTTTTAATGCTGATTAATTTAAATTTAAATAGCCACATATGGTATATTAGTTTTCCAGGGCTGCCTTAACAAAGTACCACTCACTAGATGGCTGACAGAACAGAAATGTATTGTCTCCTAGTTCTGGAGGCTTGAAGTTCAAGATCAAAGTGTTGGTAGGGCATCTTTCTTCTGAATTCTGTGAGAGACAGTCTGTTCCATGCCTCTCACCTAACTTCTGGTGAGTTGCTGGCAATCTTCAGCATTCCTTGGCTTGTTGAAACATTACCCTGATCTCTGTCTTCATCTTCACATGATGTTCTATGTGTGTGTCTGTCTCCAAATTTCCCCATTTTATAAGGATACGAGTCCTATGGGACTGCAAATAAAGACATACTCTGAGGAAGTGGAGGTTAGGACTTCAACATATGGATTTTGGGAGAAGAGAATTCAACGTGTAACTTGTGTCTTGTGGCTACCATATTGGACAGTGCAGGTCTAGCTGATCCCCTTCCTCAGTTCTGGTGCCTTAACTACAGACAGGCCACCCTGATAACAACTCCTAGCTACCTTCAATCACTGTCCCTTGTTTCAGCAAGTATTTATTGAACAATTACTATGAGTCAGACACAGTGCTAGGATCTGAGAAAGAGTAAATGTAACACAACCCTGCTCTCTCAAAACCTGCAGCCTCCTGGCGTACACCAGACAAGAAGTCAACCTTCCTTATGTCAAGTTACACATAGTTAATTAATGAATCTGCACAACCCACTAGAGTAAACAGAAGAGGCTACTTGTGGCTGAAGGAAGTAGATGGACCCAGGGCCCACCTGGCCACTCCAAGGGCTAAGGAACCCAGTATCTCAGCCTCCTGTTATCCATTCAGAGCCTGCTGGTTGACATGCTCTAAGGGAGCCAGTCAATTGCTACAAAGTGAGAGCAGTGCTGGGTTGCAGGGGTGTCAGAGAAGCCCAGGAAACTGAAAGAGGACAGAAGAGGAGCCCCACCTTAGCTTTCACAGGAGACTCAAAGTCTTTACTGGATGGAGGAGAAGGGATTTATGGTAGTTATTAATTTGTCATTAGTATTATTTAACAAAACTCTATTCCCCTCTCTTTCTAAATACCAGAAATAGCACTTCCCCATACACTTTGAAATAGTTTATCAATTAGCTTTTGCTGTGTAACAAACCATTCCAAAACCTAGTAGCCTAACAACAACCATTCATTGGTCCATGAATTGGCAGTTTGGGCTGGGCTCAGTTGCGCCGTTCTTTGCTGGTCTCACCTACATTCTCATGTGACTTCCACTGACTGGCAGGTTGATAGGGGATGGTGGGCTCTACAATATGGTTTCACACACCTGATGGCTGGTGCTGGCTGTTGGCTGGAGTGACTGTGGGCCATGGGTCTCTGGCAGTCTAGACTGAGCTTATTTACATATTGTTGATTATGGGGTTTCCAGGAGTAGCAAGAGAGGGCAAGCTCTCTGTACAAGCACTTTTCAAGTCTCTGCTTGCATTGAATTTGTTATTTTCCCATTGGCCAAAGCAAATCACAGAGCCACCCAGAGTCACTGTGGGTGGGGACTACCCAAAGGCATGGATACAGGGAGGAAATAACAAGTCACAGGCCATGCTGCAGCCATCTATGACAGTTAGTGAGGGATGGCTGTGTAGATTGCTCAGGTGAAATGTGACCAGAAGTGGTACATGTCACTTTTTGGCAAAAGTCTTTTGAGAGCCAGTGAGCTACTCACCATACCCTCTTTTCTTGCCTCAGAGATTATAGAAGTCTTGTGTTTCTATATATCTGGGTTCCTGTGTGGCTACAGTAAACAGAGACCTCCTGCCTACCCACATCAGACATGTCACAGAGTGAGAAGCAAGCTCTGTAGGCTACAGAGATCTGGGGTATGTTTGTTACCACAGCATAAACTAGTCTATCCTGACTGATACATAATCCAATGCTGAGTCCTGAAGGATTACAAGAGTTAGCAACGTGAAGAGTAAGAAGAGAAAAAAGCATGATGGACATAGATAATAACATATGCGAAATCATGGAAGCAAAAAGGAGCAAGAGCATGGTAAATTCAGGCAACTGGGAGGGAGTTTGATCTGACTGGAGCATAAAAGGGGAGGAGTGAAGAAGTTATCTTAGTTAGCTTGGGTTTCCATAGCAAAATACCATAGAGTAGCTGGCTTAACCAAGATAAATTGTTTTTTTTTTCTTACAATTCTGGAGGCTGGAAGTCCAAGATCAGAGTGCCAGCACGGTCATTTCTGATGAGAGCTCTCTTCCTGGCTTGCAAATGGTCACATTCTTGCTATGTCCTCAGATAGCTGAGAGGGAGAAAGAAACCTCTCTCTTCCTCTTCTTATAAGGTTATAATCCTATCTGCTTAGGGCCCACCCTTATGACATAATTAACCTTAATTACTCCTAAAATATCAGTCTCAAGATAGAGTCCCATTCAGGGTTAGAGCTTCAACATATGGGTTTTAGGGGGAAATAATTCAGTCCAAAGCAGTAATGAAAGATGAGGCTGGGAAGATAGAGAAGCCCGGTCATGGCAGGTCTTAGAGGTCGTGGTCAGCCCTTAAGATTTTATCCTGAGCAGAAGGGAAGCCTCTGATAGGTTTTAAGGCTATGGATGGTTCTACTGTCTAGAAAGGTCACTCCAACTGCTGCCCTCACTTCTCACGTTCAGTAGATTCTCAAGCAGCACCACTTTGTGGACCCCTGTATTAATCTGCCCTCAAGCTGCTGATAAGGACATACCAAAGACTGGGTAATTTATAAAGGAAAGAAGTTTAATTGATTCACAGTTTCACATGGCTAGGGAGGCCTCACAATCATGGTGGAAAGCAAATAAGGAGCAAAGTCACATCTTACACGGTGGCAGGCAAGAGAGCATGTGCCTGGGAACTCCCCTTTTTAAAACCATCAGATCCCATGAGATTTATTCACTATCATAAGAACAGCACAGGAAAGACCCTCCCTCATGATTCAATTGCCTCCCACCAGGTCCCTCCCACAACACATGGGAATTATGAAAGTTACAATTCAAGATGAGATTTGGGTGGGGATACAGCCAAACTATATCAACCCCCATAGCTGGTCTGTAGTTTTAACATGATTTCTGGGTTCTACCTGTCTGTCCCAGTGACAGGCAGTCCCAGCTCTGTCTCAGTGGGTGGGGAAGTTTCAGAGTCCCTGCCAAGGGGTCTCTTCCTGCCTCCAAGCATGACCTCTCCAAGTAGAAGTCAGGCAAAAGCTCCATTCTCAGTCCAGTGGAAAGTCACCTCTGATAAAACCACCTTAAATTCCAGCTTTTCCTGTGCTCTGTGACATACTGAGTCACTAGAAGTCTGGAAAAGAAAAATCAGAGCATGCTTTTGCTTTGATTAGCTAGTTATCCTGTAGGTGCCTTTATTATTAGACCTCAGTTCAAATCTTGGCTGCCGCACTTCAAGCTGGTTTTCTTGAGCAAGCTACTGCACATCACAGAGTCTGTTTCCTCATCTAAACATAACCATAATAATAACAATGTAACAGGGCTGTTGGAAGAATTAACTCTAAGATAGATGTAGAGTACAGAGTACAGTGCCTGCCTGTCACATTATCCATTCTCAGCATGCAATCCACTATTATTAGTATTACTGTTATTAACAACAAGTCAAGACTTTTTACCAACCATTTCCCATGGATCCAGCTTTGTGTCATACTAAAAGATACAAAGACATGAACCATTGTGGATAATGGAGAATCATTATCCAATTCTGTCTCCTCCTGCTGAAGTCTGGGTCAGTTTTGAAGCTTCAAGGTAGATCATTGGTCCAGGGGAAGCTGCCAGAAATGAGTAAAAGGAGTATGGGGCATGCATTAGTCTGTTTTTATGCCGCTGATAAAGACATACCCAAGACTGGGAAGAAAAAGGGGTTTAATGGACTTACAGTTCCACATTGCTGGAGAGGCCTCACAATCACGGCAGAAGGCAATGAAGAGCAAGTCACGTCTTACATGGGGCAGCAGGCAAAAAGAAGAGAGAGCTTGCACAGGGAAACTCCCATTTTTAAAACCATCAGATCTTGTGAGACTCATTTACTATCATGAGAACAGCACAGGAAAGATCCACCCCCATAATTCAATCACCTCTAACTTGGTCTCTCCCGTGACAGTGGGAATTGTGGGAGTTACAATTCAAGATGAAGTTTGGGTAAGGACACAGCCAAGCCATATCATTCCACCACTGGCCCCTCCAAATCTCATGTCCTCACATTTCAAAACCAGTCATGCCTTCTCAACAGTCCCCCAAACTCTTAGCTCTTTTCAGCATTAACTCAAAAGTCCACAGTCCAAAGTCTTATCTGAGACAAGGCAAGTCCCTTCCAACTATGAGCCTGTAAAATCAAAAGCAAGCTAGTTACTTCCTAGATACAATGAGGTGTTCAGGTATTGGGTAAATACAGCCATTCCAAGTGGGAGAAATTGACCAAAATAAAAGGGCTACAGGTCCCACGCAAGTCCAAAATCCATCAGGGCAGTCAAATCTTAAAGCTCCAAAATGATCTCCTTTGACTCTGTGTCTCACATCCAGGTCACACAGACACAGGAGGTGGGTTCCCACAGCCTTGGGCAGCTCTGCCCCTGTAGCTTTGCAGGGTATAGCCCCACTCCTTCCTGCTTTCATGGGCTGGCATTGAGTGTCTGTGACTTTTCCAGGCACACAGTACAAACTGTTGGTGAATCTACCATTCTGGGGTCTGGATGATGGTGACCCTTTTCTCACAGCTCCACTAGGTGATGTCCCAGTAGGGACCCTACATGGAGGCTCTGACCCACATTTCCCTTCTGAACTGCCCTGGAAGAGGTTCTCCATGAGGGCTCTGCCCCTGCAGCAAACTTCTGCCTGGAGATCTAGGAGTTTCCTTACATCTTCTGAAATCTAAATGGAGGTTCCCAAACATCAATTCTTGACTTCTGTGTACTTGCAGCCTCAACACCACGTGGAAGCTCCCAAGGCTTCGGGTTTGCACCCTCTGAATCCACAGCTCAAGTGCTATATTGATTCATTTCAGTCACAGCTGGAGTGGCTGGGATGCAGGGCACCAAGTCCCTAGACTGCACACAGCTTGGAGACCCTCAGCCTGGCCCACAAAACCACTTTTTCCTCCTAGGCCTCTGGGCCTGTGATGGGAGGAGCTGCCATGAAGACAGTGGAGACATTTTCCCCATTGTCTTGGTGATTAACATTTGGCTCCTTGTTACTTATGCAAAATTTCTGCAGCTGACTTGAATTTTCTCCTCAGAAAATTGGATATTCTTTTCCATTGCATTGTCAGGCTGCAAATTTTCCAAACTTTTATTCTGTTTCCCTTTTGAATGGAAATGCTTTAACAGCACCAAGTCACTTCTTGAATACCTTGCTGCTTAAAAATGTCTTCTGCCAGATATCCTAAATCATCTCTCAAGTTCAAAGTTCCACAAGTCTCTAGGGCAGGGACAAAAACCCGCCAGTCTCTTTTGTAAAACATAACAAGAGTCACCTTTGTTCCAGTTCCCAAGAAGTTCCTCATCTCCATCTAAGACCACCTCAGCCTGGATTTCATTGTCCATATCATTATCAACATTTTGGTCAAAGCAATTCAACAGGTCTCTATGGAGTTCCAAACATTTCCATATTTTTCTGTCTTCTAAGCCCTCCAAGCTGTTCCAACCTCTGCCTATTACCCAGTCCCAAAGTCGCTTTCACATTTTCAGGTATCTTTTCAGGAGAGCCCCCACTCTCTCTACTGGTACCAGTTTACTGTATTAGTCCATTTTCATGCTGCTGATAAAGACATACCCAAGACTGGGAAGCAAAAGAGGTTTAATGGACTTACAGTTCCATGTGGCTAGGAGGCCTCACAATCACGGCAAAAGGCAAGGAGAAGCAAGTCACCTCTTACATGGAGAGCAGCAGGCAAAGAGAGAGCTTGTGCAGGGAAACTCCCATTTTTAAAACCACCAGATCTCATGAGACTCATTCGCTGTCACAAGAACAGCACAGGAAACACCCACCCCTATAATTCAACCACCTCCCACTAGGTCCCTCCCACAGCATGTGGGAATTGTGGGAGTTGCAATTCAAGATGAGATTTGGATGGGGACACAGCCAAACCATATCAGGGCTTGATAGAGGAACATGAGTTTTGACCCAAACAGGTTTCTATCTGTGACCAAATGCTCCATGTTGTGGTCCCTGCCTCATTGCCCTGGTATCTTTTCTGTTGAAGCTGACCTTTAGCATTGGTATCCCAGTTCATCCATATCTCCTCCTCATTCCCATTCCCTGCTATCCATCTTCCAGCCCACTCTAGGATAGGGTCGAAGATGCCCCTTACAGCAGCCATCTCTGGCTTTGTATTTAGCCTCGGTGGATACAAAGCCTGTGGATAGCCTCGGTGAATGAAGCCTGTGACCCTGGCTCCATATTCTCCACCGACTCCATCTTGGGTGGGAAAAGTCTAGGATATGTGTCCAGTGAAGGACTCTAGGCAAGTTATTGGGTGGGAGGAGAGCCCCATGGAGGTATCTCTGAAGACTTGCTGAATGATTTGGGTTGAGGTTGGTCTTAAAAGATTAGCTAAGGAGACAAAAAAGGCTGGGGTACTGTTTTCCCAAAGGTTTTATAAAGAACACTTGTTCTTTGGGGTATCAATAGATAAGAATTACATAAGAAAGGGGTTCTCAAGTCAAAAAAGATTTTGGAAATATGTATTAGACAAAGTGAAATAGGTACATTAATACAAGATGTCTCAGAACCTTTCCCATGCTAACACACACTGTGCTTCTCCCAGAGAAGGACAAAATGTTTAGCATTCCCCAAATGTGTGGGACCTTGCAAGCTTTTTCTCATCGCAGAGCATCTCTGTTGATCAATGTGCCACAAAGCGCATTATTTATAGGGATTTTGTAAGAGCAAAGGCTGGAGGCTGGATTTGGAAATACGGTTTTGAAGAGGGCAAGCAAATTCCTCTAGAGCAGAGGGTGAGGAAATGTGAGAAGAGATAAAACTGGAAAGGTAAATAGAGGCTAGACTATTGATCATTCAGGAAGTTGCCTAAAAGATGACTCTTTCATATGTGTCATGTGCCACCCTGGACCTAGATTCAAGTGAGATTCACTATCACCATTGTCATTGTCATTATCAATAACACCATCATCTTCACCTTCATCATTATCACATCATAATTGTCATCATTATCAACATGATTATTAGCAATACCGTTAGCACTGCCATCATCATCATCATCATCATTATCATCATCATTGTAGCACAAGCCTCTTTTGAAGAGCTCTGTGACTCTAGGAGCTGTACTTAAGAAAATAACACTGGGCATGGAGTCAAACACGAATTGGAGTCCCAACTTCATCATTAACTGTTTGTGTATGTTTATGTAGTTTCCAGAAGGCATTTAGTTTCTAGAAGTCTTTGTTTCCTCACCTGGATAATGATGTGTGAAGTTTAAATTGAAAGAATCAATGAGAAAATACTCTATCAATACTAAATAGTAAGGAGATTCTGTTCTCATTAATATTATTTTGCATCTCGCCTGATCTACCTTGTGCCTGATTTTCCCAGAATATTACCCTAAACTCAGACCTCAGCTCCTGTGGCAAAGTTGCTTCATGTTAATTTGTTTACGTTTGTAAAGTCCCTATCTCCAATATAAGGTCATATTCTGAGGTAATGGGGGTTAAGACTGCAACATATCAATTTTGGTAGACACAATTTAACACCTAACATGTGGCTAGCAGCTATCATCTCAACATCTCAACAACTTACCTAATGTGGTGGGGAAAATGTGGTCTCAAATCCTCCCAAGCTCTGTGACTTCAAATGAGTCATCTTCCCTCTCTAAGCCTGTTTCCTTGTATGGAAAAATAAAATCATAAGGTTGTTGTGAGTATTCTATGAGATAATGAATGTTAAGTGTTTGACACATAGAGGGTACTTCATAGATGTTCATTCTTCTTCCCCCATTACTCCTTTAAGGATACTGTTAACATGGGACAGCCGATACAGCAACAGGGAGGGAGGGAGGGAGTTAGAGATAGTCATGACATTTAATCCGTTTGTTTTCCAGATGGGAATACTACAACCTAAAAAACGGAACTGACTTGTGCTGGCTTGCTCAGTGAGGCCCTGGACAAATTTAGACTCATAGGATATAGGTCCTCTGACTTCAGATCAGGGACCTGGACCTTTGAATTCGACCACAGCAGTGCAAGAGGAGAGTAACCCCCTCTTTCCTCATTTGCAGTGTGTGTATGACTAAGAATTCCTGAAAGAAAGTAACTGGTGCAGACAGCTCTAAAATGAGAGAAGGACTGCCAACAGCTGGAGACATGAGGAGGGGGAGAATTAGTGTTATCTACCCAAATACACATAGGAAAGCATCATTTCATCTGCAGTTGCCTCAGTTATAAATAGAATTCTCCTTTCCAGCCACAGTTACTTCAATAGCCAGCCTAATGTCCTGTGGAAGGGACGTGTGCCTTGCATGCATGAGCTGTTATTGATTTCCCCACAAAGGCCAATTTGGGGATGCCAGACAGCATGCATAGAAAAGTTAAAGCAAAATGCTAGCTAAACTGCTGCACACAAAGGGAGCGTGTTCCATCCATTGGTGGGTAAATGGGAGGCTGGTTAATCTCGGGCAGAGAGGCAGGGTTCCAAGCCAGCTATGTAAGTTGTGGCTTTGGAAGAGCACAGTGGAAGATGGTGCTGTGAGCAGGGCAGACCACCAGACTAGAAATAGGGAAACCTGAATTTCAGTCCCAGATCTGCCAATGGTTCACCCAAATCCTTTAAATCAACCCAATTCCCCAACACATAGTGCAAAGAGCAAAGGAAGGTGTGTAGGATAAAAGTGATCAGAATCACTGCTATTTATTAGTACTTGTTTTTACCCATTCATTAATCTCCTACTATGTTCTAGGCACTGTGCTAGATACAGACATTGTCCCAGCTCTCTCAATATGTAGAAACTGGTAGAGGAGATTTGGAGTAAACATTTAATAATACCTCCAAAAATTATACCTTTATGTCACTTCAAATTACTATAAATGTTATAAAGGAGAAATGGTTCTCTTCTGGAGTGGGAAAGTAGCAGTCAAGGGAGGCTTCTATGAGGAAGTGTTATCTCATATGAATTATAAAGAGTAAACAAGAGAATAAGAGCAAAAAATTAGGTGATAATTTTCAAGTAAAGGGAGCATCAGTCAGGCCCTCTGCTGAGCTTACATAATCACATTTCATTCTCAAATCAATCCTTTGAGGTTGGTTTTATAATTACACCCAATTTATAAGACAAGAGTTGGGTCAAAGACAGCTTGACCAATCTGCCCCAAACCACACAATGCATAAGTTGTAGACATGGAAAGCTGGGATGAATCCAGGAATGTTGAATTTAAAAGTTTCATTGCCTTGGCTGCTGTAAGCCACTACTTCCAGACTACTCAGATCATCTTCCCACTCTCCCTGGTCTTCATATTCAAACTCTCTGCCACCCTGTGTTAGTCAGCTATGATGGCAATAATGCTGTATAACAAACAGCCTCAAGGTGCTGGTGGTTTACAATCCTTGCAGGTTCTCAGGGCTTCATATGGGATCACTGGGCTCAGCTGGGCTTGACTCCAGGCTGTGGGTAAAGTTCAAGTATGCTCCTTATATCTTTATTCAAGAGCCAGAGGCTACCCGGGCTATGTTCTTTCCCACAGTGAACTACAGGAGTACAAGAGACCATCCTAAATCACACAAGAACACTTAAAATCTCTGCTCATATAATGTCTTCCAGCATTTCATTGGCCAACGCAAGTCACATGAGCAAGACCAAAACTACTGGGAAAGAGAAATATGCTCTGAAAACTAACTACTGCAAGGTCAAATGGCAAAAGACATGCATGCAAAATTAGTTAAAGTTATCCATTCCACCACACTCTCTGACACCTTGTCCCCTAACTTCTACTTCAGATCTTCTATAGAAAAATTCCTCACTTGATTCTTCCTTTTCCTCCTGGGAACACTACTGAACTATAATTTTCAAGCTTCCTTTCTTTTAGGAGGGACCACGTGACTTGCTCTGGCCAATGGGCTGTGGGCAGAATTGTTGCTTACTTCTTCCAGGCCTAGATCTAAAATCTGCCAAGCAATCCTCTCCTTTGTTTCTCCTCAATGTCAGTTGTCTGGAGGCAAATGATCTGATAAAGGACTCCAAGGCTCAGCTGGAAGAAGCTTGAATCTTTACTTTTTTTTCTCTCTCTTTTTTTTTTTTTGAGACAGGGTCTTACTCTGTCACCCAGACTGGAGTGATCATGGCTCAATGTAGCCTCAACCTCCCAGGCTCAGGTGATTCTCCCATCTCAGACTCCCAAGTACTGGGACTACAGGCACATGCCACCACATTGAGCTAACTTTTGTATGTTTTGTAGAGGGAAGGTTTCACTATGTTGCCCAGATTGTTCTTGAACTCCTGGGCTACAGCAATCCACCCACTTTGGCATCCATTTTGCTTGAAGGAGAGAGCCCAGGAGAGCCCACCTGACTAACACAAGCCACACTAGGCTTTTTGGAAACAAGAAATAAACTTTTTGCATTAAGCCTCTGAGACCTAAGGATTGATTTTATATTAGTCCATTGTTACAATGCTGATAAAGACATACCTAGGACTGGGTAATTTATAATGAAAAAGAGGTGTAATGTACTCACAGTTCCACATGGCTGTGGAGGCCTCACAATCATGGCAGAAGGTGAAAGGCACTTCTTACATGGTGACAGCAAAGAGGGAATGACAGAGCCAAATGAAAGGGGAAACCCCTTATAAAATCATCAGATCTCATGGGACTTATTCATTACCACGAGAAGAGTATGGAGGAAACTGCCCCATTATTCAATGATCTCTCACCAGGTCCCTCCTACGACACATAGGAATTATGGGAGCTACAATTCAAGATGAGATTTCAGTGGGGACACAGCCAAACCATATCAGATTTCATAGCAGCCAACTCTAATACATCCTTCCCCTTTCTGGGTAGGCTGAACCAGAGTCTGGTTTCAACTTTCCAAGCCTCTTCTCTTGGCTCCCATATAGTGAACCTATCAGCCTTCAACTGTAGTTGGTGATTCCTCAGCATCCATGTCAGAGAAGAGATGAGAACAATTCCTATTCATATTTTAGCCTCCGTTTCCCCATCTGTGCAGACACTAAACGACACCTCAGGGCCCCTCTGACTCTGATATTTGCCCTTTATCAGACCAGAATGGATGATGTGTATACTTAATTAAATGAGTTTGAGGACCGAAGAGAGGTCAACGTGCAAGGCTGGAAACTAGAGAAACTCCCGGGAGAGGACTCATCCTAGAGGAAGAAGGAGGAGGATCCTCAACTAAACAAAGCCTTAGTTTTCCCCGAGGAAGAGTGATTGTGCATATACCCTGATGGCTGTAGTCTGCCCAGAGCAGCCCCTGAGTACATGTTTAAATTCTAAGGTGAGAGAAGGACCGTGCTTCACTAAAAACAAATAAATATCCAAAGAGTTGCTCCGTAAACTCTGTGGTGCACTGGAACCTAAACAGCACTGCCTTGCCCTTTTTCCCACCTCAGCGAGTAACCCCCATGAGGAGCAAGGTACCCCCCTCCCATCTCACCATAGTCCACTACCAGGATATCAGCTCTTCTAAAGTTGTTTGGTCCAAGCTCCTTTAAGGAAACCTCTCAAAAGGAGTGAAGAACACTGACCAGTGTCCCTGATCATCATAACTCATGTCATTTCCTAATGGAAATTGTTTTGGTTCCTCTCCACTGATTAGCAGTGAGAGAGAATTAGAGAGTATGGATTTGGGAGAATAGAAAAGCTATTCTCCCAAAGCAAGTAGAGAAGCCAGAGAAGCCCAAGCAAGGAGAGAAGGAAGTAGAGCACCCAGGGCAGGCATAGAAGAACAGAGGGTAGTGCAAGGAGCCCTTCTGGACCTGAGAAGGGAGTTAGCAAAGCATAGACAGCATCTGCTGAAGGTCATCAGAAGAGCTTTCTTTGGGGACCCAGTCAAGCCTGTTTCAGGTAGGGCCCTTCATTAAATGTCCTGGGTGTATCATGGCACTTCCTTGAACCCTTGTGTCCTTATTTACAAAATAATGCACAAAATAAACCTGCCTTGCTGGAGTATCCTATAGAATGAGATACACTGGAGGTGAAGCACCTGGCATAGAGTAAGTTCTCCATAAATTGCAGCAAGGATAAGGATGGTGATGATGATGATGATGGTGGTGGTGGTGGTGGCAGTGAGTCATGGTTAACTCCATAGTGCCCGCCTGCTCCCATGAGGTTACTTGTGTGTTAGGCCTCACCTGTCTTTATGGAATGAAATCTTATTGACCCCTGTTGAATTGAGCTGAGTTATCAGGAGCTAAGCAGAGGGAATTTGTATTTTGACTTTGACCCTTGCCCACCTTGAAAGCATGGTGTGCAGTCTGCCATTCTAGAGCAGATATATTAATATATATTAATACAGATAAATAAGCCATGTAATTAGCACATAGCACACAGCAGTTTAGATTCATCTTACACATCACAACAGACTGTGTTAAGAGTCCCAATTTTTCACCCCCTCTATATCCACACACTCTGATATGCAAATTTGAAACTCCTCTCGCTGAACAGGTAGAGTCTACTTTCCACCTCTTGAATTTGGGCCCAGTTGTATGAATTTATTAGAAAGCAGTTGATGTAAGGGTGGGCCAGGTACAAGCTTAGGCCACAAGAAGACTTGCATGTTTTTTGCTCATTCTTGGGCTTCTGCCACTCCCATGAGAACATACACAGACAAGCCCACTGGTCCCACAAGGTGGATGAGAGATCCTACAAGCAGAAGGCTGGGCATGGTGGCTCACGCCTGTAATCCCAGCACTTTGGGAGGCCAAGGCAGGTGGATCACAAGGTCAGGAGATCGAGACCATCCTGGCTAACACGGTGAAACCTCGTCTCTACTAAAAAATACAAAAAATTAGCCGGGCGTGGTGGTGGGCACCTGTAGTTCCAGCTACTCGGGAGGCTGAGGCAGGAGAATGGCATGAACCTGGGAGGCGGAGCTTGCAGTGAGCCGAGATCATGCCACTGCACTCCAGCCTGGGTGACAGAGCAAGATTCTGTCTCAAAAAAAAAAAAGAACTGCGACAGCTAAGATGACTCAGCCCAGCCCAGCTAGAGCAGAGCCCCCAGTCAGCCACAGATGCCTGACAGAGTCCAACCAGTGCCAACCAAGTCCAACCAAGACCAGCCAAGCTCCAACCATCCTGGCACACAAGCAATAATATCTTATATATGACTGAGGTTTCATAGCTGTTTATTATGCAGCACTATTGCCATAGCAATAATTAACAAGACACACACCACTATAGATCCATTGGCCATGACTATCTGGAGTGTTACATTAGGAAAGATTCAGAGTCTACATCCAGGCTAGGCCGAGAAGGGTATCATAATGGATTCGTGATATCAGCCGTGAGCAGAGAAATACAGAAGAACAGCATACAGAAAATACATTTGCTATCTCTGATTGGCATGTAGCAAAGCAGATATTTTGGTTGGAGAAGATTTCACCTTTCTACAGGACAAACCCTCTAGTAAGAATTACAATAAAAATAAAATGTAAAGAATCTATTTATTTCTTTGTGAAGACCCTTGCCTGGAGTCAATTTTCCGATGCATCAATCATGCTCTGAGTATCACTAGAAACCATCTTTACCATCTATCTATTGATCTCTTTGTCCATAATTTTATTCATTATCTTTATTCTTAATCAATCTCTCTCTATCTGTCTCTCTCTCTATCTCTTTCTATTCATCACTCTCTCTTTCCCCACTCAAATCCTTACAACTGGAGTGTTGGGTTCATTCTGCGATCCACATTTTGTAACAGACTGAACAACTATAATTCATGCAGTTGAGAGTGGCCAAGACAGCTCAAGACCCCATAGTCACATCCTGTTAAAATCAAGGAAAAAAAAATGCTGGCAAAAATCTAGCCACTGACTTCAAATCACTGAAGGGTTTTCTTGGGAAAGAGCAGACCAAGATTGTGTGGCTCCAAAGGGTTTAACCAAGAGGATCAAAGTTATAAGATGTCATGTTCCGTTCAACAAGGGAAGACATTTCTAACAACTGCAGTGCTTTGAAATTGGATTGGGTAACCTTGTGAGACAGGGAGCTCTTTTTACGATGCTCATTTTATTCTCCTGAACCATTGCTTTTCTCTGTCCCCATATGTCTGCTGGCCCCATTTGGGTTGCTTGACTTGTTCTTGTGTGGAAAAATGCAGAGTTGCGTTGAGTTTCTACTCATAAAGAAGACTGTGTATCATGAAACCCTACACTCTGAGGCGCAGCCCCCTTATGGTGCTCACACCACCACCTGTCCCACAGCTCTGTCCATCAGAACAAGACAAGCTTCTTCCAGACAAGGTCCCAAGGCTCTTATACCCAAAGTCAAGACCATCTACTATTGACTTGTTCCTCTTACTTGGGGAAAGACAGTTTGATTATTAGTAGAAATTCAAACATCACTTTGCCCATAATATGCTGACCAGTACAAGGTTGCCTCATTCAACAGATATTCTAAGCCAAAAGCATGCCAATCCTGAACCATAAACATGGATAGTGTAACTTGTTCCTTCTTGTACTCCAAGGAAAGAAAATGATGACTCCTAAGTTAAAGTTCCAGTTTCAGCCTCCTCCTCCAAGAAACAGACCTATATCTCTAGGTGCCTACTCCAGGTTTCTGTTGGGATATCTTAATGACACAACATAACATGTTCAAAGTCCAGTATGCCATCTGATTAAGAAATATTGGTTATTTTGATGTCTTTATCCATTGAGGGATATCACTATAAAAATAATAATGACTAAGTGTTAATTATATTCCAGACAGTGCTCCAACTACCAACCTATGCCAACTCATTTAATCCATGTCACGTGCCTATGGCGCAGGTATTAGAAATGGCTCAATTTTTTTCATAAAGGGAATAAGTGCCTTGCCCAAGATCATCCATCTAGTAAGTGGTAAGAGTTGTCTCAGAGCCTGTACACATAACTACTATGCCATACTGCCACCTTCTGCCAATGCTATAAGCCAGAGGTCTGTGAGGTATCTTGAAACCCCTCCCTCACTCCACAACATGCAGTCCATCACAAGACCTGTCGATTTTACCTCCTTTGATCCATCCGTTTCTCAACATTTTCACTGTCACCACCCAAGTCTAAGTTAGCACCATCTGGCATTTTCCAAAGCCTCAGAACTGACCTCCTGAGATCCACACCTGCTTCCCCAACGTGTTGTCCATGCTCCAACCAGAGTGGCTTTGCAGATTGCCCATATGATCATCTTTACTACTGTCCTGCTTAAACCCCTTCAATATTTATCCACTGGGCTTAAAAGAAAAACAATCTTTTTGCTGCACTGCAGGACTCCTCTGTGCACACCTCTTCAGTCTGGTTCTCACCACTCTGAGCTCCAGGTAAACTGAAATGCTTTCAGGTCTTTTAATACACTATGTACTTTGATACAGAGCCTTAACACATGGTGTTCCCACTCACTGAAATGCTCTTTCCCAGGCTCCCTACCATCTTCAACAACTTAGCATCTGCTCACCCTTCATGTTTCACTCGAAGGAGACTTCCTCAAGGAAAACTTTATTGAAAGACCCAGGCCACATCAGAATTCCTTTTTGTAGATTATTATACTTTGCCTTTCCATGGTCTGCAACTGTATTATTAGTACATTTATTTGATTAACATCTGTCTACCCATTAGACTGGAGCCCCAGGGCAGAGATCATGTCTGTTTTGCTAGCCACTGGGTCCCCAGCACCAAGCATAGTGTCTAGCATGTAGACAGCACTCAAAGAGTCTTTGAGAACAGGACAAACAAATGCATGCATGTATACACACATGATTGAAAAACTGTATTCCATGGGAAAATTCCACTGCACAGTCTAACAACTACTTTACCTTTCCATGTTCTTGAAGAATCAATAATCCTGAAGAAAACCATGTGGGCCTTGCTCCCCAAGGCACTGGCAGCCTCCCTGGAGAGGCAGACAACTATACAATAAGAGTTTAGAGTGTTCACTCTGACATCAGAGTTATGTACCAACATACAAAGAGCACAGGGGATGAGCATCTGCATTCTGCCTGAGCAACCAGGGCAGGCTTCTCAGAGGAGGTGAAAACATTGAGCTCAGTCTTAGAGATGGCATAAGCATTTTCTATGTGCATTGGTGGAAAGGAGAGGTAAGAGAAGGACATCTCTGGCCAAGGGAACATCACAGGTAAAAGCATGGAGTGAAAAAGCTCCAAGTAACTGAGGTGGAAAGTGCAAGACAGAGGAGCTAGATATGGACCAGAACAGATTCTAATGTCTATGTGGCTGTACACTCTATCATTTTGTGACTTGTAACAGCATGTTTATAAGAGTCCAATCACTAATAGAGTTGTTGCACTAAGTGTGTCACCCAGAGTCAGAAGAGATAGTTAGCAAGAAAATCTATACGACCCCGATGAAGTCATATGCAGAATATTGCATTTTGTTTCAGGGGCACCTCATTACCAGGCCAAAGCAGACAAATTGGAGGGAGTTCAAAAGTGAACAAGAAAAGATGATCAGGGGAATGGAGAAATTGATCTAGGCAGAGAGATTAAAAGAAATGTGTGTGTATGTGTGTCTGTGTGTGTGTGTGTATGTGTGTATAAGTGGACGCCAGGGCAACAGCCTGCAGCACGTGTGCAGGGGAGGTTGGCCAGGGGTGGAGTGGGGAGCCTGGGACACAGCATAGAGGCTAGACTGGGACCCAAGAGGGGGCTCAGAGTAAGAAAGTGCACCTGGAGCTTGAAGGTGCTGGAGCTGGGGCACCTGTGCTTGTAACAGAGGAGCCCTCCGTCACAGACTGCCAGGGTCTGCCTGGAGATTTTCCCCTATACTAAAGGGCCTGATGTGGCTCCTTTAAGAGATTCTTCAGTCATCAGAGATGTGCTAAGAGAACACGGAGCTCCAGAGAACAGGCTTACAGGTCAAACAGCCCTGAATTTGAAGCTACCTTTTGCCATGTTCTAGCTACGTGATGCTAAGCAGAACCCTTAACCTGCCTGGGTCTCAGTTTTCTCTGGTGATGCTGAGCACTCATGGACCCATGCCTCTGGCTTTTATCTTCTTGTGGAGCTGCACTTGGCCTCATTGCAGCTGTAGTTGAAAGCCTGTTTTCTGTTCTCACCTGACCCAGGGTGAGGCTCTCCTAACATCTGATAAGAGGTCCTCATTCTTTTCACTAACTTCATCTCTCTTGACTCTAATCATTGACTCCCATTTGAGACCTGATTCTGAAGGGTATTATATGCTACACACACACAACAGCCTTCAGGCCCTGGATGGCCCCACGGTGGCCCAGCTCCCTGTGGAGGACTTTGAACTGGGGCCTGGAATCCCGTCGAGGATCTACCATCCACTAACTGCGGTAACATAGGCACGTTGCTTAACCTCTCTGGGCCTCAGTTATCCATCTGCACAATGGGCTCAGTAAGATCCACTTCTCTGGGGATCCCCTAGTGTAGGAGAAAATTGTGAAGACTGAATACAGTAATGCACGTGGGGCATTGAGCACAGAGCCTGACGCACAGATAAGGCTCTGTAATGCTAACCACTATGATGCTCTCATGAGGTCTCTGTTCCTTTTCTCAACTAATGGCTCACCCTGTCCACCAGGCTCAGGCTAGAAACCCCTGAAGCACCTGAATCCTCCTCTGTGTGCACTGACATCAGTCACATTATTTTTCACAACCATCTGAGGACTGCATCTCCACTACCATCTCCAGGGCCTGGACCACTGTTGTAACTCTATAGCACATTTCCACTCAACTTGACCTCTGTGACCACTGCATGTCCATAGGCCAGTCTTCCTGAAACACAAGGTCCAACCACATCAAACTATTTCAATGGCTCCTTATTGACAGCAAAAATGTGAATGCTTCAGCCTGGCATTCATTAGCCCTTACTAGGCCCTATGGTCCCTTTGTTCCCATGTCCTTCCATCTGCTCCTCCACCCCCTGCCTACCCCCTACACATACACATGGCCAGCATGCCAGCCACACTAATTTCCCAATGTTCCCCGAGTATGCCTTGTGCCCTAATACTTTCTGGCTTTAGTTCGCACTATTCCCATTGCCTGGAATGCTCCAACTCCTCATGCAGAATTATTGGCAGGCGACTCCACCTTCCAGTCTTCCCCAGCTCTTTGTTTCATCATAATCATTCATTTTCTCACTCAGCAAAAATTATGGAGTATCTACCTTATGAGAGGTATCTACTATACCATTTGGAGGCTGGAAATGATGCATTTCTCAACTAAGCTGGGAGCAACTTGAGATCAGGAATTGATGCATTCTCTTCATTTTTGTGTCCTGGGATGGACACATCATAAAATAAACCAGGTCACGCTTCATTGATGCAGGAGAGAGTGTGACACAATGCAGGAACTTCACAGAATCCAGTGTGACTGTGGTATGGTGGGATGTCAGGAAGTGGCCAGAGGTGAACCTGGAGCAGAACTTGTAGGGCCTTGAATGTCATACTCAGGAGTTCCATTTTTATCCTATAAGCAACAGGGAACCTCACTGAGCTACTTTCTATAAACCAATGGTGCCGCTTTCTCTCTAGGTCTTTGCATGTGCTGTTCCCTCTGGTCGGAATACTTTTCCCCGTCTCCTCACCTGGATAATTCCTCGTCATCTCACAGACTCAAAGAAGCATCATTTATTCAGGAAGCCCTTCCTAGATCTTCCCCTGAATTAGCTCCAATGATCCTGTCTGATCATGGACTGCTGTCGTTGTGTGTTTCGTGCTGGTGCTGCTGACACTGTAAGATCCAATGAGATGTACGTATCTTGTTTCCTTTTGGACTTTCTGTCCAGTCAATGCCTGGTCCATGATAAAAGGAAAAAGAAAAGGAATAATGGACGAAATGATGAAAAGAAAGAGGGATTTATTAAATCTGTGTTTTAAAAAAAGTTGGGAGCTATAGAAGGATGGATTTAAGCATGGTAAGACACAGCCTATTAAGGGGCATTTGCAGTAATCCAGGAGGGACATATGTCTGTGGTTATTATGAGTTGAACTCTGTACCCCCAAAATTTATATGTCGAAGCCCTAACTCTCAGTACTTCAAAATGTGACCTTGTTCAGAAATAGAGTCATTGCAGATGTAGTTAGCTAAGATGAGATCGTACTGGAGCAGGGTGGGCCCCAAATCTAATATGACTGATGTCCTTATAAAAGGAGATATTTGGACACACACACACACACACACACACACACACACACACACACACACAGACGGAGAATGCCATGTGAAGATGAAGAGAGGGATCAGGGTGATGCTTCTACAAGCCAAGAAATGGCAAAGATTGCCAGCAAACCACCAGAAGCTAGGGGACAGGCACAGAAAAGATTCTTCCTCACAGCCTTCAGGAGAAAACAACCCTGATAACATCTTGATCTCAGACTTCCAGCCTCCAGAACCATGAGGCAACACAGTTCTGTTGTTTAAGCCACTCGGTTTGTGGCTGGGTTGTGGTACCAACTGAGTTACAGCAGCTTTAACAAACTAATAAAGGGGCTCAGCCTGCTTTTTAGGATTGAATCCATAACCTGACTGCCTCCCAGGAAAATTTCATACCTAGCAGGCCTGTGGCTGGTTTTTAACCTGACGCCTTCATAATGAAGAGAAAGCAGAGTCAGCAACGCCACCTTTGGCATCTGCAGAGGCTGAGAGGTTAGAGCGTCCATTTGTTTGGGAGGAAAGGCCTGCCTGGGTTGTTTGAGACCTGGCCTCCCCGTGCAGTTTGCCTTTGTGTCCTGAGCTTCACGAGAGAGAAGGAAAAAACCATCATGGGCAAACTGGCTTTTTCCCATGGGAAATTGGTGGCATCACCTGAAGAACTCTATCATTCACGATATATTCTAAAGATGCATTTTTTCCCTTCTAACCCTAACGCCTCCTCTTCTCAGGGGCAGCAGTGGGGGGAGATGGCACTACCCCGGGCTGGAAATGCACTTTGGAAATCAGGATGTCAATAAGACCATCTGGGTGCCCGCTCAGAGCAGAGCCTGGCCCTAGGAACTGTGGCTGACAACGTAGTTTAGCAGAAAAAGGAAAGGCAGAGGGTGTAGTTCAATTCCTGGCTCTGCAACTTTCTAGTTGTGTGGCTTTCAGCTTTCAAGTCATGCCACTTCTCTGAGCCTTGGTTCCTAGCTGCAAAATATCCGGTGATCGGCTTTTTTTTTTTTTTTTTTTTGAGATGGAATCTCTCTGTCACCCAGGCTGGACTGCAGTGGCACAATCTCAGCTCACCGCAACCTCTGCCTCCCAGGTTCAAGTGAATCTCCTGCCTCAGCCTCCTGAGTAAGTAGGATTACAGGAACCTGCCACCACGGCGAGCTAATTTGTTTGTATTTTTTTAGTAGAGACAGGGTTTCACCATGTTGGCCAGGCTGGTCTCAAACTGCTGTCCTCAAGTGATCCGCTCGACTCAGCCTCCCAAAGGGCTGGGATTACAGGCATGAGCCACCGCGCCCAGCCAAATATCCAGTAATAAGATGGGGATAGTAGTACCACCTGGGCAAACTGTTGAAAAGTAGCAGGATACATAGAAAAGGTGGGAAGAACATGGGCATAGAGGCAGACCGACCCAGACTCAGATTCTGTCTCTTTTCGCCCTTTTAGGCTGTGTGACCTTGAGTTGATGATGCAATGTGAAATCCAATTTCACCTTCTATCCAAAAGAGACTTCTCAAAGTCCAGAGTGAGTATGGGAGATGCTGCATGTACTGGCGTGGTACCCACCTTTATCCAGCATTCCACCAATATTCATTGAGCACTTACTACATCCCGCACATGTTACTGGTTGGTGGGGAGATAGGCTAGTACCTGCCCTTGACCTGGGGGAGCTCACAGTCTGGCTGGGGAGACCCACAAGCTCAGAGACATGACTGCAAAGCCAGCTGATAAGGTCTCCTCCTTCTCATGGTGGGGCCATGAGATCAGAGAGCAGCAGTACCTCCCCCAAGTGCAGGATGAGGAAAGGCTCCTTAGAAAAAGGACATATAGCATGATCAGGAGTTAACCAGGCAAAAAAGGAGGGGAGGTTCCTGCCACACAGACGTGATCTCTCCCTGGAGATAGTAAAAGAACCCAGGAGACTCAGTGTGGGTGAATGGAATGCACACTTGAGTGGGAAAAATGTGATATCTCAAGGAAAGGGGCCAGAAGACAAGAGAAACCTGGGGGACCATTCGTAGAAATTAGGACTTTATCCTGAGCACCCCTGAAGTATTTTAAAAGGAGGGTGATAGGATCCGACTTGAGGAGGCAGGCTGGTCTTCATGTAGAGTGATCTAGCTGAGTGCTGATGGAGTCTGGACCCAGGAGGTTTCTGCCATCTCCAAGTATGGGCTGGAGCGTCCCCCTCCCTCCATCTGGCTCTGGCAGTGGGGAAGGATTCAGGATAGATTCTAACGACTGGTGCCTGAGTATGAATAGCGGGACGATATCAAGGACTGAGCACAGCTTCCCAGCCTGGGCAACTGGGGGAACTGAAGTGGGGAGTGTTCAGTTGCTGTTGATGGTCCTTATTTCAGTTGTTGATATAAAGCATTCTGGAGAAACAAAGTCAGGTCCATCCTTCAGAGACTTCTCAGTGCACGAGGTCAAGCAGTGCCCCCTTGTATTGCAAATACCTAAGGTTGGGGGCCGGCTGCTCAGATGCAGGCTTCCAGACCTGGAGGGACTCTGAAGAGCAGCAAAGTCCACTGTTTCATGGCACTGATGAGGGAACTGAGGCCCAGAGAAGGGAAAGGACTTTATCAGGACCACACGGCCAGGCAGCCTGCACCCCAGCTACCCCAAACCAGGTCCTAGCCCCCTCAACCCAGAGTCCAAGAGAGAGCAGGCCTTCAGTCCAGCCATCATTTGGGTTTCAGCTGGTCTCTCCAGCATCACAAGATGAAGGCCCCTGCAGTGAGGCAGATGTCCAGCACCTCCCTGCAGATGCCACCCTGGAAGTTTATCCCCCCAAGGTCTCAGACTCACCATCCAACAAAACCATTGCAGGAATCCCACTGGCCCCCATTATCTGTTATTACAGAAGTGGGAGGCTACAGCCTGCAGGCCAAATTCAACCCATCCCTTGTTTCGACAAATAAAGTTTTATTGGAACACGGCCACACCCATGTGCTTTTGTATTCTGAAGCATGGCTGTTTTCATGCTGAGTGACAGAGCTGAATGCTTATAACAGAGACTATATGGCACAAGGAGCCAAAACTATTTACTCCTTGGCCCTTGACAGAAAAAGTTTGCTGAGCCCCAGCCTAGGAGAAAGAAGGCAGCTTGGACTTCGGGGTCAGACCAAGCTTTGAGCCCCATCTCTGCCACCTGCCAGCAATCCAGACAAACCAGTCACTTGTATAACGTGCAGAGAATAGCAGTGTCTACCTCACGGGGCTGTTGTGGAGATTAAATGAAACAACACAGGTAAAGTGCTTAGCTCGGTGCCCAGCAGAGAAAGAGAGCGACAGAGAGACAGAAACAGGGAGAGATGAAAGGGAGGAATGAAGAGATCAGTGCATGACAGGCACCATTGCCTCCCAAGTTTATCATAGCCAGCTCCGTGCTATAAGGCCCTGGGGGCTACCACTTTCTTTAGGCTGTCTTTCCTTTTCCTGAGCCGGCATCGGTGCCTCTTCCATCTATTCCCACACCCTCAAACATCAGCTCATAACCCTGTAGCCATTACGAACACAGCCGCCTCTCCTCGGCCCATTCACAAAAGGTTAAAAGCAGCAGCCGCCGTGTGGAGCTGTAGCTGCCAGGGCTGGGAGCGAGATATTCTGTCAGCACGTCCTGAAATTCTTTTGGAAGTTTGACAGGATTAAGGGGATTAATACATTAAAGCATTATTACAGCATTCACAGGGGATTTTCAAAAGACTTTACACTGTGATCTATTTGTCCTGTTACATAAAACTCGCGTTAATAGGCTGATGGTGAGGGCCAAACAGAATATCTGTGGAATCAATAACCTTATTTTTTGGTAAACACATTTAGCAGGCAGAGCTGGTCATTAAGGCCTGCAGACCCTCCCACGGCGCGCATCAACGAAATTACCCTTGGAGAATCCATTTGCCAATTAAGCTGAGGGCTTGTCTGAGTCCTCAAGCCTGCTGATGGCAGGGGGCAGGAGAGAGAGTGTCTGCCTTCCGCCCTCCCTGGCTAACCCCCAAGTCCTGCTAAGCCAACACACACATCCCTGAGTCCCTGTTGCTGGGCAGAGGGGACAGTGCTGCAGGCAGGGGGAGTGGGATTGGTTCTGTGCCGCAGTGCATTCTGGGTCTCCTGGACAACAGGAGGGGTGGCTTTAGAGTGGGTTGGGTGTGGCATAGCTTAGATCACTCTACGGGTTAGATCACTCTACCCAAGGGGCTCTTTGTTTGTGCTGCTATCCTCTAAGCTTGATAAACAGCCTCCATTCTGCTCCCTCAACAACATGGCTGATTTCTCCTGCTGATGCCTGCACAACACCCTCTTGCAAACTGCAAAGAATAAGGTAGCATCATAAAAAATATTAGCTTACACTTACGTAGCCCTTGCTGAGTGCCAGGCAGTATTCTGAGCACTCCACATATACTAGTTTGTTTAACAAGTACAGCAAACTTTTAAGGTAGGTTCCCCTATTATTCCCAATTTGCATAAGAAGAAAGGGAGAGGCAGCAAGAAATTAAACTCTTGCCCAAGATAATAGAGCTGTTAAGTAACGGAATTGAGACTTGAACCCAGCAACCAGGCTCCAGAGTCCCAGCATGTAACCAGAATGCTATATCCACCAAGTTCTCCTGCTAACAAACAGTCACAAAGATTGTTTCCAACTACTAAGCAGTTACCAAATATCTAAGAACTCGTTATGGTACTTAATCCTTGCAGAAACCCACTAGCAGAGATTTTATTATAATATTCCCATTTTTTATATAAAGAAACCGAGGCTCACAGAGATGAACAGTCAACTGGCCTAAAGTCATCTGACTGGCAAATGCTGAAGGAGAGATTAAAAGCCAAGAAGTCTGATGTCGGAGCCTAAGACTTAGTAACCAGACCCAAGCCTGGTTGCTGGGTTCAAGTCCCAGGTCTATTATCTTGGGCAAGAGTCCTTCTGAATTCAAAGTGTAGCTATTAGGTAATGCTCAGCCATATTAACAATACCCTCAATAGTCTGTGCTAGGCCTTGGAGATGAGAAGAGGAAGAAGACATAGCCCCAGAAGAATGCTGGCCAAAGAGCTGGCACAGATCAAGGATATGACACACACTTGGACCACCCTCAGCTCTATGCTCCTGGGGAGTAAGAATTGCTGTTCTGGTTAACATCATTGTACTCCTAGACTTAGCCCAGAACCTGGATGTAGTAAGATCTTTGTTAAATGTATTATTGAATGGATTCTCATTTTAGAAAGAAGGAGCTATAAAGCTCAGAGAGGTGACGTGACCTGTCCAAAATCACATACCTACGACAAGGTAGGCAAAGATTTGAATTTGTATTTCTCTTCTTCCTCCTGCTTTATCTCGTCACAGTCCTCTATGCCTCCCTTTCTCCCCTCCATACACATATGCAAGCATGTAAACACACATGCATGTGTGCACATACACACACACACACACACACACACACACACACACTCCCACGCTCCTAAGCTTTGACTACACCTTAACCAATTTATACTCCGGAAGGTAATGAACTCCCACTCACACAGGGCCTTTGCATGAGCAGTTCTCTCTGGCTGGTGCACTCTTCCCCATGCTTCATCTTCACCCAGCTGATTCCTACTCATCCTTGGAGTCTCAGAATAGCTGTCATCACCACGAAGACACCTTCCCTTGACACAAAGCTAGTTTGGCTCATGGGCCCCTTTTCCTTGGCTGTCATAGCCATCTGGGTTCTCTAGTCCATCAATGTTCTATATTGTTCTGCCTATTCCCTCTAAACTGAGCCTCCTAGACACTGGGTCTGTAATGCACCCATCTTCACCTACCCTATGCCTGGCTATGGGTCTTTAATAAATAGATGCTAAATAAGTGAACACAGTCTACCATTTTTGCAGGCTCACATACATACACATTGATGCTTATTGATGCTGTGGTCAGCCTGGTCTTGCTGTTGGGTGGTCCTTGAGGCTCCCAAGAGGCCCTTCAGGGTTACTTATTGAAATACCAATTTGTGTTTTGTTTTTACTGTTAATTATGTTAATTACCTACTGCTACATAGTATGTTATTCTCAAAACTTAGTGGGTTAAAACAACAACAAACAATTTTATTATCTCATACAGGTTTTGAGAATCAGGAATTGGAAATGGCTTAGCTGAGTGGTTATGGCTTGGGGTCTTTCTTGAAGTTGCAGTCAAGATGTTGGCCTGGGCTGCAGTCATCTGAAGGTTGGACTGGTGCTGGAAGATCTGCTTCCAAGATGGCACACTGCATGGTTATTGGTAGAACGCCTTAGTTCCTCACCATGAGAGCCTCTCCAGAGGGCTACTTGAGTGTCCTCATGACATGAAAGCTGGCCTCCCCCACAGAGTGAGTGCTTCAGAGAGAGCAAGGAGAAAGTCAAATACTTTTCATGATCTGCACCATCACACACCACTGCTTCTGTCACATTCTCTTCATTATAATCAAGTCATTAAGTTCAGCTCACATTCAAGGGGAGGAGACTTAGGCTTCACCTGTTGGAGGGAGTAGTATCAACAAATTTGTGGACATACTTTAAAACTCTCACACTACTCTAGGAAGGAAGGAAGGAAGGAAGGATGGGACGGAGGGAGGGAGGGAGGGAGGAAGGAAGGAGGGAAGAAAGAAAGAAAGAAAGAAAGAAAGAAAGAAAGAAAGAAAGAAAGAAAGAAAGAAAGAAAGAAAGAAAGACCTTTTCCCCTTGTCCCCATCCCAATAAACAGTCAAACCCTAGCTTTCTGTTTCTGAATGCCATTGCCAGAGGATATTTTTAAGAGTGTCTATATTTTAGCGCATGAAACCAAAATCACTTGGAAGGTAATAACCCTCAGTTCTTCTCCCTTATCAACCCCAACACTTGCTGGAAATGGAGGAAACAGAAGACTCTGACTGACTCTGAGAGAGAGAGGAGCTCCCCAAAACTGAATGGGCAATAGGGATGGGGGTATGGATTCTTCCCTTCCAAATTCCAACTCCAAAGAATGGCAGAGCCCTGCCTACAGATATCCACATGGTCTCCAACAGGGGAAATTGTTGGATGCCTGTGGAGGTGGCCACTAGGACTGAGGCCTCAAAGGTAGTAGGGGGTCTCTGTGGTATCGCCCACCATCCACTGAGAGGCACCTGCAAGGCCCTGAAGGGCCTTCTGGGAGCCTCAAGGACCACCAGAGAGCAAGAACAGGCTGACCACAGCATCCCAACACCAAAACTACCCCAGTACCTTAGAGGCAGTCAGAGACTGAAGCCTCTTCCCCACTTGTAGGTGTCCAGGACCCATCCCAGCACCCTCCTCCCCAATCATTCTAACATGCCTGTAAGGAAGAATAGGACGACCCCATGTAGGCTGACCTGGGTAGGAAATTCTCTCCACCTTGAAGAGTGAGACTCAGAAAATATATGACCTGCTTTAGAACAAATGAAATATCTGAACAACTCATTGAGCATCACAGTCTTTGTTCCTAAGCTCTCTTGAAAGTCAGGCAGAATTTTAATCAAACAAAAACAACAAACAAGGGTGAGAAGGGAAAGAACTACTGTGTCTGTTAGCCCAACTGTCTGTCAGGAAATTGAGGCACGCGATTTTATTTAACCCTCATGGTGGGAATTCTTATTCCCATTTTACAGCTGGAAAAAGGACAGCAGATTTATGGAATACCTTCATATGTCAGGCATTTGCCTGCAGCTTTAGAATCTTCCAACAACACTGCAATGAGCTATTATTACGTCTTACAAATGAGGAATTGGAGACTCAGAGAACCTAGAAAAGCAGCCCAAGACCACAGAGCAAGCGATAGAGTCAGCTGCCCAGAGCTGAGTCTCTCCTTGCTGAGAAAGAATCAAGAAAGAATCTTTGTTTAATGCATCATCGTCTGTCTTTAAAAGAATCAATATTTATCTCCTGCCAAAAGTCCTCAGTTGCCATCCTGTCCTTGCAGCTCCTGAGAGCTTCCTGAGGAGTGTTGAGGGGGCAAAGGGTGGCCGGAGAGGAGTGCCCTGAGCCTCACAGACAGTGGTGCCCACCGCAGGGACCGGGAGAGCCACTGTCAGCTCCACAAAGCGCTTCTGTGGTAATTTGACAGGATTAAGGGGATTAATACATTAATGCATTATTAGCACTTTTATAGGAGATTTTCAGCGAGTTGAGCACGGTGATCCCTATTTCCTGTTATATAAACCGGCAGTAATTGTCTTAATTGGCCCATTGTTGCTGATGGGAGCAGAAAGGGAACAGCCTGATTATCTCCTGGCCTGTGGTTCTGAGTCTGGCCACAGCTCCAGGCCAAGCCAGGAAGGCTCGGGGAAACTGAGTCTGAGTGTGGCTCTCTAAACATCTAGTTCTATGGGAGGTGCAATCCAGAGTCTCTGCTCCAACCAGTGGAGCAGAAAGTTACCCCGGGAGAACCCAAAGGCCAGGATTCCAGCTCCCACTGTGCAGCTCACTGACTGGCGACTTGGCCACCCTAAGCCTCCATTTCTACACCTACCAATGTGGATGGTGATTAAATCCACCTCATGGTGTTGCTGAAAAAATGCAGTGAGCCACTGTCAGTGAACATGCTTTGGCAATGGGGCAGGCCTGTGCTCATAGGAGGGAGGGTTATCATTTATTTGGATGGACTGAATTGGGGATTTTGCCTTTTGATGTTCATCTGTTGGGAGAGAATAATAACATCCCCCAAGGGAAAGTAGGTGGAATATGCAGGAGGGCCTGGAAGACATCCCTGGGGGCAAGGCAGCCAGGCAAGGTAAGGCCAGTGGGTTGTGAAGGGTCCAGCATGCTCCAACACTGAGGCCCAGACACCTCACGTCCCTCCTACCAGCCGAGCAGCAGGTCACACAAGAAGATGTCTGCAACTGTGGAACCCAGTTCCCTGGGGTTTAATTTTCTTTGCTAATTAAGTGTCTGAGTCGGACCCCCTGCAGGAGGTATGTGTCTGCAGCTTCATGGATGAGAATAATAATAAAGCCCTAGAATCACAGCTTCAGAGGGGTCCTGAAAGGACTTTTCCTAGAAACAAACAAACATATCTTTTATCTTCCTCTCTCTACGAATCTAGGCTGGGTTGCAGGAAAGATGGTGTCAGAGGGCCCCAAGCTTTGTTATCTGGAAGAGAATGACCTGGTGGATTGGGAGGTCTGGGTGATCACTCTGACTGAGAAGCCAAGGATGAAATACAAGGTGAAGAGTAGCAAAGAGACAAGATTGGGGTGGATGCAATAGTTAGTGGACAAGCCTAACTGTTGTGAAGTCTGAGCTCAAGTAGGGATCATAGCCATGGAGCAAAGGGGATGAGACTTGAATCACCTAGACTTGGTAACCCATCCAGGAAGCATGAGGAACAGAAATAAGATGCTGTGCACAAATATTTCTGGTTCCCCCATTTCTGGGCACATAGTGGGTTTGCAAGTTCTGCTCCCCTTGTGGTTGATGGAGCCATGTGGCCAGCTCTGGCAGATGTGTTGGGAGTGTAAGGGCCAGATGTCACTTCTTGGCTGAATAGTTAATTATCAGTGTGAGATCCTTCTTCTTCTCCAGGCCCAACAACTGGCAAAGTTTGCAATGGTGGCTCTTCCATTGGCCTAGGACCCTGAGTGGTTATAGTAAGCGTGGATCACCTGGCAAGCTGCACTATACCTGTAGCATGAACAACAAATAAACCCTTGTTGTTTTAAGCCCCTAAGAAATCGGAGTTATTTGTTATCAGTATACAACCTAGGCTGTCCTGACTGATACAGAAAATGTGAACTTTATAGCCAGGGGCCAGTGAACACCATCAGGATAGTAACATCCATATAAAAAAAAAAAAAAAAATCCCAGTCCCAACTAAGGGCTTTTTTGCTTTAAGCCAGATTCACTGCCTCCAAACTTGAAAAGCAATGAAGACTTTGGAGAGACTGTCTGAAATTTCTCTGTAGCTAACTTTTGCTTTGGGGTCCAGATGCTGGGAAAGAGGAGCCCTGTGTGTGTTTTACATACATTAGTCACAGTGCACATGGTCCTGGATGTTGGCCATTGGAACTGGCCTCATATTTTAGCACATGCATCTGGACTAGGCAGATAGAAACCTAGCTATAATGAGCTTGCCCCTTGTCCGTGACATTTGTGCTTTGTAGAGGGTAAAATGAGGGGAAAATTTTTAATCCTAAAGTCTGTTTGCTTTCAGCACAGTAACTGGGATGAGGTCTAGGAGTCTGACTTGGATTTTAACTTCCCAAAAAAGCCTGGGAATGAAGTTAGAAATAAATCAGCCACTCTTTAGAATCTTTTGTGGTTTTACTCAAATTTACAATTTTCTCTTTCCACTGATGAAGGTAGAATGCTCAGGAAAAATGTTGATATCTTTGTTAGAAAAGAAATGAAGTGCATGCCTGAGGACTCACTGTGTGCAGGCCTTGGGTTACCTGCTCCATACATTATCTCCTTCAGTCGTCATATTACCTCTTTGAACGTAATGTATGTTACCTCTTTGAGGTAAGAATGTTAATTCTGTTTTGAGAGAAAAAATGCAGAGATGTTTAATACTGGAAAATGTCAATGCCAGGCCATGAATCTAGGCTTGCCAACCCAATAATTCATACTCTTTCCCCTATACCACCATGCCTTAGGATTCATGATTCAAGTTATGTCCTGATAAAACAAGTGCAACCCTCTAGTTATTGCTGTGTCTAGAGAACAGCGTAGTAAAGAAGAAACCATCGTTTGCAGAATCTGTCAGACCTGTTCAAATCTTGGGATGACTACTTAGTGGTGATGTGACTTCTGGTGAGTTACACTACACTCCTGAGCATCTGTTTCCTTAAATGAAGCAGAGACTAAAGGGAGGTATGTGGTGATGATAACTGAGTGAGCAGGTAAATGGTCAAGATAATTTTAAGTAGTGGCAAAGGCCATTAAAGATGTAAACCATGAAGCTGTGATAGAGGTTGGACGACAGTTGATGGCGAGTTGGAGTCAACTGCATTTGACTGGGTGGTCAGAGAAGACTTCACTGAAGAGGGGGTGTCTGAAATAGAATTTGGTTAACAAGAAAAAAGACAGGCTTAGAAGATCTAGGGTTGGAGCAATCCAAGAGACCGTAGCAAGTATAGAGGCTGTAAGGTAGGAGTATGCCTAATGTGTTTGAAGAACAGAATAAAAGACCAAAGGTTTGCTTAGTTTAGTCATCCCACAACATATACCTATTTCAAAACAACATGTTATCTGACATAAATATATACAATTTTTATCTGTCAATTGATAGGGTTTGGATATCTGTCCCCTAAAAATGTCAGGTTGAAATGTAATCCCCAGTGTTGGAAGTGGATCCTAAGTGGGAGGTATTTGGATCATGGGAGTGGATCCCTCATGAATGGCTTGGGTCATCCCTTTGGTGATGAGTGAGCTCTTGCTCTGAGTTCACACAAAATCTGGTTGTTTAAAAGTGTGTGGGCCTCCTCTTTCTATTTCTCTCTCTCTCTCTCTCTCTCTTGCTCTCTCACTCAATACCTCTCTTGCCGTGTGACTGCCTACTCCCCTTTCATCTTCTGCCATGATTGTGAGCTTCCTGAGGCCCTCATCAAAAGCAAATGCCAGCAACATACTTCCCATACAGCCTACAGAACCATAAGCCAATTATACCTCTTTTCTTTATAAATTTCCCAGCCTCAGATATTCCTTTATAGCAACACAAACAGCCTAACACAGCAATTTTAAAAATAAAAATTAATAATTATTATTAAATAAATAATAAAAAATAAATTTTTAAAAAGACTACTGGTGGGGCAAAGTAATGAGAAAGGGAAAGTTGGAGGGATAGGTGAGAACTCAAGGCAGCCAGGAGGGCCCAGAGAGCTGTGTGAGCCATGATCAGGCAGTGATGGGTCAGTCTCACCTCTACCCTGTACTTGTTTTCTGAAATTTGGCAATTTAGAAGATTCCAGGACAGGGCCTCTTCACCAAAGACAGGTGAATGAGAATGACTATACCTTAGGAAGCAAATTTGGTGAGTCCCTATAAGTATATAACCTATGGCCAACACTGTATTTTTCTAGGGAGATGCCAGCTTCTATAACAAATAAATCCCTTCCTGCCCAGGTAACAGGTCAATGTGGGTGCTTCTGGTTGGCAGGTAGCTCTCTGTGTGATTCAGTGACCCAGGCTCCTTCTGTCTTGTGGCTCTGCCATCCCTTAGGGCCTTGGAGTCCTCTGCATCTGGCTCATGAAAAAGGAAAATGAGTGTGTGGATCAGGCACAACCTCCTCTTAAACACTTTCGTCTAGACATGACACACATTGCTTCCACTCACAATCCAATGTCAAGAACTAATTACATATTCCCCCGTAGATGCAAGGGGTGCTGGGAAATGTAGTTTTTGATTGGGTAGCCATTCCCTAGAAACAACCCTGCACTAAGGAAGAAAAACATAAATTCTGGTAAACATTATGCCATAAATACTGAAGGAAGAGAGTTGCTATGGTCCATTTGTGTTACCATAGAGGTGTAAAGTCGGGCTACATGCAAACCAGAAGACCATTGCCTACCCTGTGCCCTGAAGCCCTGCACAGGAACTTCACATGCCATGTGCTTCTTTGGGCTTAAGAACCCTCATCTGCAGGTCACTAGGCCTGGGATCTAGGCTGACTCTTCATGAATGACCTTAAGCCAGTCGTTAAACTCATGCCTTTTTCTCAGCCTCAAACTTCTCATCTGGGAAAAAGAAAATCGGTAACAGTTGAATCTCAAGGGGTCTTTTCACCCTTGGAAGCCCATGATCCCACGACACAGAGGGTTTTCCTTGCCCTCTGGCTGCTTACAATCTAACTTGGAACACCAGATTGGCTTGTGGCTCCTGCGTAGGTAAGGGCCATGTGGTTTAGGATGAGAGGAAGAAAAGGAGGTGCCTGGTATCTGGAACAATGGAGTGCCCCATGCTTACGTCCCTAGTGGCCTCATCTCTGCCTTCATAGTGATAAGCGGGAAAGACAAGTTCCTTTCTCACTTGAAGTCCCTTCCACAGATTACTCGAGTCTAATACACATGGTTGGGAATTTGCAAAACCATATACCCTTCTATTGAATAGACTTGGAGCAGTCTGTTTCCAGAGAATGCCTGGCAAAGGCAGAGAGGTAGAGAGTGAAAGAGGTGAACAATCAGAGGGACTAGTGTGTGAAGAGACAGAAAAGCAGACAGACATTCAGACAAGTTCAAGGTAAGAAAAGAAAGAGCAAGTCAGGCCAAAAGTCCAGGGTGGAAAGGAGAAGGGAAGGGGAAGGAGGAGATACTGGATGGGTAGGCCCAGGCTGGAGGTATGGGTGCAAAGAAGACAGATACACAGAGAGACAGACTGCTTGTCCAGGGTACAAACAGAAGCTTCCCACACCCAGCCATGAAATAGAGATGCAGAGGCACCCACTGAGACAATGGTGTAGGGAGACAGATGGTAGTTAGTTCCAGGGAGACATGATTCCAATCAAGCCCATTGAAATGGATGTTGGCAAGTTCAGGAGGCAGCAAAGCGTGGGATTGGGAGGAGGTGGGAGGGGAGGGTCATGGCAGAACAGGTTGGGTGAGCTTCTGCCAGGGACAGGGCTAGGCGGCTGCTGATGAGATCGCAGCAGCATGGCCTCAGCGGGAAGAGCCCTCTGCCCACCCTCCCACTGCAACTGGACTCACCTGACAGTGGAATGAGTAATGAGTTCATTAAAACCTCAGTACCCGTTCCTGAAAAGAAGATGAATGTGGTTGAGAAAGGGAAGGTGCGTGCCTGCGTGTGTGTGGTGCCCACAGCAGCCCTGGCACCCTGCTTAAAGCAACCACATCCTTCCCCTGCTTAGAAGTCTCCCATGGCTCCCCATCAACACTGAGGGTCAAGTCTAACCCCTTGGCCTGGCATTCAAGGCCTTTCCAGAGCTGGTCCCTGCTGCCCTCTTTGACCTCAGTTTGTACCACTTCCCTTTCTTACAGAGAAGCCAGTCTTTTCAACCTGCTTGTATCTCCCCACAAAGGCACAACTGTTGTGTGAGGCTGTCATTCCCTAGGAGGTCCACTCTGCCTGGAATGCCCTTCTCTGCTCACAGGTGTGTTTGTGTAGTAAGCTACTTAAATCACCATTCTGAACCTTGCTCCGGGTCTCTTCCTCTGTGGGGCCTCCCCTTGGCGGCAGAGCTGGCCGTGCCTGCTCTGTGATATTTAGGCTCCAAGAAGTCCTGTTACAGAATTGATCATTGTGAATATCGCTAGATGCCCACTTCTCTGTATCTCTGTATTTCATTCAAGTCTATATCCAGGAGGCATGCATAGTGAGGTTAAGTGCAGAATTTTACAATTGCAGGACACCATGGATTCAAATCCCTGGTTACACTACCTCAGAGGGGTTGGGACCCTGGGCAAGCCACCTTGCTAAACACTGGTTTTCTGGAACTGTGAAGTAGGGATGAATATATCTACCTCCAGGGCTGCTCTAAGGAGAAAATGAGATAATGTTTGCTTGGTGGAGTCAAAAAATAAGACGTGTTAATAATAGCACCAGATTTCAGGAGGTAAGAAGGGGGCTCTGATTTTTCAGACTTATGAGTGTGGGACAACCTGTCCCAGTCCCACTCCTGGCTCTGCCCCTCACCAGCCGTGTACCTTGGAGGTGTGACTTCTTCCCTCCCAGCTTCAGTTTCCTCACATGGAAGATGAGGATAATAGTTTTCCATATGTCACAGGGTCATTACAAGGATTAAAGAAGATTTTGCAGATGGCAAACCTGAAGTGCCGGACGGTGCCTGGAATTGAGGCAGAAAGTTCAAAGTAAATGTGGGTGTGAGTTTTGGAAAACACCTTGATAAACTATTTGGGTGGAAGGAAACCAGAAGGCAGGTCTGGAATTCAGGGCCAAGGGAATACAGAATTGCTCTGCATTAGTAAAGAAGAGGCCGCTCATTCTCTTTTGTTTCCTTCCTTCTCTCCTTCCTTCCTTTCTGTATGTTTTGTTTTGTTTTGTTTTCAGGTTTGATATGGCATGTCATGTGGTGACTTTTTCTTTTTAAATGATGTCAAGAGCCAGGCATGGTGGCACAATTCTGCAGTCCCAGCTACTCGGGAGGCTGAGGCAGGAGGAGCACTTGAGCCCAGGAGTTCAAATCCAACCTTGGCAACTAAAAATAGGTAAATAAATAAATAATGATAGACTTATGATTGGCTGGCTGGGTAGTTGGTTGATTTGTTGGCTGGCTGGGTGACTGGTTAGTCTGTGAATTGGATGGTGCATTGGCTGGTTGTTTGACAGGGAAGGGAGGAAAGAGAGAAGGGAAGAAAGAAGCCAGAGAGCTGAGGAGATGACCAGACTCTATGTAAGGTGGGATGGCCAGTACAGAATGCCCAAGAGTAGGGCAGTGAAAAAGCTCCTTTAAGAACTGGGGTGGCTGATATCCCTTGCTGCTTTCATCACCACAGCTTCAACCATCTCTCTTTTTTTTACCTTAAAGACCAGTGTGACAGTAAACTTAAGTCATCTCTGTGGCTGCAAACCTTTTGAACAGTCCATTACAGGCCCATCAGTGATTCTTTGTGGAAATCAAGTAATAAGACTGAGTTCCAAATCTTGAAACAGGAACATGTGCAGAAAGTCCTTCCAGAAAGTGAACTGACTCAGTGGAAACAGAAACTCAGAGCTAGAGATGCCCTTGAGTGAACCCCTCCCCATGAAACATACACACACATACACACACACACACACACACACACACACACATGCCCATATATATACATACACACACTGCCCCGGAAATACAGAAACCATGAGGAGGGTTTTGGACTTTCTATAAATCCTGAAGGATCCAAATTGATCTTATCTAGCTCTTAAGAAGTAAAGCATGGCCCTCTGATATTTGAGTTGAATGAGAAAATTGCTTAGCCCAGTGCTTGGCACTTAAAATATGCCCAATCAGGCCGGGCGCGATGGCTCACGCCTGTAATCCCAGCACTTTGGGAGGCCGAGACGGGCGGATCATGAGCTCAGGAGATCAAGACCATCCTGGCCAACACGGTGAAACCCCGTCTCTACTACAAAAAAAAATACAAAAAATTAGCCAGGCGTGGTGGCGGGCACCTCTAGTCCCAGCTACTCGGGAGGCTGAGGCAGGAGAACGGCGTGAACCCGGGAGGCGGAGCTTGCAATGAGCCGAGATCACGCCACCGCACTCCAGCCTGGGTGACAGAGCGAGACTCCGTCTCAAAAAAAAAAAAAATGTATATATATGTATGCCCTATATATATATATATGCCCAATCAGTAGAAATGGTCATGGTAAGCCTCTAGTATAGACAATAGGGTGAAGTTGGAATTAATTTCATGGGGTGACCTAGTCAAGTCCTTAGATGTTTGAGTCATCTCCTACCCTGCCCCTTCAGTACCTGGTAAGCAGCCCTTGTATACTTTTAGGAACTGGGACCTCACTCTCTCTCCAGAAGCCTGTCTTGCTGTTGGATGACTCTGGCTGCTGGAGGTCTTCTTTATATGGATTTAAAGCCGGGATTCCTGTGATTTTCACCCACTGGTTTTTCACAGATGTTCTCGTCTCTTACGTGTAGGTTTTTTTGTTGTTTCAGGCTTTGCTTTTTTATGTCACAAGAAATGTTGAAACAGTTTTTTCCAGCTGTGTAATCTTCCTTGTCATTTTTGCAGGCTTTTAGCAGGCCCTGCTGGCATCTTTCAAGCTTATCTCTAATTCCAAATACATTAAAGAGGGGAAAAGAAAAAGGAAAGAGAGTAAAGTGTTTGGAGTCAAATAAAGTTACATATACATTTTTTTTCTAACTTGTAGGGCAGTCAATATGCTTTTACTCTGGTACCAGCTCTTTCTTTTTATAAACCTCCACCACGCCAAAGGCAGTGATGCAATGGAAACCGGCCTGGACCTAGTAGCGGGAGGTCTGGGTTCCAATCACAGCACTTCCCCTCATGAGCTGGGTGACCCTGAGCAACCCACCCATCCCCTCTGAGCCCAGGAATAACAATGCCTACCTTGAAGTCATGGGTGGATTAAAGTATTTAGAGTGCTTAAGCCAATACCTGACACAGGCTGTGTGCTCAATGAATGGCAAGATTTAAACAGAAATGTCTCCCTGTTTGATCTCATGGGGCTCTTAGCCTAGGGCAATACAAGCAAAGAAACATCAAGAAGCCTGGAATCTCCTTGAGGTGGTAGGGTAGAAGCATTTATCCATTTGTTGGTTCAGTCAATATACAGTAAGAACCTGAAGAGTCTTATCCTGAAACAAATTAGGAACATGGATGGAAAACATGGATGGGCAGTAATGTACACTAGAGAAAACGCCCTTGACAGCAGATATATCTGATTTTGAACCCTTGCCCTGTGTGTTAGTCAGGGTTCTCCAGAGAAACAGAACCAATACGATATATACAGATAGATAAATAACAGGGAATTTATTATGGGGATTTGCTCATGCAATTATGGAGGCCAAGAAGTCCCACAACATGCCAGTCTGCAAGCGGGAGACTGAAGGAAGCTGGTGGTATAAATCGGTCTGGGTCTGGAGACCTGAGAACCTGGAGTCTCTATGTCTGAGGGCAGGAGAAGGTGGAAGTCCCAGCTCAAGAGAAAGTGAATTCTCCCCTCCTGCACGTTTTGGTTCTATCCTGGCCATCAATGGACTGGATGATACCCACTCACACTGGAGAGGGCAGAATTTTTTTTTTTTTTTTTTTTTTTTTGAGGCAGAGTCTCGCTCTGTCACCCAGGCTGGAGTGCAGTGGCATAATCTCGGCTCATTGCAACTTCCGACTCCCAGGTTCAAGTGATTTTCCTGTCTCAGCCTCCTGAGTAGCTGGGATTACAGATGCCCACCACCACCCCTGGCTAATCTTTGTATTTTTAGTAGAGAGGGGGTTTCACCATTTGGCCAGGCTGTTCTCGAACTCCTGAGCTCAAATGATCCCTGGCTTGACCTCCCAAAGTGCTGGGATTACAGATGTGAGCCGCCACGCCCAGCCAAGGGCAGATTTTCTTTACTGAGTCTACCAAGAGATTACAGATGCTCATCTCTTCTGTAAACACCTTCAACAGACAAACAGAAACACTGCTTTACCAGCTAGCTGGGTGCTCCTTAATCCTTTTCATCCGTGTTCCTAATTTGTTGCAGCATGGAACACTTCAGGTTCTTGCCACATACTGACCTAAACCAATAAATGGATAAATGTTTATCCCCAGCCATTTCAAGGAAATTGCAGGCTTCTTGGTTATTGGGACCAAAGATCTCTTTGGTCACACCCTGTGACCTTGGCCAAGTCACCCTGCATCTCTGAGCCTTGGTTTTCTCATCTCAGGAACAGACATAGCAGGAGTTCCCACCATGTAGAGTCATCGTGAGGGTTACTGAAGTAACTTACATAGAGCACTGAAAAGACTAGGTGCTCTTTAAAAGTCTGCTGCAAAAGTAGTTGCGGTTTTTGCCATTAAAAGTAATGCCATTAAAAGTAATGGCAAAAACCGCAACTACTTTTGCACTAAACTAATAGTAGTCCCTTATCCTCCTATACCTATGTCTAGGACACATAAGAGTACACATAAAATTAAAGAAATGTAAGGATTACCCTTAACAAGGCAGTTTAATGCAGTGGTTGTGCAAGAGGAACTCAGAGTCAGAAAGCCTAAGTTCAAAGCCTGACACCCCAACTTTCCTCTGGAGAACCTTGGGCAAGTTGCTTAACTCAAGTGACCAGGCCTCAGTTTCCACATCTGTGAAATGGCCACAGTAACAGTCATTCTAATCTCCTGGGATAGTTGCAAGAATTAAATGAGGTCTTGTATATAAAGGCACTCAGCATAAAGCCTGGCTCAGAACAAGTGTGCAATGAACTTTTGCTGCTAAACGCCACTATCCCTAGTGTTTCCTGGTTATAATGGAAAGATCTCATCTCAAATCCCAGCTTTGTCTTTTTTACTTACTGCGTGATCTTGTGGAAATCTCCTTCTCTCTGAGCCTCATTTTCTTCATAAGTAAAATGGGAATAAAACCTCTATCTTGCAGCACCTTTGTGAGGGTCAGAGGCAACATATAGTGTGTGTCTGGTGTGTAGAAGGCACTCTACAAGAATCCACACATATATCTGCATGATTTCAAACAAGTCATCTCAGGGCTCTGGGCCTCACTATGTGCTATGTTCCTTGGTGAAATGGAAATGTTGTTATACATACTTCCAGGGCAGCAAGTGAATGGAATAGACACCTGCAAGAAGCTCTGGGACAAGACTCTGAAGGCAGCCTTCCTCTCCCATCAGCTGGATACATATTGTAGAGCCATTTGGCCCCAGTTAGCTTTCACACATCAAGGGTCCGAGTTCAGGAGATGCTGCCCCCAGCACCAGGAGGAGAGATAGGAGCCTTTTATATGAAGGTCATTAACCTGGGTCTGTGCGATCTGCAGTGTACCTGTGTGTGTGTGTGTGTGTGTGCGTGTGTGTGTGTGTGTGTGTGTGTGTGTGTGTGTGTGTAAAGCCAGAAAAACAGGGACTCACTAAGTCAAATTTTTACACTGGATCTCCAGGTGGGCAGCAGCCCTGTCTGTGGTTTATAAATCGCCCTCAGAAACTGGTCTGGCCAGCTGCCCATGGAAAGATGGAGAATTGTTAAACACAGGCAGAACCACCTGGCCTGGGTTCCAAATTCTGATCGTGAGAAGGACTTGGGGAGCCAAAGGAGGGGAAAATTTAGCTCTGTAGGCTGAGATCCATGCAAGGAATCTCTTCCACTGTCCCAACACGACAGGCTTAGTCCCACTTCCAGACCACTGCCTCCACTGTTACCCCGGCTGGGGATGCCCTCAGCACCCCTCTTCTCTGCATACCCACCCTGTAACTTTGACCCACCCAAACTCCATAAATTCTATGTCTCCTTGAAGTCTTTGTTGAATACTAACGATTATCAAATTAAACTTTTTTCTTCTGCATTTTTCATGTGAAGTCATGTATCACTTAAGGACGGGGATACATCCTGACAAATGTGTCAGGTACAGCCTATTGCTGCAGATTAAAAACCTGTATGATATGGTACTGTACTGAATACTGTTAGCAATTGTAATGCAATGATGAATATTCATGTAACTAAACATATCTAAACATAGAAAAGATACAGTAGAAGTGTGGTATTATAATCTTATGAGACCACCATTGTATATGTGGTCCATCCTTGACTGAAATGTCATTATGCAGCACATGACTGTACATTATCTCTCTTACACCTTCAGGCATGCTGTGTGGGGATAGAATTATCCCTTATTTTAACAATGAAAGAGACCAAAGTTTCCCAGCTGGTCATCTTGCCCAAAGTCACACAGAGATGGTCTCCTACCTAAACAAATAATCCTTTTTCTGCCACACTGTGGCTGCTCCATTTGCACTCCCATTTCTTTTTTCTTTGAATTAACTTTGCATTATTGATATAATCCCTATCATCTAGCATTTGATTCAACCCCAGCCAGAATTATTCCCTAATGGTTTGGTAGGTGCAAGCATGTTGAGAGTGAGGATTCTGTCCTCTCCATCACACATGTCCATCCCTCAGGCCACCCAGCTGGGTGTTGGACACTTTAGTTGTAGTGGTCAGCAGCTACGTCGGTCTGCTCAGCATGGTTTTCCTCCTTCTTCCAAGAAATGGATCCTCTCTCACTTGAGTCATGTGGCTGAGGTTGGGAGATGTCTTTCTGAGTACCTGGAAACTCTTGTGCAGGAGGCTACATGCATGACTCAAGACAAGCCAATTAGAGTCTTTTCCAGATTGATTGGACCTCTATATGTTGCAGCCACACATGGATCAGAGACTGGGAGAACTACCCCCCATCTCCAAATTCTCACCATTTTCAGAGCTCACAGACAAACTATAGTCCTCAGTTTGCCTTCGCATCTTGATGGGGCCATGGGTCTATTTTTCATTAATAGAATGTGACAGAAGTGATAAGTGTGGCACCATCTGGCCCAGGCAGTAAAGAGTGTCTGCATCTTTGCCGTTATCTATTTCTGCGGGTAAATGGTGAGAGAGTCCATGGACCTAGAGAAGAGCAGAGCTACAAAGTGGGAGGAGCCTGGGTGCCTGGATGACTGTATGGAGCAGAGCAACCCCCATCCCATGCTGTACTGTGGCATGAAAAAGAAACAAGCTTTAATTCCAGGCTAAGCCCCTGAAATGTCTGGGTTGTTTCAATCATTAGCCTACACAGACCAGTAAAATGTAAACACACAACAATTTCTGTCTTTCTGATACTTATATAGAAAAGTACCAAACAGATAAGTTAGGGCCAGATAATGGAAGGCCTTGTTTGCCAGTGTTTGTCAGTGTTCATAAAGCCAGTAAAGAATTTTAAGGAGGTGGAGTGATTTCTAGAAGGAAGAAAAGGAAGATCGTTTAAAATAGTTTTCTAGAAGGAAGAAAAGGAAGATCATTTAAAATAGTAACAACCATATATTGAATGCTTCAAAGTACAAAATACTATATGCCAGCACTTCATTAACACTCTCTCATTTCATCCGCCCAAAACCACATTCCCCATTTAACATATAAGGAAACTCAGTCCCGTGGTGTGCAATAGTTAAACAGCAGAACCCAGAGTCAGACCCAGCCCTGCCTATCTCCAAAGCTTGAGCTCTTTTCATTAAACCATATCACCTCTTAAGATTATTAGTTTGGCCCAATGTCTTTTCATATAGTTTTTTGTTTGTTTAGTTTTTCAGCAGTGGCTACATATTACTTTTATAATAGTAAAATGCACACTTAAATACACACCAATACAAAAATAAGTAAATAAAAGTTAATCTGGCCACAGAAGAGCATGCAAAATCCAAGAGCCCAGTCACCATGGGGCTTGTCCTGACCAACACTTACATGTTCAGGAGAGCTTCTTCCAAGGACGCACCTTGTGTATCCAAGGCTTATGTGCATTCTTGGAAGAAGCTCTCCCAAACATGTAAGTGATGATCCAGTTGAGGAAAAGTGACAGCATCCTGTATTGCAATTTTCAATCATTCCAAGAAAATAAAGATTTCACACGAGTCTTCTAATTGCCGATTTGCAAACAGTATCTATGTAAACTCTGATTCCCATCACTTGCTAATCAGGTTGGGTTTGGAGAACCAAGTTAGGTTTGTTGTTTCGTTTCCTGCAAGAAGTCCTCTCTTCTGCTACCCACAGCCTCTCCCCCCGAGCCCCTCTCTTTCTTCTCTGTGTCTGTTTATGTCTTCCTGGTTTTCAATTTCTTAATGATGTTTTAACGAGATGCCAGTTACACATGCAAATTGGAAAGAGGCGACATTGAGAGATTGCTACCTGGTGGTAAATTTATTAAAATCAAGGCAGTTTTAATAACTTCCTTGCATATGCATCCGCCTCCATGTCTGTAATATTAGTTTTGGGGTTTTTTTTAACCTTCTTATTAGAACAAGTGTGTTAGGAAAGTGTAAGGTGAAGTCATGAGGAGAAAATCTAATTGTTCCATGAGTGTTCGACTTGCTCCTCAAAATAGATTTTACAGGCGTAAACTATTCTCTTCTACTTTTTTGGACCTTGTCCAGCTTGATCTTCCTGTCTTCTTGCAACACTTGCAACCACTTTCTTCAATCTTCATCATCATCGTCACCATTATTTTCATAGCTACCATTTATTAAGTACCTAACTCGATATCACATAGCAAAAAAATGACAGAAATACATGTCAAATCCAAGTTATTTAGGATCGAAGCCTACTGCTCTGTTCTTTCCCCTTCCAAAAACATTCTTTTTCTTTGCCTTTGTTGATCCCATGCCCTCCTATTTTTCTTTTATCTTTTATCTACATTTTCTCGGTATCCTTCGAAGGCTGTTTTTTTTTTCTTCTCATTCACATTCTGCCCTCTGCCTTCTCCTGTTTTTCAAGAAAGTCATCCCTCACCCTGGCTACCCTCGTTTATTACCATGATTCCAATCACTATTATCTGTTGACAGTTTCTATATCAATCTCTCCTGAGCTTTGGACTCTACAGAGCCAGCTAGCCATCTGCCAGCCGTCTCCACTGGGTGATACACGAGATCCTCACAAACACAGAACCAAGCTCATCAACTTCTCCCCAAATCTCCCCCATTCTGTGTTTGCCACCTAAATAAATGGCACAAATCAGAAACCCAAACTTTTCCCACTCCCAATGTTTGCTGCTATGAGAAAGAAGCCCAGCATCTCTCCACCCGTAACTCACGCCCGCCCTGGGGCACAAAGCTTATGAGTACAGACTCCTCTCTCCTTTCTCTTGGAAGCAAGTGGCCTCCAGGGACAAACCGTCCCATCCATGCTGCAAGATAAAGAGGTCTTCCGGATTCTAAGGTTCAGTATAAGGAAGCACCCGTGGCTGAGATGTAAGCCACATTCTCCTGCCTCTGTTATAGTTGTAATAAAAGTGCTATTTTTCTTTCTATGTTGCTCACCCCTTGCTTTATTTTCCAGTTGGTTAAAAACTTGGGCAGGAGGAAGTTGCTATTTACTAAGCCTATTCAAACCCCCTACAGCTGACAGTCACCTCAAATTTTGCCTCTCCTCCCATCAAATGCATCGGCAAGTCTCATTGAGTTGAACTTGGGAATAGTCATGAGTCCTCTCCCTGTTCTCCACCTTAATTGATATCCCACCTGGATTATTGAGACAGCATCCCTCCAGCTTCCTGGCCTCTGTATGTTCCTCTCCTTTCCCAAGCTCCCCCTCCACACTGCCCAGAGTGGTCTTCCCAAAGCAGAACCGTAGACATGGCCACTCATTTTCTGATATGAAGCCCCAACTCCCAATGGTGGCTTATAAGAAATTTGAGGACGGTGGAGCATATTGGATAGCAAGAATGGACTTAGTTGTTGAAAATAGTTGTGTGAACTTACCAAAAGTGGCACCTCTGTCTATCATCTGGAATCTAAGATAAAAACCTAGCATGTACTAGGCACTCAATAAAACTTTGCTAGACAAATAAGCCCAAATGCCCATCAATCAATGAATGGATAAAGAAACTGTGGTATATACATACGATGGAATACTACTCAGCCATAAAAAGGGAATGAATTAATGGCATTCACAGCAATCTGGTTAGGATTGGAGACTATTATGCTAAGCAAAGTAATTCAGGAATGGAAACCAAACGTTGTATGTTCTCACTCATAAGTGACAGCTAAGCTATGAGGATGCAAAGGCATAATAATGATATAATGGACTCTGGGGACTTGAGGGGAAAGAGTGGGAAGGGGGTGAGGGATAAAAGACTACACATTGGGTTCAGTGTATACTGCTCGGGTGATGAGTGCACCAAAATCTCACAAATCACCACTAAAGAACTTACTCATATAACCAAATACCACCTGTTTCCCAAAAACCTATGGAAATAGAAAATTTAAAAAAAAAAAATTGTCAGACAAATAATTGTTTCATTTGAAAGAATATTGAATTTGGATTCAGAAGCCCTTGAGTCAAGTCTCAGGTTTGCCAATTACCAGCTTTTTAATCCTAGAGAAGTCCCTTTTCCTTTGGGAGCCTCACCTCATCTGTAGAATGGGAACTACATTACCTACCTGATAAGGTCATGAAGCTTGATTGAAATACAGAAAAGCATTTTATCAACTAATTTTATACAATATGAAATTTAAGGCTCTGCCTCTATCTCTGGGGTCTTCTAGACCAATTCACATTTGTCATTGATGCATTAGATTCAGAAATTTTAATATGAGCTTAAACATCAAAACTCATGTTTCTAAAGAACCTACTTCACTTAAAAGCCATCATCCTCTCTCATTTTAATCATAGGAGAGGCATGAAGAAAATCAATTTTTATTTGAAAACTGCCTTCGAAACTGCTGCAGCTTTGTTCTCAATCAGGAGTTTATAATGATGCAACTCAACTTCTGTTTGTGTACTTGATTTGATGCTGGTGTGTGTATGGGTTGCATATATTTGACTTTTATGATATTTTTATGTTTGCAAATAGCATTCTTTAACCTGAAATATCTCTCAGTTTAAATGCCAGTTGTTAAATACACAAGATGGCCAATCAATTTTTTCCATACTTATGGTCAATTCTTGGTTTCATGTGAACACTGAGAGTAGTCAGAGAGAAATCAAAGAAGCCAAGAGAATCAGATCTGAGGGAGAAGTGGCCTCAAAGAGCATCTCCAGTGTAGCCACTTTATTCAACAGATGGGAAATCGACAGCTGGGTGCAGTGGGCAGCTCATGCCTGTAATCCCAGCACTTTGGGAGACCGAGGCAGGCAGATCACTTGAAGTCAGGAGTTCAAGACCAGCCTGGCCAACATGGTGAAACCCCGTCTCTACAAAAAAATACAAAAGTTAGCCAGACATGGTGGCACACACCTGTAATCCCAGCCACTCAGGAGGCTGAGGCACGAGAATTGCTTGAACCCAGGAGGTGGAGGTTGCAGTGAGCCAAAATCATACCCCACTGCACTCCAGCCTGAGCAACAGAAAGAGACTCTGTCTCCAAAAAAAAAAAAAAAAAAAAAAACAGATGGGAAACTGAGGCTCTGTGAGGAAAAGGGACTTAGCCAAGATCACACAGCTAATGAGAGAGACAGAACCTGGATGAAATCGCAGCACTTCTGCTTCCTCCTGCCCAACCCGTGTCCCCTTGCTTCCCCAGAGACATGAGCCAGTATGTGGTATGAGTCACAAAGACCGAAGCACTTGTCACCAACTTAGAGGCGGAAACGGGGAGGTACAAAGCAGGCAGCCACCATGCCAGCAGGACCAAGCACCCACAAAGCAACATCTTTGTTTTATTTTGAGAGAATTCATAGGCAATTGACATTTCTATATTTCAGTATAGGAACATGATCTCATCCAAAAGAGAAACAAAGTCAATCTTTTCTTTATCTGAGGCTTTGGATTATTTTTACCATCGCTTTCCATCCTGATAATGAAGCTCACTAAGCGTAGGCCTTGGAGTCAGACAGACTCAGCACCGGGACCTTGGGCAAGTGGCTTCGTGTCTCTGAGCCTCAAGTTCTCTGTCCTTAAAATAAGGATAAAAATACCTCCTTCAGAAGGTAGTTGTGAGAATTTAAAAGTTTCTCCTTTAGGAACCAGCTTAGAATAAGGACTCAGTAAATATTGGCCACCCTTTCTGCCTGACTCCCCCCCTATTTATAAAGTTTGGAAAAGAAAGTGCCTTATATGTTGCGAAAAATGATGCCACAAAGCAAGTCAATGGTGGGGAGAGAACAATAGCTCCCGGAAGGAATGGTGCTAGTAATGGACCACCGCACCCATAATATTCTGCAAGTGCTCCCCTACCCCATTCTTGCATTACAAAAAAAATTTAATTCCATTTATTGGTCAACTTTTCCCATGAGGACACATCCTTAATTTAATCATGTAAATCAATGAGAAAATCTAATTCACTTTAGAGAAATTTGCTTCAAGGCTAGCCTTATGGGAATGAATCTGTTCCTTAAAGTGTATCCATAGCAAGTGACGTGTGTCTTTATCACAGTTACAAAGGGATATAAATTAATCTCTAGCCCATTTTAGAAAATAGAGAGTTGATTAAATAAATGGTGGCTCTAGTGATCCAAATGATCTGTCATTTTTAAACATTTCAAGCACCAGTTTTAATGTTAAATTTGAGCTTTTTACAACTGTAGATGCCATTTGCTTCTTTAATATCCAATTTGCCTGATTAACACTATATTAGCTCCAAATATATAATTTATTATTGTTCCTCTTTTTATTTGCCTGATGCTTGTTCCAAAGCTTGTCTAGCTTAGGTTTGTGGAGCACTCCCTGAATGGGGAAAGGATGGCTCCCTTCCAAACCTGAGTGTCTCCTCCAGATGGGCAACCCTCGTGCTGTGTCATTGTCCTCCCAGGGAAGCCACCACCTGCCCAGTCTGTGGATTTATCGTGTGGATCAACTAAGAGGTTGGATGTGAAGGGGTGGTACAGTAGCCCATACATATTGTCCTTATACCCAACAGTGAAGGACAGGTAAATGAATAATTAATTCCATCCATAAACCTCTACTTTGAGGGTCAGGCCTCTAAAAGTAACAAAACAGGGACCACTCAGATTCATTCTTAGCCTTAAGGAACTCATCATCTACTGCAGCAGATAGGCAAGTGAACACATGCTTGTCATCTAGCACCATATGTGCTCTGATTACAGGATCCCAGAGGAGGTGCCTTTGACCCACACTTGGAATGAAGGAGGGCTTCTTGGAGGAGGTGAGTTTTAAAGGACATGTAGGAGTTAACCAGCCAGAAGAAGGTATCAATTAAAGGCAACATATTTGATTATACACTCCATTATGCACTTGGCCATGAGGAATGCAAGAAAAGGAAAAGACATTTCCATTACTGTGTCAGTCTGAAATCCTGTCAGGAAAATGGACTTGACAGGGGTGCGACAGGAATAAAGGGTTTAATATGGGGATTAGCACTTACACACATATGCAAGGAGCTGGGAAAATAGAGGGGTAGAAGGAAAAGGGCTGGAGGATCAGAGTAATAGTCCCATAAGATTTCAGCCCCAAATGCTGGAATAGCTAGAGGAGCCAGAGCTCACGGGAAAGTCTAAGAAGCCACTACATTTAGGGGCCAAAGTGAGGTCCCAAAGTGAGGACTCCAGGAGAGGAGCTCCCATAACAGGACCATCATGAGAATAATTGCTTCTGCTTTGCCATCTAAAGCATCTGCAGGTTCCTCTCATCAGCCAACTCTAACCTGGAACCCTACAGAGAAAAAGATTCTGGGAAACAAAGTTCTCAGCAGTGGATGGGAATGGGAACGTTGCCAAGTTCCTGCACACTACCCTTGGAGAGTCCCAGTCCGAGGTAGAGGTGGCATTAGTCAAATCATCACAGCAACATACATACAAGCTGTGAAAAGTATTGGGACAGTATAGACTGGGGGTCTGATTCACCTGGGAGATGTGGGAAGCCTTCCTCTGGGAACTCATGATTGAGCTTGGATCTGATGGATGGAGAGATGATGCAAAATGGGCTCTAAACATCACACCACCATTTCTCTCTTAGGCTCATCCACCAACGCAGATGGTCCTTCCTTCCATCATGGTTCAAGGAAAGATCTGTCCAAGTCTCCCCAACAGCCAAAGGAAAGGTTTATTGCTCTGGGGACAAAAGGTGAACCCAGCTTAAAGAAATATCCTGACCTTGGGAGTCATAAATAAAAGCCCTGAGCCAGGGCTCAAAAGTATCTGAGGGAGGGTTTCAGCCAATGAGGACTTCATCCTTAAGTGCACACCTGAACTAAAGAATAGTTTGGGGCTCTGAGCTGACCTGGCCCTGGGGCCCCTCCTTTCCCAGTGCTGCAGCAAATGGATGAAAAATTGTATCATTAAACTCTTTGATGTTCTCCTGTCTAATTGAACCTGTGAAATTTCCTAAGGTTATCCAGCCTCCAAAAATTCAATTTTCCATGTAACGCATGGTGACGTGTCAATAAATCATGCTGTAAAATAAATGCGCAGATTCTTTTGTGCAGGAGCGAGTGAGGAATAAACCTTTCGTAATTGATAAATAATGTCATTGGAATCAATAGCTGGCAGAGGAGTTGGAGGAGTAAGCCTGAATCCTGTATGAGTGCTCCGGGGTGATCAATGCCTTTGAAACAGCCAGGAGCTCGGGAGCCAAGTGTATAAATTACTGCCTTAATATTACAGCAGGGCCCAAAAATTAAAAGATGGGTACATTGCTAAGTACTGTTGAGATGGGAAGATGAGTCTGGGATGTGGGTAGTGTGAGTTCTTTCATGGGCACCTTTTGGAGGGCTTGTGGGGTCCCTGCAGAATGGAGATGAGAGCAGATTGTGCAATCTGGGACTTCGGATGGAGACAGCATGAATCCAGCTCTGGTCATTCCTGCCAACATCCTATGTTGGCAGCAAAGGAAGTGAGCTGCCACAGACACTACTTAGGAAAATGGCCCAGCTGCCCTCAGAGGCCTCAATACCAGGAGCCAGTGCTGACATACAAAGTGAAGGACAAGCCTGGGAATCATTGGATCAGGTTCCAAGTGGCAGCCACAGACCCTGCTAGACCAAGAGGAAGGGTCACTATGCAGTGGTCAGGAGCACTAGCTTGAGTCAGACTGCTCAGCTCTGCCACCAGCTGTGTGACTCTAAGCAAGTTACTTAACCGCCTTGTGCCCCATTCTTCTCCTCTGTAAAACAGAAGGCAATAATGCCAACTTCACTGACTTTTTTAAAATTATTATTTCTTCTTAAAAAAAAAGGGATACATGTGGAGAACGTGCAGGTTTGTTACATAGGTATATGGATACCATAGTAGTTTGCTGTGCCTATTGACCCATCCTCTAAGTTCCCTCCCCTCACCCTCCACCCCACAACAGGCCCTGGTGTGTATTGTTCCCTTCTCTGTGTCCATGTGTTGTCAATGTTCAACTCCCACTTTTGAGTGAGAACATGCAGTGTTTGGTTTTCTGTTCCTGTGTTAGTTTGCTGACAATGATGGCTTCCAGCTTCATCCATGTTGCTGCAAAGAACATTATCTCATTCCTTTTTATGGCTGCATAGTATTCCATGGTATATATGTACCACATTTTCTTTATCCAATCTATCATTGATGGGCATTCGGGTTGGTTCCATATCTTTGCTATTGTAAATAGTGCTGCAATAAATATACGTGTACATGTGTCTTTAAAATAGAATGATTTATATTCCTTTGGGTATATACCCAGTAATGGGATCCCTGGGTCAAATGGTATTTCTGGTTCTAGATCCTTGAGGAATCACCATACTGTCTTCCACAATGGTTGAACTAATTTACATTCCCACCAACAGTGTAAAAGTGTTCCTAGTTCTCTACAGCCTCGCCATCATCTATTGTTTCCTGACTTTTTAATAATCACCATTCTGACTGGCATGAGATAGTATCTCACTGTGGTTTTGATTTGCATTTCTCTAATGATCAGTGATGTTTAGCTTTTTCTTCATGTTTGTTGGCTGTGTAAATGTCTTATTATGAGAAGTGTCTGTTTATATCCTTTGCTCACTTTTTAATGGGGTTGTTTTTTTCTTGTAAATATGTTTAAGTTCCTTGTAAATTCCAGATATTAGACAGACAGGTAGATTGCAAAAAATTTTATCCCATTCTGTAGGTTGCCCGTTCATTCTGATGATAGTTTCTTTTGCTGTGCAGGAGCTCTTTAGTTTAATTAGATCCCATGTGTCAATTTTGGTTTTGTTGCAATTGCTTTTGGCATTTTTGTCATGAAGTCTTTGCCCATGCCCATGTCATGAATGGTATCACTTAGGTTTTCTTCTAGGGTTTTATGGTTTGGGGTTTTACCTTTAATCTTCAATCCATCTTGAGTTAATTTTTGTATAAGGTGTAAGGAAGGGATCCAGTTTCAGTTTTCTGCATATGGCTAGCCAGTTTTCCCAGCACCATTTACTGAATAGGAGATTCTTTCCCCATTGCTTGTTTTTGTCAGGTTTGTCGATGATCAGATGGTTGTAGATGTGTGGTGTTATTTCTGAGGTCTCTGTTCTGCTCCTTTGGTCTATATGTCTGTTTTGGTACCAGTACTAAATATGGAAAGGAAAAACTGGTACCAGCCACTGCAAAAACACACCAAAATATAAAGACCAATGACACAGTGAAGAAACTGCACCAACTAGTATGCAGAATAACCAAGTAGCATCATGATGACAGGATCAAATTGATACACAACAATACTAACCTTAAATGTAAATGGGCTAAATGCCCCAATTAAAAGACACAGACTGGCAAATTGAATACCCATTGGTGTGCTGTATTCAGGAGACACATCTTACGTGCAAAGACACACACAGGCTCAAAATAAAGGGATGGAAGAAAATTTACTGAGCAAATGGAAAGAAGGAAAAAAAAATCAGGGGTTGCAATCCTAGTCTCTGACAAACAGACTTTAAACCAACAAAGACCCAATAAGACAAAGAAGGGCATTACATAATGGTAAAGGGAACAATTCAACAAGAAGAGCTAACTATTCTAAATATATGTGCACCCAATACAGGAGCACCCAGATTAATAAAACAAGTTTCTAAAGGCCTACAAAGAGACTTAGACTCCCACACAATAATAGTGGGAGACTTTAATACCCCACTGTCAGTATTAGACAGATTAACAAGACAGAAAATTAAAAAGAATATTCAGGACTTGAACTCAGCTCTGGATCAAGTGGACCTAGTAGACATCTACAGAACTCTGTTCCCCAAATCAACTGAATATACATTCTTTTCAGTGCCACATGGCACTTATTCTAAAATCGACCACATAATTTGAAGCAAAACACTCCTCAGCAAAAGAACTGAAATCATAACAAACAGTCTCTCAGACCACAGAGCAATCAAATTAGAACTCAGGATTAAGAAACTCACTCAAAACCACACAATGTCATGGAAATTGAACATCTTGCTCCTGAATGACTCCTGGGTAAATAATGAAATTAAGGCAGAAATCAAGAAGTTCTTTGAAACCAATGAGAACAAAGAGACAATGTACCAGAATCTCTGGGACATAGCTAAAGCAGTGTTAAGAGGGAAATTTATAACAATAAATGTCCACAGCACAAAGCTAGAAAGATCTCAAAGCGACATCCTGACATCACAATTAAAAGAGCTAGAGAGGCAAGAGCAAACTAATCCAAAAGTTAGCAGAAGACAACAAATAACTAAGATCAGATAAGAACTGAAGGAGATACAGACACGAAAAACCCTCCGAAAAATCAACAAATCTAAGAGCTGGTTTTTTGAAAAATTAACAAAATAGATAGACCGCTAGCTAGACTAATAAAGAAGAAGAGAGAGAAGAATCAAATAGACACAATAAATAATGATAAAGTGATATCATCACTGACCCCACAGAAATACAAACTACCATTAGAGAGTACTGTAAATACCTCTACATAAATAAACTAGAAAATCTAGAAGAAATGGATAAATTCTTGGATGCATACACTCTACTAAGACTAAACCAGGAAGAAGTCGAATCCCTGAATAGACCAATAACAAGCTCCGAAATGAGGTAGTAATTAATAGCCTACCAACAAAAAAAAGCCCAGGACCAGATGGATTCACAGCTGAATTCTACCAGTATTACAAAGAGGAGCTGGTACCATTCCTTCTGAAACTATTCCAAACAATTGAAGAGGAAGGACTCCTCCCTAACTCATTTTATGAAGCCAGAATCATCTTGATACCTAAACTGGGAAGAGACACAACAAAAAAAGAAAACTTCAGGCCAATATCCCTGATGAACATTGATGCAAAAATCCTCAATAAAATACTGACAAACTGAATCCAGCAGCACATCAAAAAACTTATCCACCACAATCAAGTCAGCTTCATCCCTGGGATGCAAGGCTGGTTCAACATACACAAATCAATAAATGTAATCCATCACATAAACAGAACCAAAGACACAAACCCCATGATTATCTCGATAGATACAGATTTGTTAAAATTCAACATCCCTTAATGTTATAAAACTCTCAATAAACTAGGTATTGATGGAACATATCTCAAAATAATAAGAGCTATTTATGACAAGCCCACAGCCAATATCATATTGAATGGGCAAAAGCTGGAAGCATTCTCTTTGGAAACTGGTACAAGACAAGATGCCCTCTCTCACCACTCCTATTCAACATAGTATTGGAAGTTCTGGCCAAGGCAATCAGGCAAGAGAAAGGAATAAAGGGTATTCAGGTAGGAAGAGAGGAAGACAAGTTGTCTCTGTTTGCAGATGACATGATTTTATATTTAGAAAACTCCATCATCTCAGCCCAAAAACTCCTTGAACTGATAAGCAGCCTCAGCAAAGTCACAGGATACAAAATCAATGTGCAAAAATCACAAGCATTCCTTTACACAAACAATAGACAAGCAGAGAGCCAAATCATGAATGAACTCTCATTCACAATCACTACAAAGAGAATAAAATACCTAGGAATACAGCTGACAAGGGATGTGAAGGACCTCTTCAAGGAGAACTACAAACCACAGCTCAAGGAAATAAGAGAGGACAGAAAACAAATGGAAAATCATTCCATCCTCATGGATAGGAAGAATTAATATCACAAAAATAGCCATACTGCCCAAAGTAATTTATAGATTCAATGCTATCCCCATCAAGCTACCATTGACACTCTTCACAGACTTAGAAGAAACTATTTTAAATTTCATATGGAATCAAAGAAGACCCCCCTATAGCCTAGACAATCCTAAGCAAAAAGAACAAAGCTGGAGGCATCACACTACCTGACTTCAAACTATGCTACAAGGCTACAGTAACCAAAATTTACTGACTCTTAAGGACAAAATGGAATCATGTTTCTAAGTATCTCAACTCAGTGTCCATTCCTACCAAACATTAAACAAGTTGAATCTGTAGTGCTTTATGGATTGTATATTGTTTTGTCACTATCTGGAGCACTTTCCTTCTATTTAATTCTCACAGCAACCCCATGAGGTAGTTACTACGATTATCCCCATCTTATGGATGAGAAAATTGAGGCTCAGAGAAGGTAAATGCCTTGCCCAAATCACATCACTCTAATTTATGGAACCAAGATTTGCATACAGGTAGTACAAGTCCAGAGCTGTTTCTTAAACATGACACTATATTGTAGCACCATCCTTTCCCTGGAGCTTCCCCAGCCCTGTGGAAGGCTGTGCTTGGTGGGCACTCCCCATGATGGTCTCCAGGGGCATCCCACCTGGCTCACAGGCAGCCTGAGAGGGAGGAGAGAGTGGAGAACCAGAGTCAGGCTGTGGTGGTTTCTGATTCCAGCTCCAACACAATGTGCCTCTGAGGCCATCACTCCTGCTGGCTGAGCCACGGTAGTTGTCTCATCAGTAACATCAGAGTGATAATTTTTACCCCTCAAGGTCATCTCCAAAGCATGATGTGTGCTCTTGGGCAAGAAGGACCTATGTGAGTCTGTTTCCTCATCTCTAAAATGTGAATCATGACTCCAGCCTCCCAGGACTGACCTGAGAATTAGATGAGATGGCCAATAAAAATCACCTTCCTGGCTGGTGTCTGCAGCTGCTTCTCATGAATCCCCCTTTCCTTCCAAAGGAATTCAGAAGGAATCCTAACACAGTGTGCTATACAACACCAGGGGTAGGAGGTTATTCAGACCTATTGTTTCATAACAAGGTATGGTAGATAGAAGATATTTGTATCAGTTTGTTCTCACACTGTTCTCACACTTTCTCTTAATGAAGAAATACCTGAGATTGGGTGCTTTATAAAGAAAAGAGGTTTAATTGTCTCACAGTTCCACATAGCTGTGGAGACCTCAGGAAACTTACAATCATGGCGGAAGGCACCACTCCACAGGGTGGCAGGAGAGAGAATGAGCGTCCGGTGAAGGGGAAAAAGCCCTTTATAAAACCAACAGGTCTCGTGAGAACTCACTCACTATTGTGAGAACAGCATGGGAGTAACCTCCCCCATGATTCCATTACCTCCCACTGGTTCCCTCCCATAACACATGGGGACTAGTAGAACCACAGTTCAAGATGAGATTTGGGTGGGAACACAACCAAACCATATCAATATCCAAAGCAAAAAATTGAGAAAATTTACGCATTCAGCTTCAAGTCGCTTGCTGCAAAAGACCTTCCTTGGGCCCATACTGTGAGCTCCTCTGGCTCCTGTATCTTCCATATTATAGCATCTACTCCCATGTCATATAACTAAGCATCAAACTTTCTTGATAGAGGATCAGCTTTGTAGGGACAGATATCTAGTGTCTTATGTTGGTTGGGCTCCCCTCAGAAGAAAACCTTAAGACTAGAATTTCAGTGCATGTAGTTGATGTAGGAGGCAATCCCAGGAAGTACCCATGGGAGGATGGGGAAATAATACAGAGACAGAAAGACAGGAAGGGTGCACTGATGGGCAGGTTTCCACTGTGGGCCACCAGAGCTCAAAGCCCTGGGGACTTCGGGAGGTAGAGTCGGGCATGCACCAGAGTGGCCCCACATGATGCATGAGGCGGCTGAAATATATATTCACCATCTCCCACCTGCCACTGGTTGATTCCCAGCATTGCCAGCCCATGACACATAATAGCCAGAGAAAGCCCTCAGGTAGAACTTCACAGGTGCTGGCAGTAGAAAGCAGTTGCGGATGGGAGTAGTGACAGCCACAGTGGGTAGAGTATCTGCTACACCTTACTGATCTCTAAAGCCCTGATGCCCACCCAGTTCCTGGCCCCGTGCTTGCTTTATGAAATGGAATGAACAAATGAATGAATGAGGAGTAGTCATCTGGGTCAGAGCTCTTGCACATTGGTGAAGGGCAGATTCTGAAACTCCTACTTCAAAAGCTTAGAAGCAGCAGGCTGTCCCAGCAACTCGAGAGTGTGCTTTCCTCTGCCTGGACTGGACCTCCCCTGGTGTAGCAACCTGTATGTGAGGAGCCAGGCAGGTTCAGGGACTCACACACAGAGCCAGTGGGAAGCCGCTGAATAAGAACTCTTCTTTCTTCCCTGGTGGGCTATTATGATAGAGTCTGGTAAGCTCCAGAGGGTGGAGGAGGGGGGCTTCTTTGTCTTTATAGCCCACCTTCTGCAATTTAACACAAAGCCTTGAATATCACAGGCTTCCTTGCTCTTTGTAACAAAATGGACTTATGTGTTGTTCACTCATTTGGCAAACATCTGCTTAGGACTCCATGTGCCAAGCTGCATTAGGTGGTATGGGCATAAGAATGAATAAAAATAAAGTCCTTGACCTTGAAGTCAAGTGGAGTGTCAGATACATCAAATAGTAATTAGAACACAGCATCATATGTACTATAATAGAATTATGTAAAGGAAGATTATAGGACCCCAAGGGAACAACGGATCATCAAATTGCTTTGGGGTTGGTAGAGAAATTTTCACACATTCATTTATTTATTTCTCTTTTTCACCAGTCTCTGAACAAAAGGAGTATCCTCCCTGTTTCATGACCCTCTTTGTCCTATGGGGGTTTGTCACAAAAGCACCTATTTTTTAGTCTTCAGACTTATGCAAAACACCATCTGTGCCCTGGCTCTGGGTCAGTGACTAGAACCGCATCCTCCCACAATCACCTTTGGCAACTGGTCAACTTCCACTCACTCTTCAAATCTCAGTTCAGGTATCACCAGTTCCAAGAAGCCCTCCATGAGCCCTGAGGAGAAAGCAACTGCCCCTCTTTTGTGTTTACTCAATCTCAGCACCCATCACCCAGTATTGTTCGCTTTCCTACCCCTCAGTTTAGTTGGGATTAGGTTGTAAACAGCGTAACAGAGGCTTAGAAAAGGTAGACATTTATGTCTGTCCTACATAAGCCAAGTCCAAAGGCAAGTTGTCCAAGGTGGACATGTTGGTGCCCCAACCCCCTAGACCCAGGTTCCCGCCAAGCCACCACTCTGCCTTTCCCAGAGTTTAGCCTTCATCTTCATAGTCTCTGAAAAAGACTGCTCCAGCACTCCCCAAATCCCATCTATTGTCTTCATGAATGTGCATGTAAATGACATTTCCCACTGGCCAACATCTGGCCAATGAAATGTGGACAGAACCTCCCTGCCAGGCCTGGCCCATAAAACCTCCCAAACAGTTCTGCCTTCTCTTTCCCTCTTTGCCTGTTGAACCAAGAGGATTCTGAGGATCTAGAAGAGGGCAGAGTCCCAGGATGGAAGGAGCCTGTGTCCCTGAGTCACCACGAGACAAGGAATCCATGTGATGGGTTGTCACATGAGTGAATAATAAACTTTACTGTGTTTCCCCATTTACAGCAGTGACTTACTGAGATGGACATGAAGTGGCACCTCCCAGTTTCCCCCTCAAAAAAGGTTTATTGCCCCAATTGCTGCTAGCACATAACCCCCAACTCTCCCTTCAAAGACTGCCTCTGCTACAGAGCTACCTTCTGGAGTCATGCCCCTCCTAGAGCAGCCCACATCCCAGTATTGAAGCAGAGAAGCAGAGGGGTATAGAGGCCCACCCCCATCACTACTGTGTCACAACTGGCCCCTCCGTTTGCCCAATCCTGCTTCCTCCCTCTTCCTGCCTCAGGTTTAGATCCCAATGGCACTCCCTGATAAACCTCTTGCACACTAACTCCATCTCAGTGTCTGCCTCCTGGGGGACCCAACCTGCAACATCTACCCTGACTAAAGCATGGTTTGACAGAGCTGCTGTGACTCCAGCCATCACAACCACATTCCAGACAGCAGTTTGGAGAAATGGGTGAAGAAGGCATCCCCTTCTTAAGCAGGCTTTCTAGAAGTCTCACTGGCCATAGCTGAGCCACATTGACCACACCAAACCACAAAGGAGGTTAGAAAATGTGTCTTCATTTTGGGCAGCCGTGTAGCCCACTGAAACACCACTCAGGAAGAAGGGGAAAATAGACACGGAGGCAATAGGCAATCTCTGTCTTATCGTCCAGCTGATACCTAAAAAGGATTTACATTTGTCAAGCTTCTACTCTGTGTTCAGGCTTTGTGGTAAGTGGTTTACATGAATTACTGCATTTAAATCTTACAATACCCCTATGAGGTAGAATCTGTTATTATTGCTCTCATTTTACAATGGGAAGAAATTGAAGCTTAGGAGCCCAGGATCAGGCAGCAAATCCATGCCAGGGCTGGGATTTGACCTTGGATCTTTCCGAATTTGTTTCCTTAGGCTCTTAACTACTAAGTGATTCTGCCTCCTCATGGAACTATGAGCTCCTTGAGAGCAGGGAGCATGTTTTGGGTCACTTTTATATACACAGAGTCTAGACTAGTGCTTGGCACCTAGCAGTGGCTCAGTAAATATCTGCAGACTTCGTTAAAGGAGAGGGAGGAGTCAAGACTGACCCTTGCCTGGGGCCATGGAATGACTTGTGGAGCTATTAACTGAGGAAGAGGAGGCAGGGAGAATAGGACTCAGATTTATACCGGCAGAGTTTAAGTGTTTGTGGAACATACAAGGGAAGATGTCCAGTTGGCAGTAGGATCTACACATCTGAAGTGTTGGTGGGAGGTCTAGGCTGGAGCCATGGGCAGGAGCTGTCTGTGTGTGGGCAGCAGTCCAGCCACGAGCATGGCCAAACACACCCAGAGAGAGGGTGTGAAGAACCCCCAGCTATGTCCAAAAACCCGAGCAGGGTTTCCAATTAACAGAATCACTTTTGTTTTGCATTTCCCCTCCTGGGTTAATTTCCCTATTTGCTCTTCTGCCCATTTTGAAAGATGATTGCTTTTCTGGGCAAAGAGCCTATTTAGCGTGTGTAATTTTAAGGGCTTGCACCATCCCAACACTTACTCAGATATAGGCAATATATAAATATATGTGTACAATAGATTTATATACATACACCCACCTGCCTTGATATACATGCAACCGGGGCATTAGAATGGCCATAAAATGGATGCACATCTGTGTGAAAGCAACTTCATGGCCGTCTGTACTACCTGGCAGTTGTCATAAAAACACCAATAAGAGGCAGCAGAAGTGTCTTTGACTGGGAGAATGATTCTTGTTTCCTTTTCATTATTCTTAATAAAAGGAGATGGTGCCGAAAAATTGTGTTTCCTGGGTTATTTTCCCCAAGAGATCTTTTATAAGACACATAACAGACCGTGTTGCAGGCAAATGCCTCATTAAGGGAATATAGTTAGAAAGAAATAGTAACCAAACTGAACAGTTATTTTCTTTATTTTTTTATCCTCTGTAAAATGGAAAAATTGGATGTGATATGGATTTAGTAACAGCCCTCAAATAATATTGTGAGAACATGATGCTTGCACCCTGAGATGGAGGTATCTTCCAGTGTTGCTCTGTAAAGAGGCTGCAGAATTGTAAAACACCTTACATGCCCCAGGAAAAGGCTTCTCTCTTCCAAAGAGCCTTCTTATCTTTTTATGGCTTGATTCACCCAGATGGGTTTGGGTTTCCTTGTCAGTCTCCTTTTCTCTCTCTGCATATACCTCCAAATCACCTCAGTCTCTCTCAGTATGCGAGCTAGTGATCCAAATCTCCTCTCCTAACTTAGAGGTTCAGGCCCATGTAGCCAAGAGCTTCCTGGATGTCTCCACCTGAATGCCCCCCTTCCCCCCACTACTGGCCCTTTACACCCAGCGTGTCCCACAAGGAGCTCATCCTCAGCCACACAGCCCTGCTCCTCCAGGATTCCCAGCCTGGGGAAGGGTATCACTACCCACCCCATTACACAGACCAGAAAAATCCTGAAATCGTTACCGAGCAGAAGGGGCTTGCTGGCTGAAGTGGTAGGAGCCAATGCTATAACACCGGGGTTTCTTGAGAAAAGAAAAGATTTTTATTGCAAGATGATCAGTGAGAAGACAGGAGTCCAGCTCAAATCTGTCTCCCCGTGTTGGCTTCAAGGCAATCATTTTATTAGAAAAGGTTTAGATGTTGGAGTCTTAGGTTAGTAGGTGATTGGTGGAAGAAAAGGGGAGGGCTGGAAAGTCCTTGGGCATGCGCAGTTCTCTCTTCATGCTCTCTCATGGATCGCAAGCGCAAATTTGAGGAGGAGTTAGTAAGAAACATGCGGTAGAAACTCGGGCTGTGACGTCAGCAAGCTGGTTCTGTGCAGACTCTAGTTGGCCATATTGGTTCTAACAGACTTCAGCCAGCGTTGTTACTTTACAAACTGAGGGAGTTTCAACATTTCAGCAAGTTGTTTCTTTTCTTATCTGTCATCCTGTACACTCAAGAATTTCTGTTAGTTACTGGTTTAACTCTTTGGGGCACGGTTTCAAAATCATACTGGACTCCACAGCCAACAACCGCGATATCCTGGAGTCTCAAGCCCCCCAGTGTATTAAATGCACCTCCCTTACTCCAACTCCACCGCCACCACTCTGATCCAAACTCCATCATCTCTCTCCAGGGTCACCTCCCCAGCCTCCTCCCTGGGCTCTTGCTCCAGCACAGCCTCCATGGAGCTCCTTTAATAATCTTTCCAGAATTCTGTTGCAGACTTTTCAGTGGCTCCAAGTTCCAGCCACTTGACTCCCTGGTTTCAGAACACCAAGGCCTCTCCACTGCCATTTCATTAACCTGCCCCCTTGTTCCTCCTCCAGTCATTTGAACTACTGCTATTCCTCCAAATGCCCCATGCTTTTCCTTACCCTTATACATTTGCACATAATGTTTCTCTGCTTTTCCAAGTCCCCATTGCCAACTCTTTTTCTCTGCTGGCTTTGACTATCACTCATTCATCCTTTAGTCTAAGGCTCAGGCCCACCCACAATAGGAAGCCTTCTAGGCTTTTCTGTGCTCCCAGAACCCCTCTTTCATAATAGTTTCCACTCTGCAAGATTGTTTTCTAATGCTTGTGTGTTTCTTTCCTTAAATTGTGAGCTCCTTGAGGGCAAAGATTGTGTCTCATTGACTCCCTTGTACCCAAAAAGCAATATAGTAACTGCTACAGATAAGTGGTTCAGTTGTTCAATGATTGCAAGTAATTGGATTAATTGGGACCACTGGAACCAGTGATAGCCTGCTAAGACAAGGTCAAGATCAGCCTTCTGCATCTTGCAGGAATTTCAAAGCAATGTGAATGTGCAGCCTACTGAGAGGAAGAAAGTAGATGTAACAACTATCCAAGTTCTTTTCCAGGCCAAGGATCTGGACCTGTTTGTAAAAAAGATTCTGACAAACATGGTTTGATTCAGTGCTTCCCAAACGTAGCACAGGAGGGTGGTTAAAAGAGTTTCAGATGCTTAGTATAGAATCAAGAACCTAATAATCTTTGAAGTCAAACAAACCTGAGTTCAAATCTTGGAGCTCTTTTTAGATTCTCCTCTCCAAACCCCACCTAGAAGATAATTACCATGGCCCCTCTTTTGCTGGGTGGTTGTGAAGAATAGACATAGGTATTAAAAGGCATGGGAACTGATATGTAGCAGGTGATCAATAAATGATTAGCATTATATTATTATTGTTTCTAAGGATTAAAATGCATGTGATTGCATTGAATCAGAGAGCTACATGACGCATATGGGAAGCGATAACTGAGTGTTATTTTGCCCATTTTAGAGATGAGAAAACTGAGTCCCAGAAAAGTGAGAGACTTGTCCAAGATCACACAGCTAGAAAATATCTGGGCTGGGATTGAAAGCAGAGACTGTGTGCATTTAACCACCCACACGGGCCAAGTTGCCTCTACATGTGATTTAGCTGGAGAGGAAGATTCTGGACAAAAGGCAGTGAAACTCAGGCATTAGGAAATTAGTGCTCTGTGAAGAGCAATCAGATCAGCCACTTCCTCAGATGCAGCTGAGTTTACCCATCAGGCCAACTTGATCCGTCTTTTCCTTTTGCCACTTCCCCATGCCACATCTCCTCATCTGTTACTGAGAACTCTAAAATACTAGTTAAGTCCATCTAGCCTGGCAGTTTTCAAACTATGCTCCCCAGAGCCTCAGTGTCGCTGAAGGTGTCCCAGAGGTCTGGGTAGAGAACAAGGAGGTTGGATGGGAAGCCTCCCACCCCAACCCCATTCCAAATGAAGCCACTCCTTTCTATGGTTTACACATTGTCATATACACAAGGTTTTCTGTAATCAAAGCATTCTGTGGCTTTAAACAATTTTGTTTTAAACCTCAGAACCAGCACAACAGTCATCTTAAAGATGAGGAAACTGAGGCTGGGAGAGCAGCGGCTGGTCCAAGGTCCTGCAGCCTGTCAGATGTTGAGCTGGGATCTGTCCCAGATTGTCCCCAACTTAGCTCTACCCAGACCAGTCTTCCCACCCACCCACCCCCAGCTGTCCAACATGAAACAGATTTAATAACCACAAACAGGAGGCATTTATCTCTGAAATAACTGTTGTGGTAGAGAATAGGAAAATCGATGCATTCATTAGCATGTGCTGGGGGTACGAGGCAGGATGCAGACGGCGCTGGTTTCAGGCATTTGTGGCAGAGGGGAATTGAGTCTGAGGAGCCACGGCGGGTAATGGGGACATCATCAGGACCACTGGCTGGACTCAAACTAAGCTGAATATGGGTGGGAGCCCCCACTTTCTCTGTCCAGGTTTGATCCCATTGCATTGACAGTGACAATGTTGAAAGTATATCTGGTAAAAGCAGTTAGCTTTAATTCCAGTCCCCAGAGAAAATAAGGGAAGGTGATGATTAGAGAAATATTGATGGCCATGAAAATCTGACAGCCTGTCTGAAAGGAAGACTCAGTCCTTGAGACATGGAGCTGGCAGAGAGCTTTAGAGATCACCCAGCCCAGTGCCCTTGCTTTAAAACTGGGAAAACCAAGCCCAGAGAAGGGCACACCTTGTCTGAGGTCACACGGCTGATTAGGGATGAACCCAATATTACAACCCAGGTCTCTGGGAGCTTCCTAAAGCAGAGACCATATCTTCAATGGTCGCTAGGACCCAGCACCAAGTCCAGCACAGAGTGATCACTCAGGAAATGTTAGCCAAATAAATAAACAAATTATTCTCAAAAGTCGTGAGACCAGAACACTTTCCAGAATACCTCATGTCTCAGAATTTTAACGTCACATGTCTCAAATCTTTTGCCTTTTTCCTTCACATTTTAAGTACACACACACACACACACACACACACACACACAAAGAAATCCAAAGTAAAGTTGTATGAAATCTCACTCTAGTTGACCTTATCTTGACAGTGAGTAAAATTCTTTTAGAGTTGAGAATCCGAAGAGCTCATTTCTGGATCCTTTTAGCCTGACAACTGTGGAACATTCTGAGGTCTTGTCCTCCCACGCAGAGAGCCCTTTATTCCACAAAAAGGATCACCCTGCTGTGATCCCAGCCCTACAGTAGGACCTAGGGACAAAGCAGCAGGTATGAATGACACAGACCTGTTCTCAGGCAGCTTGCATTGCACAGGAGAGAGACAGACAACAAACAAATGAATACAGGATGCAATGTCTGGCAGAATTTGGGCCATGAAGCAGAAATGAAGCAGGATGACAGGGCTCAAGAGTGACCACAGGTGGTTCTAACTGGAGTTGGTCTTAGCTGGTTTCCCTAGAAGCAGAGCCTGAGACTGGGACTCAGGTGCATACGGTCAAACTTGGAAGAGAGGGAGGCAGAATAAAGCTGGACGAGGAGCTGAGATGGGATTAAAGATACGGATCTGCTTAAGTCATGCTTTGGCCAAGTGAGGGATAAGGGGTACTGAGGGGCATAATCTGCTAGGTGAGAAGACTTTCATCACCCAAGGTCAGTCTTCTGGAGAAAGAAGGCATCCATGCCCACTAGCAACCAACACTCACAGCACTGTGGGATCTGGGCGGGGCCCCTGTAGCACCTTCTGCATCCCATCAGGAGTGGCCTCTTTGGAGAAATGACCTTTGAACAGGAACATAAATGAAATGAAGGAGCAGGGCATGGAGAATACATCTGGAGAAAAGGCGTTCCAGGCAGAGAGACTCACGAATGCACAGCCCTTGGTCTGGGAGTGCACCTGGTATGTTTCAAGACTAGCAAAAGTTAGCAATACTTCTCCTGTCTCCCTGACAAATGGGAGGGAAGCAAAGGAGATCTGGAAGTGATTCCCCTCCATCGGAAAATTTGCTAGGGGCACACCTCGTAAAACATAGACGTGGTCAGAAGACTACTAACCATCCCATTCACGGACACAGTGCTTTCTGGTTTATGGAGACCCTTTCTGTTCACTTGTGTCTCATTGCAACAGTTAGAGGAGATATTATCATCCCAATTTTATCAAGAGTAAAATCTCTAAGGGAGACCTCAAAACACTTCCTTCTTGTTGCTGACCACAACCAACACTATTCTCCCCTACATACACCCTCCTCTAAAAGAGTTATAAATAGAGTAATCCAACTCCAGGATTCGGACTGAGCCATGCTTGCTAGCAGGGAGGGCAGCTGTGCACTAAAGGCCTTGCACATGGACACAGTTCTCCCTTCTGCTGGTAATCTGGCCCAGGGCCCTATCCTTGCATGAGGGGAAGCCCAGAAATCTTGCTTTCCCTGGCCCTTTCCGTCCTTTTCATCTGTGCTATAGAACTTTTAGGTGGATCCAAAACATTCCCCAGGATAAACAGTGTTTACTCTCATTCTTTTTCTTTCTCTCCTTTTGAGTCTCACATTCTTGAGTGCTGCAGTAAAATCCTGAGACCTTGGGTAATAGCATTAACTCATAGTATTATTGAAGTACTTGAATATAGGCTGCTTGGAAGGACATATAGTAGGTCTTCAAACAGGGGTGGCTGTTGTCTTAGCTGTCATTTCACTGTCCTTTTCACTGAATGGGGTAAAGGCATTTCCAGGCTCAGAATGGGATGGGGGTTGAACCGATTACCCACCAAGGGCCTAGGCTTCCATGACCTGCCCAAAATCACACAATAGGTAGCAGCACTGGGACTAGACCAGGTCTAGCCTGTCCCTGAATCCACGGTTCTTCCTGCCCCAAATGAACTGCCTCTTCTCAAAGCAGGTGATAACTCACAAAAGCTCATAACCTACTGGAAAATCATCCAAGGCACCCTAATTGCCATGGTGAATGTGCTTCTGTACCAAACCGGGTAATCCCTACATTCCCATTCTGCCTTACTTTCTTCTTTTTAATTTTTGAAAATTATTATTTCACTTTATGAACCACCTGGACAATTTAGGTATGTTGGGAAATGCATCCTGCGTTTGATTTCTCTACATCAGATCTTCCTTGCCTCCCACCCAGCCTGAATATACTCTAAGGCACTTTTTGTTGAGCTCCTCGAATTACAGACCTCATCTCTCTCATCTCTGGCACCAAATAGATCCTCAAGAAATACATGGTGGTTTAATTCATTAATAGATACAAATGATGTTAGCAGTTATCACTCTTTGTACTAACAAAATTGGAAATTTTTAGGTTAGCCATAACTGCCTGCACCTTGTTTAATCAATTTATTTTCCAGACCATCCCACTTTTAAGGGAAAAAATACACATAATAAAAAGTAAGCTCAAGCTGGGTGTGGTGGCTCATGCCTGTACTCCCAGAACTTTAGGAGGCCGAGGCAAGCGAATCACTTGAGCCCAGGAGTTTGAGACCAGCCTGAGCAACCTGGAAAAACCCCGTCTCTACCCAAAATACAAAAATTAGTCAGAGGTGGTAGTGTGCACCTGTGGTCCCAGCTACGCAAGAGGCTGAAGCAGGAGGACCACTTGAACCTAGGAGGTGGAGGTTGTAGTGAGCTGAGATCATGCCACTGGACTTCAGCCTGGGCAACAGAGTGAGACTCTGTCTCAAAAAATAGTAATAATGATAAGGTCATAACAATGATTTCTTAATCTACTTTTAAACCCCACATGTAAAAGCAAATCTCCTATACTTTTTCTGTCTCCATCTCCAGACAATGAGTATGTATTCTCCTACTGACTGGTGAACCTGAAGCCTTGGTGAAGTCAAAAGCAATTGCAACAAGTCAACTGGGTCTCAGATCTCTAGAGATGGAAAGGAGGAAGGAGTGAATGAGGAAAGGACTACAATGGGCCTCACAGGCTAAAGTGATGCTGGGCCAAGAAAATAAAATGTGAGTTGGGATGAAATAATTGGACCTTTTCTCCGCCACTTGCTGGCTATTAACCTTGTATGAGCCATTTCATTGCTCTGAATCTGACGTTCAATGTCCTCAAAATGATGTCAGTGATAGGACAGACCCCAAACAGTGGTTATCAGCAAAATGTATAACAATGTATCTGACACTGAAGGCTGAAAAAACATAGATTTGAAAAATATCAGAGCTGGGAGACTCTCAGCGACTTAGCCTCTTCTTCATCCCTCCATTTTCCAGAAGTGAACCTGAAACCCCAGGCATACAAAGGGTTGCAAAGCCCCATCCACACCACACCCAGGCTCCTCAGCTGCCTCTTGCTCAAGTATTTGAATCTTATAAAGCCCCCCAACGCCATCACTCTACCAGCCTGCTTTAAACCAGTATCAAAAGAGCTTTGTTTAGGGAAATACAAGCTCCAGCAAGAAGAGGAAGCATCAACAATATTTAAATCATGTTTTGACAAAACTAAATAATAATAATCTTCCTGAATCCCATTCACTCAACCTCAATAATTGTTTGGCTTCCCATGTATTGAGTATTTATTCTAGGTTTGGGTGCGTGTTATATTGCTGCAGACTTGATACTCTGCATTTTGCACTTTGCATTCTATCAGAAATGTATTCTGCATTGCTACAGTCTTCATAATTATCATTTTAATGGTGCCATAATATTCCTTCGTGTTGATGCACCATAATTTATGGAACTGTTCACCAATCATTGGACATTTAGCTTTCATATGGTGTTTGTTGTTATAGATAACATCATAATGAGCATCTTCATTACACGCAGCTCTTGGTCTCCAGTAAATTATATCCCCAGAATAAAAGAGAAATTCCGCGAAGTAAGTGTTTGGAGTCAAAGGGCATAAACCTCTTTAGAACATTTATCTATTATTTTGTTTTTATCCCCAAAAGGATTGCACCAACTCATGCTGCACCAGTGGAGTATACCAGTATTATTTTCACTATGAAGCCGTATCATTTTGTATGTTCTAACTTTGTTTTTCTCAACCTTTTTTCTGTTTGTAACAGAAAAAAAAAAACACATGTTCATTATAAAAAAAAATCCAGATAAAAACAAAGATAAACTAATCATAACCCCTCTGACCAAAAATAATCAGTGCAAAAAGTTAAACATTTCTTTTCAGTCTTTTTTCTATGCATATGGGAGAATTTTTCCCCCAAAACTTAGATTATATTCTCTATTCAGTTATATTTTGTTCTGTTTTAATTTTACTATTACTTTTCTTAAGTCATTGGAAACATTTTGAAACAATCAGCTTTAATGAATACATAATATTTCATCATATAGCCATCTCACTTAACCTATTTCGATATCAGATTCCGTGATATTGAATGTTTATTTCCAGTATCAGTATATAAGAAACAAAGTTGCCTTGAACATCCTTCTGTGTAAATCTGTATCATAGTTTTTGTTTATTTCCACACCACAGGAAACTTGAAGTAGAAAAACTGGATCGAGGGGTATAAATATTTTTTAGAAATCCTTGGATTTTGAAAATTAAGAAAGATACATTGGGCGAATTATGTCACATCCCCCTGTGTCCTCAGAAAGGCAGCTTGAGTCCTGTTAGGAGGAGGGGCAGTCAGCCTGGCAGTGCTGAGCTCTTTTGTCAACTCCAAGACTTGGAGAAAACCATTTCACCTCCATGTCTGTTAAATGGGATAATACTTTCTGCTGTCTGCCATTTGAGGCTGCAGAATATCCAAATCTCTCGCTACTGGGTCAATTCCAAGTTAAGAAAGAAACGAAGCCCTCTTCCCATTTTGGAAACCAAAGGGGCCAATCCCCTCTCTACCCAACCCCAAAGTCACACAGAGCTGAGAGCCCAGCACAGGACCTGAGCAGGACCCCACTTTCTGCCCAGGACCTGCAGGACACAGGGTCAGAGATCACCCGTAACGACTTCAGCAGAGTCGAGAGGCCTGAGGCATAGTAGGCGTGCTTGCGGGCAGCTCGGGGCTGGAGGTGGCCAGATCTTGGCTGAATTTGCTTCCGTTGGTTCTTGCCTCTGGGTTCTCCAACCTTCATATCAATTTTGTGAGCTCTCACATACCCTCCCAAGAAATTTTTATTTCTAAGTGGATCGGAGTGGGCTTCTATTGTTGCCATCAAGAAACATCTAGGTTAAGTGATATAAGCCAGGCACAGAAAAACACATACTGCCCGATCTCACGGGAATGGAGTCTAAAACAGTCGAACTCATAGAAGTAGAGAGTAGAATAGTGGTTACAGGGGGCTTAGGGAGATATTGTTTAAAGGATGTAAACTTTCAGCTAGACAGGAGGAATAAGTTTCAGAGATCCATTATATACAAGGTGACTACAGTTAATAGCAATTTATTATATTCTTGAAAATTGTTAAGAGTAGATTTTGAATGTTCTCACCACAAAAAATAAGTATGTAAGGTAATGCCTATGTTAATTAGCTCAAGTTAGCCATTCCATGGTGTACACATATTTCAAATCAATATGTTGTGCGTAATAAATATGTGCAATTTTTGTCAATTAAAATAATTAATTTTTTAAAAGAACGAATGAGAAGCCAGCACCGACAGATCTGTGTGGACTTGAGAAAACGTGGGTAGATATTCTGAAACAACATCCACCCCAACGTAGGCAGTAAGTAAGGAATGGCTGTTATTATCACGACTGTTTTAATGTTGGGCAGCACAGACTAGTGGTCACAAGACGACTCTAGAGCCAGACTGCCTGCCTGCTATTTCTGACTCTGCCTCTTACCACCTGGATGACCTAAGGCAAGTTATTTAACCTCTCTGTGTCCCAGTTGACTTATATGCAATATAAGCATAATAATAATACCTACCTTTTAGGTTGTTAAAAAGAAAAAGTTAAATACATGTTAGATGCTTAGAAGAGTGCCTTTTAAGTGTGCAGTACTACCATTATGCTAACGATCAACCGGAGTATCACACCTGTCATTTCTATGACACCTTCACAGTCTCTATTCCATCTGATCCCAATAATAATCACATAAGATGTGAAATCCTTATGTGACAAATGTAGAAGCTGAGGCTCAGAAAGGCTTCTTCCTGTAGGTCCTACAACCAGGAGGTGGTAGAACTGGGACTCAAACCCAGGACACTAATTGTGAAGGTCAAGCTCTTCCAGGTACACAACTGCCACTTGGGGCGGGGAGGTGTGAGTGTAGGTGCGTGCTGTGTTTTCAATTATTCGTGGACTCAGAGCGACGAATGAATGAGTGAAGGAGTGAAGTTCATTGAAACCATATTCCATGGAGGAGGATAGGATGTGATATTTGCTAAGTACCTCCTAGGAGTCAGGCCTTGTGCTCATCCACAACATGCATCATTTAATTCTTATAACAAGATGATACAGATAGTATCAACCCTTTTCTGACAATGAGGAAACCGAGGCTCAGAGGGGCTTGTTCCTTGCTCAAGGCCGCACAGCTGGTGAGCAGCTGGCCCTGCACTGCCCCCCAACCTCTGCCCGCCTTACCCCCATGTAGACTTGAAAGGGGACGCTTTCTGCATTGCATCTGCCAGCCACTTCCCTCTTCCCATTATCTCCCTGCTAAAGTGTGTGAAAAGGTTATTTTCACTAGCAAATTGGCCCTTAGAAGCTGGAGATTAAATAAACAAACGCGTGACCAGTTTATTGCAAGGTTTGCATGCTGCCAGCCTGGGCCTCAGCCGGCCTGCTGATGGGGGCCATTTGATTGTGGGTCTGCTTGACAATGGCTATGCTCAGTGTCCTGTTTACACAATGAATCTATAATGTAATTTCACGAGGTTCCGAAATGCACCAAGAAGCATGCGAGGATTCCGTGCCTCAGCCTAATCCATATGAAACAGTCTGGAAATGCGCCTAGTGACCACATGGAGATGGAGTGGAGCTGCGGCCGGGGCCCATCCTTGCTTAAAAAGGATTATCATAGAGCGAGTGGGCAAGGCAGGGACCTGGGGTGAAGTGGATGCAAATCTTATGGAAGTGGATGGGAAGGATTCATGGACAATTCGTGGGCGTCTCCAAACCCACCCCTCCTGCAGGAACTGGGATGCTTGTGGCTGTGGGCACAGGTGCCAACAAATGACAATGGAGGTTAAGGAACAAAGGATGGGTTTCTGTTTGCTAATGCAAATTTTAATAAAAACCAAGTAGTCACAGACACCGAAAGAACAAGGACTCTCCCTCAGGTGAAACTGGGTTTTGTTTTTGGTTTCTGCATCTTGTGGGTCTGTGCTTTTATGCATGCATATTCATTCACTCCTTGGTTCAGCAAACATGTGGAACCACCTCCTCTTGGTCAGCCTCTGAGCTAGTTGTTTGAGATAGGGTGATCCATAAGATTTACTCATTCATTTATTAAACATATTGATTAAGCAGGAACTGTGGGCCAGGCACTGTTTTGGTGCCAAGGATACCGCACCGAATAGAATTAGGAAAAGCCCGTGCTTACATTCCAGTGAGGGAGACAGACAATAGGCAGGATAAGTAACATATACAGTGATCAGTGCTAAGAAGAAAGATAAAGATGGGGTTTGTGGGGTGCATATTTATATAGGATAGCCCAGATAAGTCACACAACAGGAGGCCACTTGATAGAAATGGAAACTGAGGCCATGAAAGGCCAAGTAAAAGACTGATAATCCTTAATAGCCTTCATTTCTATATATAAAGCACTGCAGAGCTATCAAAGCACTTTCAAGTAAGGCAGCTCCTTTAACCCCCTCAAAACTCTTAAAAGGCGTATGTGCCAGCCCCCTCTGCCTAGAGTGCAAGGAAAGTCCTCAGCAGCCTCAGGGCCATGTCATAATCAGAGACTCATCATGTTTAAATGACTCAAGCCTTTCTCAGTGTGAGATGACCACATGCATCTCATTTTCCCCTCACAAAAGCCCAGGGAAGCCAGTTGTACTGCTCCAGTCCCAGGCTCTGAGAGGTTTAGCTCTTCTCTCCAAAGTCCTGAGATGGAGGGCAGGAGGGAAGGCATCCCAGGCAGGGTTACAGGTAAGCAAAGGCAGAGAAGGAAGATGTTCACATGGTATATTTTGAAGACAGCAATTGGCCCAGTTGGCTGAAGAGAGACTCCTCATGTTGGCAGGCAAAAGGAATTAAGAATAATATGACTGAAGTTTACGGAGCTCATAGTGTGCAAGATGCAAGCTGACCAATCCTGTGCTTACTTCCTGTACAATCCTTCCATGCACACCCCATCCTCATTTCCCAGTCTATTCTGCTCAGAGCAACCAGGTAGCTCCACATACAATGGGAAACAGATCCTGCCTGTCCATGCTCAAAACCCTCCAGTGGCTTCATGGACATTTAGAATAAAACTCAGACTTTTTCCATGGTCTATAAGTGCCTGCATGATCTTCCATGTCTTCCCTCTCCCCAGCCTCATTTCTTTTTTTTTTAATTGTGACAGGTCTTTTATTATTATTATTATACTTTAAGTTCTGGGATACTTGTGCAGAATGTGCAGGTTTGTTACATAGGTATACATGTGCCATGGTGATTTGCTGCACCCATCAACTCATCATCTATATTAGGTGTTTCTCCTAATGCTATCCCTACACTAGCCTCCCACCGACAGCAGGCCCTGGTGTGTGATGTTCCCTCCCTGTGTCAATGTGTTCTCATTGTTCAACTCCCACTTATAAGTGAGAACATGCAGTGTTTGGTTTTCTGTTCTTGTGTTAGTTTGCTGAGAATGATGGTTTCCAGCTTCATCCATGTCCCTGCAAAGGGCATGAACTCATCCTTTTTTATGGCTGCATAGTATTCCATGGTGTATATGTGCCACATTTTCTTTATCCAGTCTATCTCTGATGGGCATTTTGGTTGGTTCCAAGTCTTTGCTGTTGTGAACAGTGCTGAAATCATCATCACTGGTCATTAGAGAAATGCAAATCAAAACTACAATGAGATACCATCTCACACCAGTTAGGATGTTGATCATTAAAAAGTCAGGAAACAACAGATGCTGGAGAGGATGTGGAGAAATAGGAACGCTTTTACACTGTTGGTGGGAGTGTAAATTAGTTCAACTATTGTGGAAGACAGTGTGGCAATTCCTCAAGGACCTAGAACCAGAAATACCATTTGGCCCAGCAATCCCATCACTGGGTATATACCCAAAGGATTATAAATCATTCTACTAAAATGACCCAGCCTCATTTCTTAAGCCCCACACCCACCTCTACTCCAGCCTCTTGACCATTTGCCCCAGTCCCCTGACAGTTTGCCCCAAGCTCAGGAACTCTGGGCATTGTTCCTGCTTCCTAGAGGTCTCATCCCAAATGTCCACCATACAGTACTTGCGTCTCTGCACCCAATGTCTTCCCTGAATCCTTTTTGGCATGCCCTTCTCTGTCATTTTCTGGCCTGCTTTATCCTGCTTCACTTTTCTTCTAACATTTATATATTATATTCTTAGCACTAATATATTTTTTGAGGCACAACCTACATAAAGTAAAACTCATCTATTTTGTTGTAAGTTCTATGAGTTTTGACAAATGCAGAGTCATGTAACCACCACCACAGTCAAGAAGAGTTTCCATTAACTCAAAAAATTCCCTTTGTAGTCAACCTCTCCCTTGACCCCCCAGCCCCTGGCAACCACTGATCTGTCTTCTGCTCCTTTAGCTTTGCTTTTTGAGGTTGTCATATGAATGGAATCACACAGCGTGTAGCTCTTTGAGTCTGGATCCTTTCTTTTGGCATAATGTGCTGTTGCATATTGCAGTAGTCTGCTCCTTTTTAGTGCTAAATAATATTCCATTCCAGGGATGTATAACGGTTTGTATATCCATTCCCCAGTAGAGGACATCTGCATTGTTTCCAGTTTGGGGTGATTATAAATGAACAATTTTGTTCAGATTTTTGTGTGAACAAATGCTTTTATTTTCTCTTGAACAAATATATAGAAATGAGATGACAAGTCCTATGATGAAGATACATTAATTTTATAAGAAGCAGGCCGACTGGGCACGGTGGCTCATGCCTGTAATCCCAGCACTTTGGGAGGTCGAGGCGGGCAGATCACGAGGTCAGGAGATCCAGACCATCCTGGCTAACACAGTGAAACCCCGTCTCTACTAAAAATACAAAAAAAAAATTAGCCAGGCACGGTGGTGGACGCCTATAGTGCCAACTGCTCAGGAGGCTGAGGCAGGAGAGTGGCGTGAACCCAGGAGGCGGAGCTTGCAGTGAGCAGAGATTGTGCCACTGCACTCCAGCCTGGGCAACAGGGCAAGACTCCGTCTCAGAAAAAAAAAAAGAAGCAGGCCAAAATGTTTTCCAACGTGGCCGTATCATTTTTATTCCCACTAATCACCTGACACATCGTGTGTGTAGGGGGAAGGGTGGCATGTTCCATCTGCCCAAAGCAGAATGCAGTCTCCCTGAGGGTAGGGATTTTGTTTTGCTCACTGCTGTATCCTTATGCCTGGCACACAGTAGGCACTTAGTGAATATCTGTTGGTTTAAGAAATGAACTCGTTAATTCTCACAACTCAAAACACTCTCATAAGGGAAGCACTGTCATTCTGCCCATGTTACAGATGAGAAAACCGAGACCCAGAGCCATTTGAGCACACACTTACAGTTTTCCTTTTAGTAAGTAACAGAGGAAGGATTTGAACCAGCCATCCACCTTGAAATGACCACAATAACCACATCCTGCTCCAGCAAAATGGGAGCAACACTTTGCTTCCTGAGCTATGGGGAGTCACTGGTAGGTTTTAATTTAATTTAGTTGAGTGACAGAGTCATAGAATTTGAGGAAGACTCATGAGGCAATGAATGGGTGGTGAATAGAATGGGGCAATGAGACTCCCCAGGGGCTCATGCAATAGTTCATATCCAAAGGAAGGCTGTCCTGGGCTAGAGAGTGGATTTGCAGGGCTGGAAAGTGTGGAAATAAACAAAGACCACCTACATGAGAACAAATAGAGGCTATTTATTCAGAGCTTCCATAGCAAGGGAGTCAGCCACCATCACTGGCATTTGGCTCAGACTCAAAAGCAGGCAGGGAAATGGGAAAGATTTTAGTGGGGAAAAGGAAGGAGGCTTCAGGTGTAGTCAGATTGGAGATTGTTGAAATGAGAAAGTCAGAGGCAGGCTGACTAGAAGTAGGCATCTTATGCAATTGGCCCAGGGAGCATATATATTTGGCTTTCTCTGGCTGGTGAGATATGTCAACAAATGTGAACCCAAAAGAGCCAGTCCTTCAAGATGGATACCAAGTGGCTAACTGGGACTAAATTTAAAATAGAGCCAAGCAGCCATGTGCTGACCAAAGTTCATGCACATACTCTGAGCTCCCCTCAAAACCTGTACCATTTTAACTCTGGGACTTTCTTGTTTATTTTTTTTTTTTTTGAGAAAGAGTCTCACTCTGTTGCCCATGCTGGAGTGCAGTGGTGCAACCTCAGCTCACTGCAACCTCCCTCTCCCAGGTTCCAGCAATTCTCATGCCTCAGCCTCCTAAATAGCTGGGATTACAGGTGCCCGCCACCAGGCCCAACTAATTTGCGTATTTTGGGTCGAGACAGGGTTTCATCATGTTGGCCAGGCTGGTCACAAACTCTTAACTCTGGGACTTTCAGCGCTCACCTGAACCAACCAAGCAGAGCTCACCTGCCTTGGCCAATCAGGGCTCAGCTGTATCAGCCAGTCAAAACTAAGTGAGTTTCAATCCTTCATTTGCATGAATGGACCTGATTGGGAACCTAGGCAGGACCTTTTGCTCTAAAACTGGAAGCTTCCCTTTGTTCTTTGGGACAGAATGCACCTTCTCACGTGGGAGGCTGCTGGAGGCTGTGTCTCCTAGGTTTGCAAACTATTCACTGCGATAAAGTCTCTTTCCTCTGAGTTCCTTTTCAGAGAACTTTTGTTCACAGAGAGAAGCAGGGACAAAGGGAAGCTGGCAGTCATTGGCCATGTCCTGACGATTTGGGGCCTTTGCTGCAAAAGTTATGGGTTAGAGCTCTATTGTCATAAATGGTCTTTGTCCACTTGTATATTCAGTCTCAAGAGAATGAGACAAAAAGAAGAGAGACAGTATGTGTGGGAGAAAGAGAACTCCTTTGGGGACAAAAACCAGGGCTTGCCTTCCAGCTCTGCATCTTGCAACCCCAGGCCTCACATAAATACCTGGGTCTCAGCTTCCTCACACCTAACTGTGTGCGTGTGTGTGTCTGTGTGTCTGTGTGTCTGTGTGTGGCCTCATCTTTGTTTTCTTAGATTAATTTGGGTAAGTGTGATGGGACAGGCCTGTGACTTGCATTTCTTCCCATTTTGGGAACAAACGCGGTGCAGCTCCGGAGCTTAAGCGGGTGGGATGGGGAGAGAGTGGTGGAGGAAGGCTGGCTGCAAAGAGAAAGACCAGAAACTAGGCCCTCGGCACCCCCTCCCACAACCCCACAGTCCCCCACCAGGCTGTTACCCAGCAACTGCACAACCCAGCCCCTTGGAACTAAATGGCCTTTGCTAATTAGGTGCCTGGTTTAGCTTCCCAGAGAAGGCGTGTGAAAAATGTCACATACAAGTATAATAACCGAATCTGAGAATCACAGGCTCAGGCGAGGTCGAAAGGTCTTTATTCTAACACCCCTCCTCCCTCCTTCATCAGTACAGCAACTTTATAATTTATTGAATGCCATGCCTTCTTATTTGCAATGACAATGAAAGTGAGCAATGATGAAGCAGTTAGTTACTCTTAGCCAGGCACTGTGCCTTGTCTCATTTTTTCCTCATGCTCTGAAGTTGGTATTGTCTATTATCTCCCATTTTACAGTTGAGAAAAGAGATGCTCAGAGAGGCTACATGATCTGCCTAAAGTCACACAGCTAATAAGAAGAAGAACATAGATTCAAATGCAGCCTGAGCTGTGTAATGGCCCTGAACTAAAATAACCCACTGGGGTGGGTAAAGCTGATTGTGGGCATTCTTCAGCCTAGAGTCGGGGCATAGAGCTTAAGAATTGTTTTGTGGTTCAGCAGGGAAGTCTCAGAGCTGATTACCTACAAAGCCTTGTGCAGGGCCCATGGCCTCTCTGGGCCTCAGTCCTCCATCTTCTAAATGGAGAGAATACATTGTATTGTGCAGGGCATGCCAAACGTGGGAATATTTCTCTCTCCAAAGGCTGCCACTCTCTAGGCTCTTATCAATCTTTTCCTGCAAGAATGATAGAGGCAGTGTGCTCAGTGAGGACATGCCTATATTTGGGGGTCAGAGAGATAGGAGTTTAAATCCTGTCTTTGCCACTACTTGTTGCATGAACTTTGTCAAGTTATTCCATCTCTTTGAGCCTTGGTTTCTTCAACTGTAAAATGGAACAACAGTACCCAGTCAAAGAATTGGCGCGAGAGTTGAATGAAATCAGGCTTGCAAGTGCTTCGAAGAATTCCGAAGATAGTAAAGGCTCAATAAACATTAGTTTGTTGTCATTATTCTCTTGGCATGGACACTGGGATTGTCCCAGACTCATAAAAGCTCTTCAAAACCCAAATTAGTTTGCCCATTTGGTGAGACCTTTCCTGCCCTCCCTGGGCCCCAGCCTTGGTACTGATCACATCCTGCCATTGGCTGTCACTTAGGACTCTCTGGCCAGGCCATGAGCTCTGGAAAGCTCCATCCCCACAGCACCTGGCACAAGGTCCGCCCCTCATGGGAGTTTAGTGTTTGTTGAATGAATGGCTGAGTAGTCCAACGAAACAGTGGACTTTACTTCCTGGGAGAGGCTTAAGGGGTGTACTAATCAACAACCCCTGATAATCCCCTCTTCCAAACCACAATTTGCCTGAGGCTCTCATTCCATTCAGTCATTCCTTACATCTTCGAGGCCTGAGGAAACAACTTGGAATAAGAAGGGTATTACATATTGTCGTAGTTAAGAGCAAGGGCGGCCGGGTGTGGTAGATCATGCCTGTAATCCCAGCACTTTGGGAGGCCGAGGCGGGCGGATCACCAGGTCAGGAGATCGAGACAATCCTGGCTAACATGGTGAAACCCCATCTCTACTAAAAATACAAAAAATTAGCTGGGCATGGTGGCAGGCGCCTGTAGTCCCAGCTACTGGGGAGGCTGAGGCAGGAGAATGGCGTGAACCCGGGAGGTGGAGCTCACAGTGAGCCGAGATCGCGCCACTGCACTCTAGCCTGGGTGACAGAGCGAGACTCTGTCTCACAAAAGAAAAAAAAAAAAAAAAGAGCAAGGGCTCCCTGGGGTCTTACCCTGTGTTCTGCCACCCATGGTCTTAACTAAGCTACTCAGCCTCCCTGAGCTTCACTTCTAACTGTGTTTAAAATAAAAATAATAACAATACTTAGCTTGTAGAGTTTTAAGAGATAATGTAAAGAACATGAGATTCATCATTTAAGAAGCACTTAATAAATGATTTTCATTATTGTCATTGTTATCATAATTATTAGGCCACAAATCATTTTGAAAATCTGAAATGGACACATACAAATCATTTTGCATTTAATTTCAAGGAATTCATGGATTCCTCATCCAAGAACCTTATCAATGGATCCCATCAAGACCCATGAATTCCTCAAACTAGTTATTTTCCCCCTCATTTTATAGGCAAAGAACCAGAGGCCCAGAGAAGCTATGGGATTCAAACTAATATGGCAGGGCTGGACCCAAATGTCCTCACTCGGGTCAAGGTTACACCTAAACTGACTCTCAGTCGTGGGTTATTTTTCACTAACTAACTGTAAAATCTCTCTTTCAGCAAACATTTTGGAGCTCCTTAACCCTCTGCAAAAAGTGGAACTGCACAAAGAAATAAGCCAAACAAGTGTGCATGTTTCCTGCCTGCTCTTTAGTCTATGCCCTCTTTCTGGCTGGCAAAAGCTCCATCCCATACAATTGTCCCCAGAGAAGCAGCCAGCCCAGCCCTGCTGCTTACCTACTAGGAAGTCTTGAGCAAGCCACTGTATACCAGTGAGCCTCATTTTCTTCATACACTAAATGGGATGATAATACCTACCTCACCAGGTTGTTGTGAAGATTAAACTATATAAAACGCATCCAGAAGTCCTGACCAAGTAAGCACTCGGTAAATGGTACCTGTTACTATCACCACGTTGAAAACGCAATAAGAGTGAATATTGTCCCTTTGGAGGAATAGGAATCCACAGAACCCAGTGAACACAGGTTTGCCAAGTCCTGCAGGTACCTGTTTTAATGAATAAATGAGAATGCTTGGGTAATGAGCGTAGTGATTGTTTTATGTAAATGATGCTCCCATGGAGCTTGTAAACAATTTCCTTTCATGAGAAAACATTGCCCTGGAGAGCTTGTTCACAACACCAGCTTGCTTCTCCAACTTTCTCTTCCATGGTCTGCACAGAGTAGCACTTGGCCCAGGTATGAGAGAATCATGACAAATTCATAATTGCTGCCTCCAGTCTCAGTGGTGGCAGATGGGATCTCAAGAGCTTTTGGAAGGAGCCCACCTTAAAAGAAATGTTTTCTTTTGTTTGTTTTTTTGTTTGTTCATTTGTTTGTTTGTTTTCTTCTATTCTGTTCTTGGTCCAAGCTGGGCAGACCAATTGATATTTGATGGAGTAAATATTTGGATAGGAATAGAAGTGATGAGTTTTAGGTAAAATAAAAAAGCACAAGAGTGAAAGAATATCACCATTGACTAGAAGAATTCGCTGTGCCTCTGGTTCACTCTGGAACCACAGGAAAACTAGAATAAGCAATGGTCAACTGGACAGGTGCTCGGGATACCAGTCAATAAGAGGTGCTAAATAAAGTCTCGCTGAAACCCACTTGAAATATGGTGCCCATCTGAGAAAGATAACTCAGGTTCTTACCTGCAACTCCTTACATAATGAAAAAGTCATCTGGTTCTACTCCCTTGTCACAGAAAGTCCTGCACTCACCCACCTAAATCTGTACAAAGAGCACAGTGCAACTGCACACCATACCACCGGCCCTGCACCAGCCACCTGATTGTTTAGGCTACCTCCCAAAGAGCTGTATGACCTGGAAGATCTGGTAACAAGTATTTTATTTTTTAATTCAATGAAGAAGTACATATTTTTTATGAATTGGCAACCAACATTTTCCTGTCCCTCCCAAATGAATACTAAATTAATATTTAAAAACTGTAAGTTTGATGGGATGTTAAATTATTAGTCTTCCAAGTAAACACACATGTCTCTGACTACCCCTGACCATGAATAATCAATCATATGACCTTCAAGAGTCAACTTCTTGTGAAGGACATGATCTCATGCTTTTTTTGGCTTCATCATATTCTATGATGTATATGAACCACATTTTCTTTATCTAGGCTACCATTGATGGGCATTTAGGTTGATTCCATGTCTTTGCTGTTGTGAACAGTGCTGCAGTGAACATGCATGTGACTGGAGGCCATTATCCTTAGCAAACTAACGCAGGAACAGAAAACCAAATACCACATATTTTCACTTATTAGTGGGAATTAAATGATGAGAACACACGGACACAGAGAGAAACAACAGACATGAGGACCTACTGGAAGGTGACGGGTGGGAGAAGGGAGAGAATCAGGAAAAATAACTAATGGGTACTAGACTTAATACCTGGGTGATGAAATAATCTGTACGACAAACCTGCATGATACAGGTTTACCTATATAACAAACCTGCACAGGTACCCCTGAACTTAAAATAAAAGTTAAAAAAAAAAGAGTCAACTTCCTGACTGCCAGGGGGTGATGTAAGTAGCCACACTATCAGTGTACAGTTTTATGCTTGTGCACCATTGACTTGCTGTTCCTTCTGCCTAGCATTCCCTGCTCCTGTTCACTCCTGCCTTCTTAGTCACCTGGATTACTCATATTCACCCAGTGAGGTCCCTTCCCCATTAGGCCTTCTCTATTTCCCCAGAAGAATCACTCACATGGCTGGGACTCTACATGGCATCTTTAACACTACGATTAGCATTATCAGCCCACATGTCTGCTTCCCCTATGAAACGTGAGGTTTTTGAAGCTCAGGTCAGGGTTAATTTCCATGTGTGTTCCCAAACATCTGGCACCATGAGTGGCACTGAATAAAAGGTCAATAAATGCACCTGGATATGCAAGGATGTCACCATGACCCTTTATCTCCTTCAATGGCCCAAATGGAAGACCTTCCTTTCATATCAAGAGCTCCTCCCTTAAATTCTCTTCCTGAGAGGAGTAGAGGCAGAAGCATGCCTGGTGTCCAACAGGCAGTGGGAGTTGGGAGACAGTAGATCCTGCTGGTCCTAGAAGCAGTCAGTATGATCTGATCGAGAGGTTGGTTAAATACAAGGCTATTAGCAAGTAAGTAAATATGTTGAGAATAATAAGAACAGGGTTATTCACTGTCAGAGAAGGGATTTAAAAATACAGGAAAGGAGAAGACTAGAATGAACACTGAGGTGTCAAACTGTAATTGGAAGTATCACTATGAACTTATGATTTAGATAGAGACATAAAGATACATAGAGATGTATGTGTATGTATATTATACATACATATGTTTTCCAGCTCTGTCCATTCAGATGGTCTAAAAATAATGATGCTCCAGTAGAAATGAGCACCTGGGCCCCCCACCTCTTGGTTTCTAAATACCACCCTCCACTAACAGAAACCACGAACCTTTGAAGAAATGGCTGATTTCAGGACCAGGGCAGGGTAATAAAGTACAAGATAAATCTGGAACATCTTGGGCTAGAAAGCAAAGACATGCTCAAGAGCACATGAGAGCCAGGTTGAAGGTGCTTCCACCAGGAAAATCTGGGACAATTTTCAAAGTAAATACTGACAGTAATATATTATATCCCACTAAAGAACATAGGACTTTATGAATTCTGCACTGATATTAGTTAATTAGCAAATGAAGGAGAAGAAAAAATTCTTCTTTACATAGAATGTCAACTAGTAAGTGTGCAAGGAATGATGAAAATAGAAAATCACCATTTGGCAACCATCATTGTAGAGGTTATTTAGGCAGGAATTGTCAATGGATGCTAAGGTTGGTGGGTGGAGGTTTTATAAGTAATGGGATATTGGCATAATCTTGGAATATTTCACCACATAGTGCCAATGACAAAGGTAAAAATGGAGACTTTTTAGTTGAGAAATCTGGAAGACATTGATTCTCACAAAAACCCAATGAGGGAGGTAGAATTCTGACTGCTTTGTCAAACCCCAGCTATGAGGACTACTAGATGGATGATCTTCAGCACATTGTCTTTCTATGCCTCCATTTTCTCTCCTTGAAAATGAGAACATAAATGGTGCCTACCCAACGAGGGTTATATTGCAAATTGATGCATTAGCCCACATAAAACATTTCAGACGTTGCATAGCACAGAGTAAACTCTCAATGAGTCTTAGCTATTATAAATATTATAATGAGGAAATTCAGCTCAGAGCAGTGAAAATGGTGCTCAAACCCACATCCACCAAACTCTAAATCACCACTCTCAGTTGTTGCCCAGAAATCAGTAAGTCTCAGTTGTCAAGCACCTGACAGTTTCCCAAAGTGCTATTTCATTCACGTTTTCCTTGAAAGTGACAAAAGTCCATACAGGTGAACAGAAGTTAGATTTCTCATAGGCCCTATTTTGCAGAGGAGGAAGGATCTTGGCTCACCCAAAATGACAGCACTAATAAACCATAGGAGGAATTGGAGCCCATACATCTGATTCTAAGGCCCTGTTGCTTTCAGGGCCTGATCTGACTGCAGGAGTTCCAGCCTCATTGCCACAGGTCCATGAAGTAGCCTAGGGATGGTGACTAGTTTGGAGAGGCAACCAAAACTTAGAGGGCTCTTCTGAACTTGAAATTTATCATGAAGCCCTAACACATTTGTCCCCCTCCCAAACACATTGCACCACCAGATTAGGATAGGCAAGAAAAAGTTCTGACAGGGAATCAGGGAGCTTAAGAACAAGGATTAGAGGTAAGGACTGACATCAGCTTGTAAGCCTTCAAGGTCAAGTCAAGGAGGATGTCAACCCCATTCAGGCAAGTAAGAGAATGCATCCTAGTTTTTGTCTTTAAATTTGCCATTGGTCATAACCTCTTCATGTCATCTAGGGTGGACTTAGTTAGCTACAAGGGAAATTGAGGTTAAATGACAGATCCTCATCTGGGTCTGAATGGAAAGTTGCCCCTTTCTTGAATCCTGCTGGCTCTCAGCTTCTCTGTAAGTACACAAGCAGCAGCCATAGTCAACTCAACACTTTTTGCCAAAGAATGGACTGAATAGAGGCCTTCGTCAACACAGGAAAGTGGAAGTTTACAATCACACCACAAGAAGATGGAAGCGTCCACTGTTGCTCAGGTCAAAAGACCAATATGCACCACTGCCACCTCACCTCGGCTCTGCCAGGGCCATCTATACAGATTTAATCTCTCCCTCTCTCTCTCTCTCCCCTGCTCCCTGGGAAAACTAAATCTCATCTGTCTGCAGTTAGCAGAAGCCTGGAGTAACTGGATTCATGGCTGGAACAAAAGATATATGTGACGTTAACAGTTCATTGAGCTGTGAGATGAACAAGATGGGTGTTGAAAAGGAAACCTGAGCTGAGAGTACATTTCCAGTGTTAATAAAGCTTCCCTTTTGTTGTATGTTTCCAAACACTGACTCCAGGATGGGTGCCATCCGTTTCCTTCTAGAATTAGACAGGCCTGCAGATTTAAGGCATCGAAGAGCATCATTCGGCCCTGTTAATGGACAGCACAAGGTGCTGCGTCAGGAACTTGCCCCCGTCTTTAGCTCTGGCTGCAATTATTTTGCTGGCTTGGCAAAGCGTGTGCCTCCTGTTCACCCAGAGGATGTGCACACAGATAGCAGCCCACCAGGGAAACCATCAAATTCCAAAACTCAGATTTGCAGATGTGTGTGAGGGTAGTCATCATAGCAATGCAATCAGCTGTGCAAAAGTAGATGCAGCATATGTGTCTGAAAATTGGTGATTGGTTAACCTAAACTATAGAAGAGGCGTGCATGATGAAGTTATAAGTGGCCTTTAAAAAGCCTGTTGAAGAAATATATTTATTGACATGGAAAGATGTTCATGATTTATTAAGAAGTATTTTAGAAAGCAAGATATATAACAGTATGGATCCCATTTGTACACTATGTATAATAAGAAAGAAAAAGAAAGGAGCTGCGATCTAGCTTCTAGGGAGAATGGACCCTGCTAAATTGAAAGCCATAGTCATTTTGGTCACTTTAGATAAGTTGAGAATAGACATTGGCTATAGGTCACCAGGAAGGATAAAGGGCTCTGCATAATAGAGAAGGAAGTGGAGCTTTTGGGGTGCTTTCCAAGAGGAGCAAGGTGAGGAGGTACAGAGGTGAAATAAGAGAAAAGAAGACTCTTGTGGGTTGAATTGTGTCCCCACAAAAAGATCTCTTGAAGTCCTAACCCCAGATATCTGTGAATATGACCTTTTTTGAAAATAAGTTATTTGCAGATGTAATTAAGCTAAGATGACATACTTAGTTATGCTGGGTCCTGATCCAATGTGACTGGTGACCTTATAAGAAGAGAAAATGGAGGCACAGGGAGGAGAATGCCATATGAAGACAGAGACACATAGACACAGAGGGAAGACAGCACAGGAAGACGAGATTGAGATTGGAGTTGTGCAAACACAAGCCAGGGAAGCCTGGCGCCATTAGAAGCTCAAAGAGGCAAGGATCTTCCTCTCGAAGTCTTGGAGGGAGTGTTGCCCTGCCAACATCTTGATTTTGTATTTCCAGCCTCCAGAACTGTGTGTAAAATAAATTTCTGTTTACTTAAGACATCCGATTTGTGCCACTCTGTTATGGAAGCCCTGGGGAACAAATACAAGAAACCAGCAAAAGGGGGTGAGTCTGAGAGGGGTACAAGAGCTGAAGGAACCAACAGGTAGAGAGCAGATAACCAACATTTTAAGGATGGGGATGCCTGGAGTCCACTTTAAAGTCTTTGGATCCCTGTGATAGAAACACCTCCTCTAGCTCCCTCCCAGATGTTCACAAACTGAGATCCAAGTGTTTTGTGTCAGGTGGACGTTGGAGAAGTTGAGGACTTTCCCATCTGAATCATCGTGGTACAAAACCAATGCAGGACAGAGCCAGCAGCCTGGGTGACCATGGGATTAGAATGCCCCACCCCACCCCACCCTGACCCAGGGAATTCTCAGAAGTCCTCAGGGGACTTTAGACTTCAACAGTGTTTCATGAGTACAAGAGATGAGTCTTGGAAAGTTTGAATAACATGTTCTGATCATAAAGATACCCAGATCTGTGGGATTCCAGAGCCCATGCTGTCCCTGACACATGAGCCAGTCTGCCACTAGTCCAGCTGCTCCAATGGCCCTGCTAAATACGGAACAGATGTCACACATAACCATTCTATGCCTCTGCCATCTCCTGGGTCAACCAGTGGCCAAAGAAAACAGAAGACTTTTTTTTTTTTCTGTCCCTTCATAGAGCCACACGGGGCCTCCTTTCCCAAGCTCTCATGGTGACAGGCAAGCAGCAAATGGCCAAGGATCTAGAATCTTTCTTTCCCCTCCCCTGATAATATATATGATTTATTCAGAAACAGGTTATTTCAGAGGCCCTTCAGAAGCTTTCAACCACACAGGGGTAGGTCAAAATAGTTGACCTCTGGGGTTCCTTCCAACCCTGAGATTAATGGGGGGATTCATTCATTGGCTGAGTCAGGAGAGAAAACAGGATGTGAGAAATGATGTGAGAGAAACAGTGAAGACTTCACTTAGCCTAATAGGCAGGGGATGCTCTAGAGATGAAGTGTCCCTGCTTGACATTGTAGGAAACAAAGTTCCTGATTGAGAGACCAGAGGAGGCCACTTGGGATTTGATCTCAGAAGGGAGTCTGCTCATACAGAGATGCATATGAAGACGTTCCAGAAAGAGGGAACAGAGTTGGCAGAGCTTCAGCTGCAGAGAGGGAGCAGGTATGCGTGGGAACAACATACAGTCATTTGACTTCAGTGTAGGATGACAGAAGGAGGAGTAAGAGAGGGTGGCACCAGGTAGCACAAGGTCTCGTGTTTCAAATGTCATTCCAAAGGTAAGAGGAGGCCACAGAAAGATTTGATCGGGGGCATCCCATGGGCAGAGCTATGCTTCGGGAATTTTAGTCTGAATGCAGGCAGGATGGATTGCAGAAGTCAGCCCAGAGGCAAGGAACCCATCAGAAAAATGTAGCAAAGTCCAGGAAAGAGAAGATGAGGCCTCAGCATGGGCAGAGAAAATGGTTGTGGATTGCAGGGAGTGGGACTGAGAGATATTTAGGAGGTAAAGATGCACAACTTGGTGACAGACAGTATATGTGGAGTGGAGGACAGGGAAGAGTCACAGATGATGCCAAGTATCTGGTCTGGGGATAGGGGGATGATGCTGAACACTGAGATGGGGCATCTCGCAGGAGGACCGGGTTCGGAAGAAGTGATTGACTATAGTTTCCATGTGGATAGTTTGGGTGCAATGGACTGTCAGATAGAGGAGAACAGAGGTGGCTGGAAGTAAGAGATGACCTGGACATCAGGGCCACCTCCCTCTGATGTTATGCTGGGGCGGGTCAGAGGAAAGACATGTGCAAAAGCTTGGGGTGAAGCAGAACAAGGCACCAGAATCTCCTCCCGAGGGGGCAGCTCCAGGGGACGACGCTCTGGACCTTGCTCCCTGTGAGCAGTGCTACTGCATCATTCACAGAGATTCATGAGCATGCCCGTGGCCATCATCTGTTCGTAGGGCACTTTACAGTGCGCCAGGCACCTCCTCGCTTGTTGTTTCCTCCACTCTTCACCACAGCGTCATGGGAGACCCACTGTTCTTATCTCACTACTCAGACAAGAGAAAAGTGAGGCAGAAGGCGGGTGCTCAGTTCACAAGAATAGTGGGACAGGAATTTGGAAGCATACGTGACTATCTCCAGTGTCCACCCTCATTTCTAGATACTGTGAATTTCCTTACTACATATCATGAATTAAAGAAGGAAGCTAGGATTTGAACCAGGTCCTAAGACCACACTCCTGTCCCCCACCAATCACCCACCACACCTCCGCTCCTGGAGAACCCAGCACATCACAGCAGCCTTGCTAAATTTCCCTGCAGGTTCACTTCCCAGTGGGGTTTTCTCCTGGGTTTGCCATCCTTGTGCTCTGTGACCACCTGTGTGTCCTCCATCTCTTGCCTCAGTTTACCTACCTTGAGCACATCACGTTTTTCTAGACAAAGACAACAGTAGCACTGCTGTGTCCTAGACAATGAAAGAAGAGAAAAGAAGAGAAGGAGGGGTCAGGGAAGGATAGAAAGAAAAAATAGAATGAGAAAGAAAAAGAGAGAGTGAATGAAAAAGAAAAAAGACAGCCCTCTTAAGCACAGGGAAAGTTACATATGAGGACAATTATTCCCCGAGCCGTTGTTCAGTGAAGCCCCGTTGTTCAGCGAAGCGCTTCAAGCGAGCTTCCCCAGGTGCCATGCGGAGGCTTTATGGAGTTAGGTGATATACGATGTCCGCCACGTGCCTGGTGATCTATGACTCAGGCCCAGGTTATGTTCCAGCCTCAGGATGGTTGTGTGATTTAGGGTTGCTCCTGAGACTCCAGCTGGCATGGGGGTCAGCATGCTCTAATGTTGTGTTTGGGATGGGGTGCGCATGCTAGGAAGAAGGGCATGACATCCAATTTCCTGAATGGGCCCTGGGAGGAAGATGTACAGAATCCCTGTCTTCCAGGTCAGCCTCTCTGTGTCTGGTGTAGAGGCCTCTTCATCCAGATGGAATGATTTACATTTTTATGTGTCATGGTTCTGGGGTGGGTCAGCACTGCTTCAGTGACAAAGGATTTCTAAACACAAAGGCTCTTAGAGATGGAGGTGAGTGCAGAGATCTCCTCTGACTCCCTGATTAATTTAGTAATCATAGATTCATTCCACAAATATGTATTGAGCTCCTAATATATCCCAGGCACTGTTTCTGGACACTCAGGCTATAGCAGTGAACAAAGCAGAAGTCATTTTTGTCCTCATGTTGCTCATCTTCTCGAAAGGAAGACACTTGACACAAAGAAGCAGGCTACTATGCTGGCAGATTGTGTCAGGCTTATGAAAAGAACCACAGAATTGAAAAGGGAACACTTTTACACTGTTTGTGGGAATGTAAATTAGTACAACCACTATGGAAAACAGTATGGAGATTCCTTAAGAACTAAAACTAGAACTACTATTTGATCCAGCAATCCCACTACTGGGTATCTACCCAAAGGAAAAGAAGTCATTATATGAAAAAGACACATGCACACGCATATTTATAGCGTCCAATTTGCAATTGCAAAGATATGGAACCAATCTAAGTGCCCATCAACCAGCGAGTGAATAAAGAAAATGCGATGTATATATATATATATATATATATATATATATATATATATATATATATATATATATACCATGAAATACTACTCAGCCATAAAAAGGAACGAAATAATATCTCTTGCAGCAACTTAGATGGAGCTGGAGGCCATTATTCTAAGTGAAGTAACTCAGGAATGGAAAACCAAATATTGTATGTTCTCATTTGTAAGTGGGAGCTAAGCTATGAGGACGCAAAGGCATAAGAATGATATAATGGACTTTGGGGACTTGGCAGGGAAGTTTGGGAGGGGGATGAGGCATAAAAGACTACTGTTGGGTACAGAGTATACTGCTTGGGTGACAGGTGCACTAAAATCTCAGCAATCACCACTAAAGAATTCATCCATGTAACCAAAAACCAACTGTAACCAAAAACTATTGAAATAAAAAAAACCAAGAACCACAAAAAACTGAGATGGCAAATGACAAGGGGAAGACCTATTTCATTTGGGCTGGTTAGGGAAGGCCACCCAGAGCATGGGTGCAGAGCTGACACTCAAAGGGAAAAGAGCCACTCATGTCAGAAGTGAGGAGAAGGGCCTTCCAGGAAGAAGGAGCATCGTGTGCAAAGGCCCTGGGGCTGGAAAGAGTGCAGCACGCATGAAAGACTGGAATAATAGCAGGTGGCCAGACTATAGCAAGAGCAGGACAGAACAGTGGGTATTGAACCTAGACAGGGAGTTGGGAACCATGTCCTGCAAGGCCTTAAAGGTCATTTAAGGATCTGAGTTTCTATCCTAATTGCAGTGGGACCCACTGTAAGGGAGTCCATTGAAATAGACAATAGGAAGATATTGTCTTACGAATGTTGGGTTCTGACCTACCATATTAGCACTTTCTCCTCTGCTTGGTCAAAAACCAAGACATTCATAAGACAATTTTCTGTTCTTTTCCCATTTAGGGAACATAATGGCCTAGAGATGGTGAAGAAGGCAGAGAATGGGAAGAAGGAGCAGATGTTTCCTCCCCATTGTCTACCTTCCTAGGCCCAAGGAACATGTGTAAGTGTAAGTGAAGGTGGGGAGAGAACGGGGCAGGGAGGACAGTTAGGGAGGGTGACTCTTGTCCCTACAATCCAAGGAATATTTTCAGAAGGGTCCAAGAAACAAAAACCTTCTGTGCTTCTAAATGGCACTATGAACATGTTCCCCTAAAGCAGAAGGGTTGGGGCTAAAAAGAGTTCTCGCTGTCTCTTGCATCTCTGACACTTCCTTACCAGGCCAGCACTGTTTGCATCACTGAAGCACTGAGATAACCAGGAGGCAGGTTTTTTTCAGGATTATCCTTTTCCTTAATCCCCTTGTCCAGTGTCCTGAAATTTTCCTCTGGTTGATTGATGATGTCTGTCTCATTTTCTGCTTTACCACGCTGGGCAAACCACCCTGACCCAGGCTTTCAGAGATAGACACTGGCAACATGAACTATTGGAGGCAAGAGTTCACCAGGGATCTTTTAAATGCTAGGTGAGTCAGGGGTCACCACTGCCATCCCTGCTTGGGCCTCCTCTCTGGGCTCCCTGCTACTACTCTAAGGGTACGCCATCCACCATGCACACAGCAGCCAACGTGAGTTATCACTTTTAATACAAATCAGACCTGTGACTGCTCTGTTCAAATGCTCCAGTGTTTTCCCCAGGATGTCTGAAATGAAATCTAAACTTCTCCCCATGGTCTGGTAGGCCCCCAACCCACCTATTGGACCTTGGCTGTAGCCCATCTTCTTCTCCCGGGTTGAGCTCTGGCCACACTGGCCTTGACCACTGTGTGCCAGGCCCCAAGGCCTTTCCATTTACTCTTCTTTTCCCAGGACACTCTGTCCACACCTTTGCATAGCTCAGTCCCTATCATTCAGGTCTTGGCTCAAATGTCCATCTTCACAGGGTTCTTCCTAGACCACCATGTCTAATAGAACCTACCCCATGTCTCGTCCTTCTCTAAAACAGCATCGTGGTTCGTTGTTTTAGAGAAATTATATGCATTTGGAATGACCTTGCTCAAGTACTTCTTTATCCCCTTATGTTTACTTATCTCTGCACTAAACTTTCTGTTCCTAGAAAGCAGGTTGTTTCTTGTTTTATTCCCTGCTCTGCCCCTAGTGCCTGGAACAGGTGCCAAATAAATATTTGATGAATAAATGAAAGAATGAACAAATGAATGAATAAATATAATCTGTGTTGTGAGATCAATTCATCAAACACATCTTAAAACACACACCATTAGAATCTTACCTCTAGTCAAATCACCTTTATTTCAGAGGAACAAACTGAAGGTCAAGGGGATAACTTCTCAAGGTCATACTGTGGGTAAATGGCCAGAACTCCAGTCCTCCTCAGCCAATTCGAAATTCTTTCCCTTCCCAAAGGCAGTAGCTGAGATATGAAGACCTCCAAATCCATAACTCCTTCCTGGCTTCTCTTGAGCCCTAAATCTCTTGGCTCTTGCCATTGGAGGGCCCACAGGTACCTCCAGCCAGTGTGCCCAAGCCTGGACTCCATATCTCCTGGTCCCTCCTGTGGGTGCCATGTTGAAGAAGATGCTCTTCTCCTCTTCTCCCTCACTCAGCATCCCCTCCCTGGATAGTCTCATCCCTCCCATGGCTTCAGTTCTGACCCACAAATCCAAGGTTCCCAAATCAGTTCTCTAGCCTGGGCTCTCTCCTGAGTCCCAAATCCACAGAGCCACTAGCTGATAGGCATCTCTCCCACTGACCAGCAGCCCCTCCTCCTCAAAAGGTTCCCAGTAGAGCTCATCATCTCCCCCCACTCCCATATCACTTCTCCTCCCCTGGGCTGCCCATGACCTCCCTGCCAGAACCTAGACATCATCCTCCACTCCTTCCCTCTTCCCAGCCCACCCCTCTACCCAATAACAACTGAGTTCTATCCATATTCTCTCACTGCAGCTCTGTGCTCTGTGTAAAGGTTGTGTCCTCTGAGGGGCACCTCAGTCTGGACCCAAGCAGGGACTCCTGGCCAAGCCATTGAGCCCTGACTCAGGGCTGCAACTATCTGGAGAAAGGGATGCCTTTTTCTTATTTGTATAAAGACACTGTATGCCTCATGCTTTGTGTCAATAGGGTTGAAGTCCTGGAACCCAGGAATTGAAGGGTACTCTTTCCTGGCTGTTCCTCCCACCACTACTACTTAATCAAGTTGTTACCATTCCTCACTCAGACCATGGGTCTAGTAAGTGGCTTAAACTGGTACCTCCTAACTGGACTTCCAGCCTCTAGCCTGGCCTACTCCAAGAGCAGATTGCCAGAGTGCTTTTCCTAACATGTGAAACTGACTGGAGCCCTTCCTTCCTTAAAACCCTGCACCCTACCTATCAGTGCAACACCTCTAGTGTTGGGTTGTCCCTGGGGACTGAGAGACCTTTGACCCAATCCACATCCTGGATTACACCCCTCATCCATGTATCTCCCACTACAGTGATTTCCTGTTTACCTGGCTACCTCCTCATCTAGACTCTAAAACCCTTGAAAGCAGAAACATCTCCCCAGTGTCCAGGGAAGTACCTGGCACAGGGTATGGAGTGAATAAACTAATGAATGAATAAATCAGTTATGAAGCTTCAGTTGGCCTTCTTGAAGATGTTGATGGCTGCCATTCATTGATGGCTGCTGATGAGAGGGAAGGAAGCAGGGTAGGCCTGTGGGCACGAGCTTGGGGAAGGAGCATGGATCAGCTACCTATAGCAACACTCCCTAGCCAGCCCACCTAGGGGTCCAGAGGATGTGAGAGGCTGTTTCACAGAGGGTGGGTTACACCCAGCTAAAGAGCCTTCCTCTTGACACCACTTCTCAGAGCTGTAATATGCTGAGGAGAACTGCCAGTTTCACAAAGTACAAACACATGAATTTTCTCAATTCTAAAACATTGATATGAGACACCTCTGAAATCAGCATGCCTCCTACAATGGCTGTACATAATTTTTTTCTCTTTGTTTCCAAAAGGCTGTTGTTAAGTTAATGATGTGTCACTTGATTCATGGGCTCTTAGAATCAAGGACCAATGATACTATGTGTAGGGCCACTCTATACTCTGATCACCCTACAGACCTGGTTTGTGCCTGTTGCCCCAGTGTAATTATTAATAGCTGCCCCCTGCACTCTCAAATGTCCCAGTTCGAATGATAAATGACATGATCACCCCGTTGATAGAGCACTAAAAAAAAAGCTGCCTTTAGGAGCCCCAACTCCTCACCAATGGATGACCAGGATGCTTTACTTAGGAACCATCTGTCCTATAGTCTTTGCACATTTTTCTCGTACCCATCTGTCAAAACAAGCCATCATATTTCAAAAGTTCTTTTCAGCGCCTTGACACAACTTCCCTGATTCTCCCCTGGAAGGCATGTGATGATGACAAAATGACCAAAGGTCTTTCTGCCAGCTCCTAAGCAGTGCTTCCAAACCCTTCCCCAGAATGATAAGTCCCTGAAGCCAGAAAAGCAGAAAGTTGTGACCCCAGGAGGCCCGCAGGCACTGCCCTCAGCTCCCAAAAGAGGTTCTGAATTCTGAATTTTCAAGTGAAACACATAGAATTCTCCATCTATATTAAAGTATATGCAAGTCTGTTTAACTTGAAAACTATGCTTTAAGTTAGTTGCCAAGGTATAAAACTGAACCACCTGGAAGATGCTCTATGTTTATTCTGGGGATCTGGATACCCCCCTGCAAAGCTTCTCAGAAAGGCAATCCCAGAGGCCTTTGCTTTTATCAGATGGGAACTGCTTGCTGAGAGTGGAAAGATGAATTTTCACCCAGAAACTCCGCATAGCAAGCAACCTGAACAGAAAAGAAACTAACTCCACTGGGCATCTGTGATATGTTGGGCATCATTTCATCAAATCACAATTCTGGAGTAAGCATCATTATCCCCATATTACAGATGAGGAAACAAAGTGCAGTGAGGTTAAGTAACTTATATAAGGTCTCACAAAAATAAAGAGCACAGAGGAAATGCGAAATCCAGGACCCTACGATTCTAAGAAAGGATTTCTCCTGTCTCAGGAGCCCCACGATGCTGAAGTTTCCCTTGTCTGTCTCCTCCGCAGTTTATTGAAGTGCTCTTAGGACAAGATGTGTCTCCCACCTCGGGTTTCTCATCATCTTCACTGTCACTTTGAGTTTCTCTCTTTAAATCAACTTCCCAGGGCTCTCCTGAGAGATTTGAAGAAAGAAAAAATTTTAAAGTCTCCATGTCTATTTGTAGCTCTAAAAGCTGGTTTGTATTTAGAGGAGATTATTTTGTAAGATTAAAAAAAAAAAGTTGCTGAAAATGTGGAAAACTACTATAGATAAAATGCATTTATTCTGAGATATGATCTGTTGGATTCTCTACTACCAAAGTGGGGGAAAAACAGGTGGTACTCCAGAAAAATATTCACAGATGGAAAATGTATAAATGGTAATTCACCAAAAACAACTGCAATCGTGACTTTTAAAATATGATGCTGGTTTCTTTTTTAGGGCCAATGCATTACATTGAAAACCTTGGAACTCCCTGGATAACGAATGTTTGGCTAATTAGATGCTAAATCCCAGGGAAAAGGCATGGATGGAGAAAAGGGGCTCACCGTGATATGTTAATCTATGTGTTCAGTGATTTGGGCTTGGATTTTATCGAAGAGCAATATGGTACAGCAAGAGACATCTGAGCTAAACCAAACCATTCCACATAAAGCACATTCCTCTCCATAGGCTTCCTTGTCACTGCCATGAAAGCCTGAGGTTAGTAGAAACTGAGTCATACCATTCCCAAGGCTACTCAAAATTTTCTGTATCTCCTTCCACTCAATCTTTGTGGGTTGCAATTAAAGTATAAAACAATCTTTCTTGTCCTGGATTGAAAAGAGTGCAATAATACTAGGAAAAGAACTGGTTTTTCCTGCCTGCTTGGCAAACTCCTACTCATACTTCAAAGTCCTATTAAAATATACCTCCTACAAGATACCACTCTCCAGGAAGTCATTCTCTTCCTACTAGGTGTCCCCTCTGCTCTTTATACATCCCTCTTTTGAAGCTCCTATCTTGCCACAGGAATCATTTTTGTTTGTGACTTGGTTTCACTCGATAGACTATGAGGTCCTTAGTATCTAGCATTAAAAGTGCCTAGTATAAGGCTTAGAATACAGAAGCTGCTCAATAAATGCTAAGTGGATGAATTAGTAAATGAATGAATGAAATAAAACAATAGAACATGTGGACTAGAAATGAAACTGAAACACTTGGATTTCTTTTCCTCCCATGGGGCAGCTGTGTCTTTCAGAGTAATTCTTCAATATGACTTAACTCCACCTTACTATTCTTCCACTCATTCATTCATGTTAAAAAAAAAAAAAAAAAAAAGTCGCCCGAGTACTCCCATCCTAGAATCTGTGGGGCTAAATTAACCTGAAAGATAACAGACTTGGATCGTGCCCCATGAGCCTCATACTCCTGCAAATGTCCTCCCAGATGGATGGCAGATTTATCAAGAATGATTTCCCATGGCAAGACCCTCTCCACTGCTACAGTGGACACTGTTGTATGCCTCCCAGGTGCCCCTCTGGGACCAAGGCACTCATTCCCCTAGCTTCCTCTGGGAGCACTGGCTCCTGGTGGCTCACAAAGCCTCCTTCTCCAGGAATTGCCCTTAGCCAAAAGGAGCTGCCTTATGCATAGTCACGCCCCCTCGTCAGGGGCAGGCTGCTTCCATGTGAAGGTGCAAAGAACTAGCCACTTTATCTTGATTAAGAGCAACTCTGAAGGACCATCCCAGCTTCAGGGTTTCCTACAGGATCAGCGGAGGTCTCTGCTGCACACACATTGCAGCTCAAGTCTTTCCTCTGCCCAGTCCTGCTTCCCTTTCTCTCTTGTGGGAGTCATCCCAAGATCTAAATTGAACCAATACTTCCTGCTTGCAAATCTCTTTCTCAGAGTCCATCTTCAAGAAACCTAATATAAGACAGCTACCTCCCCTCCGCACCAAATGGATCCATTTCCAAACCATGTGGGCATCTTTTGAGGTAAAATCTGGTAGTTTCAAGATGATTTTGCCTAAGGACTTGTCAGCATCACTGTTACCGCTATTGGAACCATGGGGGGAAAGGTAGAGTCTTCTTTCAAGAGCTGTTGCCAATTACATTAAACATTTTTTTCTAAAGTCCTTTCATTCTTTTTTCTCTTTCTTTATCATATGTTTCAGGAATACAAATTTTATATCTGTTTTTAGATCTCCTATACATATCACCAAAACAACAATAAGCAAATAACAAACAACAACAAACCTATCTAGCTCCTTTAAAAAAGCCTGAAGTTTTTGGGTCCTATTACTTTGCACCTGTTAAAATGGCTATTATCCCCCCAAAAATGGTACTGACAAGGATGTGGAGAAATTGGAACCCTTGTACACTGCTGTTGGGAATGTAAAATGATGCAGCCACTGTGGAAGTCAGTATGAAGATTCCTCAAAAAATTAAAAATAGAAATACCATATGATCCAGCAATCCCACTCCTGGAAATTTACCCAAAAGAGTTGAAATTGGGATCTCAGTGAGATATTAGCACTCCCATGTTTATTGTAGCATTATTCACAATAACCAAGATGTGAAAACAATCTAAATGTCCATTGATGGATAAATGGGTAAAGAAAATGTGGTATATGCATACAGTGGAATATTATTCAGCCTTTTATAAAAGGAAATATTGCAATATGAGACAACATGGATGAACCTGGAGGATATTATGCTAAGTGAAATAAGCTGGTCACAGAAGGACAAATACTGCATGATTCCACTTATACGAGGGATCTAAAATAGTTAAACTCATAGAAGCAGAGAGTAGAATAGCAGTTGCCAGGAATGAGGGGAGGGGGAAATGGGGAGCTGCTAATCAGTGGGCATAAAGTTTCAGTTATATAAGATGGATAGGTTCTAGAGACCTGCTGTACAGCATGGTGCCTATGGTCAACGATACTGTATTATGCACTTAAATATCTGTTAAGAGAGTAGATCTCATGTTAAGTGTTCTTACATAATAAAATAAAAATAAATGTGTGGAGTCTCTGGGCAGTTTTTTACTTTTACAATAATCTATAAAAAATAGAGCTTTATGGAGTTAGAGGTTAGGTTTTTCCTTCACAAAAGAATTTTTCACTTTCTTGAAATCTTGGAATGACACCTCTATTTTACAGAAGGGGAAACTGAAGTTGAGAGAAGACATTCCCAAGGTCACACAGTGAGTTATTAGAAAGGGCAGAACTTGGTGGTTTGTTTCCAAACTCATCCAGAGTGTTTGTCCCATCACTAGCTCTTGCTTGATATCATGGGAGTCCCAAACCTTGGAATTTACAAGAGTCACTGAGAAACTGTTAAAATGCAGATTTCTGTACTATTCCAATAGAGAATCTGATTCGGAAGCCTGAGGTGGACCTTGGAATCTTCATTTTAAATATGCACATTATACTCCAAGGTCATTTGGGGAAACCTCTTTTGAGAAACACTAATTTTGAATAATGAAACTTTACTACTGGAAAAGCCTTAGAAGCTGCTTGCCCAACTCCATCAAGGCAGAAGTTCCTTCAGCAATACTAGCACATTTCCAAAGATGGTAAGCTCACTACCTACCAACGAAGTCCTCTCCATAGGAGAGGCCTCTCAGGAAATACCCTCTGATCACTGAGTTGACCTCTACCTCCAAGAAGTAGGAAAACTCTCCTGTGAGTTCTACCTCTTCCCCATCTATGAGACAAATCTCTTCAGCCTTATCTGCTCCAACCTCCAGAAGCATAGTAGTTGCTCACTAAATACTTGAATTAAAGAGAGAGGAAAGTGATATAAGCATGAACAAGTGTGAATGAATCAGGCATTTTAATGTAGCCCTGTGCTTGGCACACAGGAGGATTGCAATAAGCGTTTTAACTATTTAACGTTGAATAATACAGGTCTATCATAAAATAGGCTAGCACTGTGGCTAAGAGCTACAGTGCTAAGATTCCTGGGTTTGAATCCTAGCTCTAAAATTTCTCTATGTGGCAAATTACTTAAACTCTACAAGCCTGTGTTTGGGCATCTGAAAAATAGGAACCAACCCAAATGTCCAACAATGATAGACTGGATTAAGAAAATGTGGCACACATACACCATGGAATACTATGCAGCCATAAAAAATGATGCATTCATGTCCTTTGTAGGGACATGGATGAAATTGGAAATCATCATTCTCAGTAAACTATCACAAGAACAAAAAACCAAACACTGCATATTCTCACTCTTAGGTGGGAATTGAACAATGAGAACACATGGACACAGGAAGGGGAACATCACACTCTGGGGACTGTTGTGGGGTGGGGGGAAGGGGGAGGGATAGCATTAGGAGATATACCTAATGCTAAATGATGAGTTAATGGGTGCAGCACACCAGCATGGCGCATGTATACATATGTAACTAACCTGCACATTGTGCACATGTAACCTAAAACTTAAAGTGTAATAATAATAAACAAATAAATAAATTTATCTCACCAAAAAAAATAAATAGGAATAAAAAAAAATAGTATCTGGGCCAGGCGCGGTCACCAGGTTAGGAGTTCAAGGCCAGCCTGGCCAATATGGTGAAACCCTGTCTCTACTAAAAATACAAAAAAAAAAAAGTAGCCGGGTGTGGTAGTGCATGCCTGTAATCCCAGCTACTCGGGAGGCTGAGGCAGGACAATTGCTTGAACCCAGGAGGCGGAGGTTGCAGTGAGCCAAGATCATGCCACTGCACTCCAGCCTGGGTGACCGAGCAAGACTCCATCTCAAAAAAAAAAAAGTAGTATCTGCCTCATACCTCAGCAAAGTGCTTGACACAAAAGAAGCATTCCATGAGGTTTAGCTGTGGATTTTACTTTTTCTTAGGCTAAACATTACCCTGGTTCCTGGGTTCTAAGCTCCAACACCCTTCCCAACAAGTCCTCCAGTTTGTCAACCCTCCAACCGAGTGAGTTACAAACCTAAACACAATTCTGCTTATGGCTGAGCCTTCCTGTTCACTGAACAAGAAGGGGTGGAGAAAATCCCTGTTTTTAATAAGGGTCCAGGGACTGCTAGGCAGACCAGTTGTACCAGAGCAAATGCTGCGTAACAGCAGAGGAAAAATATTTATTATATGATCAAAGCCTCAAAGACAGAAATGAATGGTTTAGATTGATCCTGAGAGCAGTAGAAGCCCCTGAAGTTTCAGGAGTGGACTTCAGATAGTCCAGCCTAGATGAACGTGAGGGCAGGTTGGAGGAAAAGAGATTGGTGGATAGGCTGATCACGTTTGCCAAGTTCCCTCTCTTTCCCTGTGACTTCCTCACACAAGAATCCTTACAGTACTTTGATCGCTTTGAGCACTTTCCTGCCTCTGAGCCTTTGTACATCCTCTTCCCTCTGCCTGCAACACCCTCCTCTACCCATTCATCTCACCCCTAGCTATATCTCTTCCATTGGGTCTTGACACCTACTCAGAGAGGCCTTCCCTGACCACCATATCTAATGAAACTTTCCCCGACACCATCATCGTTATTCTGCATCTCAGAATGCCATATCTTTCAAAGCATTTGCTGAAATATATAAATTTTCTATTTATTTATGCATTAATATTTCTCTCCCCCACAGATCATGAGATCTATGGAGGCAGAAAACTTTTCTTTCTGATTCATGGCTCCAGCCCCCTGCACAATGCCTAATACATAGTAGACAATCAATAAATACATTTTATTTCTGTTTATGGAGTGAATAAATAAAGTCAAGTTTCATAGTCTGGAAAAGGAGTAATGATTCATCCATTAAATTAAGGCAGGTAGGGCAGAAAAGCAAAGCAATACAAACAGATAGTTAAATTGCTAGATGGGTAGATAGATGGTAAAAAGGTTGTGGACCAGAGAGAAATTTGTGATTGGTGTGGAGAAAGAGAAGAGTCAAAAGTATTCTTGGACTTTCAGCCTGAGTAACTGATTCACATATTTAGAATATAATTCACACATTTAAGCTACAAACATTCTTAAAATTCATCTATAAAAATGTGACAGACTGGATCACTGTTCACATTTCTTTACTCTCTCTCTCTGTTACGGAATTGCAGCCACACCCTTTGCCATGTGGCTCTGCAGTGCCACCCAATAAAGTAACTGCAGTATATCTCACCACCGCATTAATGTTGGGCTTGCTATGTGACTTGCTGGAGCCAGCAGAAAGTTAGTAGACATGCTTATATGGCTTGGCTTGACCTCTTGCCCTATCAAGAAAAAAGTATGACCCAGGGAGCTACTAATTTTTTAGCCTGGATCTTGGAATTAATTCATGTGGAGCAGACCTGAACCCAACCAGAAGTCTAGAGTGAGTCAACAAGCCCCATCTAGATCAGTCAAACCGCAGCCAATCAACAGACCCAAGAGTATATAACTGAACATGTGAGGCAAGCCTCTGAAATCTCAGAGCTATTTATTATTCAGCCTTATTGCAGCTGAAACTTATTAATATAAGTGGTCAGCAAATATGGCCATTTTAAAACATGTTTGCAGATGCTTTGATACTTGTTTGACCTCTTCATTGAGAGGTGGACTCTTTTTTCTGTCTCCTTGAGTTTGGGCTTAAAACTGACAGAATGCCACAGAAGTGACAGTGTCTGACTTTGGAGATTAGGTAAGCAAAGGCCATGCAAGCTTTTGGATGGTTATTTTGGGATGTTCCCTTTCCTGACATCAGCCAGGGTGCTTCCACTCAGAATCCAGCCACCATGATAGGAGAGAAGCCCAGGCCACACGGGGAGGCAAGTGCACATGTTCTGATCAACCATCCCAGCAGAGCCCAGCCTTCAAGTGAGCCTAGCCCAGTGCCAGTCATATGAGTGAAGAAGCCCCCAGATGATCTCAGTTCCTAGCCATCAGTCACCTCCAGCCTTCATGTGTTCTCAGCTGAGGCCTTGGACATCGTGAAGCAGAGACAAACCATCCCTGCTGCCATCCCCCATTCAAATTCCCGGCTCACAAAATCTGTGAGTGTAGTAAACTGGTTGTTTTACTCCACTACATTTTAGGGTGGTTAGCTAATAGCACTAGTAACTGGGACAACAAATAAAGGCCTCGTAGGCAAACAATTGCTTTCCCTTACCCATGCAGACCTCACTAACCAATCTTGCCACTCTTCATCATGAAACCTGAATAGAATCTCTGAATCCTTCTCAACAGAGTACTCCTGGGTAAACTCCATTGTTACTAGATCAAAATATCACCTACTTGCCATCCTAGAGTCTAATTGACTTTCTTTTTGTTGAAGTATTTGAGAAGACCCAAGTCATTGCTCTTTTCTCCCTGTCCGTGTCAGCTGAGAGAAGGTTAAAGATGCCCTGGCCTGAACCCTTTCTCTCAGCTTCCTATCCCATTCATTGGCTACATTTTACCTTTGCTGGCCTTCTTGGGGTGGCCATCTCTGAGCCTTTGCAGCCAGTATTACCTCTGCCTATTGCATTCTTTATCCTACCTTGCTGTCTCCTGTGTGCTCCCCAGTCTCACCTCAAACATCACTTCCTCAAACAAGCCTGCCCCAAAACCATTCATTCTCTTTCACACCACCCTGAACTTCCCTTTCTTTCACGGCATTCATCATAACTCTGATTAAATAATCATTTGTATAATTTGCTGTGTAATATCTGTATCCCTCAATAAATAAACTATAAGCTCCACGAGGGAGCTGTGTCATTTTGATCTCTGTGATATATGGCAGGTGCTACAGTAATATTTATTGAGTGGGTAAATGAGGGTAAGTAGGGCTCTGAAGCCTTTAACCAGAAAGGATCCCTTGGTCAGCTTGTTCCAGCTCCATGATCTTCCTTTTTCATCTCCCTAAGGATCAGACATCTAGTCATCTTTCCCCCAACATCTCCAGTCACCTACTCACCTGCGGGTCTCTGTTAGTCACTTTTGTGACTAACTGGCCTTTAAAGTCAAAAAATTTCAACTTCGGGGGGATCTCTATACAGGACATGTTTCTCAAGGCAGCCAGAACTGATGATTGCACTGTGTGGGATGAACACAAACAAGCCTTTTTGTAATGACAGTTTAATATCTTCATCTTCTGCGTGGAACTCCAGCCAATTAATATTCAGTAGATAAGAAAATGCTCCAGAATAATAGTAAACTATCCATAATTAAGTCCAGCCTGCAACCAAAGGGTTTCCTTGCTGCTTTAGGGGGAGAAGTGGTAATTGGATTAGCACTGGAAATAAATGACTTGGGTACCCAGTGTCTGGGGCCACAGAAGTCTATGGGGCCAGTGTAGCCCAGGGACTTAATTAATGTCTTGATTCTGGCTCATAGTGGGTTAATAGGAATTAACATGTGGCCAGACTTCTGACTTGTTGAGTTTAGGGCCAATTTCATGCAGTGACTGCAATATAGGAGACATTCAATAAATATTTGAAGTAATTAATTATTCAATTGTGCTAAGGGCTGCTTACCTAGTCTCCTTAGTTTCCACCAATCATTTTCCAGATTGCAACATCAGTGATCACTCTAAGCCACAACACTGACCGCTTCATTCCATTGCATATGCCCTTCCATGGCTCCCTATTGCCTTTGGGACAAAGTGAGAGCTCAGGGCTATAACCGAGGATCATTACATGCACCACCACCAGAGACTGGTTCCTCCCTACCAGAAGCCTCCTTTTTTACCATCCCCATTCACACTCCAGGCTCCAACCATAGTGAACAGCATGCAGAACTCCTAGCCTGACACGGTAATTCCTGCCACCATGCCCTAGCAACTGCATTGGCTCAACTATGAACTACTTTCTTCTTCTATCTGCCTGACCTCTACCCATTTGTCAAGACAGAGCTCAGATACTGATCCATCAGGAACCCACCCTGAAAACAGTCATATCTCCCTCTGGAACAGGGTTAGACAACCCATCCTCTGGGTGCTGCAGCTCCTATGCTTGCCCCATGAACTCACAGACCACGCTGAACTGTAAATGCCCATTTACTAATCTGTGTCCTCCACTGGCCTGGGACCTCATTAGGACCTGGACCTGTGTCTGCAAGAGAAGGCTAATAACTGCTACTCTGCAGGGTATCATGAGGATTAAATGAGAAAATGTACATAAAGTGCCCAGCAACATGCCTGGCACATGAATGAGCATAATATATGTTGAATGAATAAATGAATGGGTGAGGATCACACCCCTTGAGATTATTCAGGAATCCAAGAAGAAAAAAGCAGGAGATTTTTCATCCAGAACATGGGATTTAAATGGTATTGACAAACCAGATGTGTGTCCCTGGAAGGGAGATATCAGGACTTATTATCCTCAGATTCAAAGCCCCCTTTGTGTAGAATTATTTTGCAACATCCCTTTTAGTATGATGAAATAAAATCCATGGATAGTATAGCCTACCTACATACTTTTTAAAAATCAATAAAATGTACTATAAAGATAAATAAAAGGAGACAACTTATAACAAAATAATATATATATCAATAAGTAAATGTTCAGACATGACTACAAAGAAACCCTAAGTAATCAGATGTTTGCACCTCTTTCTAATGAGGAGGTTGGGACTGAAGAGACAGAAACCAATATTTAACTGAATATTGTTGACATATTTTCCTATCTATCTGACATTTTGAAATAAGGGCTAAATAAGTACCTTCCTATATTTGTCACAACAAAGGCAGGCTGAGACAGGGGGATTGTATTGGTGTCTTCAATTCCACAGTGGCCTTGCCAACCTCTGCATGATTTTCTGAGATGGTGAACAATTCTTGATAAAATTTTGAACAAAACAAATTACAGTCTTTTCTTTTTCTACCCAGTAGTTTCATTCCTGGAAAGTTAAATGAATTTTAAAACTCTGCAGAAAATACTTTCTTTATATACATTCACTGATAGATAGACTGATTAGATAGATAGATAGATACAAATAGGTAGATAGACAGACAGACAGATAGATAGATACAAACAGGTAAGTAGATAGATGACAGATTAGATAGATAGATAGATAGATAGATAGATAGATAGATAGATAGATAGATAGACAGATAGACAGATAGACAGATAGATAAAGACAGAGAAAGTTCTAAGCATATATAAATGGATTTTTCACTTACACACATGTCCGGTAAGACATGTGAAAGTGTCATGGGGTTCAAATTGATTCTTTGTGACATGGAACTTCCTGGCACGAGGCAGTATAATGGACATCCCTGGCCCCCACCCACCAATTGCTAAGAGCTCTCTCAAATATTGAGACAATCAGAAAGACTCACATCTATAACCAAAATACCTAACAGAGGTAGCACTTCTCCCTTTGAGAACCACTAGAAGTCTGGCTGAACCCAAGAACCCATCAGGCTGGGTAGGACCATCAGGGACTCAGCCCAGTCCCCTTTCTCCTGGTGGAAAGCTCAGCTCAAACCTCCCAAATAGAGAGGCTTCAGAGGAGGCTGTGCAGCATGCAAGCTGGCACATTGGACAGACACCTGGGTGCACCATCCCAGCTGAGACAGGCTCCAAGGATAATGTTTGTAGAAGGGGCTGTGATAAAGAGAGGTTCACACGCCCCTAATGGCCTCCAGCTGCTGCCATCCACACTGTGCCTGTGGGTACAGCCAAACCAGACTGGACCATGGGCTTCCTTCCCAGGCTGAATCCAAATCGAGCTCAGCCACTGGCTCCCTGCAGCCAAAATTCTTAGTGTAGAGGCAAGAGACTTCAGTTCTAGTCTCAACTCTGCTGCCGACCTGCTATGTGACCTGGGCAAGGCACTTTACTTCTCTGGGCCCCACTTCCCCCTCTGTTATGAGAGTTAGAAAAGATTCTCTTCCCTGCCCTGAAAGTTTATGTTACCAGAAAAGAAGCATCAAAATAGAAAAGAAATGCTCAATTCAAGTGACTTTTGAAAGTATATCCTAGTAAAACTGCTGCCAGTACACTTTCAGGAATATAAATGGGTCATTTTGTAATCAGCACATTAATTGCTTGCATTCTAATGATCCAGCACTCAGTGCATTAAAAGAAGGCTGAAACCAGACTGCAAGGGATGAGGTAGACAACAGCCTGAGCAGAGTAAAAGGGCAGCTGAAAGCCCAGAGGCATAAAATTGGACAGATAAAATGAAACCTGTATTTAAAGAGCCTTGAGTGCTAGCCTTAAATTAGAAGCTTGAGTATTATGAAGCAGACATTGGAAGGAACAACGGTGCTGGGAGAGGAGTGGCAACAGGGATATGGTTAGAGTCTGGGACTCAGTGAGCAAGGTGGAAAATGGGGACAGGATCAGGGCTAGGAGGCCAGGTAGGTACATGGAAGACAGGTGCTCCTTTGTCCCTCCCCTTGGTCAGACTTCCCAATGGTAGTCCTGAGAGAGGGTGGTCATTCCTGATCCTCCCCCCTCATGTGGAATCCACGCCTGGAAAACCAGGAAGGAAAGGGACCTGGCTTTTCTTTTTCCTTTGGAACTGGGTTTAATTAACTACCTTCTGGATGCAAGTACTAGGCTGAAAGTTTCACATAATTACAGCATTGATGCCACATGGCACTCTTAGGGTAAATGTCATGATCCTCACTCTACACACAAGGCCCCAGGTTGTGAACTAACCTTTTCAGTTACTCGGCTTGTGGGTGCTAGATCCGGATGTCAAAACCAGGTGTTTCTGACTTATTCATTCATTAATTCATTCCATAACTATGTCTTGGGAGTTTCCTACATGCCTGGCACTGGAACAAGCTCTCTGCTCTCCCAAAACTTACATTTTCATGGTGGAAGACAGAAAATCCACAAGCAAACTAATACGTTCATGAGATTACTTAAAATAGCAAGAAGTAATAACAGAAAATAAAACCAGATAAAGGCATAGAGGTGGGGAAGGGGGACTAACTCTAGTTGGGGGCTAAGGGGGGAGTGCCAGTGAGCAAGTGACAGGTGGGTGGGCTGAGACCTAAAAATTAAAGAAAATTAATGATGAAAAGATCTGTGGGAAGAGGATTCCAGGCAGAGGGACTAACAGGAGCAGTGGCCTTGAGATAAAAAGGACCCATTTGAGGAAGACAGAGAAGACGTGGCCCTTGCTCACTGCAGGTCAGAAGAGGTGAGCAGACATGGATTGTGCATGGTCTCTTGAGTTGGATAGAGTTGGATTTTTTCCTAACAAGCAGCCATTGGATGATTTTTTTTTAAATAAAGAGAGCCATGATCTAATTTACATTTTATAAGACAGTAGACATAGAGTACCAACAGTTGAGGCCAGGAGACCAGTTAAGGTGTTACTGCAGCTGTCTGAGGAGAGGAGAGAATGCCTTGGACTAGGCTGCTAGCAGCTAAGCTGGAAGCCACAGACAGGATGGGATGTAATTGGGCTCTGGCATCAACAAGACTTGACCACAGGTTGTATATGGGAGGTGAGGGAAAAGGAGAACCCTGAACTTTCTCTCTCTGCTTCCCACCCTGCCCCAGGTGGCCCTTGGAGGTCACCTGGCCATGTGGTGCTGGCTGGTCCTCACACGAGGGTCCACACTTTGTGGGCACTGGAGCTCATGCCCCACAGCAGCCCACGGGAGACTCCCAATATGATAGGAAATGCCTTTCCAGAGTGTGCTTTTTTCGTCTTCTAGTGAAATCTACTCCACATAGTTCCAATCCTCTGCTCTGGAGACCCAATAAGGAGAATCACTTCCTTTCCTCAGCACTCCCTCCACAGACTTTGAGACTTCATCCCCCTCCTGCTTTTTTGTGCCCCAAGAAATTGATTCTATTAGTCTGTTTTCACATTGCTATAAAGAACTACCTGAGACTGGGTAATTTATTTTTAAAAAGAGGTTTAATTGGCTCACAGTTCCACAAGTTGTACAGGAAGCATGGCTGGAGAGACCTCAGGAAACTTACAATCATGGTGGAAGGTGAAGGGGAAGCAGGCATGTCTTACATGGCTGAAGCAGGAAGAAGAGAGAGAGAGGGGAGGTGCTACACACTTCTAAGCAACCAGATCTCGTAAGAACTCACTCACTATCATGACAGCAGCAAGGGGAAAGTCCTCCCCCATGATCCAATCACCTCCCACCAGGTACCTCCTCCAACAATGGGGATTACAATTCAACATGAGATTTGGGCGGGGACACAAATCCAAACCATATCATGGATGTTCTCTCTTGAGGCCAGTGGAAGGACTCCCGCATGCTGGCATTTGCTGGTGTTCCTGCTTCTTATGTCATTTGTCTTTGTCTCTCTCTCTCTTCCCTCACAGCCACATCCCCCACCCATTCACTAAACACACATGCACACACACACACCCTCCACATGCACATAAACATACATGCACCCATGGATCGCTGTAATGATAGGATTGATGCTCCCTTTTTGTGCTCATCTCAAGCTGTGTCCCTGCTGCCTGTCTAGGTTCTGAAGTTTCCAGGAGGAAAAATTGAGGAATGGAATCCATTGTGTCTGAGCTGATCACAAAGCAGGAACTCACCAGTACTGGAGCACAAAGGCCCCAGCTGACAGCTTCCCAGAAGGGAGTCTGTGAACAAGAAGATGGCATTGGACCATGGGATTCTCTCCTCCCACTCCTCAAATTTTTGGGACGGGTTGACAAGATGCGCTTCTTTTCCTAAATGGGTTTATCTCAGCTTGTCAGCTTCAGATGTGAACCACCCCCATTTAAGGACTATTTCCAGCCAATTACATCCCCTTTACCATAAAGCACTAGAGAAATTAACAGAGACTAACGGACTTAAGCAGCCCCCAATGGCAAGACCAATGCAAATGACAAGGAAGATCCAGAACTACCCGCCTTTTCTCCCTATTTTCTCCCCTGTCAGTAATTTCTTCTGTTAGCTGAAAATCCCTATTTAGCCAGCCTGCAATTCCTATTTTAGCAGGGCCAGCCAAGAGCACCCCAGGGAAAATCACCAGTGGGAGAAAAGGGCCTTTTGAAGATTAAACATGAGCAAAAAGGGAGAGGCTTTGAACATTGATGGAGGTTCTGGGCTTCCAACTCCAGCTGCAGCTGCAGATCTCACTGAAAAATAAATAGGCAAAGGGGAGAGAGATGGAAGAAGTAACCACTACAAGGATTAGAGGAATTTAGATACTGCAGAAGTGCAAAGAAAAAATGAGCATCAGGAACCCAAATGATTTGTCTGGGCTCTGTTTTTCCGTATGACCTTGGATTGGTCAGTACATCTCTCTGGGCCTTTTTCTTTCAATATATGCTGGTTGATAAATATTTTAGGCTGTGCACAGTGCTGGGTACTAGGGATAGATTCCAAGAAAACAAGATGAAGACCCTACTCTCCAGAAGCTCACATCCTGTGGGAAAGCCAGGAAAACAGACAATTACAACACAATGTGACAAGTGCAATGATGCCCATTCCCCATCTACAAAATCAGCAGCTTAACCTACAAAATGATGGCAATGGTAGCAATAAGTAATGTCTGTTGAGCTCCTGGTCCTCCTGGATGATTGGCATCTCCCTGGCCTCCCACTGCCATGAGCAGGAGTTAAGCAGGAGCCCCAGAGCTCTGGGATTCCTGGCATGGTCTTAACCCTTTCTCCCTCCTCCCTCGATCCCTCAGGACCCAGATGCACCGTCACTGTATGCCTTAGGAACCCGAAATATAATCCCATCATGCCCTGAATCGTGGTTCACATCAGTCACCCCAAGAAGCCAAGGGTTTCCAGGGATTGCCCCTTTTGGGGACTTTTATCCCCACTGGGCTCTATATCCCTACTCTCTCCAATGCTTCAAAACCTCCCACCATGCTCTCTGCAATCCCTTCTACTCTCAACTACACTTCTTCAGAGAACATTTGCTTTCTGGCTTCAAATGAAATCTGACTCTCCCTGGGGACCCTCTGCTCCCTCAGCTCCCTCAAGAGCACCTGTTTTCTCTCCCACACGCCTGCTGTTGCTCATACTGCTCCTCCCTACTCCTCCCTGATGCTCTCGGGACATTGTTCCCTCCCCAAAACTTCCACCTTTGAAGCTCATCCCATCACATTAGAGCAACCATTACCCTCTCCTTTTCTTGGTCATCTTCAGGCTTGCAGGAGGTCACTGACCCTTGGCGCATAGAGATTCTCTCTTCTGAGTCACTGTCACTCTCTTCAACACAGACTTTGTTTCAATATCTATATAGATGTCCTCCCAAAAGCCTGGTCTATCATTCTTTGACTTCCTCTCATCCAAAAGCCACACCTCAGTCACTCACCTTTGTGGTCACACTGTGTAACTTATCATTACAAGAACTGTTTTCATTCCATAACTCAGTTTCAAGCATCCCACACTCTGACCTCTGTTCACTCAGAGGTCAATGATTCTTTGACCTCACTGGGTCCTAGGGTTCATTGATTCTGCCATATTTTCACTGCCCTTTATTCCATATGTTCCCACTTCCCACTTTGCCCAACCAAGAGGTCACAGTCCATCATCATTACGACCACCACCACCACCATCATTATCATCATGTTGCGTTACCCTGTTGGCAGTTTGTATTTTCTAAAAACTGGTCTCAACAGTATCTCCCATCTCACATGCACTTTGTATGCATGTGCATCTCACATTGCCTTCTTATGTGACTTTGACACCCCTCCCATTGAGAGGTGAGTCTGTGCTTCCTCCTTTTGATTCTAGATGGGGCTATGACTATGGCATAAGTGATATCAAGGTAAGTCATAAAAGACAAGAGAGCTTCTGCCTCTTTCTTGGAACCCAGCCACCACACCAGGAGAGGCCCATGTGGAGAAGAATGAAAGCCCTCAGCCCTCAGCTCCAGCTCACAGATGCCAAGCAGAACCAACCTGCCAACCACGTGATTCACCATCTGCATTAGTCCCCTAGGGCTGCTGTATTAAAATACAGCAAACTGGGGTGGCCCTTAAAACAACACAAATTTATTCTGCCACAGTTCTGGAGACTAAAAGTCCAAAATCAAAGTGTCAGCAAGACCACACTCCTTTGGAGGCTCTAGAGGACAATCTGTTCTTTGTGTCTTCCAGCTTCTGGTCCTATAGGCATTCCTCAACTTGTAGCTATATGACTCCTATCTCCTCCCTGTGGTCACATTGCCTCTACCTCTTCTGTATGTCAAATCTCCCTCTGCTTGTCTCTTATAGGACACTTGTGATTGTGTTTAAGAGTCACCTGGATAATCCAGGCTAACTGCCCCATCTCAATATCCTTAACTTTAATTATAGCTGCAAAGACCCCTTTTCCAAATAATGTAGCATTTACAGGTTCTAGGGATTAAGATCCTATATCTTTGGGGGCCATTATCAACCTGCTAGACTGTCTTAAAAGTGAATCCTCCATTTTCCGGTTAAACCATCCCAGCTGAGCTGAGACAAGCTGTTCCTACCAAAGCCCTGCCAAAAATTAAAGATTCACAACCAAAATGAACAATTATTGTTATTTTAAGCCACCAAATGTTGCAGTGGTTTGTTACACTGCAATAGATAACAGATACAACCCTCACCTTCCTCATTCCTTTCTTGCCTCATTACCCTTGCTGGCTTTATCCAGCTCTCCCCCTGCTCTCAACCTGGACCCAGCAGGCAAAAGTGATAAGAGGGAAACACACAACCCTACTGACTCTGCCCAGTCTAAATACACAGCCATTAAGCTCAAGCAGGCCCTGTGGCCTCCCAGCCAACCAATGACATTGTCCCAGTAAGAATCACTCCCTGCTCTCCCAGTTGGTCATTTCACCCCTTGTTTCTACTCATATCTTCACTGCCTCCTCCCCAGCCTCAGTCTCAGATGATATCCTTGATTCCTATTTCATGAAGACCATAGAAGCAATCAGAAGAGAAGTCTCATGGTTTCTCCACCACATCTGCCAACCACGCCCATCCACACTCACTGCTTTCCCTCCTACTCCCATGGATGACCTTCCTATGCTCCAGCCTCCCCACGTGTCCACTGATCCTATCCTCAAAGACACCACTCGGTCTCCCTGTCTCCTGCATCGTCATTTCTAACCTCTCTGCTGAATCATTCTCATCAATGCTAGACATGTTTTATTTTTCCCATTCCTCTCTAGCTACCATCCATTTTTTCTCCTTTAAAATAAAAGAATGGTTTATACTCAGTCTCTAATGCCTTTCCTCCCATTTTCTCTTGAACCCACTCTAATCAGACTTCACACCCCCACCCATTTTACTGAAAACAATGCTTGTCAAGGTCACCCATGATACTCTCCACCCACAACATTGCCAAAGTCGAGATCTTTCATCGGTCCTGGTCTTCCTTAACCCATCAGCAATGATATTAGTTTCCTAGGGGTGCCGTAACAAATTACTTTGTTGAAGGTAACTTCAACAAAAGAAATGTATCTGTAACAGTTCCGGAGGCTAGAAATCCAAAATCCAGGTTTCAGCAGGACCATGCTCCCTCTGAAGGCTCTGGGGAAGATCTTTCCTTGCATCTTCCAGCTTCTAGTAGCTCCTGGCTTTTCTTGGCATTTGTTGGCTTGTAGCTGAATCACCCCAATCTCTCCACCTGTCTCTGTCCTCGCACGGCCTTCTTCCCTTTGTGTCTCTGCGTGTCCTCTCTTCTTCTTATAAGAAAAATAGTTGTTGGAGTTAGGGTCCACCCTAATCTGGTATGACCTTATCTTAACTAATTACATCTGAAAAGATTCTATTTCTAAAAAAGATTACATTGTGAGGTTCCTGGTAAACATGATTTTAGGGGAAACACTGTCCAACTCACTACAGCAACATTTAGCAGAGTTGATCATTCCTTCTAAGAAACACGTCTTTCTCTTTGCTCCCAGGACACCACGCTCTCTGGGCTTTCCTCCACACCAGTGAGCACTCCTTCTCAGTCTCCTTTGCTGGTGGCTCCTCATTTCAGCCCTCAGAGGCCTTCTCTTTCCTACTCACTCTTCTTTTCCATGTGATCTTGTCTAACCTCATGTCTTCAAATCTCATCCACATGCTGACAACTCCAAAATTCCTTCCTCCAGCCTCAAGCTCTCTCCTAACATCTATCTTGGATGTTTAGGGGCATCTCAAACCTGATATGTCTCAAACCAAACTTCTAATTATCTCCACAGCTTTAAAAAAAAATAAACTAAAATGCTGTTCCATCCATAGAGTCTCTCTTCTCAGTAATTGGCAACTCTAACCTTCTTTTTCTCAGGTCATAAAATTTAAAGTCATTCTTGATTGTCTTTTCTCACACATTACCTCCAACTGGACACAAATTCTGTTGATATTTACCTTCAAAATGTATCCCATATTCAACCACTTCTCACAACCCCACTGATGGTCCAACCCACCATCATCTTGCTCAGAGCAGGGATCAGCTAAATTCAGCCCACCACCTATTTTTGAAAATAAAGTTTTATTGGAACACAACCACATCCATTTGTTTACATGTCATCTGTGACTACTTTTACATTCCAAGGGCAGAACTGAGTAATTGCAGCAGAGACCACATGGCCCTCAAAACGGAAAATATTTACTCTCTGTTCCTTCACAAAAAAATATTTACCAATCCTTGGCCTAGATTATTACAATCATAGGTCCTTCTATTTTCACCCTTGTCCCCACTGTAGCTGATTCTTAACCCAGCAGGCAGAGTGATGGCTTTTAAGCCATCAGACTCTATCACTTCCCTGCTCAGAACTCTTCACTACCCGCTGCGCTCACTCGCCCCACCTCACCTGATATTGCAGCACTAACCCCAGCTACCCCTCTGTCTTTATCTGCAGCTACTTTCTGCCTCAAATTTCTCCAGCCACAGCAGACATGTCCCTGTTTTTAGGACACTCCAGACATCATTTCCCTTTGTGGTCATTGCCTTTTCTATTCTTTCATCCTCACCAAGCTCACTTGCACAACTCTCATGTCCTCGGGAGACCTCCCCAGCTCACCCTGTATCAAATAGAGCCATCCCACAAGCACTCACTACCCTTCTTAATCTGCTCCATTTCTCTCCAAAGAACTTATTGCCATCACCAAAATATACATTCTCTTAGTTATTTGATCATGACTTGTCTTGCCTTCTTGCTGTCAGGCATTCTGAAAGATACACACTGTTGTATCCTGAGTACTTAGCTGTGTCTGGAACATAGTAGCTGTGTCTGGAACATTCAATGTGTTGAATGAATGACTAAAAGAATGAATGCTCAAATCCCAGTCTCTGTGCTAAGCCAATGACATGCGTTGGATCACTGACCGCATGACAGCCCCATGCAATAGGCATTGAGGCTCAGAGCTCAAGGACACCCATCCAGGTCTAAAAGTCAAGTGTAACACCAAAGCCCACTGCCCTAACCACCTCCACCTCCTAAAATTTTGCTGGTCTTTACATTTTAGAAAATATTTTAATATACATGTTCATATTTCTAGCAACTCAAGTGTTCATTGATGGATGAATAGATAAGCAAGATGTGGTATATGCCTATAATACAATGTTATTTGGCCTTAAAAAGGAAGGAAATTCTGGACCAGGCACAGGGGCTCATGCCTGTAATCCCAGCAATTTGGGAGGCCGAGGCGGGTGGATCACGAGGTCAGGAGTTCAAGACCAGCCTGGCCAAGATGGTGAAACCCCGTCTCACCATAATTTTTAAAAATTCAAAAAGAATCCATATTTCTTTCTCATTACAAACTCTCAAGGGGGTATAGGCTCTCCAGTTTTCAGAAGAGAAATGAGAGGTTCAGAAAGTGAGGTGGGCCAGGCCAGGGCTGCTGGAGGCAGCACCTTGAACCCAGGTCCCTCCTGCCTCTCGTTTCCACAGTGCCCTTTGCTTTGTACCATCCTGTGCTCTCCTACGGCAGCACAAACATTTCCCTCGTGTATTTACTGTATCTTAAATGACCGAAAATTTATTTACTCCATTGCTTTGGTGGATTAGGAACTTCCGGGAACTTCTTTCTTCTTTGCCCTAATCTGGTCCTAGTTGGTGTGGGACAAGTGAACACAAACTACAGAAAATGTCTCTGAAGAGCCAGCAGGAGGGGGGCCAATGGGAGATGTTAGAACATTAGCATATGTAAATTGGCAAGGGTAAAGAAAACTGGGAAAGCTGCTATTTTATCATTTGTGGTAATTATAGTAATTTAGAGTGGTGAATCAATGAGTTCCTGGAGGTAAAAGCATCTCGGAAGGATAATGTGGTGTGATTAAGAAGTTCTGATTAAGAACCACTGTCATTTTCACTTGGAAAAGGTGAAGAAAGAGACTGGGATCAAAAGTTCAGTAACAAAAGTCATGAAGGTAGGGACTTCAGCCTGCCAGGCCCCGTCCCCAGTGCTAGGGACACAGAGAAGAAATCAGTAGCTCCCTGCCTTGCAACTCTTACAAAGGAAAGACAGCCACAGAAAATGACTATTGAAACACACCATGATTCATTCAGCGATCATGCTTGCAAAGGAGTAAGGAGAAATGATGAACTTTGTCTCAGGGAGAGCAGTGGTCTGAAAGAGCTTCAGATATTAAGGGTGACACCGGAATAGGGTTTTGCAGGATCAATAGGAGTTTGCATGTGGAAGAAACAGTGTCTGTGAAGCATGGAGTGAAAGTGCTTTTGGAGAATTCCAAAGGAAAAGCGGAGAGTTGTTTATAAAGCTGGAGATACTGGCAAGGCCTGATACTGGAGCCTTGAGGGCCACTCTAGGGAGCTTGGACATACACTAGCAACTGCTGGGAGCCATAAAGACAGATGCAGGGAGTGATTTGGTCAGAACAGAATTCTTTTTTAAAGCCTGGTGAAGGGAGCCAAAGAGTTAGTGCAACAAACGAGGGACTATGATAGAGGGTCGGGGGCAGGGGACAAGAGTCAGAAGGTCAGAGACAGGAACAAGTTCCTGAAATAGAAGCAGGAGGCTCAGAGACAAGCAATGTGGAACTCCACGAGTCACAACTGAAAGAGGCCTTAATAACCATCTATTTCAACCCCCCATTATACAGGTGAACAAGCCAAGGTTCAGAGAGGTTAAGGCACTTGTTTGATGTCTTACAACTAGTAAACAGCAGAGCAGGTCTATTTGACTTCAAAGTCCAAGATTTGTCTACCACTCCACAAACCTCTGGGACATAAGACAAAACAGTCAGTTATCCCAAGACCCTGTCATTTCACAGCAGTATCAGAGACCAGTCAGTGGACTCTGCCTTCCATATTGTCTTTGAGGGTGACAAGCTCAGGGAAGACCTGGGTGCTGTTGTCAAGCCCCTGAAGGACTTCCCTGTGGTGAGGCAGGGGAGAAGATTTTATTTCCATGCCTATTATGAAAGTCTGATCACTGTCCAGCCAAGAGAACAGTGGAACAATTAGACCTGTCTATCAATAGGGTATCCATCCTAGGAGACAGTGAGTTCCCTGTCCCTGGGAGTATGCTAGACAAGGCTAAATGTTCAGTTCACCAGGATGCATAAGAGTGGATTTGTGAACTCTGAGAGATTCTTAAGATCCCTTTCAATTCCAGGGTTCTATGATCTTTGCACGTTGAGAAATATCCTTGAACAAGCCAAACATCCTTTCATAAGCTGAAGCTGAAGAATTGTTTATTAATTCATTTACAAGCAAAGCATATTTTGAAAAACACTTAGATGGGAGAAGCACAAGAAGCAGAGAGAGGACTCTAAGGGGATATTTCATACAGCTGGTCTTGAAGGATGAGAAGGAGGGACAGGGTTCCAACAGCAGGAACAGCAAATGCTAGGGCCCAGCGTCAAGACAGACCACAGCAGGTCAGCATGGCTGCTGGCAGGGCAGGGCATGCAGAGGGCTAGGGTGAGAAGAGGCTAGAGACGCTGGCAGGGATAGCCCTGCCTTGAGGGATTCGGGGGCCTATGACGAGTCTCCGGCAGCAGTGATGTGTGTTTTAGAAAGTTCACACTGACAGCCATGTGGAGTTGATGTAACTCGTTCCTTAAGACTATTTTAGGTAAGAAGGAAAATAAAACCCTTCCTTGGCTCCGAAACAGGAATGGGGGACATGAGTGTTTCCCTCATGGTCTGGGGCAGGGGACTCCACCAGCATCAGAACCCCAGAAGTCCTGGAGCTCTTCCCGGTGCTGGGGGCCACATCCCCAGGATACCTGTGGTGGCCAGGACCTCTGAGCTTTGGCCCATGCTGGCCCTCCGAACACCAGCTCCTTGCACGAGGCCTCAGCCGGGCCTTACCACCGACAGATGGAGCGTTTGTTGACGCTCCGGTGACAGCTTGGAAACTCATCTCCTCCCTCCGAGCCGGCCCGTTCCACCTCGTCCTCCCATCTGCCATCTCATTTTAAAACTAGCAGAACAACTCAGCTAGAGCAATTCTGACTTTTTCCATCTGTGCCGAGTTAATTAAGAGGGTAATGAGAGCTGGGAATGAACGAGTCCTGCATTAATTCAAGATATGATTAAGAGAAACATTTCTAAAATGTATATACTCGTGTGTGCAGAGAACAAGGCCTAATGAGTTGGGTGTGCACCCCAGGCCAAGGGCCTCAGCTGTGTCTGCAAACACACAGGGCCTCCGTAGGAGGGCCCAAGGGAAGCAGGGAGATGGGAACCCAGCCCGTTTGGAGCAGGTGCCACCATGAGTTTGAGCCCCAGGAAAGAGGCCTGTGTGGTCATGGGAAGGAAGACAAAGTCCGCCTTAGAGTCTACTCCCAACATAGGCACTCCACAAACACATATGCATCACCCAGGGTGTGCCTGCCGCAGTGAAAAACAGAGACAAGGGGTAGCTAGGTCTTCTCTTTACTAAAAATTTCATTTGTTGATTATCTAACCACCTATCTAAAAGAGTCCCAGATACATCTAAAATTTTACTAAAGATCAGCAGAATAAAAAGCTGAGAACAGAATCCAGGTCTTCTAACTCCCAGTCCAATAGGCCTCCAAGTAAAAATGGCAGTGATGATGAATAATAATGCATAAATAGCTAACGTTCATTGAGCCCTTACTATGTGTCAAGCATCATTCTAAGGACTGTGTTTATGTATTATCATTTAATTCTCACAAAGACCTTAAAAGATAGCTATCACTGGTACCATTTCTCTTTTGTAGATGAGGAAACTGAGGCTCAGAGGTATTAAGAGACTCGTCTCATATGCCACAAATAAGAAGTGGCAGAGATAGTATTTGAACTCAGATCTCTAAGATGCCAGAACTAAACTATACTGTTAAATACCAGCCCCTGTTCTCAGACAGACAGACAGAGAGGATGGCCCAATTCAGTGCTTTGGGGGCATAGAGGAAGGTGATCTTACCTGACCTTGTGTGATTAAGGGGGAGAAGACCAAAGAAGCCTTCCTGGAGGAGGTGATGTCTGGGCTGACTCTGAAATGACCCAACTTCAACACTGTTTACTGAGTGTTCACAGGTGCCAAGCAATCTGCCAGCCCTCTAACATGCCTTATGTCATTAAACCAGGCCACCTTGGGATAGAAGCATCAGCGTCCCCATGTGATCAATGAGGAAAGGGAAGTTAAGGAGAGTGAAGTTCAGAGCAAAGGTCACCACCCCAAGCCTTCCAGCTTGTGAGTGGAAACAGGACTCGAACTCAGGGCACTCTGAGTCTAAAGCAGGCACGGGGCCTCAGCCCACAATGGGTGTGCTCAGAAGTAGGGTGGGAGGATGACAGGATGGGAGTGCCCTGAGGATGTCAGGAAGGGCTGAGGGATGCAGAGGTCACGGATACCTGGATTCCAGTCCCTGCTCTCCCACCAATCCTTTGAAAGACCTTGGGCAGTCATTCGCCTTCCCCATCGGCACCATGGAATGACTGGATGAAGGCCCCTTCAGACCTAGGATTCCATGTTCATGTCCACCTCCAGTGGCCTGGCCCAGTGCAGAGCTGTTTTCTCACCCTGCACCTCACCATGCACCTTCTGGCTGTCCATCCTCCAGAGTCAAGCTCACACACCAAAGCCCACCTCCAAGACCCATTACAATCCATCCCCCAACTTTCCTTTCCCCCTCACTCCCCCAAACCCAAGCTCTTGTCTTACTGAACATGACTGAAAGTTCAGGTGGCCTGCAGGGCCCTGAAGGGCTAAATGGAAGTCAACACTATCACCTCTGTTCTATTCCCTGACTCTCCACCTCTCTCTCCATGAAGCCAGAAAAATGGGAGGCATTCTTGCCTCCTCAGCCTCAGGCCTGACCAGTGACTGTGCATTACGTCCTGCAGATTGTCTCTGAAATGTCTGTTGACCTCCCTCCCCATGAGTCCTCACTGCCACCACCCTAGCCAGGCCACATCTCTTCCCTCAGCTCATTGCAGCACCTTCCCAAAAGGGCTCTCTCCCTCCCACATTGCCCCTCCAGTTCCCTCCCAACAGCCACTATACTATATAAACAGATTTTTTTTTTGCAAAAGTAGTATTTTATTACAGAAGACTATCTAATTTACAAATCAATACAGTAGATATTTCGAAGAAAACATTTAAGCATCATGAAAGAATGCATGAATATAAAAAAAAACTCAATGTGCAAGATTCAACAAGGAAATGCACAGGAAAACTTATTTTTGAATTATGTGGTTGTTACTATGCCACTGAGAAGGCAAAATAGAACTCCTCTTCCAGAGGCCAAAAATGGAAGGAGACCTTCAGAATCTAGCAGAAGCATTTCCACACACTGGCTTCCATAGTCTGGTGTGTGTGCAGAAATGTTGTCTTTAGATTCAGGGAGTGTTTGCTCTTTGGAAGGAAAGGAGTGAAGACATTTCATTTGGCTGCCCTTTGGGGTTTTCTGCTGCTTTTTGGTGGGCTGCTGTTATCGGTTGATTCTCAGGAGCTTCTGAGGCTCATTGGAATCCACAGTCTCTCAAGATGCAGGGTTTGTTTTTGTTTTTCCAATCAATGGTTACATCACTTTTTCTAACAGAATGAACAGCAACCACCTCATAACTATTAGGATGGCTACTATTAAAACACACACACACACACACACACAGAAAAAAATAGTGAATCAGAACCCTTGCCCACTTTTGATGGGAATAGAAAATGGTGCAGCCACTATGGAAAACAGTACAGCCATTCCTCAAAAAATTAAACATAGAATTAAAATATGATCCAGCAATTGCACTTCTAGGTATATGCCCAAAAGAATTGAAAGCACAGACCTGGACATGTAAATCCACGTACATAACAGCATTATTCACAATAACCAAGAGGTAGAAGCAACCCAAGTGCCCAGTGTCCATCAATGGATGAGCAGATAAGCAAAATAGGGTTTATACCTTCAATGGGATATTGTTTGGAAAACGAAGGAAATTGTGATGCATGTTACAATGCAAGAGGAATCTTAAGGGCATTATGTTAGGTGAAATAGGCATGTTATAATATGGCAAACACTAAATGTTTCCACTTATATAAGGTACCTAAGGTAGTCAAACTCATAGAAACAGAAAGTAAGATGCTAGTTGCCAGTGGGTAGGGAGAGGGAGGAATGTGGAGTGATTGTTTAACGTGTACAGTTTCAGTTCGGGAAAATGAAAAGCATTCTGGAGATGGATGGTGGTAATGGTTGCACAATGTGAATGTACTTAAAGACACTGAACTGCACACTTAAAAATGATTAAGATGGTAAGTTTTATGTTATGTGTATTTTGCCATAATTTTTTTTAAACTTTAAATGTATTTTTTAAAAAAGGAATGGACAGTGAAAGATGTGGCTCCAGCCACTACAAAGTTTACAAGAACCACTAGTGAAATAAGTTCCTTCTTTTTTGTATTTTTTAAAATATTTTAACTTTTATTTTAGGTTCAGGGGCACATGTGCCAGTTTGTTATACAGGTAAACTCATGACTTGGGGATTTGGCATACAGATTATTTTGTCACCTGGGTATTAAGCATAGTACCCAACAGGTTTGTTTTTGTTTGTTTGTTTGTTTTTGTTTTTGTTTTTGTTTTTTCAGAAGCTCCCTCTCCTATCTTCCTCCCTCAAGTAGGCCCCAGTGTGTGTTGTTCTCCCTTTTGGTTCATCTGTTCTCATCATTTAGCTCCCACTTATAAGGGCAAACATGTAGTATCTGGTTTTCTGTTCCTGTGTTAGTTTGCTGAGAATAATGGCCTCCATCTCCATCTATGTTCCTGCAAAGGACATGATGTCATTCTTTTTAATGGCTGCATAGTATTCCATGGTGTATATGTACCACATTTTCTTTATCCAGTCTACCATTGATGAGCATTTGCAAACTATACATCTGACAAAGATCTAATATCCAGAATCTACAAGGAACTTAAACAAATGTACAAGCAAAAAAACAGACAACCCCATGAAAAAGTGGGCAAAGGACATAAGCAGATACTTTTCAAAAGAAGACATACATGTGGCCAAAATACATATAAAAACACACTCAGTATTAATCATCATTACAGAAATGCAAATCAAAACCTCAGTGAGATACCATCCCACACCAGTCAGAATGGCTATTATGGATCAATCAACATATAACATTTTGAAACATTCTGGAAATAAGAGTGTAGATAAATCAAGATTAGTCAGGAGTTGACCATTGTTAAAGCCAGACAATGGGACCATGGGGTTTTATTATGCCATTCTCTCTAATATTGTATACGCTTGAAGATTCCCATATTAAAGGGGATTTTTGTAAAAAACAAAAAAAAAAGTTAAAAAATAACATGCTGGCAAGATTGTAAAGAAAAGGGAATGCTTACTCACTGCTGGCGGGAGTGTAAATTAGTTCAACCATTGTAGAAAGCAATGTGGTGATTCCTCAAAGAACCAAAAACAGAACTATCAGTCAACCCAGCAATCCCACTACTGGATATATACCCAAAGGAATATAAACCATTCTACCGTAAAAACACATACAGCTAGGTGCAGTGGCTCTCGCCTGTAATCCCAGCACTTTGGGAGGCCAAGGTGGGTGGATCACCTGAGGTCAGGAGTTCAAGACCAGCCTGGCCAACATGGTGAAACCCCGTCTCTACTAAAAATACAAAAATTAGCTGGGCATGGTGACATGCGCCTGTAGTCCCAGCTACTCGGGAGGCTGGGGCAGGAGAATCACTTGAACGTGGGAGGCAGAGGTTGCAGTGAGCTGAGATCGCACCACTGCACTCCAGCCTGGGTGACAGAGTGAGACTCCATCTCAAAAAAAAAAAAATTAAAAACACATGCATACGTATGTTCATCGCAGCACTATTCACAAGAGCAAAGACATGGAATCAAGTTTCTTCTTCTTGGTCGGAATCTGGAGTTGGGAGGAGGCTGAGGCTGGCCTCGCTGCAAGCATGGTGGATGGAGCTAGTGGGAGGGAGATGTCGATGATCAGATACAATGAGGTGATGAAGGTGCCTCCTGCTCTGACCTTCCCTGACTCCCCAAAGCTTCTTTCAGGTCATATCACTCATTCTTCATGAATACAGACAAACTCACCATTTCACAATTATGCCCTGTGCTCTGCACACGGGTCTGCCCATGTCATTCCTTCTGCATGGAGGTTGCTAGCCCATTGCTTGTTAAGACCCAAAATATCCTTCTCTAGGAGACATCCCTAGTCAAATGTTGCCCCCGACCTCCAGACACTCACAGCTCTCTCAGCACTCACTGACTTCTCTCTGCTCTTATCCTGTCTTGCATCCTTGTTTCATCTCTTCTAGACAAGGAGCTTTCTGAGCATGGACTTTCCATGACAGATTCATCCTGTATCCCCCATGGTGCCTACAACCATTCTCTCTACACAGTAGATATAGCCATTAAGCTCAGGTTTGACTACTTATCACTGAAAACCCAGTATAACTGTAGTTTCAACAAGAAACTACTCTCAAGTAAAAGAAGCAGACATTGGGGATCCAAACTTCTATTGTTTTTCCCATCATATGTAATGTGGCTTCCATTTGCAAATCCTCCTCACTATCCAGAGTGGCTGCTGGCATTCTGGCCATCCTGCCCGGGGCAGGGGGTGCAGGAAGAAGGAGGGTACAAAGAAGGTCAATCATTTGGATCATCTTCTTAAGGCACCTCAAGAAGATGCCTTCGTGAAAACTTCACACAATCTGTTTAGATCTCATTGGGCAGAACTCAGTCACTTGGACACATCTAAAAAGGAGGCTGGGAAATATAATCTTTCAGCTGGGCATTTTGTCATTACAAATAAGACTGAGATTCTGTTGCAAAGAAAGAAAGGATGGACATTAGATGGAAACTAGCAAACTCTCCAACATTTGGTGCTGATGGATAGTGAAGAGCTGACTGTGTAAGTGAACAAATGAATCCTGGAATCATGTGGACCAAGCCTCCTGGCAAAGCTTTGATAAGCAGAAGCTGGACACTAATTACTCCTCCAGGACTGTTTTACCTCTCCTTTTCATTATCTCCATGGAATGTTGAAGTCACAAATATATTTTTGGGGTCATCCACTTCACCCTTACCATTTTCCTTTCTATAAGACAGAAGGAGACATGAAAAATGAAGTCGTTTTGTAGTTCAAATCCTGGAGCCAATAATTACCAGCTTTAGGATCCAGGCATGTTATTTCTCTAAGCTTCAGTTTCTTCATCTGCAAAATGGGAATCACGTTCCACCTCTCAGAAACACTGGGAGAGTTCATTGAAATAACAAAAACAAGGTGCCTGGCGCAGTGCCTAGCATCTAGTAGGCTTCTATCCTGCTGTCCCCATGCCTGCCTCAGTGCCACCATCTCTCATTCTCTTAAAATCTGGAGCTCAGCTGGCTGCCAGGTAGTTTCCACCAAGGGGACTTGCAGTGAAAATTGGACATAGCATATGTGAAACTTCTGGCACAGAACTGGCCCAGAGTAGAGCTTGTGGAAAAGTAGGAGCTCCAGCATTAATGGGTGCTTATTTAAGTATTTCTATCTTAAACCTCAGGAAAAATGCATTTGAGGCCCAAAGAAGTAATCATCAAAATGGTAATGCATTCTCCAGCGTCTATCTGTAACAGAGCCAGAGAAATGCTAGAGAAAGGTCATTTGGTGGTTCACCACAAAGGATCCCATCAAGGTAGTCATTCATTGCAGCTACAGGTGAGATCAATTTGTCCTCTAGGAGATAACCTCCTCCCTCCCCAAACTGCTGCTTTGTTTTAGTTTGTATTGTTTTATTTTATTATTTTATGGAAACCAGCCTTTCTAGGGGCAATGTGATAGTGCCTGAATAAGCTCTTAGAAACTTTCTTGGAAAAACCTTAGAAAAATAGCAATGGCTAACATTTGTTCAAGACTTATGATGTTTCAGGCACCGTGCTAAGCACTTTCAATCTATGATCTCATGCTTTCTTGACCAGACCTTTTGAGATTGTTATCAGTAAATCCATTTCACAGAAAAGGAAACTGAGGCACAGAGAGGTTAGGTCATTTATTCATGGTCACACAGCTAGCAGGCAGAGGAACCAAGACTAGAAGGCAGGTCTCTGTCTCCAGGCTATACCAGACAAAATGCAGAAATGCAGGCATGGGGTTAAGTCTCAGCCCTGCTCGGATGACCTTTGCCCCTTTTGGAGGCTCAGTTTCCTCATCTGAGAAATGGCAGGGGCTTGGGCAGCTGCAAACAGTGTTGCTTCTTCTAGCTCTAGCCATCCATGAACTAAATCTTGGTTTTATTTTTGGATCATTGAGCTAAACAAGGAAACTATTGTCTCCGTTAACAATTCTTATCAGATTTTCCCAGTCTGAAACTTGACTTCCTAGACTGGAAACTGTGTCAAAAATCCCCAGAAGACAACAGCTGTCAGTAGCTCAAGTCACCCGGCAGAACACCTGTGTTCACATCAGAGCCCTGAACACATGGAGCATCAGCAGTGACAGCTGGGTGGGCACTGGAGATTGTGATTGAATGGCACTTGAAATCCATCCTCCTTCTACGTACCCTCCTCTAGTACTGCAATGTGGAGACACTAACTACACTGCCCAGATGCACTTGCAGCTAAGGTTTTGGAAGCAAATCTGATTCCACCAATGAGATGCATTCATGTGAGATTCAGATGGCAGAGGAAGGCACAGGCCATCTTCCTACCTCCATTGCCACTGGAAAGCAAGGCTGTAGAGACACGGATGTCGCCTCAGCTAGGCTCAGTATTCCACGGTCTAGCCACCAGCTTCATGAATGAGGGGAGAAGGTGAGGCATCAGCAGCAGCTTCCTAACCTCTGGACCACAGCTACAATTGCGTGCCCTTTCAATCAATAGACCATTGGTAGCTCCATGACTTCCTCATCCCAATTCTTTCAACCATTTGGAAGGCCTGATGCCCAATATTATTTTTTTGCTTCAAATCCTTTGGATTCTGTTACTACACTTCATCCTGATATCAAAACTAATAATATGAGTATTGGTTCACCTTATCCAGGCTTTGCAGGAGAGTCCAAGTGGAATCTTAGTGGAAACTTCGTTTCCCAAGTAGAAACTTAGTTTCTGACACGTCACCACTACTCTCTTTTGAATCCAGCAACTGCATATTTTTGCGACCAGCAAAGTCTGAGACAGGCCCATTATTTTCCCCTTGAAACAGCCAGGCTGCAGCCTTCCTCCAATGCAGGGAAACACAGTGATGAATAGAACATAATTATTGGTGTTCATTATAAGAGGCAGCCCAAACTAGCCAAAATGTGAGGCAGAAGGAAAGAATGCACCAAACTAAACAGTAGGGTGCTACAAAGGCATGATTTTGGAAAACAGGAACCTTCTCATCTAAAGAGGAGGCAGACATGTACCAAGCTGACTCTAAGATAAAACCCAATGACAAGTTAAAATTTTTTTTACTGCATACCTACTATGATGCCAGAGTCTGGAAGTACCAAATGGAGGAAGATGCCACATGCCATAAGTGCTGAATCTGACCAGGAGAATCAAGGAAAATGTCACAGAAGAGGTAGCATAGGGGCAGACCTCAAATGCTGGGAAGGGTTTTACTTGGAAGAAAATGGGACCTGTATGAGTAGATCATAGTGAGTTCAGCCAGCAGACCAGTGAGGCTATAGCAAGGTGCATATGACAGAGGCAGAGATGGAGATGACAGCAGGGAAGAACCAACCACAAAGGCCTTGACTGCCACACTCATGAGATAGATTTCATTCTATAGTCACATTTCCTTTCTTTATTCACTCAACAAACATCTGTCAAATACATACTGTGCACCAGCCATTGTGCTGTGCATCAGGGATACGGTAGTGATTAAAAGCATCACTGCCCTGACAACATTTTTCTTCCAATAGTGTTTTGATGAAAGAAATGACTCTATGTGACTGGGTTTGGAGGGAAAAGACCAGGGTTAGGGGAATGGTAGGTATCTTTTGTTTTGTTTTCCTAGTAACTCCCTTTCTCCCTTTCTTCTAGGAATTCCCCTCACTCTATCCATGTCCTGAAAAGCTCCTATGTGCCCCCAGTGTCTTGGCCACAACTGCTTGCACTGAGAAAATCACCGGAGTGAGTCAGCTTTAGCACATGGCACTTAAAGAAAGCCAGGAAGCCCCACTTCGGTGCTTAGTCCTATAAGGTGTGAGGCTTTAGGCAAGGCATGTGTGGAGGTGAGATGCAAAGATAGATGCTATGGCAGGAATGGGGATTAGGAGGCAGAGAAAGAAAAATAACATAAGCAAAGAAGACATCCTTATGGAAAGGACTGGAAGCACTTGAAGTCCTGGTACCAGCCATTCCTGAGACCCAGCCACACTCCTGCTCTTGGATTCCAGGAGGCACTGAGTATCCTTCCAGTAAATTCCATTTTCTGCCTATGTCAGGCCAACCTGGGTGTCTGTCCCTTGGAGCCCACAGTGCTCTGTGTAATACAGCCAGTTGGGCAACTCTTGCAAGAATCTGACTGAGAGATGCTAAATCCCTGGCTAGAAGCAGAAGTGGACACAATTATGTGGGGGGTGAAGGGGAGCAAATGCCGAGAGAAAGAAGCAAGGTCACAATCACTACCCTCAAGGACCTGAGACCAAAGATGAAAAACACAACATTAAGAAATCCCATATTTTCACAGTGCTTTGCTGCTTCCAAAGGAGAATGATAAACAGACTCTTACTGCTTCATTTATTCATTCAACAAATACTTAATGTGCTAGGGGGCACTTGCCAGGCACTCTCCAAGGTGCTGGACGTCGTGTGAACAAGACAGACTCCATCTCTGGGCTCATGGAGCTTGCAATGCAGAAGGGAAGAGAGACAATAAACCATTCAATAAATATATGATTAAAAGCTGTGGTAGGAGTGCCATGAGGAAGCACAACAGTGTGCACTGACAGAGAATAACAAGAAGCCTACTTTAGATGGAGAAGCCCTCTGTGAAGACACAATCCATGAACTAAGATAATGAGAAAGAAACAATTGTGTGAAGACTGGGAGCGGGCACTCCAAGGAGAGGAACAGATTGTGCAAAGGTCCTGAGGTAGGAACAAGCTTCCCAATGAGGCCAACAGAATGCCAGTGTGGCTGGAAGGGAGTAAGCAAGGGCAAAAGGGTGGTAGGAGAGGAGCTAAAGAGGTGGCTGAGCAGCCCAAAGAGGGATCTCCTGGACCATGGAAGGAATATGGACTTTCTTCTCAGTACCTACAAGGAAATACTTGATGCTGGGTTACCTCTCCCACTCTCTAGGTGCAGAAACTTGGGCTGATAGATGTGAAGTGACTTGCTCAAGGTTAGCAAATAAATTAACACTATAACTTCTAATGTAATGCAGCAAGTTTGAGGAGGGAGAAAAAAGAGACTTCTCTAGAGAGAAAGCCCAACAGCAGTGAAGGGGATGATAGAGGCACATTTCATGGAGAAGGTGGCATGGAGTGGGGCCATGGGGGAGAGACTCACTGGACTGTGGGATGCTACATGGATTGTTTTTGACTTGCTTCTGAGGACCACTAGACCAGTGTTACTCAAAGTACTGCCTGTGGATAAGCAGCATCAGCATCAACTGGGAACTTTTAAGTAAAGCAAGACTCTCAAGTCCCACCTCAGGCTCAGTGATTCCAGGACCCTGGGGATGGAATCCAGGAACCTGAGCACTAACACACTCTCCAGGTGATTCCCATGCATGTTGTAGAGTGCCTTACGATGGGTCCCCAGCCCTGAGAGTAGCTGACATCTTCCATTTGAACCTCAGTTACTAATATGCACAAACACTCCAGAGTCTACTACTATCTAATTTTGTGGTAATATTTGTAGTTTCCTTATTCACGTTGTCAATAACTTACACACAATGACATGCAATGCTCTTAAGGGTACAGATTGATGAATTTTTCCATTTTCATATACCTGCAAAACCATCACCCAAATTAAGATGTACAATATTTCCCACCCCATAGAACATATTTATGCTCCCTTCCAATCTGTTCTTCTCAAAGGAAACCACTATTCTGAGCACTATCTCCATAGAATACTTTTGCCTGTTCCTAAGCTTCATATAAATGGGATTACACCATAAGCACTCTTTAGTGTCTGGCTTCTGTTCTTCAATATTGCATCTGTGGCATTCTCTGTATTATTGTGTGTAGTGCCTACTTGTTCTTTTCGTATTGCTATGTAGTATTTCATTATGCGAATATATCACAATCTATTTATCTATTCTACCACTGATGGGCATTTGGATTGTTCCCAGTTTGGGACTATCATGAATAAAGTTGCTGGGAATATTTCTGTACTTGTGCCTTTGGAAGATAGATACCCAGGGATGGAGGGAGTTGCTCATGTTCAGCTTTCATAGACACTGCAGATCCTACATTCAATAGCAATGTCTGTGAGTTTGTAATATTTCATTTAATCTACAGAGCTCAGCAAGGACTATGGAAACTATGGGTGGACTCCTGACATGCCCTGTCAACATAGGTAACTTGTTTCTTCTATCTGGGCCTCAGCCTCCTCATCTGTAAAATGGGTGGGAAGGCTGGCCAAATGGTTTAGACATGGAATTCTTTCAAATCTTATGCAAAAGTCCCACATGTGTCAGGGAAAGAAACAAAACAAAATGGGGGGCTTGATTTAAGCTGGAAGGGGGCAAAGAATCCTCCCACCCCCAGCCGCTCCCTCAATATCTGAATTCCTGGGGCTCCTCATAGCCATGTTTGCCCCCCAGGGACCCAGGTTAACTCACAAAGAGTCTCTAATTCATTCTATGCATCTAGGAATCTTCTCAACTTTCTCAAGGGGTTCAGTTTGCCTATCTGACCTCGCCAGCCTCAACCTACAGAGGAGCCCATGCCAGCCCAGGGCAGAAGCTGGGGAGACAGAAGGAATCAAAACAAGGCTGCTGCTACTGCTGCTGCTAAGAAATTCCCTTGGTGGAGTAAGTTTGCATTTGACTGATCCTTTTTCTGTCCCTTACTGAGCTTTAAGCTCTAAAAAAATGCTGGTGGTATCTTAACTAGAAACGGTTGAATGAAATGATGGCATAGTTTATCCCAGGTAATGCAGTGGTGATTTTGAATTTACATAATGTCAAGATGCTATATGTAAACTTTTGAAGAAGAAAAAAATAGTGATTCGAGAAGGGGGGAAAAAGTCATCCACTTATTCCTGTAGCCACTTCCAAGCCACGCTGATAGGAAATAAAATGTGGAAGAAAGAACAAAGGATAAGAGAGTCTACAGAGGAGAAGAAAAGAGGAAGAAGTTTCCACCGGTGTATTAGTCCATTTTCACACCACCAAACAGAACTTCCCTGAGACTGGGTAATTTATAAAGGAAAGAGGTTTAATTGATTCACAGTTCTGCATGGCTGGGGAAGCCTTAGGAAACACAATCGTGGTAGAAGAGGAAGCAGGCACCTTCTTCACAAGGCAGCAGGAGAGAGAAGGAGACATTTCTGTCAGACATTTATAAAACCATCTCATGAGAGTTCACTCACTATCATGAGAACAGCATGAGGGAAGCCACCCCCATGATCAAATCACCTCCCTCCCTCAACATGTGGGGATTACAATTTGAGTTGAGATTTGGGTGGAGACACAGAGCCAAATTTATCAACCAGGCACCATTGTAATCACCCATGTGAAATGCATATAAAGTGTTTGCTGGGGAAGATTCTGAAAGATAAAGTGACTTGACATACATTCTTATTCCTCCTTCCCCTCTCTAATTCTAACACCTCAGCTCCTATGGCCCTGAAGAGTGGCTTGTTTCTTCCTCTCCTGCCTTCACTGGAGCATTCACCAAATGTTTACTGAGCACTAAGTGCCAGGCAATGTGAATCCACCAATGAGCAGAATAGATGACTATGCCAGGGAGCTTATGTTCTCCCATAATGGTGTCCCTCTCCAGTGGTAACCAAAGCAGGCTTTCCTCCTTGTTGCTGTCATTATCTGATGCAGCAGAGCCTTCCACATCATCCCCAGTGATCTCCTTCCCATAGTTTTCCCTTTTCAGCTCTTCCTCTTCCCACACCATGTTCCCAGTTCTTAGGTTCTCAGCATAAATGTGTATTCTAATTCATCTTGTCATAGATCAGGTTCTTGAGATACAAACTCTAAGATAGATGTCTGCATTCAAGTTGTTTACTGGGGGGGGTGCTGTCAGAATTAACAGGTGTCAGGGAGTGAAGGAAGCAAGGTTGGGCAGATGCAGAAATTAAACTGTGATGCAGTTGCAACAGAGCTCTCAGCAAATTCAAAAAAAAAAAAAAAAAAGCTCTAAATTACACAGAGATAACACTGCACAGTTGTCCCAAGTGTTGCCCCAGGGAGGGGGTGCAACCTTGGGTGAGGTGGCTCCCTTCAGCCAGGGACAATTGCTTAGAGGGACTCAACTGTGAATCAACAGCAGTCAGTACTTCCAGCAGCTTCTGCATGGCATGCCATAGCTCCCACTATAATGTCTACATTCTCCAAAGAACCCAGCCCAGTGCCTGGCACCTAGAAGACACTCAGTGGTTTGTGGGTTGTGGGATTGGTTCTCAAATTTGTATGACAACATTTTATTATTTCTTCTTTCTGGTGTAGTTCTCTCTCATGTTGCTTGGTGCAGGTGTTTGTGTGGTCCCCACCATGTGGAAGGCACAGTATGGAACCTGGCAGATGGTTTTAGGTACAAAAAGACAGAATCTCTGCCATCTAAGGTTTCAAAATTTAGTGGGGGAAGGAGAGACAGATTTAGAAAGAGATGTAAGATGTGATGAAATATGATGAGGGCACATAGTAGACCCTATGCAAATATCTGCAAAATTAAATTCAATATTTTTGAGGAGATCAGAAAAGGCTCCATTTCATGCTTTTTTTAACTCACTAGGAAATTAAAAGGAAATGGTGAAGTCCGTACTATGAAGGGGTCGTAAGAGTTGAAGACCATGAAATGACCATATGATCATGTGATCTGTGGGGTCTCAAAAGGATGGAAAAAAAGAGGGGGGCTGAAAAGAAAGTGTCAGAAAGAAATACAATGAGATACACGGTCTTTGGTTTTCTGTGCATTTCCAGGCAATCACATGGCTGCCTGTGGCTTCCAGGCCTGATGTTAATTCCTCCTCCTAGTTCTGGCCCTGCTTGGTCTCCACCCATCTGCCTAGACTATCTGCCTTTGGGATCCATTGTTGGCCACCTTCAGGATGGAGCTGCACCTGCCTCCAGCACAGAGTGACCATCCCCAAAGATGGGTCCTGGAATCCCTAGGGGAAGAAAGACCTTAGATGTTACCCAGTTTGACCCTTGACTTTATCAGAGAAAACTGAGACCCGCAGAGGCAAAGGAAGCTGCTCAAGACAACCCAACCAGGTGAGTGACCGATCTGGGGCCACAGTCCCAGTTTGGTACTTCCTGTGCAGTGAAATTTCCACACCAGTGTCCCCTGCCCCACCCACCACACACTCATGACTTATGCACATTTATTGCACTGTTGGCTTTCTCTTTCCTCTCCAGGACTTTTCCTTATTAGGTTCATATGTGTGAGGTAGAATCTGACACATAAAGGATGAACAGTTACTTTTAAGTGAATTGGGTTTCTTCTTTCCCCATAAATGGCTTTACATGCTTTGAAGCTCAAAAATGATGATCTTATTAAGATGGCTTAGAAGCTCCTCACCTTCTCTGATAATCTGAAATAAAGGAGAAGGAATTCCCAACAATTGGGAGTGCTACACTTGGCATGTCAACTCAAGGGTCCTCACCCCAATTCTATGAGATGGGCAGGAGATGGGCATGAAGAGCCTAATTTTACATGACAAAGCTTTGGCTCAGAGATGTGGAGTGAACTGTGCATAGCAAGCTTAAAGCCAGTCCATGTGATCTCCGAGCCCCGGCTCTCCCACTGTATCTATGAGGATGTGGAATGAAAGTCAGAGTGGCTACTTCCAGTTGAAGTTCTTTTTCTGGACATCATCAGAGGTACTTGCCTCCAGGAGCCAGCCCGGGTGGCTGAGCTGTGACTCAGAAATTAGAGGCTTGTGGTCTAGGAGCAGAGTTCAGCCCTCTGGCAGGCACAGTGCCACGAGCAGGGTTTGTGTTAGAGGTACTCATCCAGCGCAACAAGAGAGGAGATTATTCTAAATCATGTACAGTCTGACGTGACATTATTATTCTTAGACTATAAATCAACAGCCAAAATAAAGAAAATTGTTAGGTCTGGGTGGCATAAAATATGGGCACAGACAAAGAGACTTAGGGGTACAATTTGCTCTAAATCAGTTTAACCACCTTGCAGCTTCTCGCATTACAGTCTTAATCTAGCACATTAGCAAGATTAGTACGTGGTTTTTGCAATTAAATTGCATATTTTATTATGTCTCCTTCTTTCATGCTATATAAACTTCCAGGAAATTACAGACTCATAAACTTTGGCATAAAGCAGGAGGCAGTAGGAAGCGGAAAAACCAGAAAGATGTTTGGGGGCAGCTCTGAATTCCACATTCCATATTTTAATGTGATGTTAAAAAGTCCTCCATTAATACCCCCATTAGGGTAAAGAAATTTCAATGACTAGATGAAAGATGAGCCTCTCAATGCGTATAACTGGGGTCCCTGGGGATTATGGGGCTTTTTTTATTACTAAGAAGGAAAGTTTAAGGTTTTAATATAGATGAGTTGGGGATGGTAAGTTATTGTGCTCTAAGAGCAAGAAAAATGCATTTTCTTCTGAGCTCCTGGCTTCACCATGGCTTCAATATACACGATTTGAGATCAGGACCCATTTTTAGTAAACTAGAGAGTGAAAATCCATTTGATAAGGGCATGTCTGGTGAGCTATTTCCTGTGACTTTGTCTTTGTGATTTGTGAGGAACTCATCCTCCCACATGCAGACCCATGATGCATATATGCACAAACACACACACACACACACACACACCACATGCACATGCACAGATACACAAAAACACACAACCTTTCATAAACAGACCAACTTGCTTCCCTGGAATGTAACTCCATTCCACAACAGATTGGAAGGCTCAAGTTCAAGGCTTCTACTAGGACACATTTACACATTTCATGGGCTCATAGAAGGCTGGACATGGAAGAGATCCTCCAGCTCATCTCCTAGAACCCTCTCCTGTGAAAACCGAAGCAGAGAAGGCTGAGGATTTACCCAACATCTCAAAGCAAAGTACTAGCAGAAGTTCAACTTCTGTTTAGCAGAACTGAAAGTGTTGTCCAGATCCAGGGCTTCTTCAGCCTCCACTGGAGGCGGAGAGTGTGGTACCCAAGACCAGGGGCATCAGACAGACCTGAATCCAGTCCTGACTCCACCTCTTTGACCTCATCTGTACAATAAGAAGCACTGGAGAATCTGTTTCACAGAGTGGTTGTAAAGGGTAACTAAAATTATGCCTGCCACATAGCAAGCCCCTAGTAAATGTCAACTGGTACTATTTCGATATTAACATTAGTCTTCTTGTCTGTGTGCTAGAAGCATGGTGGTGCTAGGAATTTGGTGTTCAGTCATCAAATGTTTACCAGGTGTCTGCTAAAGGACAGCTCTTGTGCTGCCTGTGAGGGAATACAGACATGAGTCAGACTAGGTCACTTCATGCTAAGCATCAGAGTCTGATGGGGGAGATGACCACACAAGCCAGTAAGTGACAGTCTGAGGTAGGTATGCTAACAGAGAGCTCTCACCAACTGCAAGGCTGCAGTGGTTGGTTACAGAGAGAGGAGGTAGAATGGCCATCCCAGCTTGCAGTACATGGAGGTTAGGTATGCAACAGCCAGGGTCCAAGCCTCAGCATTCCCACTGTTTTCAGCTGTGAGACACTCGCCAGGGCCTCCCTGGATCTCAGTCCTAACATCTGTGAGATGGGAGAGAAGGAATCCTGGAGCAGACACTGTGTACATCCCATCTACAGCTCTGACTAGCCGTGGAACTGAGAATGGAGTTCAGGTTCCCAGCAGGGTGCTGGGTTTCCAGGACACCTCAGCAACAAGGGTGGCTTAATTAGGATCTTCGATTGCTGAATTTCTTTGTCCTTTTCCAACAAATGAAGCTCGCATACTTAAATGCCCCCTGTAGATGGAAGACGGGAAGGGGATGGGCTTACAGTCCTCTCGTGGATGATGCCAGAACAATTTCCTCTTTTGTAGATTTATTTTTAACTTATCTGGGCAATCAGACCCTGCAATTCCCTGCCCTATCTCCCTCCATCTCCTTCTCTCCCCAGGCCCTAGTTTGATCAGAAAGGCAGAGCCACACATCTTCTGAATTGCTATGGGGAAAATATCTCATTGACTTGGCTCCCACTGAGATAAAACAAAAGTGCCCCAGAATAAAAAGACAAGGTTGAATGAATGAAGAAGAAGTACTTGTTTAATAACTAAGTGATCAGGTAATAATAACTAAATGAATAAAGGAATGAATGAACAAGAAGGCTAAATCATGGCCCACCCATGATGGTGGCTCTGCCCTCTGTCCCCCCCAATACCCCCCAAAACACACACACATTTTTTTTCTTTGCTCATCCTCTTTCTTATTGATATTAATGTTTGGCATATGTTACACATCGCTGTGAGATACTTTACCTTCTTTCTAGATTAAGGTAAGTCATAGATCAATTAATCAATAATGTCTAGTCCCAGTGTCCAACCCCAGGGCCTAACAAGAGGATGTATATGGAGTTAAATTCATAAAGTGGCCTTGCAAGTAGATACCAGCCAGCCTGAGACCAGGTTTGTCCTAGCTTGGCCCTGGGAGTGGTCTCAGAAAGGACCCACAGCCTATTCCATGCTCCACCTTCAGTACCAGGAACCCTGGGCCTGAGATCTGACCTTGGAAGAAGCAGAAATAGATCTTAGTCCAAGGACAAAGAAGCTGAAAGAGATCCTAGTCCAAGGACAAAGAAGCTGAAATAGATCCTAGTCCAAGGACAAAGAAGTAGAAATAGATCTTAGTCCAAGGACAAAGAAGCTGAAAGAGATCCTAGTCCAAGGACAAAGAAGCTGAAACAGATCCTAGTCCAAGGACAAAGAAGCTGAAAGAGATCCTAGTCCAAGGACAAAGAAGCTGAAACAGCTCCTAGTCCAAGGACAAAGAAGCTGAAACAGATCCTAGTCCAAGGACAAAGAAGCTGAAACAGATCCTAGTCCAAGGACAAAGAAGCTGAAACAGATCCTAGTCCAAGGACAAAGAAGCTGAAAGAGATCCTAGTCCAAGGACAAAGAAGCAGAAAGAGATCTTAGTCCAAGGACAAAGAAGCTGAAACAGATCCTAGTCCAAGGACAAAGAAGCTGAAAGAGATCCTAGTCCAAGGACAAAGAAGCAGAAATAGATCCTAGTCCAAGGACAAAGAAGCTGAAACAGATCCTAGTCCAAGGACAAAGAAACTGAAACAGATCCTAGTCCAAGGACAAAGAAGCAGAAATAGATCTTAGTCCAAGGACAAAGAAGCTGAAACAGATCCTAGTCCAAGGACAAAGAAGCTGAAAGAGATCCTAGTCCAAGGACAAAGAAGCAGAAATAGATCCTAGTCCAAGGACAAAGATGCTGAAAGAGATCCTAGTCCAAGGACAAAGAAGCAGAAATAGATCCTAGTCCAAGGACAAAGAGAGGTGGCAGGAATGAAAATGAGAGACAGCAGAGGGGCCAGGGATAAGGCGGCAGCATGGGACAGAGGAGCCCTGGTGTGGGAACCTAGGGTGTAGGTGTTCGAGGCTGGCCCACAGAGCCGCTCTGTGCCCATGACAAGGTCTATCCCCCTCACTGGGCTGCAGTTTCCTTGTCTAAGAGACCTAGGCCCTATGTCTTCTCTACTCTGCCACTCCGACTCCCAGGGCTCCCCTGGAGAGGGAGAAGGCAGAGGGCAGTGGAACCAATAACAAAACAGCAGCAGAGTCAGGGGAAGCCTTGTCATCAGCGGGACTGCTTTGTCATCTTGTCTCCTAGGTGAGTATTTACAGAGCAGTATGCTTGCCCTCTGGGGGTGGACGGGGATAGAAAGGCCCCAAATGGAGACTAGGGACGCTGTGTGCTCCCAGCTTGCTGTTTGACCCCGGGCAAAGTCCTTCTCACCTCTAAGTCCTAAGTCCTCATTTATAAAATGAAAGCTGCCCAATGATCTCTAATATTCCTTTTTACTAGGAGTCTATGATGAAGACCCTGCCATTAAGAAGTTTTCTTGAGGAGGAAAAAAAAAAACATAAATGCATTCATTCACAAAGCTCTATGCCCCAAAAGATATTGAGGAAATGTTTTAGCAAAATTAAGTGTTCTCAGGCATGGATCCACATTGCAGTCATCTCAGATGCCTTAAAAAATACCGATGGCTGGGTCCACCCATGGCAAGTCTGCTCTCATTGATCTGGGGTGTGGCCTGGGTCTGATTTTTAAAAGCACCCCAGGTGATTCTGATGAGCATCCAAGGTGGCAAATCCCTGTCCTAAGTCCACTACAATTGGGTAATCTTCACTCCCACTCCTGCCTTTGACATCATCCATTCTGGGAAGTTGCCAGTCTCAGAATGTAGCTACCTGTGGTCCAGCCAGTCTGACTATCCTGGAATCCATCCCTGCTGGCCATTTAAGCCATCCTTGGACTGACCAATGCCCAGATGGCCAGAGGCCATGTTGAGTTAAGGCCTCGGTCCTGCAGAAAACTATAAACCAGAGATAAAGAAGCTGATAGAAGTGCTGGACACGGTGGCTTATGCCTGTAATTCCAACATTTGAGAGGCTGAGGTGGGCGGATTACTTGATGTTAGGAGTTCAGGATCAGCCTGGCCAACATGGTGAAACCCCATCTTTACTAAAAATACAAAAATTGGCCAGGCACGGTGGCTCACGTCTGTAATCCCAGCACTTTGGGAGGCTGAGGCAGGCGGATCATGAGGTCAGGCAGGAGATTGAGACCATCCTAGCTAACATGGTGAAACCCAGTCTCTACTAAAAAATACAAAAAATTAGCTGGGCATGGTGGCGGGCGCCTGTAGTCCCAGCTACTCGGGAGGCTAAGGCAGGAGAATGGCGTGAACCCAGTAGGCGGAGCTTGCAGTGAGCCAAGATCATGCCACTGCACTCCAGCCTAGGTGACAGAGTGAGACCCTGTCTCAAAAAGAAAAAAAAGGAAGAGGAAGAGGAAGAAGAAGAAGAAGAAACTGGTGGAAGTAAGTACTCACATCTCCAGCCACACTGATGAGAGCAAAGAGTTCATCTTTGCCTAGCGCTGTTCTAAGCAACTTTCATATAAGTCATTTCTTCCTCATAACAGTCACTATTGGGGGATAGCTGCTATTATCTTTCTCATTTTATTGATAGTGAGACTAAGGCACAGAGAGGTTAAATCATTTGCCCAACGTCACACAGCTGCTAAGTAGCAGAAGCAGGACGCTTCCCAGGCAGTTTGAATTCACCAACATGTTGTGCTGCTTCTCAGAACCCATGCGTATAGGTCTTGACTCCATCTGAACACCAGCCCCAGTGTGCCCTGCCAGCTGTGCTCTGAGAGAAGGAAGCTGCCCTTCAAAAATGGCACAGCAAAAGCAAGGTGCAGGCTTATGCAAGGTGAGACACAAACAGCGGCCAAAACCTCCTTATCCTGGAATCCATCTCTGCTGGCCATTTAATATTCCTGCCACAACAGGCATCTTCTTGGCTAACAGCAGTAAGCTCCCTTTTATTTGAATGATAGTTGGGTGGAATTGCCGCTTTTGCCTTCTAAAAATGCTTAAAAGAAAAGCACATCCACATATCTGGGTGGAAGGGAATTAATCAGCTATTAAGTTTTACCTGGCTACACATTAGTGTCATCTGGGGAGCTGTGAAAATTCCTGATGCCCAGGCAGCACCCCGAACAAATTACATCAGAATCTTCGGGGTGGAAGAGGTATCACTATTTTTTAAAGCTCCCTAGGCAATTCCAACATGGAGCCAAGTTTGAGAACCACTACTCCAGACCCAATTTCTTAGCAGGCAGACCACAATTTGAGACACTGGTGAAAAGTTAAATCACTATTTGGCTATTTGTGCTCAGTGCCCAGATGAAGAAGAAAACCATAAAATCTTCCCGGAAGAAGCAACACTTGATTTGGGCTATGAAGACAAACTAAATCTGGAGAGGCAGAGGCGACCAGGAGGACCTCTCCTAGGCCCTGAAGTCTGCTCCCCTCTTCTGGAACACAGCCTCCCCTTCTAATTTCTTCCTTCCTCTTCCCTGCTTCCCCATGTCCCCCAGGAATAAGCAGAGCACTCCAGACAAATGTGATATTGAATGAAGAACATATGTCCTGCGTGCATTTAAAGAGCATTTCTCTTCCTCCTCACCAGTCTCATCAGGAAATAAGTTCCCTCCGCTTTCACATTTTGGGGACGAGCAGATGGCAAAAGTTTTGATTCAGGAATAATGTCCATTTGAATGGCCCACGCTCAGGGGCCCCTGACTGTAATCAAAGGACCATCACAGACATGCAATCTGGACTATTTAAAAGTCCTTATTGCATCCAAAACTGAAATTTTTTCCTATCCCCACCCCCAGCCCAGCTTCTCCTGCGTCCCCATCTCAGTAAATGAATCCCCCATCAGCCCAGCCAGAAAGTTGGGCAGCAGCCCTCACTCTCCCCACTCACCCTGTGTATTCTTCCTCCCACGTGTGTTTTTTTTTTCCATAGCTTTAGGGGTATAAGTGGTTCTTGGTTCCATGGATAAATTGTACAATGTTGAAATCCGGGCTTTTAGTATACCTGTCACCCAAAGAGTGTACATTGTACCCAAGAGGTGATTTTTTTATCCCTTGCCCACCTCGTATCCTCCCCTATTCTGAGTGTCCAATGTCCATTATACCATTCTGTATGCCTTTGCATGCCCATAGCTTAGCTCCCACTTAGAAGTGAGAACATCACATGTGTCTTGACTCATCCTCTTCTATCCAGCCCCTACCATGGCCACAGTGGATGGAGCTCAGGCCTCCCCATGTATCCCAGGGATTATACCCTGGCCTCCTCACAGCCCTCCTTTCCTACTGGTCCCTCTTCCACCAGCACCTGTTGCACATTGTGGCCTCAGAACTTTCTATTAATAGAAGGCACAAATGACCAAGACATGGCCCTGCTTAACAACCTCTGATGGCTTCATGCTGCCATAGCCATGCTTCCAGCTGCATCACTTCACATTTTCACATTGAAAATGGCAGCATTTGTCCAGCACACTGGAGAAAACAGTTGAGCTCCTCACTGCTACAAGTAGCCAACCCTGAAGGTCCCATTGGTCAACCCCATGCTGGAGGGGTGTGGAATCTCAGCACCGTGACAAGCCATTCACAACTTACTAACTGGTAAGCATAGACCTACAGCCATGGATCCTAAACATGTGTGACCACAAAAATTGTCAGGGACTTTTTTGAAAATACAGATCTCTTAGGCCTCCCCTAGCCACCACTCCTCTGCCACTCACCCTCTAGTTCAGAGTCTCATAAAGACAGGCTCCTTTCCTTAAGAGCACGTATCTCATTGGTAATTACACACTCAAATGTATCAGCATTTACATGCATTCTACCTCACTTATTAAGCCATAAGCTCCAATAGCCCCACTGTATCGACAATCGTCCTAGCCCAGATCAAATGCTGCTTCTTTCAGGAAGCCTTCAGGGATCTCTACATTCCGGTACCCCAGACTTATCACCTTCATCAGGCATATGTGATGAACACTGAGCATATGTGGCAATGTCTGGCATATAGTGTATGCTCAAAAAATATCTTGGATGGATGGATGCATGGATGGATGGAAGGAAGGAAGGAAAATGGAGAGAAGGATGAATGAACTGATGGATGGATGGATGGATGGATGGAAAATGGAGGAAAGGATGAATGAACAGATGGATGAATGGAGGCATGGATGCATGGATTCATGTATGGATGGATAGATGGGTGGATGGATGGACAATTAGATGTTTCACTGAATAAATAGAAGATTAGATGAAGGATGGATGCTAGATGAATCTTGGCCCTGCTGACCTCTCCAGATTTATCTCCCACTATTTCCACCAGACATGCTAAAAGCTCACAAAATTGAAAAATGTCATGGCTGTGTTCCTACATGACTTTGTCCTTTTAAAAAAGGAGCTGTTTTGCCATTTGAACAGGGGTTTCTGCTCAAAGGAAACACAAGCTTCTGGAGAGAACAGAAAAAGGTGTGTCAGAAAAGCCATTTCCCTAAGAGGCAGCACTGATGCCAAGAATAGCAGCTGTGTAGGCTTACACACTCTCCCTCAGCTGCCTGGGGAAACGGCATCAACACCCAGGGAGAAGGTCAACGATAGCTCTATTATTAAGCACGTTTCATCATCAGACATGGGACGCCAAGCCGAGAGAAGGGTTGTCAGTCTACTCCAATAACTCTGGCTGGACCTGGCAAAGGCTCAAGGAGAGCTATGTGGAACCCAGGATAACAGCAGTAACAATAGCTACATTCCTGCTGAGCATTCACTACGTGGGAGGCACCTTGCTGAGAACTTTATGCAGGGTATCTCCTTTAATCCTCACCAAATCTAGGCTGTAGGAGCCACACCCTCTTTTTTTTTTTGTTTTTTTTTTTTGAGACGGAGTTTCACTCTTGTCACCCAGTCTGGAGTGCAGTGGCACAATCTCAGCTCACTGCAACCTCCACCTTCCTGGTTCAAGTAATTCTCCTGCCTCAGCTTCCCGAGTAACTGAGATTACAAGCGCCTGCCACCACGCCCAGCTAATTTTTGTATTTTTAGTAGAGATGGGGTTTCGCCATGTTGGCCAGGCTGGTCTCAAACTCCTGACCTCAGGTGATACATCCACCTCGGCCTCCCAAAGTGCTGAGATTACAGGTGTGAGCCACCACACCACACACTCTGTTTCTTATCCATAAAGTGAGCATGATGCTATTGCCTGTTTCATGGAGTTATGAGGATAAAATGAATCAATATAAGACATTTAAATGCTTAAAACACAGTCTATGCACATAGAAGCATTCATTAGTTGTTAGCTATTATCATTATTATTAACTCCATTTAACAAATGAAGAAACTGAGGCTCAGATAAGTTGCATAGTAACCAAGCAGCAAAGTTAGGATCTAAACCCGTCTGTTTAGTCAAAGCCCACATTTCTAACCATCAGGCATTGCCTAGCTCCAATGCCCTGGATATGTGATTTCACCTCAGGTGAAATCACATCTCTGCACCACCAAAATGCTGAATCTTGTTCCTCTAGGTTCAGCTCTTCCATTCAGTAAATATTCTCAGAATGATTGTGGCATACCAGCATCAGAAGGATGCGTAAATGGATCAGACGCAGTCTCCACCTTCAGACTGCTACTGCCTATGGTAGAAAGACCTGCATATAAGTATTAAGGTACAAAGTAGAAAGGGAGTTGCTTTGATTGGGTACCTGCCATGTGCTGGGCCAAGATCTTCCTCATTTCCATCTAACTCTGTGAGGCAGTGTTATCACCCCCATTTTATAGATGTGGGAACTGCTGCCCAGAGAGGTTAAATTGCCTTCTCAAGGTTGCATAGTAAGGGTTTCCATTCCTGAGTTACTTCACTTAGAATAATAGTCTCTAATCTCATCTGAGTCATTGGAAATGCTGTTAATTCATTCCTTTTTATGGCTAAGTAGTATTCCATTGTATCTACATACCAGAGTTTCTTTATCCACTCATTGATTGATGGGCTGGTTTGGTTCCACAATTTTGCTATTGTGAATTGTGCTGCTATAAATATGCGTGTGCTGATATATGGAAGCTAAGCTATGAGGACACAAAGGCATAAGAATGATACAATGGACTTTGGGGACTTGGGTGGAAGAATGCAAGGAGGCAAAGGATAAAAGACAACAAATATGGTGCAGTATATACTATTCAGGTGATGGGTGCACCAGGTTCTCACGAATCTCCACTAAAGAATTTTCTTATCTAACCAATAGCACCTGTACCCCAATAACTTATGGAAAAATAAAACTTTTTTAAAAAAGGTTGCATAGTGAGAAATAAATCTGGTGGGGTTTTTTTTTGGTTTTTTGTTTGTTTGTTTTCTGATTTCAAACTTTATTTCAAAACTATGATGATCAACATGTATGATACTGGCATAAAAACAGACACATAGACAAATGGAACAGAACTGAGAGCGCAGAAATAAAACCACATCTATGTGATCAATTAATATTTGAAAAGGTGCCAAGAATATACACTGAGGAAAGGACAGTATCTTCAATAAACAGTGTTGGGGAAACTGCATATACATATGCAAAAGAATGAAACTGGTCCCCCACACCACACATACAAATCCACTGGAAATGAATTAAAGACCTGAATGGAGGAAGCAATTTGGAATAAGGTCTGTCTGATTCTGATGCATTCAGATCACTCTGCACTAAAGGGTGACTCACACTAGCATGGATGAGGGGAGCTGTGCTGGGATGTTTGGATCCCAGTGACTCTGCAATTTAGGAATTGCAGAACCTTAGCCTGAGAGAAACTACAAGGGGAGGGCTCAGATGGTAATGACAATAACTAAAATTGTCAATTTTCTAGACACATAACTTATCAAAGTAGACTTAAAAAGACATTTAGAACCTGAAGAGATGTCTAACCATTAAAGAAACTGCAGAAACCGAATCCGTAATTGAATGTCTACCTACCAAAAAGCATGGGCGTGCACACACACACACACGCACACACAAGTACCAGTTAAACTGCAGAAATCTAATATTTATTATATCATATTTATTATATTTATATTACATATATATAAAAATCAGAATAAGATGGATTATATCAATGTTGATATAGCCTGGTTGCAATCTTACACCATTATTTAACAAAATGCTGCCATTGGGGGAAACTGGACAATGATCTTTCTGTGTTATTTCTTATAACTTCATATGAATCAACAGTTATGCCAGGAAATTTTTCAACTAGAAAAATTTCAACAAAACAAGTCAATAAGAAAAGAAAATTCCAATAGAAAGGTGGGCAAAGTATAGGAACAGGCAATTCCTGGACGAGAAAACAGAAATTGCCAATAAACACACATAGAGACAATCAAATTGAAACAGTGAGGTATCATCTCACACCAAGTTTGCCAATTTGTTTTTACAAATCTGATAACATGAAGTATTAGCAAGGACCTAAGGAAAAAGGTGTTCGTTCACTGCTGTTGAGAATATAAATTTTTACAAGCACTAGGGAGAGAAATTTGGCACTATCTAGTAAGCTGCAGATGTGCAAATTCTTCTCTCATCAACTCTGCTCCTAGTTTTCTACCTTAGAAATATATATATGGTACATGGTTCTACATATGCTATAGTAATGTATTTCTACAGTAGAAAACTATATACATAATATATACACATACACAGAGACAGCAACTCTGCTTCTAGTTATCTACCTTAGAAACATATTAATACAACATATATAATGTATTATATATATACACACACATACACAGAGATATGTACAAAGAGGTTTATTGCAGCACTCTTTATATAGCAGAATAACCCAACTTCAATAGCAGACTAAATAAATAATGATTTGTTAGTACAATGAAATGCAATGTAGAAGTTAAAGTAGCTGATCTTTATACATCGACAGAGATAAACTCAACAACAAAATGTTAAATGGAAAACAGTTGCAAAATAATATATTTTAATAATATTTATTTCAAAAAAATAGACCTAACACATATACTATATGTTGCTAATGGAAACATATATATGTAATAAAAGTTTGAATATATATATGAAAATGTGTATGGAAATGATACACATTAGGGGAATGGATGCTTCTGGCAATAAACTGAGAAAAAGGACCAAGATGAACCTGACATATTGCTGTGATATTGTACTTCTTTAAAAGAGATTTGAAGCAAATATGGTAAAACGTATTATATGTGTGTGTGTGTACATATGTATATAATTTTGAGAATATGTGATATTTATTTTTAACATTTTAAAATTATATATTTATATATACTATACGTATATATAATATTTTTAAATTATATATGCATAATTTTGGGAATATATATGTGATAGCAGTTACTTCTTTTTTTTTATTATACTTTAAGTTCTAGGGTACATGTGCACAACGTGCACTTTTGTTACACAGGTATACATGTGCCATGTTGGTTTGCTGCACCCATAAACTCATCATTTACATTAAGTATTTCTCCTAATGCTATCCCTCCCCCAGCCCCCACCCCATGACAGGCCCCGGTGTGTGATGTTCCCCACCCTCTGTCCACGCTTTCTCATTGTTCAGCTCCCACCTATGAGTGAGAACACGTGGTATTTGGTTTTTTGTCCTTGTGATAGTTTGCTTAGAATGATGGTTTCCAGCTTCATCCATGTCCCTGCAAAGGACATGAATTCATCCTTTTTTATGGCTGCATAGTATTCCATGGTGTATATGTGCCACATTTTCTTAGTCCAGTCTATCATTGATGGACATTTGGGTTGGTTCCAAGTCTTTGCTATTGTGAATGGTGCCGCAATAAACATATGTGTGCATGTGTCTTTATAGCAGCATGATTTATAATCCTTTGGGTATATACCCAGTAATGGGATGGCTGGGTCAAATGGTATTTCTAGTTCTAGATCCTTGAGGAATTGCCACACTGTCTTCCACAATGGTTGAACTAACTTACACTCCCACCAACAGTGTAAAAGTGTTCCTATTTCTCCACAACCTCTCCAGCATCTGTTGTTTCCTGACTTTTTAATGATCACCATTCTAACTGGTGCGAGATGGTATCTCATTGAGATTTTGATTTGCATTTCTCTGATGACCAGTCATGATGAGCATTTTTTCATGTGTCTGTTGGCCGCATAAATGTCTTTTTTTGCGAAGTATCTGTTCATACCCTTCGCCCACATTTTGATGGGGTTGTTTTTTTCTTGTAAATTTATTTAAGTTCTTTGTAGATTCTGGATATTAGCCCTCGTCAGATGGGTAGATTGCAAAAATTTTCTCCCATTCTGTAGGTTGCCTGTTCACTCTGATGGTAGTTTCTTTTGCTGTGCAGAAGCTCTTTAGTTTAATTAGATCCCGTTGTCTTTTTTGGCTTTTGTTGCCATTGCTTTTGGTGTTTTAGTCATGAAGTCTTTGCCCATGCCTATGTCCTGAATGGTATTGTCTAGGTTTTCTGCTAGGGTTTTTGTGGTGTTAGGGCTTACATTTAAGTCTTTAATCCATCTTGAGTTAATTTTCGTATATGGTGTAAGGAAGGGATCCAGTTTCAGCTTTCTACATACGGCTAGTCAGTTTTCCCAGCACCATTTATTAAATAGGGAATCCTTTCCCCATTGCTTGTTTTTGTCAGGTTTGTCAAAGATCAGATGGTTTTAGATGTGTGGTGTTATTTCTGAGGCCTCTGTTCTGTTCCATTTGTCTATATAACTGTTTTGGTACCAGTACCATGCTGTTTTGGTTACTGTAGCCTTGTAGTATAGTTTGAAGTCAGGTAGCATGATGCCTCCAGCTTTGTTCTTTTGGCTTAGGATTGTCTTGCTATGCAGGCTCTTTTTTGGTTCCATATGAACTTTAAAGTAGTTTTTCCAATTATGTGAAGAAAGTCAGTTGTAGCTTGATGGGGATAGTATTGAATCTATAAATTACTTTGGGCAGTATGGCCATTTTCACAATATTGATTCTTCCTATCCATGAGCATGGAATGTTCTTCCATTTGTTTGTGTCCTCTTTTATTTTGTTGAGCAGTGGTTTGTAGTTCTTCTTGAAGAGGTCCTTCACATCCCCTGTAAGTTGGATTCCTAGGTATTTTATTCTCTTTGTAGTAATTGTGAATGGAAGTTCGCTCATGATTTGGCTGTGTGTCTATTATTGGTGTAGAGGAATGCTTGTGATTTTTGCACATTGATTTTGTATCCTGAGACTTTGCTGAAGTTGCCTATCAGCTTAAGGAGATTTTGGGCTGAGATGAGGGGATTTTCCTTTATTTCTTTTTTTTTTTTTTTTTTTTGAGATGGAATCTCACTCTGTTGCCCAGGCTGGAGTGCAATGGCATGATCTTGGCTCACTGCAAGCTCCACCTCCCGGGTTCATGCCATTCTCCTGCCTCAGCCTCCCAAGTAGCTGGGACTACAGGTGCCCACCATCATGCCTGGCAAATTTTTTTTTATTTTTAGTAGAGATGGGGTTTCACTGTGTTAGCCAAGATGGTCTCTATCTCCTGACCTTGTGATCTGCCTGCCTCAGCCTCCCAAAGTGCTGGGATTACAGGTATGAGCCAACATGCCCAGCTGGGGTTTTCTAAATATTCAATCATGTCATCTGCAAACAGAGACAATTCTACTTCCTCTTTTCCTAATTGAATACCCTATACTTCTCTCTCTTGCCTGATTGCCCTAGCCAGACCTTCCAACACTATGTTGAATAGGAGTGGTGAGAGAGGGCCTCCTTGTCTTGTGCCAGTTTTCAAAAGGAATGCTTCCAGTTTTTGCCCATTCAGTATGATATTGGCTGTGGGTTTGTCATAAATAGCTCTTATTATTTTGAGATACGTTCCATCAGTACCTAGTTTATTGAGAGTTTTTAGCATGAAGTGCTGTTGAATTTTGTTGAAGGCCTTTTCTGCATCTATTGAGATAATCATGTGGTTTTTGTCATTGTTTCTGTTTATGTGATGGATTACGTTTATTGATTTGCATATGTTGAACCAGCCTTGCATCCCAGGGATGAAGCTGTCTTGATCGTGGTGGATAAGCTTTTTGATGTGCTGCTGGATTCGGTTTGCCAGTATTTTATTGAGGATTTTCACATTGATGCTCATCAGGGATACTGGCCTAAAATTCTCTTTTTTTGTTGTGTCTCTACCAGGCTTTGGTATCAGGATGATGCTCATAAAATGCGTTAGGGAGGATTCCCTCTTTTTCTATTGATTGAAATCGTTTCAGAAGGAATGGTACCAGCTCCTCTTTGTACCTCTGGTAGAATTTGACTGTTGAATCCTTCTGGTCCTGGACTTTTTTTGGTGGTAGGCTATTGATTATTGCCTCAATTTCAGAACTGTTATTGGTCTATTCAGAGATTCAACTTCTTCCTGGTCTAGTCTTGGGAGGGTGTATGTGTCCAGGAATTTATCCATTTCTTCTAGATTTTCTAGTTTATTTGCATAGAGGTGTTTATAGCATTCTCTGATAGTAGTTTGTATTTCTGTGGGATCGGTGGTAATATCTCCTTTATCATTTTTTATTGCATCTATTTGATTCTTCTCTCTTTTCTTCTTTATTAGTCTTGCTAGTGGTCTATCAATTTTGTTGATCTTTTCAAAAAACCAGCTCCTGGATTCATTGATTTTTTGAAGTGTTTCTATGTCTCTATCTCCTTCAGTTCTGCTCTGATCTTAGTTATTTCTTGCCTTCTGCAAGCTTTTGAATTTGTTTGCTCTTGCTTCTCTAGTCCTTTTTATTGTGGTGTTAGAGTGTTGATTTTAGATCTTCCGTGCTTTCTCTTGTGGGCATTTACTGCTATAAATTTCCCTCTACACACACTTTAAATGTGTCGCATAGATTCTAGTACATTTATCTAGTGTCTTTATTCTCTTCTCAAAGATGTTTCAAAGAACATCTTTACTTCTGCCTCCATTTTGTTATTTACCCAGTAGTCATTCAGGAGCAGGTTGTTCAGTTTCCATGTAGTTGTGCAGTTTTGAGTGAGTTTCTTAATCCTGAGTTCTAATTTGATTTCACTGTGGTCTGAGAGACAGTTTGTTGTGATTTCTGTTCTTTTACATTTGCTGAGGAGTGTTTTACTACCAATTATGTGGTCAATTTTAGAATAAGTGCAATGTGGTGCTGAGAAGAATCCACATTCTGTTGATTTGGGGTGGAGAGTTCTGCAGATGACTATTGGGTCTGCTTGGTGCAGAGCTGAGTTCAAGTCCTGGATATCCTTGTTAACCTTCTGTCTCATTGATCTGTCTAATATTGACAATGGGATGTTAAAGTCTCTCATAATTATTGTGTGGGAGTCTAGGTCTCTTTGTAGGTCTCTAAGGACTTGCTTTATGAATCTGGGTGCTTCCATATTTGGTGTATATATATTCAGGATAGTTAGCTCTTCTTGAATTGATCCCTTTACCATTATGTAGTGACCTTCTTTGTCTTTTTTTATCTTTGTTGGTTTAAAGTCTGTTTTATCCACCAAAAGCAATGGCAACAAAAGCCAAAATTGGCAAATGGGATCTAACTAAACTAAAGAGCTTCTGCACAGCAAAAGAAACTACCATCAGAGTGAACAGGCAACCTACAGAATAGGAGAAAATTTTTGCAATCTACTCATCTGACAAACGGCTAATATCCAGAATCTACAAAGAACGCAAACAAATTGACAAGAAAAAAAACAAACAACCCCATCAACAAGTGGGCCAAGGATATGAACAGACACTTCTCAAAAGAAGACATTTATGCAGCCAAAAGACACATGAAAAAATGCTCATCATCACTGGCCATCAGATAAATGCAAATCAAAACCACAGTGAGATACCATCTCATACTGGTTAGACTGACAATCATTAAAAAGTCAGGAAACAACAGGTGCTGGAGAGGATGTGGAGAAATAGGAACACTTTTACACTGTTGGTGGGACTGTAAACTAGTTCAACCATTGTGGAAGTCAGTGTGGCGATTCCTCAGGGATCTAGAACTAGAAATACCATTTGACCCAGCAATCCCATTACTGGGTATATACCCAAAGGATTATAAATCATGCTGCTATAAAGACACATGCACACATATGTTTATTGCGGCACTATTCACAATAGCAAAGACTTGGAACCAACTCAAATGTCCATCAATGGTAGACTGGATTAAGAAAATGTGGCACATATACACCACGGAATACTATGCAGCCACAAAAAATGATGAATTCTTGTCCTTCGTAAGGACATGGATGAAGCTGGAAACCATCATTCTCAGCAAACTATGGCAAGGACAAAAAACCAAACACCGCATGTTCTCAGTCATAGGTGGGAATTGAACAGTGAGAACAGTTGGACACAGGAAGGGAACATCACACACCAGGGCCTGTTGTGGGGTGGGGGGAGGTGGGAGGGATAGCATTAGGAGATATGCCTAATGTAAATGATGAGTTTATGGGTGCAGCACACCAACATGGCACATGTATACATATGTAACAAACCTGCACATTGCACACATGTTCCCTAGATCTTAAAGTATAATGACTAAAAAATAAATAAATAAATAAAATAAAGTCTGTTTTATCAGAGACTAGGATTGCCATCCCTGCTTTTTTTTTTTTTTTTTTTTTTTTTTTGCTTTCCATTTGCTTGGTAGGTCTCCCTCTATCCCTTTATTTTGAGCCTATGTGTGTCTTTGCATGTGAGTTGGGTCTCCTGAATACAGCACACCAATGGGTTTTGACTCTTTATCCAATTTGCCAGTCTGTGTCTTTTAATTGGGGCATTTAGCCCATTTACATTTAAGGTTAATATTGTTATGTTTGAATTTGATTCTGTCATTATGATGCTAGCTGGTTATTTTGCCCGTTAATTGATATAGTTTCTTCATAGCATCAATGGTCTTTACCATTTGGCATGTTTTTGCAGTGGCTGGTACTGGTTGTTGCTTTCCATGTTTAGTCCTTCCTTCAGGACCTTTTGTAAGGCAGGCCTGGTGGTGACAAAATCTCTCAGCATTTGCTCGTCTGTAAAGGATTTTATTTCTCCTTCACTCATGAAGCTTAGTTTGACTAGATATGAGATTCTGGATTGAAAATTCTTTTCTTTAAGAATGTTGAACATTGTCCCCCACTCTCTTCTGGCTTGTAGGGTTTCTGCTGAGAGATCCGTTGTCAGTCTGATGGGCTTCCCTTTGTGGGTAGCTAGATCTTTCTCTCTGGCTGCTCTTAACATTTTTTTCTTCATTTCAACCTTGGTGAATCTGACAATTATGTGTCTTGGGGTTTCTTTTCTCAAGGAGCATCTTTGTGTTCTCTGTATTTCCTGAATTTGAATGTTGGCCTGCCTTGCTTGGTTAGGGAAGTTCTCCTGTATAATATCCTGGAGAGTGTTTTCTAACTTGGTTCCATTCTCCCCATCACTTTCCAGTACATCAAACTGTGGTCTTTTCACAAAGTCTCATATTTCTTGGAGGCTTTGTTCATTTCTTTTCACTCTTTTTTCTCTAATCTTGTCTTCTCACTTTATTTCATTAATTTATGTTCAATCACTGATATCCTTTCTTCCACTTGATCAAATTGGCTATTGAAGCTTGTGCATGCATCACAAAGTTCTCATGCCATGGTTTTCAGCTCCATCGGGTCATTTAGGTTCTTCTCTATACTGTTTATTCTAGTTAGCCATTCGTCTAACCTTTTTTCAAGGTTTTTAGCTTCCTTGCGATGGGTTAGAACATGCTCCTTTAGCTCAGAGGAGTTTGTTATTACCAACCTTCTGAAGCCTACTTCTGTCAACTCGTCAAACTCATTCTCAGTCCAGTTTTGTTCCCTTTCTGGCAAGGAGCTGTGACTCTTTGGAGAAGAGGTGCTCTGTTTTTTGGAATTTTCAGCTTTTCTGCTCTGGTTTCTCCCCATCTTTGTGGTTTTATCCACCTTTGGTCTTTGATGTTGGTGACCTACAGATAGGGTTTTGGTGTGGATGTCCTTTTTGTTGATGTTGATGGTATTCCTTTCTGTTTGTTAGTTTTCCTTCTAACAGTCAGGTCCCTCAGCTGCAGGTCTGTTGGAGTTTGCTGGAGGTCCACACCAGACCCTGTTTGCCTGAGTATCACCAGAGGAGGCTGCAGAACAGCAAATATTGCTGCCTGATCCTTCCTCTGGAAGCTTCGTCCCAGAGGGGCACCTGCCTGTTTGAGGTGTCTGTCAGCCCCTACTGGGAGGTGTTTCCCAGTCAGGCTACACGTGGGTCAGGGACCCGCTTAAGGAGGCCATCTGTCCATTTTTGGAGCTCGAATGCCATGCTGAGAGAACCATTGCTCTCTTCAGAGCTGTCACACAGAGATGTTTAAGTCTGCAGAAGCTGTCTGCTGCCCTAATTCTTTATTTTTAATATTTTTGAAATGTTTCAGAATTGAAAAATAATGAGCATGAGAGATTATAATCATGACCTAGCAACTCTACTTTTAAAAATTTAGCTGACAGATTTTTTTTGCATATATTCACAAACAAATATTTTTATTGTAGCATTGTAATAGCACAAGCCTGGAAGCAACCTAAAAATTCATTCATTGGTTACCGATTGATATGATTTAGCTGTGTTCCCACCCAAATCTCATCTTGAATTCCCACGTGTCGTGGGAGGTACCCGGTGGGAGGTAATTGAATCATGGGGGCAGGTCTTTACAATGCTGCTCTCATTATAGTGAATAAGTCTCATGAGATTTGATGGTTTTATAAAGGGGAGTTTCCCTGCACAAGCTCTCTTCTCTTGTCTGCCACTATGTGAGATGTACCTTTCACCTTCCACCATGATTGTGAGGCCTCCCCAGCCACAAGGAATTGTAAGTCCAATAAACCTCTTTCTTTTGTAAATTGCCCAGTCTCAGGTAAGTCTTTATCAGCAGCACGAAAACGGACTAATTCACTGATTATGCAAATTATAAAACACCCATAAAATGAAATAGTATGCAGTCATTTAAAAGAATGGCAGAACCCCAAGCATGCTGATATGGATGCCTGTAAGATTAAATATATGGGAAAAAAGCAAGGTCCATGATATTATGTATAGTATGAGCCTCTGTGTGTTTGTGTATGCACAACGTGTGTGTGTTAGAGGTAATGAAAAAATTTTTGTACATACATAACTCATGGAACACAAGGAAGCAAGGAAGAAGATAAAGAAGAGAAACTTTAGTTTTCATTTTATGGTCTGATGTCTTAGTTGGAATTTTTTTACTAGGTATATATACATTGTCAAGTTTTTTAAAAACTACTTTGAACAAGAGAACCAAGTTATAGTCAGATTCTAAAACAGCTTTCTATTAGCCAAACCATATGTTACCAAATAATCCAATTTCGTACATTGTAATTGAATCTACCTTTGTTCAAGTAACATTTTACCTTCCAAGCTTAAAAAAATGGCATCCATGAAGCAGCTACTGTGTAATAGTTTCTGGATATACAAAGATGACAATCCCTGGAGGGGCAGGTAACTTAAAAGACAGTCAGACAATAACAGACAATGAGGACTACAATGAAGGTAAACCCAGCTGGCTGTGGAAGCAGCAAGAGGGTCCCCCAAAGAAGGCTTCCTGGAGAAGGTGTCTATTAAACAGGTATTAGAAGATGAGTAGGAGTTCCCAGGTGAAGAGGGAGGCCAATGTGAAAATGCAAGAGGGTGATTCAGCGCAATGTCTGCTGGAAATTCTGAGTAGTTCAGTAGGGCTGGAATCTGAGAAGATGCTAAACACTTTTATCTCTAGTATCTGATGTTCTATTTTATAGGTGAATAAACTGAGGCACACAGAGGTTAAGTAATTTGTCCATGGTCTCAAGGGCAGTGTGTAGAAGAACCAGAATTTGAACCCGCATACAGAGCCTGAACTTCTAACCAATCCAGCATTTGAATTGGGCCTGGGGGAGTGGTGCGAGATAAGGCTGGAGAGTAAGCCCAGGACAGATCCCAGGAGATTTTGGCAGCACTGTGGGCAATGGGAAGCTAGAAGGATTTTAAGCAGGGAAGTGACATGGTCAGATGTAGGTCTGTCCCTAAGATTTCATGACTCAAGATCTCAGGAAATATTTGCTGAATGAATGAATGAATGAATGAATCCATTTATGGAACCTCAAAGCAGAGACAGAATCAAGGGCTAACTATTGCTGGTTTTAAGTAAAATTGTGACATTGGGAAGCTTGTTATTGGCAGACTTCTGCTTCCCTTTCAGACGCCCTCTCCTGTGAGTCCCTCCTAATCCCAGAACCTAACCCATAAGCCATCAAGTTATCCTCACTGTTCCCTTAACTATATCAAGCTTCAGGCAGAGTGCAGTGGCCAATGCCCACAATCCCAACACTTTGGGAGGCTGAAGCAGGAGGATTGCTTGAACTTAGGAGTTTGAGACCAGCCTGGGCAACATGGTGAAATCCTGGCTCTACAAAAAATTAGCTGGGCATGGTGGCGTGTGCCTGTAATCCCAGCTACCAGGGAGGCTGAGGTGGGAGGATCACCTAAGCCTGGGAGGTCAAGGCTGCAGTGAGCCATGATTGCCCCACTGCACTCTAGCCTGCATGACAGAGTGAGACCCTGTCTCAAGAAAAAAAAAAGAAAAAAGTTTCAACAAGTCTCATACTGTTTCTCTGCCAAGTGTCTTTCCCCTTTAATAGGGACTTCTTAACAGAAAAGACTACGAGGCACCAGAATGATGTTGTTTCAGACATTGTGTCAAGTTAAGGGAGATTTCAGGACATTTGCTTAAAGAACAAGACAAGCCTATCCTGGCTGGCTGGTCCATGAATTTGACTCAAGATGGTATTTCTTATACATGAGTTAAAAGAAGTACAATGAAAACAGTAAATAATAATATTGATGAAAATCAGATGTGACAGGATGAGAGGACACTTATCTCAGAGCCACTTGGTTGGTATAAAATCCCAACTCTACCATTGTATCAGTCAGCTTCTCTGGAAGCAATGCTGCATAACAAATAACCCCACTATCTCAGAGGCCTAGAGTAACAAAGATTAGTCACTCCTGTCACATGTCATCTGCAGTTTACGTGTCATCTGCAGTTCAGCTGTAGCTCTTTAACTCTGTTCCCAGCTGCATATGGACTTGAGTCCACTCCATCTCTCTTCTCTTTCTGTGACACATTCTGTGAGGCTGGAAGAATAGCCTCCACCAGGTGTGTGACATTCCCATGACAGAGGGCAGGATGTTCAGAGAAGTGATGGAAATATATAGTGCTTCTTAAAGCATCTGCTCAGCACTGATACATTGCCCTTCCACTCAGATTTCACTGGCCAATGCAGATCATACAGCTAAGCCCAAAATCAAAGATGTGGGGACATATACTCCACCCACCAGAGGCAGGCAAGTTACATGATAAAGGATGTAAATCTATAATCTGGTGGGGAAAGAGATAGTGATGAATAGTTGCAAGAGTAATAAAATTGATTATAGCCACTTTCTATGTGACTATAAATAAATTATTTAACCTCTCAGAGTCTCAGTTTTCTCACCTACATAATGGAAATAATAATTTCTCCCTTGCAAAGTCATGGTAAGAGTTAAATGAGATCATGATGATAAAAGACCCTAGTACAGCTCCTGGGATATAACTAATAGGTCCTTGTTTATTCCATTCCCAGTGGCTGCTGTGAAACGGAGGTTTCCTAGACCAGTGCTTCTTAAATTATTTTTTATGAATGATCAGTGTTTTATTTTGTTTTGTTTTTCTCATTCCCATCTCATTGCAGACCAGTGCTTTTGTAAAACACAGTAAAAATGAATTGCTAGAAAAAATGAAACAAAAATAAAAAAAACACAAATTGCTAACCCCAAATGTTTATCATTAGAGTCAACAGATCTATCAAATTGCTAGAAAAGTTATTTTATTCCAATTTCTTTTGGGAATAAACGCTTATGCCAATTTCTGTTCTTGTCACAGACAAGTAATGAGCAGTTATAGACTGGCAGTAGTCCATCAACGCTTAAGGAGCACCATCCGACAGGAAGAACACTGTCTAGGAATTCCAGCTAGGGCTGCAAAGCCAAGAACAAAGAGTGACCTGACCCCTCATTCTGTAAGAGGTGCTACCATCCCACATAGGACTTAATAAAGAGAGCCAGAAGGTTCCAAGACGCACCCTCTCACCACTCTCCCACTTTACCACCTGTAACCTAGAGGTGCTCCAGTTATTACTGCTTTGTAACACATCACCCCAAAAGTTAGTGGCCTAAAACATCATATTATTATCTCTCCTGGTTTCTCTGGATCAGGAATCCAGAAAGGACTCAGCTGGGTGGCTCTGGCTTTGGAGTCTCATGCTCAGTAGTTAGTCGATGACTGAAACTGGAGCAACTGGACATTGATCTCTCTTCCTCTAGTCTTGGGGGTTCTACCTGTGGTCTCTCCACATTGGCTAGTTTAGGTGGGCCAGGGCCAGCAGGCTTCAGTAGAGGCTCAGGGCCCCAATTTGAATGTTTAACAGGCTAAGAGGATGTTACTGCCTTTCCTGCCTCACCACACAAGCCACACTGCATCACTCTGGCACGTTCTATTGATTATGAGCCCATCACAGGCAGGCTGTGGTGGCTCACACCTGTAATCCCAGCACTTTGGGAGACCGAGGGGGGTGAATCACCTGAGGTCAGGAGTTCAAGACCAGCCTGGCCAACATGGCGAAACCCCATCTCTACTAAAAATACAAAAATCAGCTGGGCATGGTGGTGGGTGCCTGTAATCCCAGTTACTCAGGAGGCTGGGGTAGGGAGAATTACTTGAACCCAGGAGACGGAGGTTGCAGTGAGCCAAGATCATGCCACTGCACTCCAGCCTGGGCAACAGAGTGAGACTCTGTCTCAAAAAATGATAATAATAATAATAATAAGCCCATCACAAACCCTCACAGAGTCAAGGGGAGGGGAATAGGGGAATTAGACTCTACCTCTTGAGGGAGGAATGGCAAGATTCTAGAGTCTAGAATAATATGTGGGACAGAAGATACTGTTGCAGTCGTCTTTGGAAAACACAATCTGCCCCAGAAGTCTATAAGGAACAATAAGGGGAATTCTTTGGGGGGACTTGTAGGGGGAGAGAGCTGTGGGGCTTCCCCTGCCCTCTCTGTGGGAGAGAAAACACTAAGAGTGAACTGCTTCTTGAGATTATGGGTTTGGGGTGCTGGGAAGAAGCAGAGCCTGGCATCCTCCACCCAGCATGGGTGCCCACTGAGCTGTTAATTCTTGATCCCAGTGCCAGGGACTATGTGGAGCATTGAAGAGGAGTTCTGAGGAGTCCCAGGAGTTTGGGGCAATGTGAGCAGAGAGGTAGCTGAGGCTGCCTGTGATGGTGGCCAAGGGGAGGCAGTGAGGGAGCAGCTGGGGCTATGAAAGTCAGTGGGGTGCATGAGTTTCTGTGGACCGAATGGATCCCCTAGAGGGTTCCTGAAAGGACTCTGCCCTAGAAGGTTGCGTGCTGAGTGGAGGAGGCCCTAAGAGAGAATGGTTGAAGGTGAATTGCCAAGGACCAAAATTGTGGGTGCATTTTCAGAGAGTGTAGTCATCAAGGTCCCATAGTGGGTTTCTATTCAACCACAAATGCATCCCACAGGAGGTCACCAGCCATCAAATTACAACAGTACTGGTCCTGTAAGCCCATAAGATGTCACTGCTTCTCCCCTAATCTCTCCACTCCTGGGCCCTGACCCTGGAGAAACCATCAACGGAGGCGAGTGGGGTGGAAAAACAAAGTGACGATGGCCAAGTGATGAGGAGACCAAAACCAAGCTGCCTTCCCAACCACAGGTCCTTAAACTATAGGTGAGCTCTGAGCTGGGGGCAAAGAGAAGCCCTGAATCAGATGGGAGATTGAAGTTTTGATTTGGACCTGGACTTTTTAATTCCTTAAAGTAGGACTATGTTTAATACCTAAAAGTAATTGAATAATAATGTATTAACATTGCTTCATTAATTGTAATTAATGTACCATACTAAGGTAGGATGTTGATAATCTCAGAAACCTGGGACTATGGAAACTCTCTGTACTATCTTCTCAATTTTTCTGTAAAAGTATTCTAAGAAATAAAGTCAAGTTTAAAACATTTTATTTATTTATTTATTTATTAAATTTTTTTGACAGTCTTTTAATTATTATTATACTTTAAGTTCTAGGGTACACGTGCACAACGTGCAGGTTTGTTACATATGTATACATGTGCCATGTTGGTATGCTGCACCCATTAACTCATCATTTACATTAGGTATATCTCCTAATGCTATCCCTCCCCCTTAAAAGTGATTGAAAATCTCTGAGATCTGTCTGAGATGCCTTGAAGGGGTGAAGAAGTGAGAGCCAACAGAACATGTTTGAAGGCAGTGGAGGGAGAAAAGTAAAGCTGTTTCTTGTTTATACCCTAAGAGGCCAGTACATTCAATAACAGGTTATATTAGTGATACTTACAGATGGAATGATTTTGAGAGTATGACAAAATTCTGATATTTTCTTCCAAACCAAATGTTGTAAAATGTGTCAGCCTCTCTCCCATTTCAAGCACCATGATACAGAGATGACTAGGGCATGGGATGGGATTGCCTGTGGGTTTTGCTGCCCCAGCACATGTTTCCCCTATTTCTTAGATCAGCTCCTTCATATTCCTTTAGGAAAATATCCCTCCCTGACTCACAGTCCAGGTGACCCAGGAAGAACTGATTCCAATCTCCTCCACACCCTTAATCAAAGATGGGACATGACTCAGGTCTGGCCAATCCTTCAGTTCCCAGTGATCCATTCAGAAATGCACATACAATCCAAATTTTTCCAATGAGTCCCAATCCCCACATTTAAGAGGAGAATCTCTCTTTCCACTACCTGGCTGTGAGAGAGCCATAGCACTGCCAGGCCCACCCAATATAGAGAACTCCCTGGGAATGAAACCAATGTGAAGGAAAAAAGAAAATTAAGCACTAAATCCTGGTGACATCATTTGAGCACCTAGATCAAGCCCTATCTGACACTAAGTATCCCTGGAACCTTTCAATTATGTGACACAATAGTTTCTTTTTTCACTTAAGTCAACTCAAGATGGGTTTCTATTCCTTGCAGGAGAAGGAATCCTGATAAATTCTGTGCAAGTTCCACCCTCGAGCTAATCTAATGTGGGAGACAAACATAGAAAGGAATATAACCAAGATGCCAGCTGGGCCCTCCTGACCCTGGGAGATGCAGGTGCCTGGCTCAGACATCCTCATTCCAAGAGGACAAAGCACTTCCCATGGCTTCTTATTCCCAGAGATGTGCAGCTTCCTGGGCCCATTTGCCCCACACCTGGGTCTGAGGCTGCTCCCTTTGTTTTCACTCTAAATCCACTCAAAAGCAGAACCCCGAATTTTGTCAACTTATCCATATACTCAAAAGCATTCATGAGTGATGCACACTTTCCTGAATGACACATAGGGGAGGCATAGTGCACCTCCTACAGTGATCAGCACAGAACCCCCATCTCAGGCATTCCCTGTACTCCCTAAGTGCTTTCTCAGCTGCCCTTCTGATGGAGGGCAGGAAGAAGACTTTTGACTGGGTCTTCTATCCCTGGAAGAGAAGAGACATCCCAAGTTCCTTTCCTATCCCCCAGCTCTACTCCTAGATCTTTAAACTCCTCTACCTCCATTATGCACAGTGACTCCACTCTAGCTCTCACCCCAAAGTTGTTTATATACAAATACACCAAGGTGCTTGGCAGAACAAAATCTTGCCTGTTAACTTAATCCACTCTCTTTAGAAGCAAACTTGGTAAATAGGAAAATAATATTTTACTAAATATAAAAAACATTATAACACTATGCAGTAAATACTTCACTAGAGAAAGATGTACAGGGTATATGGAAGGGACAGGGAGGGGATCCGTGAACTCTGCCCAAGGGGGCTTTAGGAAGGCTTCCCCATGGAGGTGATACGTGTGCTGATTGTGAAGCATGGGGAAGTTTTTGACAAGTAGAGAAGAGAGGAAGGTCATGACCAGCAGAAGGAAGAGCATATACTAAAATGCAGAGACCAGAGGGGTCCTAGTCGATGTGGGGAGCAGCTTGAGGAGAGTATGGAGGACAAATGGTGAGGAAGGAAGGGCTGAGGAAGTGACTCAGGTGAGGTTGGCAGGAACCCAGTCATGGAGGGTCTTGAGGCCAGTGAGCAGATGGATTCCATCCAGCAGGTGAAAGGAAGCCATTAACAGATTTTAGCAGGACAGCTAGATAGCCAGATTTTGTTTAAAAAGATCAGGCCAGTTTGGAGGAGGTCACCAGTTTGGAGGAGAAATTGGAAGGCTGATGGAAAAGGGGTAGAATTGAGGGGAGAGGAGGTCAGGAAGCTGTTGCAATGATTCAGGCTGAAAATGATGGTGCTCTAATGGGATTGAGAAGACATGGATGCACATTGCAGAGCTTGGTGGCCACTTGAATATGGAAGGAGACAGGGAGGGAGGAAAATTACGTCTTCCTTTAGAGCATGAACTCCTTGACAATGGGTCTATGACTGTTCTGTGAATTCCCAGCACAGGATCTCACATGAGGTAGGTGTTCATTGCTGCACACCTGTATAAACAAATGAGAGCTGACTAATGAATGAGAGTGCCAGGAAAGCTGTGTAGCCTTGCTCAGAGGTGAAGAGGGAAGTGGAGATCACAGCCAGAGATTTATTTCTAAGAAGAAATGTAAGACCGTTAATTGGGAAATGGGTCACAAGATGAGCAACCTGAGAATGGGATGCAAGGGAAGCCAAGCATAGATCAGGGCAGAGCAGGAAGTTCAGGGCTCAGCTGGTGAATGATTCTCAGAGATCTACTATCATGTAGCAGAAAAAGGCCTTGAAGAACCAAGCAGGAGATAAACTTCAGGCAATATGTCCTCTGTACCATGTATGAGGAAGTTAATGCTGTAAAACAAATCTCCCCAAAACTCAATGGCTTACAACATCAGGCATTTATTCTCATGCTCATGGGTCTGCAGGTCACTGTGGTTTGGTGGATCAAGGCTGGACTCAGCTGGACTTGGTAGGGCAGCTCTACTTCAGCCTGCACATTGGCTGAGCTTGGCTGAGCTTTGCTGAGTTTGGCTGAGCTTGGCTGGGCTTGGCTTCAGGCTGCAGCTTTGCCTCAGGGCCACTCCACATGTCTCTCAACCCCCTTGGACCAGAGGCACATTCTTCTCATGGCAAACAGCAGAATGACAAGAGCCCAGACCAAATTGCACAATATATTGAAGGCCTCTGATCAAGTCTTACGTACTATCATTCCATTGGCCAAAGCAACACACATGGACAAACCCAACACATACTCTGCAAAGAGCAAAGCAGTGGCAGAAGGTGAGACTGTGCTATCTTATTCCAGTGGAGTGATTGGGACCAATAATCCAAGCTATCATGCACCATCTTATTTATCCAGAATCTGCAGGCTCCCTCAGACCCTGCCAGTAAGGCACAATTATAATGCAAAATGTTTCCACCTACAGGAGCATGCAAAATTCATGGAAAGCCACAGCTAATGGAGTTCTAGTTAACCGTATCATCTGGGGCCCTCACCCCCTTATTCATACAACCCATGAGTCTAGAGTAATTAGAAGTCTTTTAAGGAAGGTTAAGTTGAAGGGTCTAAGAAATCTAACAATATCCTTATGAAAAATCTTCCTCCCATCTTCTCGGGAAGATTAGAGTGGAGACTTCCTTAGCAAATTCCATCCACGTAAGTCATAGCCACCAAGGTTAGCTATAATGTCACCCACTCCTTTGTCAGTGAGCTCCTCCCTGCACACCACTTCATGCATCTTTTATCACCACCTTAACACCTTTATAAAATATTGATTGCTCATTCCCATGGCCAAGCCAAGGGCCCCAAAATGAGCTTGTGTGCTGATGTCTGGAGTTTGGGGCACTTTGCTGATGACAGAACCCACTTGGGGGACTAGGAAGACCTTCTAGCCCCAGCATGGAAAAAATACTGGAGAGTTAAACTAACATCATGTTTGCCAATGAGAAAATGAGGATCTAGGAGGACAGTTCATGAGAAGGGAGATGAAAGGAAATAAAAAGGTCAGGAGGAAGGAAAAGGAAGCACATGAGTTGACGGTGGGACCAAGCTGAAAGCCTGATCATCAGCTGAATTTGTTGTTAAATTTAATGGGCTGTAGGTGTTGATTGCTCAATCTATAAAATGAGCTATTAATTTGCTGTTCTAACAGGATAGGACCTATCTTATGCAAATTGATTTGAAAGCCAGCATCAGCTCTAAGAGAACAGTTCAGACCTCTCCCAGGCAGAACTGTCCAAGACTTTCCTGCTGAAGGGCACTTAGCCAGCTTGTAACCGTGCCTAGTGAGGGCCTGCCTGGCAGAGGGCCCCTGAAGTCAGGGGACTTGCGTGCCTTGTCCATCTCCCCCACAAGACTTGAGCTCCTTGAGGGCAGGTCTGTAACTGCCCTGTTCACTTCTGCATTCCCAGCACCCAGCATAGTGCCTGGTACCCAGAGGATCTACCACGGCTCTGCATGTGATTTTGGACAAGTTTCTTATTTCTCTCAGTCTCTAGTTCCACCATACATATAGAAGAGGGTTTGGACTGAGTGTTGTCATGGAACTTCCATTATCCAGGTCATCAGTTAACTCTGAGTATGGTCCCTGAATGCTAAGAGACTCTGAGAGATGAGAGAGTAGGTGGAGAGACTGGGGGGCTCTTAGCCCTGGGTCTCACCTGACTCCGTGGGCCTACTCTTCAAGACACAGGCCCTGCTGACCCAGGTTTCATGGAGCCCTGGCCTGAAAAACCTTCATTCCCATCTCACTTTAGTGCTGACTTGCTATGGGACAGTCACTTTTCTATGGGATTCAGCTGACAATGTCAAAGAGAATAATGACTTTGACCTAACAGGACTGCTGGGAAGCTGAAGCTGAAATGATGGAAAGAAAGGTGCTTTAAAACTAAAATATTCTGTGAACATGTCAGGTGAACATTGGCTTTGAAGACAATGTAATCAGGCTTCAAATCCCAGCTCCACCACGTGCCAGCTGTGTGGCTTTGGACAAATCACTTAACCTCTCTCAGCTTCACTTTCCACAGCAATAAGGCTGAAATGATCATTCCTTCCTCACTGGGTTTTCAGGAAAAATTAAGTGAAATAAGGTCTGTAAAGTGCCTAGTACTATAATGCCTAGCACCACAGCACTGGCTATCTAATTTGTAAGACCCAGTGCAACATGAAAATACAGGGTCTCTTGTTTAAAATTTATTAGGAATATAGGCCAAGCACAGTGGCTCACGCCTGTAATCCCAACACTTTGGGAGACTGAGGCAGGCAGATCACCTGAGGTCAGGAGTTCAAGACCAGCCTGGCCAACATAATGAAACCCTGTCTCTACTAAAAATACAAAAACAATTTGCCAGGCATGGTGGCAGGTGCCTGTAAGCCCAGCTACTTGTAGGGTTGAGACAGGAGAATCATATGAACCAGGAAGGTGGAGGTTGCAGTGAGCCGAAATTGCACAACTGCACCCCAGCCTGGGCAACAAGAGTGAGACTCCATCTCAAAAAAAAAAAAAAAAGACAGAAAATAAATAAATAAATAAAATTTATTCAAAATATTAAGATGCAATAGCAGAGCATTGCATCCAAGTCCAGGGTCCCTCTCAGTGCAGGGCCCTGTGTACATCTACAGGTCACACGTAGCTGCTGAGGTATGTTGGGCCCTTCTCTCTCCTCTACCTTAGACCTTGCCTTGCTCAGCATATATAAATAGAATTTGGATTTTTTTAAAGCAAATCACTATTATTATTCCTAAAGCAGCTTCATTTTTCCTCCCTGAAGAGAACTGAGTCACTCATCCTGATAGACACCAGATAAAGGAAGAAAGAAATCAACTTTCTGGCTGCTGGCGAATGCTATAGCGAGAGTAACAGGTTTACAGGATAAGCCAGGAATTATAAGAGGAAATACGTGACCAGTGATGTTTTTCCACACATGGGAAGAAACCATGAGAAGGTTCCTGAAAGCACCATGTTCCTTGTTCACAAACTATCAGTGGTTCCCTGTCCAAAACCTTTAAGAGAATGTCTATTACCCCTATAAAGTTGTTCAATGACCTCTTAATTTTCTAACTATCTTCCCTTGTACCCTACTACGGGCTTCAGTAAAGCTGCTTTCTCATTGACTCCCCTAAATTACAATGCATCTTTCCACCTCTATGCCTTTGTTCTCTCAGCTTCTGCCCCCTAGAATGTACTTTTCCCATTTCTCAGCCTATTAAAACAATTTCCAATCTGAATTTACATTCAGTTTCTTCTAGGAGGCAATGCAAAATAGTCTCCATGACAGGGAGACTGTATTAATTAGCTTCTGAGGCAGTAATGAGCATTTTCAAAATCTCAATGCCAGCTGGGCGTGGTGGCTCACGCCTGTAATCCCACCACTTTGGGAGGCCGAGGTGAGCAGATCACCTGAGGTCAGGAGCTCGACACCAGCCCAGCCAACATGGTGAAACCCCATCTACACTAAAAACACAAAAATTAGCCAGGCATGGTGGTGGACACCTGTAATCCCAGCTACTCTGGAGGCTGAGACAGGAGAATCACTTGAACCCAGTGTGGGAGGTTGCAGTGAGCCGAAATCATGCCACTGCACTCCAGCCTGGGCGACAGGGTGAAACTCGGTTTCAGGACAAAAAAAAAAAAAATCCTCAATGCCTTATAGTACAAACATTTGTCTTTTGTTCACATTACTGGGGAGCTGCTTGCTGACTTTGGGTCAGTTCTATGTGTCTATCTGCTCAGCTCTGCTTAATTTTGCTACATGTGTTTTCTCATCCTGGGACCCAGGGTGAAGGAGCAGCACTTGCCAGGGGTGTGTTATTCTCATGGCAGAGAAAAGGAACTCATGAGAAACAGAGCCAAACCACATGAGCCTTTAAAGCCCCTGCTCAATATGCAAAGCTGTAGGGGTGGGGAAGGACATGCCACCTACAGGAAAACATAGCAAGGGAAGGGAATGAGCAATTGTTAACAAATAACACAACATATTCAGCATTCAGAGAGTGCATTGAGGTCAAATACTCTGTTTTGGATCCCAGTTACTTCAATTATTTGTTGAGTATGTACAGGTAAGCTCTTAAACCTTCTGTGCCTCAATTTCATTATCTGGAATAACAGAGTTAGAGTACTTATTTTTAAGGTACCTAGGAGGTATTCAGTAAGGTAATGTCTGTAAAGTGTGTGGCACAGCCCCTGGCACATGAGAATTACTCATAAATAATATTTTTGTCAATAGTATTTTTTTTTTTTGAGATGGAGTCTTGCTCTGTCATCCAGGATGGAGTGCAGTGACACAATCTCGGCTCACTGTAACCTCCGCCTCCTGGGTTCAAGCGATTCTCCCGCTTCAGCCTCCTGAGTAGCTGGGACTACAGGCACATGTCACCACACCCAGCTAATTTTTTTCTATTTTTAGTAGAAACGGGGTTTCATCATGATAGCCAGGATAGTCTCGATCACCTGACCTCGTGATCCGCCTGCCTCGGCCTCCTAAAGTGCTAATAGTATTTTTTTAATTATGGCTAGTGATAATTTCCCCTTCACTCTTGTGTCCATTTATTCATTCATTTATTCAACAAACATTTTCTCTGCATTTTCTCAGTCAGGCATCTGCCTGAATTTTCATCACAGCATCTTAGTCCTGAGGAGCGTGGGTTCCATTAATAAGTCCTATGATTCCCAAACCAAGAGTTGGCTGACATCCTGAGTCAGCCACACCAATACACACACAACCCCACATTTGTTAGAAAGTCCTAGAGACATTTCCCTCTTGGCCTGGTTCCATTTCAATCTAAGAAATCTACAATCAGTCCAGTGAAGGAACATAGGCATATAAAACTTTAATTAGTTTCATGAAGTTAAAATTGCTTTCATGGGTGGAAGGAATAAGGTGGGGGAGGTTAAGACTAAAACCAAAAAAAGAAGAGAGGAGAAAGAAAAATATAGGTTGTAGGGGCAGAAGAAAATTCTCACATGAGGCTAAAAATGAATCATCTGCATTTGGCTGGAAACGCTGCAAACGTCTTCTGACTCTGCCAAGGAATTGTCTTTGTAAATTACTCAGCTTTTTGAGTGAATGACAAGAACTCTGGAAGAGGGCAGGGGGGACCCTGAGCTGGAAGGGTGATTTAGGTGTCAGGACCAAACAAGAAAGCAGACAGTTCTCTTAAGGATGGACGAGAAAACAAACAAAAAATTTGCTCTCCCACAAATTTCTCCAGCATCGCCCAGACAGTTCGATATAACAGAAAACCCACAAATCCCAGGTCTGCTTTTGCCATCTGTGCAGCCTTGGGCAAGCCACTCTGCTTCTGAGTGTCAGTCCCTCCACTGATAAGAGGCAGCAGCAGGACCAGCCTCTCGGGGTTGTTAGAAGATTAAATGAGATACTGTGTCTGTGCCTGGCACAGAGTGGCCACAGAGAACCTGTCAGTTCCAGTTCCCTTCCTGCATCGAGAAGGAAACCCTGCTGGCTTCAAAGTTAGATGATTCCTATATTAGTCGGGGTTCTCCAGAAAAACAGAACCAATGGGATGCAAATATGTATAGAAACAGATTTATTGTAACAAATTGGCTCATGCAATTATAGAGGCTGACAAGTCCCAAGATCTGCAGTTGGCTGGAGACCTAGAAGAGTTGATTGTGTTGTTCCAGTCTGAAGGCCAGCACATGTGAGACTCAGGAATTGCCGATGTTTCAGTTTGAGTCTGAAGGCAAGGAAAAAAAACTGATGTCTCAGCTCAAAGACAGTCAGGCAGGAGTAATTTATTTTAATTTGGGGGGCAGTAGGAGAGGTCAGCCTTTTGTCCTATCTAGGCCTTCAACTGATTGGATGAGGCCCACCCACATTGAGGAGTGCAATCTGCTTTACTCAGTCTATTGATTTAAATGTTAAGGTCATCCAAAAACACCATCATGGAAACATTCAAGATAACATTTGACCAAATATCTGGGCATCCCATGGTCTAGTCAAGTTGACACATAAAATTAACCAACGCAATGCCTAAGACTTCCGGCCAATGCTAAGATCTTCAAAGAGGACAGTGTCACATCTTGTGTGGAAACACAAATTTGAATTCTTTCTATTTCCAACATTACTGGGAGAATTACAGCAACTAAAACCCAGGAGGCACGGCACCACAATCATTTGTCATAAAAGAAATCACTCACTGAGCCTCTTTCTCACTCTGTTAAAAGGAGACAATAGCACCTTCAGTATTAACAAGACACTGCAGGGGGTTAAAAAGAAGAATGTTGTGCATGTGTGTGTGAGTAGTGTACTGCAGGTCACATATGTGTGCAGGAGAAATCAGGGCATGGCCCCTGTACCAGTTGTACCTGTTGGCATGCATTCAGCTGCAAGTAACAGAATAAACCAAAAAACAATTCCTTGAACAATAAAGATAAACAATCATCTCACATGAGAAGAATCCTGGATTTAGGGCAGAATTGATTTATTCAGCAAATCAATGTTGTCAGAGCCCTGGGTCAGGCCCTCCCAGGTTCTCCTGGCCTTTTTGTCAGGGTCTCAGGCTAAAGTAGCTCACATTCCTCACAGGACAGTCGTCCCCACTGGAAAGGAGGGAAGGATTAGGGAAAGGGCTTTCTCATTCTTTATCTCATTCTCTTAAGAACAGACAAACTTTCCGGGACTCCCCCAGCCGACTTTCCCTTACATCTCATTCACATGACCTTTGCTAAGAAGAATAGTATCACCATGACTGTCTTGGTAAATAAATCCTGATTTATTCCCTAGTTCTGGGCACATTGGCCCCAATCAAAATCAATATTCAATCAAAAAGAAAATAATTGGATGGGCGACCAACACCATCCACCATTGCTTTCTACAAGGGCTTATCAATCAAGAGTAGTAGGTCAGAGCCAGGTGCAATGGCTCACACCTGTAATTCCAGCACTTTGGGAGGCCAAGATGGGCAGATCACCTGATCTCATGAGTTCAAGATTAGCTTGGGCAACATGGCAAAACCTCGCCTCTATAAAATATCAAAAATTAGCAGGTGTGTTGGCGTACGACTGTGTCCCAGCTACTTAGGAGGCTGAGGTGGGAAGATCACTTGAGCCCAGGAGGCAAAGGTTTTAGTGAACCATAATGGTACTACTGCACTCCAGCTTGGGTGACAGAGTCGCACCCTGTTTCAAAAAAAAAGAGCAGTAAGTCAGTTTAAAGTAGTATTAACATGGCTCTGAAAGTAAAGAGGAATTGAAGCAAAGAAAAATTTATCCCTAGAAGAGACAGACCATTTTTTATTTAAGAACTATCCCTCTATTTTAAGCCAAGAGAGTCTCAAAAAACATCAGTAGGAATGAAGGTAGCATAAACTGAAGAGAATCTCATTTTAGCAACCTCAGCCCCCTCTTAAGCAATAATATAAACTAACATTATGCGATCACCAAACAGGGTTTAGGAGGGTTGAATTCTCAGTAGTAAATAGTAGTTTATTATTAATTCCTTTACTTTGTTCTAAAAGGTATGTCTTATTAATTTTGTATTATGCTTACTTAGTTTTGCTATTTGCTCATGATTAGTTTATCTTTTGTTCATAAACTTGGAGAATCTGGAGTTCTTGTTTCCCTTGTTTCTGAATCAAAGATCCACATTCTTACAGCTACATTGCCAGACTCTTAAATCATCCCCTGTCGAGCACCTGATACCTGTTTCCTGTTTGCCCCTGGGGGAGTCTGGCACCTGTTTGCCCCTGGGGAAGTAGTATCACAGAATAGAGGTAAAATTCTCTGGCAGAAATCTGTAAGACTGAGTCAAAAGGACACTGCTCATAGCAGATGCTCAATAAATGTTTGTTGAATTAACTAATTCTCAAGTGAAATAAGTAAACTATGGCAAAAATATGACATCTTGCTCAGCTCTCTCCTGGACTGGGTTACATAGCTGGTTGATGGTTTGCTTGGTGGGTTGGTTGGTTGGTTGTTTGGTTGGATGATTTGTTGGTTGGTTGGTTAGTAGGCTGGTTGGTTGGTTGGTTGGTTGGTTGGTTGGTTGGTTGGTGAGTTGGTTAGTTGGTGAGTTAGTTGGTGGGTGGGTGGATGGGTGGGGTGGTAGGTTGGCTGGATGGTTGGTTCCTACTATGTGTAAAGCACTTTGCTCAGTACTGATCCTCAAAAGGCATCTGATGTGAGTGGGACAGGAAGACTGCTCCATCCATTCCTTCACCTACTTCAAGCCAGAATCTATGCTAGGCTCTGTAGAGAGAGAGAGAGAAAAAAAAAACTCAGTCCCAGATGAACAGGAGAGACAGTGAGGGAAACAAATAACAATGACCCAGAGAAGTAAATGCTAGGACAGAGATGGAAAAGACTTGTGAAAAGGAAGCAGTAGATCAAGTGCTTAGGCACATGGGCTCTGGCCAATGCCTGTTGGAATATTTATGCCACCACTGACTTGCTGGATAGACTTCTGCAAGTCACTCAACCTCTCTCTGCCAGGGTTATGATGAAAATTAAATGAGAAATAAATGGAAAATGTTTAGCATAGGGCCTGATCAAGAGCAAGAGCTCATGAAATGTCATTACAGTTATTATAAAGAAAGTCAGAAGAGACTCGATGGGAAGGGCTGCAAAGTATAAGTAGGTGTTTCCAGGAAGGGCCTGAGAAGGACATTTGGAGAGACAGTAGAAAGAGCGTGGGCAAGAGCAGAAGGGTGGGAAAGGACAAGTGTTTAGAAAACTAGAAGAGGTTTGGGATAGATGGAGATGAGGCTAAGTGGAAAGGATGACAAACTAAAATGCTGAGCTAGCACCATTCTGGCTCACTCTCCCAAGGTCAGCACGGAAGGAGCTGGACAGGGAAGACACTAAGAAACAAGAGAATGGTGAGAAACCCCGTGGGGAGGGGTCTTTTTTGAACAGGCTTGGATGAGTGTCTTTGACCTGAGTAAGGAGTCAGCCCAGCTAGATTGTGGGCAGTCAAAGGAGGAGAGGAACAGGTGAAGTCCTACAGTTCCTTCTCAGCCACCACCGTCTTGGAACACTGTTCACATCTGTGGCCTAGGAAACCTCAGGAATAAAATCAGAGAGGTACAGGAGCTCTGCACTTGAGAAAGGCTAATAAGACAGGTCGGGCCAACTAACTTCAGGAAGCCCCTTCCCCATTTCTTCCCGTCCACACTCTCAAGCAGTCTAAGAAGGGGCTCACCCAAATGCTGCTTTTTACTGAGGCAGTGGGTACTCCCAACCCCAACCTGAGGACCTGTTTAGTGAGGTGAGGAGTAACTGGCTATGGTTTTATGATGCCACGGCTTCTCCACTTCCTCAAGCTGGCCTCCTTGCATACACATTGCCTGACAGTAGCCCACATCCTTGGGGGAAAGATAAGTTTATAGGAAAACATGACTAGACATTTAAGCAGCACAGCTATGGCAAAAGAAAACAACAACAAAACATCAACAGCAGCAGCATTCTGGAACAGAAATTCCATCCGAAGCAGAAATATTAGACCAGAGGCAACAAGAATTTTAAATTAACCTAATCAACGTATGAAAGAAGATAAAGGAAGATCGTAGCAATATGAAGCAGGAAAAACAAAAAGACCCAGGAGAAATACTGCATATGGGAAGTGGAATCATTACACAATGAACAGAACAATTGGAATGAATTGCTGAAGAATGAATTAATCAATGGGAAAAACAGATCAAGGAAACCCCTCTGAAGGAGGAATCAGTAAACGAATGAACTAGTTAAGTAAAAGAAAAGCTACATGAGATGGATGCAGAAGCAAAAGTGCTAACATCCAGATAGGAGATTCAGAAAGAAATCAAAATGGAGATGAAAAAATATTTGAGATAATAATGGAGAAAAATGTCCTGCAAAAATGGAAAGGACTGAGAGAGTGAAGAGAAGACATAAGGAAAAGCTACACCCAGAGATCTCATGGGGAAACATGAGACATGTTCAAGACACAGGAGGTAACAGGATGAAGCCAACATGAGTTGGAGGGAGAGGAGGTAAAAACTTTAGGTCCTAAACCTGAACCTGATCTGAGGCTCCAGTTCCCAGACTAGAGATCACCACCCTGATCCCATTCAATTATCTCATTTCCCCTGTGGTTTTCCTTCAAGTTGCAGTTGCAGTTTGTCAGGCTGATTTTTTTTTTTTCTTTTGAGACGGAGTCTTGCTCTGTCGCCCAGGAGTGCAATGGCATGATCTCAGCTCACTGCAAGCTCCACCTCCCGGGTTCACGCCATTCTCCTGCCTCAGCCTCCCGAGTAGCTGGGACTACAGGTGCCCACCACCACACCTGGCTAATTTTTTGTATTTTTAGTAGAGACAGGGTTTCACGGTGTTAGCCAGGATGGTCTTGATCTCCTGACATCGTGATCTGCCTGCCTCGGCCTCCCAAAGTGCTGGGATTACAGGCGTGAGCCACCACACCCAGCCCTGTCAGGCTGATTTCTTAGTGTCATTGTTAGATTCATGTTTCCTCCTCTACTGCAAGCATCATGAGGGCAGTGGCTGCATCTCTTTGCTCCCAGGCATATATGGAACACGCAGAGTTACCACTAAATAGCTATTTGTTGGATGGATTAATTCATATTCCAATCTAAGTATGTCATTGCCCAGTGACCATTCCTTGTGCCCCAGTGTCCCACCATGGGGACATGGCCTGCTTGGCTGGGATGCTGACATCCTGCCTAATGATGGCCAGCCACCTCCCCCAACCCAAAGGACTGGATCCAGCCTCCCCTGCTGCCCCATGCCAGTCACAGGTTGGGGTCTAACAGAATCAAACCAAAGGTCCAACACGGGAATCCACTCTTCCCCATGCCATCTCTTTGTCCCCTTTGCCTGCCTGCTCGGTCCCAGTATTGGATTTAGAAAGGAGGAGATTCTCATGGTCACACAGCACCAGGATGAGAACCCTAGACCTCCTGATTCTCAAAACAGGATGTTCTGTCCCACTTTACATTGAACTCAGAGGACACCCATGAATGCAAGTTTTCCAAAGTGGGTCACTTTTTAGCTCTAGATTTGAGGAAATGATGGAACACAGATACTTGTAAAGTCACTGCTATCCTCTTCCTGTCACTCCTGTAGTATTAGCTCTGGAGTCAGACAGATCAGGGTTCCACCCCAGCTCTGACACTGGCTAGCTGGGTGCCCTTCCACAATCACATCTCTCTCTGAGCCTCAGCTTCCTCCCCTCTAAAAGGTGGATATTAATTCCTGAGTCCCAGGTGTGAGGATGAAAGCAGATCATGTGCATAAAGTACTTAGCACCATCCATGGTGCACAGTAGGCACCCAATAAATCTACTTTCCCCATCTGCTTTCTTCCTGTGGCTCAGTGTGGCAAGGAATTTAGTGAGCACAAGGGTCATGTCTCTGTTGCTCATCCTTGTACCTCCACACAGTATTGGAGATATAGGAGGTGCTCCATAGATATTTGCTGACTGAGAGGATGAGTATGAATAAATGAGTAGATTAATGAGTGAATGAGAAGTTTTCCATTCTGATTAGGCTGGGAATTAATGGGAGGTGTTAGGTTGTATGATGGCCTTTGTTAGTGTAAAATAAGTCACTGAAATGGAGCAAAGCAATCCTTTCTGTCATATTACCAAATCCAAGACAGTTCTCATCCAGGAATTTACTGGGCCAACCTCACTGTCGGGAAAATGCCTAAATTCTCAGGAGACGAGCAGTGTGCTATGCCACATAATCTCAGCCTCTAATACTTAACACTATAAGCTCTGCTAATAACTCCAGGTCACTTGTTTAGGAAACAGAGATAAAGATTTGAAAATTTTGCATATTAACACATACAATCTACCACCCAATGTTGTTGACTCTGAGTCCTAGATATTTCAATTCACTTCCCTCCTGCTTGCGTTCTGAGAACACAGTTATTTCAGGACATGTAAATGGAGAGGGATCATTGCTATATGGTTTCATTCTGGAACTTTTATGTCATTCCACATAGAGCCAGTTTCCACACACATTGCCAAGATAAGCCCCTTCCCTGCAGGAAGGAATGTTTCTGGAGCTAAACATGAACAATGATACCCTTAAGTTTGAGTCTGACTCTCCTAGTGATCTGTGACTTTCTGCAAATTGTATAAATTCTCAATGTTCATTCATTCATTCATTCATTTACTCCCTGCCTTCTTCCCCTCTCTTAATCCTGCTAATTTAATACTGAAACATAGACGTACTCTTTTGTGGCAGATTAAAGATGGCTTCTAAATCTTTGACCACCTTCCAGTCAAGAGGTTGGCTGCATGTGCTCTCTCTTTGAATCTGGGCATGCTCTGTGGCTGCTTGGACCAACAGAACACAGCAGCAATGATGCTGTGCCAGTTTCTAGGCCAAGGATTTAAGAAACCAGAAGCTTCTACTTCTTGTATTTGGGACCACTCTCTGGGAATTCTGAATGTCCTTAAAAGAAGTTCAGCTTCCCTGAGCCTACGGTGTTGGAGAGGACACATATAAGTGCTCTTGTCAATAGTCTCCACAAGCCTAGCTTTCCAGCCACTCTCCCAACCAGGGCACCAGACATGTGAGTGAAGAAGACACCATGTGGGTGGATTCTCCAGGCCCTGCTGTCCCAGCAGAAGCCTCATTGGTCAGCAATTAACTGCCCAGTTGAGCCATTTCCAAATTCCTGACCCAAAAATTATGATCAAAATAAAATGGCAGCTTCAAGCCACTAAGTTATGGAGCAACTTACTAAACAGCAGTAGATGACCAAAACATCTTTTCTACAGAGAGCATCAGAGCACATTGTGATTGAATCTAAAGGTGTGTTTGCTGTTGAGTTCTTCTTGTTTGTTGTTCATTTGGGGAATTCACGTTTGTAAACAAAAATCCAGAGAGAAGACAGCACCTAGAAAGAAAGGGAAGATCAAACACAAACAGGCCGTTTTAAAAAGAGGTAATGAGTAGCTGGGCGTGGTGGCTCACACCTACAATCTCAGCACTTTGGGAGGCTGAGGTGGGTGGATCACCTGAGGTCAGGAGTTCAAGACCAGCCTGGCCAGCATGGTGAAACCCCGTCTCTACTAAAAAAAAAAAATCCCAAAAAATTAACTGTGCCCAGCTACTCAGGAGGCTGAGGCAGGAGAATCGCTTGAACCCAGGAGGCAGAGGTTGAAGTGAGCTGAGATTCCACCACTGCACTCCAGCCTGGGTGACAGCGTGAGACTCCATCTCAAGAAAAAGAAAATAATAAAAAATTAAAATAAAATAAAAAGTGGTAATGAAAATAGCTAATAAATATTATAGTATTTATTTGACCAAACTACAATGAAAGAAACGCAATTTGAAACAAGAATGAATGTTCTTTCAGCTGTAAAATTAGCAAACTTTTTTTTAAATGATAATTGTCTATGCTGGTGGAAGGAAGTGGAGCACTGAGTACACTCAGAGACAGCCAAAGGGAGTAAAAGTGGGTACAATATTTCTGGAAAACAAATTGACTGGTAAATTTTAGATCTGAATATCTCTCCTAGAAAAATAATCTGACATGTGGACAAAGATTTATGCAGAAAATGTGTTCATCACAGTGTCATTCATAATAGTAAAATATGATGGTTAAAAAATACTTAAGTGTTGGATTTCAGGGAATGGCTAAGTAAATTGAACTGCCTCCACAAGATGGAATATTGTGCCGCCATTATAAATGATGCTTATGAAGTGTTCTTAACGACATGGAAAAATGCTTAATGATATAACATTAAGTAAAAGAGCAAGACAGAAAAAGGTTATAAAGTATGATTTCAACTACTTTGAAAAGCATAAAAAGACTGGAAGGAAATACGATAAAATGTTAATAGTGTTTATCTGTGGGAGGTGGAATTATGGGTGGTTGTTTTTCTTATTTATTCTTTGCTGTATTTTCAACATTGGGGATGCATTATTTCTGCAATTTGAAGTGTTTTCTTTTTCTTTTAGCAAGAAAATGGATTGTCAACAGTGGTAAATCTTATGTCCAAGTTAGAAGGTATCGGGAGATTTTTAAGAGTCTCTGGGATTGAAAACCTGTGGTAATACAGACCTCTCAGGGTGAAGTTTACTTTTATCCCTGTCTATGATAGGAACAATATTTGCTGAGTGCATGAATGGTGCAAACACAGACTCTGCCTCCACTTCAGGGTTTGATTTGATAAGTAAACACCCCTCACTCCCAGGATGTAGTTCTGGGCTCACCATATGAGACTCGTTTGGGACTGAGAAACTTAAAACCACTGAGGCAAATGAAAATAGGTCAGAATCCAGGTAAATTGTCCTTAGACTCAAAATGACAAAGTCTTTGAATTTCAGACGCCAGGAATTGCTTCTGTGGCTCCCTGGGCACCTGTTTTTGTGGCAACTTCATACGATGTTATTTATGAAGAAATGAATGGGAAAGCAGAACTCCTCTAGTACGTAGAATTATAGAATTTGGGGGCTACGGGAGACTTTCAGAATCATATTTCTAGTCCAAATTTCTGTTTTACTCATGAGAAACACAAGCTCAAATAGGTGAGGGGCTTTGCGCAAGCTCAGCCAATGAGTCAGTGCAGAGCTGGAACTAAAACCCAGATCTCCCGACTGTTGCTGCACCACTCAGTGCTGCCTTCTTCTGGGCCTGACTGGCATCAACTCACTCGGTGATACTCAGCTTATTTCTTTTGTTTATAGTCTGTATTTCCCATGAGTGCATGGACCTTGTCTACGAAGTACATGGTAGGTGCTCAATAAATATTTATTGAATGGAAAAATGGATGGATGAATGGATAATAGATAGATGGACATGAACGGACGGACAGATGGAAGGAAGGATGGATGGATGGATGGGTGGATGAGTGGGTAGACGATAAATGGATGGATGGGTGGGAGGATGGGTGAATGAGTCAGTGGATGGATGATGGATGGATGGACAACCTGAGGCAGAATGGTATAATGAAAAAGCCATGGAGTTTAGACCATGGGTTGACCTGGGGCCAAATCCCAGCACTGCCACTTGTCAGCTGCATAACCTCAAGTAAACAACTCAACTTTTCTGAGCCTCGGGTAATTTTCTTGTAAAATTGTGGTCATAACACCTCAAAAGTGTTTTGACAGTTAAATGAGAGGAGATAATATATACTGTATAAAAAGATTTTGCCAAATTCCTGCCACCACAGTAATTGTTAATTAAATGTTACCTTCTCTTCTCCTCCCATGAAAGGAAGTCTAAAGCATGGCTATTGTCACCTAAGTCTTGACATGGAGGTACCAGTTTCACACTGGCTTCAGATGTTTGTGTGTGATGGACTCACCTGCATATTCTGGGACAATGTCTTCTCATATTGTGTCCATCAAAATAAGTGTCAGGTCAATTCAATAGCATTTATTAAGTATCTAGGTTAATGCTAAGATCTAGAGAGGTCACAGAGAAAAGTTTTCAAGCCTTCAAGTTTTTGTAGAGAAAGAACTGATATATATTCAGACAATTAAGAAGTTTATGTATCCATGATTCCTCAGCTCAGGAGAGGGGTAACAATATCCCTAGACCAGGCACAGATGGCTATAAGACAAGAGCTCCAGTCCGGCTCAAAATCTCCCCTTGTATAGGAATCTCTAGGAGATATGACCCATAAACTCAAACTATTAGATGTCCTGGCTGAGATGTAGCACCTGCCATTTCCTCCTCACTCGGAGTATTGCTGTGTGGATTCACCTTCCTCCAAGTTCAGTGGTGATGTCAATATTTAAAAGGCCTCAAAGAAAGGAGAGCTCACTGTGTGGTGAGCAGCTAAGGATATCTCCTGGAAGAGGTGGCCCTGGGCTTAGAACAGGGACATACATACACACCATTTGTGCCCTTACTCCCCTACCTCATCCAATCAATTATGGCACACCTTACACTGAACTCAGAACCCTTCTCAAACCCAGGGTATTCCAATAGAAATTCCAAAAAAAATTACTAGAAAAGTCTCCACATTTCGTAGTAAAGAAATATATTTTAAAACAATGCTTTGGTCAAAGAATAAATAATATTTAAAATTAGCCAGGCTTGGTGGCTCATGCCTATAATCCCAGCACTTTGGGAGGCTGAAGCAGAAGGAGTGCTTAGGGCCAAGAGTTCAAGAACAGCCTGGGCAACATAGATAGACCTCATCTCCACTTAAAAAAAATTAATAATTTAAAAAAATCAGCTGGGTATGGTGGTGCACACCTGTTATTCCAGCACTTTGGAAAACTGAGATGAAAGGATTGCTTGAGCTCAAGAGTTTGATTGAGGCTGCAATGAGCTATGATTGCACCACTGTACTCCAGCCTGGGCAACAAAGTGAGACCCTGCTTCTAAAAGAAAATAATAAAGTAAAAAAAAAAAAATGAAAAGTAGAAAATACTTTAACTGAATGATAATGAAAATAGTACGTATCAAAACTTATGGGATGCAGCTAAAACTGTGCACAGTGGGAAAATTACAGACTTAATTGCATATATTAGGGGAAAATACTCTTGCTTTCATCTCTTCGTTCTTGAAAACAAATTTTTTACAAAGCAAGGAAAAGTCTGAACCTCGGTGACCTAAGCTTCCATCTCAAAAACTTTGAAAAAAGACAGCAAAATAAAGCCAAAAGAAGTAGGAGACAGGAAATAAAAAACAGAAATTAATGAAAAAGGAAACAAAGAACAATAGAGTTGATAAACAAAGTCAAAAGCTTATTCTCTGAAGACTAATAATTTTGATAATCTCTGGCAAAAGTCATCAGAGGAAAAAGAGAGAAAAAGCATTAATAACCAATATCCAACATCAGTAATGACAAAGGACATTATTGCAGGATCCTATCAAAATTTAAAATCTAATAACAGAATGTTATAAACAACTTTGTGCAGACAGATTTGAAACTATAATTGAAATTAACAAATCCCTAAGAAAACACAGTCTAACAAAATTGACACAAGAGGGAACAAATAATTTATCTGTTACTGAACTTGAATCCATAATGGAAACCTTCCCACAAAGAAAAACCTCAGAGCCACACAAGTGGTTTCACTAGTAAATGCCACTGAATACTTAAGGAATAATGCCAGTCTTATACCAACCCTTCCAGAGAATGTAAACTCTTCCCAATTCATTTTATTTTATAAGGGCAACATACTCTCGATGCCAAAACCTGACAAACAAATTATAAGAAAAGAAAATTACAGACCAATTTCTCTCATGAATCCAGATGCAAAAATTCTCAACAAAATATTAACAAAAAATTTAAAGAGTTGATCCATTTCTCTAATTCAAGACAGCTTATTAAGTAAAGATGCTCATGGAATCCTAAACTTACCCTAAATTGGGATAAACTGAGGTCCTCTTTTTCCTTTTTTTTTTTTTGTTTGTTTTTTGTTTTTTGTTTTGTTTTGAGATGGAGTCTCACTCTGTCACCCAGGCTGGAGTGCAGTGGCACGATCTCAGCTCACTGCAACCTCCACCTCCTGGGTTCAAGCAATTCTCCTGCCTCAGCCTCCCAAGTAGCTGGGACTACAGGCGTGCGCCACCACGCCCGGCTAATTTTTGTATTTTTAGTAGAGACAGGGTTTCACTATATTGGCCAGGCTGGTCTCAAACTCCTGACCTCGTGATCCACCAGCCTCAGCCTCCTAAAGTGCTGGGATTACAGGCGTGAGCCACCGCGCCCAGCCAAGGTCCACTTTTTCTACCAGGAAGCTAAGGATCCTAGAGGGTCAAAGATGCCATCACTAATATTTTTGAGTAAATGAAGAAGGAAAGAAGTAGAATGAATGAACAGAGAAACACACTGCAATTGTATGGGGAAAAGAAAATAGAGGGAAGACGTTGCAGGCAAAATCATCCACAATTATACAAATTCCACCTTAGAGTAGAGCCCAGCACGCCTGGGAAGGGCAGAGAGAAGCTGATCGTACAGGCTTTCTGGGAGCCTTAACATCATTGTGTCTTAAAAGGGTGAGGAGCAGGGGAAAGGAGGAGGAAAGAGACTTTGGGACTCAGCATTTCCATATCAGATAATGGACTTTAAGAGCATTTGGTTTATGACTGAATCTTATACCCTACACTCCCTCCCACCTCTATTCTCTCCACTGAACAAGTAAAAGTGCCTCTTAGCACAGCAGATTCAAGAGCAGAGATTCACTTGAGATGACTGTACCACAGTGTGCTCATTCCCGATTGGAGTGAAATGGTCTCATCGCCTTTGAGTTGGGTCAGCTGCTGAGATGATCAGGGATCTGCTGGAAAGAAGCAGGGGGACAGAGGCTGATCCACATCCCACCTCTGCTCTGAGCTCTCAGGGAGACTGACATGAGGTCAGTCACCATCACCGTGGGAGTTCACAGAAACAGTCAGCATAATGGAGAGAAAGCCAGTGGAAGGGGAGCTTCGAAGATGGAGACTCCAGCCTTCTCTTTCCCCATGGGAGTGATGGGCCCAAGGTTACCAAGCAACAAAAGGCCTTCTCTCCCCCTGCCACTCTCAACTGGGCTGTGTTGGGTGGAATATGGGCAGAGCTCAGTTCATCACTGACTTTATTTATTGAACAGGTTTTCTACCTGAACTCCTCACCTCCTTTCCAATCCTGAAATGAATTAGGTCATATGAAGTCATAAGTGCTCTTCTGAGCCTCCCCTATTCTCCAACTTTCCAGTCATTCATTCACTCGTTCAACAAACACTTACCCAGCTGGTCGAAGTGGAAAGGGCACAAGCTTTAGAATTGTGCTATTTATGATTAAGTCATTTAAGTGAGTCACTTCCCTTCCTCTGAGCCTCAGCATTTACACCTGTAAATGGGGCTAACAACTTGAAAGACTAAGCCTGAAAGGTAGTAAGGATTAGATTCTTTTGCCAGTCATTAAAACAACCACTCCCCCCTCCCTCTCCCTCTCCCTCTCCCTCTCCCTCTCCCTCTCCCTCTCCCTCTCCCTCTCCCTCTCCCTCTCCCTCTCCATGGTCTCCCTCTCCCTCTCCATCTCCACGGTCTCCCTCTCCACGGTCTCCCTCTGATGCCGAGCCAAAGCTGGACTGTACTGCTGCCATCCCTGCCTGATTCTCCTGCCTCAGCCTGCCGAGTGCCTGTGATTGCAGGCACGCGCCACCACACCTGACTGGTTTTCGTATTTTTTTGGTGGAGACGGGGTTTCGCTGTGTTGGCCGGGCTGGTCTCCAGCTCCTAGCCGCGAGTGATCTGCCAGCCTCAGCCTCCCGAGGTGCCGGGATTGCAGACGGAGTCTCGTTCACTCAGTGCTCAATGGTGCCCAGGCTGGAGTGCAGTGGCCTGATCTCGGCTCGCTACAACCTCCACCTCCCAGCCACCTGCCTTGGCCTCCCAAAGTGCCGAGATTGCAGCCTCTGCCCGGCTGCCACCCCATCTGGGAAGTGAGGAGCATCTCTGCCTGGCCACCCATCGTCTGGGATGTGAGGAGCCCCTCTGCCTGGCTGCCCAGTCTGGAAAGTGAGGAGTGTCTCTGCCCGGCCGCCATCCCATCTAGGAAGTGAGGAGCGCCTCTTCCCGGCTGCCCATCGTCTGAGATGTGGGGAGCGCCTCTGCCCCGCCGCCCCGTCTGGGATGTGAGGAGCGCCTCTGCCCCGCCACAACCCCGTCTGGGAGGTGAGGAGCCTCTCTGCCCGGCCGCCCTGTCTGAGAAGTGAGGAGACCCTCCGCCCGGCAGCTGCCCCGTCTGAGAAATGAGGAGCCCCTCCGCCCGGCAGCCACCCCATCTGGGAAGTGAGGAGCATCTCCGCCCAGCAGCCACCCCGTCCGGGAGGGAGGTGGGGGTCAGCCCCCGCCAGGCCAGCCGCCCCGTCCGGGAGGTGGGGGGCGCCTCTGCCCGGCCGCCCCTACTGGGAAGTGAGGAGCCCCTCTGCCCAGCCACCACCCCGTCTGGGAGGTGTACCCAACAGCTCATTGAGAACGGGCCATGATGACAATGGCGGTTTTGTGGAATAGAAAAGGGGGAAAGGTGGGGAAAAGATTGAGAAATCGGATGGTTGCTGTGTCTGTGTAGAAAGAAGTAGACATGGGAGACTTTTCATTTTGTTCTGTACTAAGAAAAATTCTTCTTCCTTGGGATCCTGTTGATCTATGACCTTACCCCCAACCCTGTGCTCTCTGAAACATGTGCTGTGTCCACTCAGGGTTAAATGGATTAGGGGTGGTGCAAGATGTGCTTTGTTAAACAGATGCTTGAAGGCAGCATGCTCGTTAAGAGTCATCACCACTCCCTAATCTCAAGTACCCAGGGACACAAACACTGCGGAAGGCCGCAGGGTCCTCTGCCTAGGAAAACCAGAGACCTTTGTTCACTTGTTTATCTGCTGACCTTCCCTCCACTATTGTCCTATGACCCTGCCAAATCCCCCTCTGTGAGAAACACCCAAGAATGATCAATAAAAAAAAAATTAAATTAAAAAAAAAAAAGGTAGTAAGGATTAACTGTGAACTTACTCATAAAGCTTATAATGCAGTGACTGGCATTTTATCAGTTTAAGAAATGTTCATTTCTCTCCTCCCTATGTGCAGACTGTGGGACTACAAAGGTGAATCAGATGTTTTTGCCTGACAAGAAGCTCATAATATAATAAAGATGACAAAAATATACATGAGAAATTAAAATGCCTGGATGAAAGACAGTGCAGTTTCATGTAAATGTACCTAAATACTATGAGGGTGTAGAGAAGAAAAGGAAGAGCTGAGATGCCCAGAACGAATCCTCAGAGTGCCTGGCATTTGAACTGGTCCCAAGGTTTCTCAGGGGGAGGGGGAACATGAATTTTGCCATTCAGAGACAGGATGGGGGTAGCACTTGGGCAGACAGTGTGGACAATTCACTGCAGCAAAACTGTGGAAGCAGGAAGGCCCAGGGCATGAACCAGGGTGGAGCAGTGTGTGGTCTGTATGGTGGAGGGTCTCAATGAAGAAGTGCAGTGGAGATGAAGCTGGAAGTCTGCAACGACCCTGTAGGGCCCTGAATGCCAAGTTGGAAGTTTTGGCCACGTCTGGGTAAATGATGACATTAAACATGGACAATGAGGTCACTTAGGATCTGCTACTAAGGTAATGTTTGAGGCCATGCCTTCCCTTCTCCTTCTCTTTGGATAGACGCTGTAAGGACCAAAGTGCCGGGAGGTATTCCATGCGCCCCACCGTCACGGCATATCATTAACCCACCATCATTCCCAGCCTCCACAGACTTCTGACTCCTCTGTTTCCCAGGGGGAAACTCATTCTCAACAATGTGTCACCCACATAAGGGGACCAAGTCTGGGAGGTGGTGTGGGCCACGGGCTTGCTCACAACTCAGTGTCAGACTCTCGTGAGGCCCCAGTCACTGACGGCCACAACAGCAACCAGACAAAACAGAAACTGCCCTTCACCAGCTGAGCTTCCCTCTTAAACATCTCTGAAACCCATCAGCTTCTGCATCACTGCCTCCCTGCTAGCTCAGGCCCCCACCTTCCCAGCCAAAGGGTTCTATCCAAAACCTCTGGATTGTAACACACCCTGTGTGAAACCTTCACTGGCTCCCATTGTCCAAGGACAAACTGCAGACTCCTGTGCATGGACTTTAAGATGCTCCCAGATCCGGCACCTGCTGAAGTCTGCAGCCTCACTCCTGCTATTCCCCAGACCACCCCCATTCCCACCCAGCCAGATTGGACAATCTTGAGTTCTTGGAAGCCGCTGTATCCTCTCTCACCTCCAGACTTTGTGTATGTTTTTCCCCACACCTGGAATTCCTTTCCCTCCCTCTTAATTCTTACCCCATAACATTTATCTTCACCCAGTGTGATAGGTTTGTGTCCCCTCAAAATGCATACATTAAAGTCCTAGCCCCCAGTATTTGTGAAGATGACATTGTTTGGGGATAGAAACTTTAAAAAGATACATTAAAATGGGGTCATTTGTGGGGTCCCTAATCCAATATAACTGGTGTCCTCATGAAAGGGGAAATTTGGAGAAAGGTACACAAACAGGGAGAATGTCATGTGAACATCAGGGCAGAGACCAGCGTGATGAGTCTACAAGCCAAAGAGTGCCAAAAATTGCAGACAAACCACCAAAAGAGAAAAGATGTTTGGAACAAAGTCTTCCTCACAGTCCCTCAGAAGGAACCAGCCCTGCTGACACCTTGATTTTGGACACTGGCCTCCAAAACTATGAGACTATACATCTCTGTAGTTTAAGCCATGCAATTTGTGGTACTTTGTTACAGCAGCCTAATTAGCAAACTAATATATCCCATTTACTCCTAATCACCCATCTGAGCTCAGCTTAGAGTCCTTCCTCCTGGAAATCTTCCCTGACTCCCCTCACCCCCAGAGTGTGTTAATGCCTGAGCTCTGCATTCCAAAAGCATCCTGTCCTCCCTGGTATGGTAGTACCCATCCCACTGCCTGGGCTTTGCTTGTATGCTTGTTTCTCTCCTCAGCCAGTCCTGAGCACCATGAGCGCCGGGCTTCATCTGTCTGCCAACCACTGTGTTCCAGAGCCCAGTTTGCTGCCCAGGACTGAGAAAGGCTCAATATGTGACTATTACATGAATGAATGAATGAGTAGAGGCTAATAACAGCCAGGGCTAAGATAATGTATTCAAAAAGAAGCAACCAGAAACTCAAAATACTCAGTGTTCCCAAAAGTGTGGAGAGCTCAGTTTGAACCGGGGGCAGGTCTGAAAGCTCCCAGCAGGCTGAGGGGAGCCCTGTTCAATCAGGCTCACCCCAGCCTGGATCAGGGTATTCTGTGGAGAATTGTGCAAAATGGTTTGGAGTTTTTGTTGTTTGGTGGGGGTGGGCAGGAGCCAACTCATGAAGGGTGGGGACTGCTGAGAGCTGGGTATGACGGCTGGAGCAGGATCCCCCCAAGCAAGAAGGGCTCCATCAGGATTCAAATTCCAGCTTCAAATCACAAAATCCAGACTGTGGGAAATTTAACAAGACTCAGTCCATGGTTTTATCAACAAAATATTACGATGAAAGAAAAGAGAGGTGGAGAGGGTACCTTCAGATCAAAAGCCACCTAGAGGCTAGCTGAGGGGGAAATCCTTTCATGCCAAGCACAGAAACCAAATCCAAGCCCTACAGATTGAGCTGGGTAAGTGATGTTTAGGGCAGAGTTGCAGCCTGGTGAGCACCCAGGAAGCAGACACCCTGAAGGGTGAGCTCAAAGCAAAGACCAACCCAGACTCCACCCACTGGAGCATGGATATGATGCCCACAGCCTGGACTGGCTGGGTGGGCAGGGCTGTGCCTCTTGAGGGAGGAAGGAGGAGCTCTGAGGGTGGGGAAGCTTCCTGGACCCCTGGTTCCCTCTAGGCCTCCTGATGTTGACGCAATCACGTATGCAAGCAGCTGGGGCCACAGCGGTAGATAAGCAATTCCCAGCCAGGTAGTCACAGTGCTGCCTGTGAGTGCAGGTGGGAACTGCAGCCTGGGTGAACAGAGTAGGTGCCTGACTTCCTGGGGGTGGGGGGTGGCTCCAAGTGTGCTGGGGGCAGGATATGCTCAGTGTATTCTAAGCACAGAGAGGAAGCCTGTGTGGCCAGAAAAAAAAAAAAATGATAGGAGGAATTTCCAAGATCAGAGAAGTAGTCCGATGCCAGGTGCCAGGTTACAGGGGGCTTTGGCTCTGTGGAGACTTTGGATACTACAGAGTGAGATGGAGGATTTTGAGTAGATGAATGTTATGATCCGGTTACATTGTAAGAGAATGACTGGCTGCTGGGTAGAAAGAGACTGGAAAGGGTCACACTAATATTCTGAAAAGCATGTAAGCTCTGGAAACACATTTGGGTTCACATTTCTGCTTCAAATCAGCAAAATCCAGACTGTGGGAAATTTGGCAGGATGAATTACCTGGATTCATTCACAAAATAAGGTAATGAGAGAAAACAGAGATGGAGAGGGAAACTACAGATTGAAATAAAGCTAAGTTACCAATCTATCACAATGTTTGATCCCAACTCAAATATCAAACCAGAAAGAGGTAAGGAAATGTGGACCTTGACAGGGTATTGGACATATTAAGGAATTATTGTTAGTTTCATTTAGGTGTGGTAATGCTATTTGAGGTCCTTATCTTTTAGAAATTCCATTTGAAATATTTACAGATGAAATGATTTTTTTTTTTTTTTTTTTGAGACAGAATCTCGCTCTATCGCCCAGGCTGGAGTGCAGTGGCACGATCTCAGCTCACTGCAAGCTCCGCCTCCTGGGTTCCCGCCATTCTCCTGCCTCAGCCTCCTAAGCAGGTGGGACTACAGGCGACCCCCACCATGCCCAGCTAATTTTTTGTATTTTTAGTAGAGACGGGGGCTTCACCATGTTAGCCAGGATGGTCTCGATCTCCTGACCTCGTGATCCACCTGCCTCGGCCTCCCAAAGTGCTGGGATTACAGGCGTGAGCCACTGCGCCCGGCCAATTTTTTTTTTAATATATACCTTTATTATTTGCATGCTGCGTGACCTCTGGCAAGCCACTTCCACTCTTTAAGTCTCAGTTTCCTCATCTATAAAATGGGCATGACAATACTCCATGGTAAAGTGCCTGGCATAGGGTAGGTACTCAATAAATGGCAAGGGCTATGAGACCAGTCCTTGTCTGGACGGAGTCCCTCCTGGAACCCACATCTTCTCACTGACCTGGCAGCCCCAGGGATGGCCTCTCTGGGGGAGTCTCAAAGAAGAACCTGAATTCCAAGGGGAGCTCACTGAGAGCTCAGACTTAAAGTCTCTCCAGACCAGGATTCCAGCCCTAGGATGACCCTCAGGCCAAGGCCAAGTCTGCCCCTATAAACCTCTCCCAAGCTCAGCCTCCCTATCAGAAAGCCAAGGCAGGAGGGTGGCATCCACATATGAAATCCCCTAGATGGCAGCTCCTCCCCACTCCCTAGGACCCCATGCCAACCCACACAGTCCCCCGGCGACACAGTGCAGCCATCCATGGGCAGCAGCCAGCCTGCTGGTGTGATTATAATTAAGTCGGTTTCCAGCATCCTCTAGGGGCTGCTCTGCCCTTTTCTCCCTTTGGTCATTTTACCTGTCATATGGTCCCCAGGGTCACAAACAATTCTCAACACGGTTTTTGATTAAAATCCAGTGAAGCTGAAAACCAAGCCAGATTCATAGGATAAAAAAATGTTAGCCACTACCTCAGGGAAGTCAACTTAATTCACTGTTTGCACCAGGGAAAGGCTGGTATCAGAAGTAGGCCTTAAAGTCCAAGGACTGACATCTTTGAGCACCTACCATACTCCAGATCTGTTAATTACATTCTTTCACTTGATTTACCAGGAGTAGGTGGTCTTCATGTGTGCCTCTCTCCTGGGAGCCCCTAAAGTCAGAACAGAAACTCCAGGCTTCTGAGCCCTCTGCTCCCTCTAACTGGGATGTCATTCCCCTGTATCTCTGCCCTGAACATCATCTTTCCATGACAGCTAAATGTGACAAACCCCAAGTCCAGCAAAAATCACCCCCTTTTCTCATCTCCCACCACCCACATCCTTTACAGTACTTACCACACAGCATGATGATAAGCCATACACATGCTCACCTCCCCCTCAATCCCCAGACTACAGATTCCTTGAAGGTAGCAGGGAAAAAGGCATTTTTTTAAACTGGAGAATGTCCAAAGGAGAGCGGGAATAGTGGCAGCCCATAAAGAACAGTAGGAGGAACTGGGGTGGAGGCAATGAATAATAAGAAAAATAATAACTAACATTGTTAAATAATTCCAACATCCTGGGCACTGAGCCAAGTGCTTCACCTTTGGCAGTGCTTTCTAAAGCCACCCTTTTGCTACAGATGGAAACGCTGAGGCTCTGTATTGAAGACATTTCTTCCCTTGCACGAATGCTCCCAACATAGATGAAATTGAGAGCCAGAGTTTAGTTAAGGGACACAATTAACCCCCTGCCCCACTTTGCCAATTATATCCCCAGGACAAATTAGCCAAGTTAGAAGGACACATATTGTCAGGAGCAGGGAGGGGTTGCTGAAATAGTTTCACCTGCTGTTCTGCTCAAGTTGGTGGCTGCCATTTATTTTGGTAGTTAACACATTAATTTTGGTAGAACACACTGTGTTGCTCGGATTTTGTTTTATCAGTTTTAATCAACCAAATTATTATTTTGAAGTGCAATGACAAAATAATCTCTAGTGCTAATGTTTAAAACTCCCTCATGATTTAAACTACAGTTTGCGAGTTTAAAAGAAGTCTTCAGCCTTCTTTTTACCCCTTTTTACCCGTTTACCCTCGTTTTAGAAATGTTTCTGAAAGACAATTTTTGCGAATGTGAGTTTCTTAGGAATGAAGTTGTCATGTGATAGCTGATCAGGCTGTAGCATCCCCACTTTACAGATGAAGAAAACATCTAATAGGCCAAGTGGCAAGACCATAGTCACCACCAAATTAGGGGCAGATTTGGGGTGTGGGCAAGCTGGGTATGGCACCAAAGCAAGTCATTTTTCCATTAGCAGTAAAAGCCATGTTCCCAGTGCCTAGCACTCTGCCTAGCCGCCGCACCCCCCTTCCTGCTGTGCTCAATCGATTATTAGAAGAATTAAGACGTTAAATTATGAAACGATTGTCAGAATAATATAGAAATTTGGACTCCCAGGGAAGCGTTCTTTTCTTTCTCAGAAACAGCCAAAATGCCTCCAACACCCTTTCTCCAGATCAGGTCACATGTTAACTCTTTTCATCATTGTGTCAAGAAGGATTCTAAGATCTGGCCACCCAAGATTCTCAGCCCCTGGTTCTTCAATCAAACACTAATCCAGATACCGCTGTGAAGGGTTTTTGCAGATGTACTTAAGGTTGCTAATCAGCTGATCTTCAAGTAGAGATTATCTAGATGGGTCTAACAAAACCACATGAGCCACTTAAAAGTAAAGAGTTTTCTTTGGCTGGTAGCAGAAGGGAAAGTCAGAGACCCAACGCATGCAGGGATTGTATGCATGCTACAGGCTTGCAGATGGAGGGGACCATGTGCAGGAACTGAGAGTGACCCCCAGCTGACAGCAGCAAGAAAACAGGGACTTTGATCCTACAACCACAGAAATTAAATTCTGCCAACAACCTGGATAAGCTGGGAAGTGGGTTCTTCCCCAGAGCCTCCAGATACGAGCCCATCCTTCAGACATCTTGATTTCAGTCCTGGGAGACCCTAAGCAGAGAACCCAGTCAAGCCTAACCAGACTTTTGACTTGTAGAGCTGTGAGGTAATAAATGGATATCATCTTAAGTTACTAAGTTTGTAGTAATTTGTTACACAGCAAGAAAAAACTAATACAATCATATTAAACTCTCTACCCATTTGCTTTATGTATGGCCTCACCTGATTTGATCAGGAAACCAATTTATTCATAATAATTACTTACAGAGCAGGTGGTACAGGAAAAATCTTTCCTGTTTTTCCCAGAATTGGCAATAAGCATCGCAACTTAGAAAAAAAGGTTGCTACGGACAACCTTAGTTTGGAGACCAGCCCCTGTGAGCTAGTGGTGCTGGGGCCTGTTTCCCCATCCTATGGACAGACCGCTGGTGGGTACATGTCAGAAGTTTATGGGTACCCGCTAAAATAATGGCAATACAGTAAGCAACTTCCAAACCAACAGAGGAAAATAAGGGCATAAGAAAAATTTTATCATTCAGTTGGAAGATACTAAGGAGAGAGAACAACATAAGCAAAGAAAAATACTGGTAAATAGGAAACATGGGTAACAGTAAGTGTAAATATTAGTAACCACATAATAGAAATAGATTATGCTCCACTGTTTTAAAAAACAGATATTCTCAAATTAGACTTACTTTAGCTTACTTAGATATACTTTACCAGCCTATCTAAAATATGAAAATACAAAATAATGGAAAATAAAGAGGTCAGAAAAGACATATCAGGAAAACACCAGGAAAACAAAACTTCCATAGCAATTTTAGTTTCTGGCAAAACAGGAATTAAAACAAAGTATTATTAGGAATTAAGAAAAAACAACAATTAACCTTGAAGATTCAGCAATCCTGAACATGTACATACATAACAAAAAGCCTCAATCTATGATGCATACATTTACAGAATTGTAAGAATAAATTAATAAATCCTCAGTCTGGGTCACAAATGTTGATACACTTTTCTCAGAAACTGATCATTCAACCAGACAAAAAGCTAGAAAGTATTAAGATTTAAACAAATTAGGAATGGAAAGGGAGGATAACTCTATACACTAGAAATTTAATAAAAACCTTAGATAATAGTGAACATTTTATATTAATAAATGTGAAAACAAACTGGACAGTGTTCTGGAAAAAAAAAATGAACACACTACAAAAATTCACTCCACAAAAGTGGAAAACATGACCACATCAGAAAAGAAAACTTAAGCTAGTATCATTTACATTAATGTTAAAAGCTTGGAAAACTAAATAACTTTAAAAGTTAACTAGCTTAACTAAAAAGCTAAATAACTAAAAGCTGTTTTAAAAATTAAACAACTAAAATCTTTAAAAACTAGAAGCTTTATTAACTAAAGCTAGCAATTTTTTTCTAATACAATTTCATCAGGTAGTATTTATCCCCATTATTTAAGGATGGTTTAACCTTTAAAATTCTACAAAGGTAATCCACATCATCAGTAGGCTGAAGAATAGCTATGTGGTGACTCCATAAATGCAGAGAAAAGTATTTAATAAGATTAATGCACATCAAGATGAAGAAAAATTCAGCAGGCAAGACATAAAAAAACTTTGGCAATCTGCTTAAGTGTGTGTCTCTAAAAAACCAACAGCAAGTATCTCACATAATAATTAAATATTAGGAGCAGCCTCTTTAAAGTTGGGGCAAAACAAGGACATCCACTATCACACCTTCCGTTTAACATTGTACTGGAATTCCTAGCCAATGCAATAAGGCAAGAAAAATGTGTTACATAGTAAAACGCATAAAGCTTGAAAAAGAAACAACATTGTCTTTATTCACAATTGATATGTTTGCCTACACAGAAAATTCAAAATAATCTACAAATAAATATGAAAATTAATAAGAAAGTTAAATAAGGACACTAAACACAAGATCAACATATAAATGTCAACAACTTCATATACACTAGCAACAAATTAGAAATGTAATTTTTAAAAATTCCCACTCATAATAGTGATAGAAACTATAAGGTTCCTAGAGTTTTAAGAAAAAATGATAAAACATTATCGATAACAAAAAATACATAAATTAATGAAGAAATGCAGCATTCTGTACAGGTGGAGACTCAATACCAGGACTGACCCCAAATAAATCTACAAATTCAAGGAAATTCCGGTGAAGATGAACATTGAAATTTTTCACAGAACTTCACAATCTTATTTTTTAGAACTTGATAGTCTGACTATAATATTCACATGAATCAATAAAGAGTCAAGAGTGGTGTAGATAATTTTGAAAGAGAATAATGAGAAAGACTTGGCTCAGATATCAACATTTCCAATAAAGCTAAAGTATTTTAAACAGCATACTATTTTCCCATGGGTAAATGAATAAATCAATGGACTGGAATAGAGAGCCATATATATATATATGTGCATGTATACCCACATACACACACATCATATATATAGCAGATAACATATATATAGCATATATATATATATGATTTAGTTGACATTTTCAGTCAGTAAAAGGGAAATGATTATATGTGAAAAGCAACATTTTAAACTTTTTTTAAACAGTCTATCTGTTACCTACAACTTTGTTTTTTTTTTACAGCATAGAGTAATTTATTGCAAAATAAGAAGACTATTTTGAAAATTAAGTGCACAATAGACAGTACACCCTGAGAGATTCCAGGGCTGCCTGCTCGTAAGGGTGATGCAGCATTGATTGCTGCTGGAGAAATCCCCTTTCTGGGAGTTTTACATGATTATTCATAAGGAGGTGGAAAGAGGTGTTACTAGTAAACATGTTCTGGGTGCTCTTCTGGGTACACATGTGCAGTAGCTGTACATGATATTCATATGTTGCATGTCTCATTAGCATCTTAAATCTCCACCCGGGGGTGTGTTTTTTACTATTAAAATGAGCAAAAGGTCAGTTTGAGGACAGGGAAAATCAAAATGCACATGCTCTCTAGAAGGGAAAGTCCCTACTGAAGATAACGGGTTTCAAATGACTCCAAGTGCTCCACATCTTAAAAGTAGTCCCACAAAGCTGGAACACTATCTGTTCCAGAGGGATCAGGTCCCACCTGTGTCTCTGAGACACTGATGAGTCAGGCCCAACTTGAGATGAGCCTAATGATCTCAAGTGTAAAATGCCTAAATCATCAGCAGCTTCAGGTTGCATTTTGGAGCTTGTCCACTTAAATGGACTAATGAAAATGGCTCACAAGACACATGCCTAGGAAATGGGGTTCTCTCCTTTGCTTTTAGCAAATCCTGTGCAGCCCAATAATTAAGCTTCCTGATGCTTCAACTTTCACATTTGTGGAAAAGGCACCAGTGCGCATGACGTTTCCACAAAACCACCTGCAGAGATCTGAAGTTGGCACAGGCTGAGCGTGTGCTCTGGCTAGAGAAAGCAGAGGGTGGGCTGCGGCACAGTGGACAGTGTCTTCGACATCAGGACCGTTTCCATAGTAGTTTAGGAAAGAAGGCAGATCCCTCGGCTGGAGAAGACGCAATACTCTGGAAAGACCCCTGGGTGCAGGAGAGAGAGGAAACCGAGCTCGACAGGGGCAATGGGGTGAGGACAACCAGCCAGATTTGAGCAAAGGTGAGGTATACTTCATAGCATAATACTCTCCTCAATGCCCAGCCCAGACCTGCCCTTCACGTCTCTATCTGTACTCACTCTTCTTGGCAAGGGAGCGGCATGGAATCAGCCCTAACATTGCTATTGATGAAACAATGTCTGAGACTTGTTTGAAATACCCTAGAAAAAAGTGGGAGAGGCAGGAGAAAAACAGATGAAGCAAAGTGGCATTAAGTTGATGGTTGTTAAAACTAAGGGAAAGGGACGTGGGAATACCTTGCTTAATTCTTTCTACTTTTGAGTGTCTTTGAAAATTATTGTAATGATGGGTTTTTTTTAAGTTTTAGAAGAGAACACATAAAATATTTTTGACCGTGGGTAGCAAACAATTTCTTAAATAAGACATTAAAGGCACAATTCACGAAGAAAAAAATGATAAATTTGACTACATTAATTTTTTAAACTAATATATGACAAAGACTGTCTTAAATAAAGATAAAAGATGTGCCACAGACTGGGAAGAAATATTGTAATGTATGTAACTGACAAAAGGTTAGCATGCAGAATATGTTAAGAACTCCCACAAGTCAAACAGCCCAATAAAAATATTGGCAAAAGATGTTCAAACAGTTCTGTAAAGAGGAAGCCTGATGGCTAACATAAACATAAGAAAAGATAATCAACCTCATTGTTAATCAGAAAATGCACATTACAATAAGATCCCCTTTCACCCATCAGACTAGCAAAAATGAAAACATTAGACAATACTGGATATTGGTGAGGAGTAGAGAAACAACTCTCATACATTTCTTATGGAATATTAAATTGGTACAACTCTTTGGAGAATAATGTGACACTATCTTGTAAATTCAAAAATGTTCATACCCTGCACCCCAGCAATTCTGCTGTGTTTGTTCATGGTCCCTTGCATGCAAAACTAAGATAATTTCTAAGGTATACCTGGAAATAGAATTGCTCGAATGTATTACATATTGCCAAATTTCCTACCCAAATGAATGTGCCATTACAATACCAATGACACTTAAGTTTTTCAGTTTCTCTATGCTTTTTTGATATATATTAATCTATAATAGATAAAATGCAATTTTATTTTTATTTTAAATTTCATTTGTTTAGTTATGAGTAAGGTTGTCCATCTTTTCAAACATTTATTGTGCATTTGTATTCCTTTTTCTGGAAATATCCTGTTTATACCCTCTGCCCATTTTTCTCTTTTGCTCTTCCTTTATAACTTTTAAAAACTTCTCTTAATAAAAAATGGTTCTGTCAGTTTTTTTGCAAATATTTTCACCAGTTTAGTGTTTGCTTTTGACTTACATATGGCATTTTGCCATGCACAAGTGTTTTTAATTATATTTAATGCATTAGTCTATCTTCTGTTTTTTTTTTTTTTTTGGCTTCATAGTTATATGCAATGCCTAGAAGAACCATTGCCACTCCAATATTCTTTTAATTTCAGTGATGTCTACATCTAGTACTCCATGGTTTCATAATTTACATTTAAATCTTTATTAAATTGCAGTCTATTTTGCAATTCAAACAAGTAGGAATACAGCTTGCCCATCCTCTACTACCAATGAACAGCCAGCAGACCCAATACCATTTATCCATCTTTTCCATACTCTTTCAAATGCTAACTTATTAAAAGTCAAGTTCCTTCATGTTTTTGAATCTTCCTGGACTTTCTATCTATGCCCTGTATCATAGTATTTTCATCATTATCATTGTAAAATATGTTCTGATATCTCATAGGGTTAGTCCTCACCCCCAATGTTCAGATTATTCCTGTCTTTTCTCACCTCACATGTTCTAATTTCCATATGAATCTTAGAATTATGTTGTCATTACTTATTATTATTTTATTGATATCATATTGAATTTGTAAGTAAATTTAAGGAAAATTACCAATTGTACAATGTTAACACTTCTTATTCCAAACAAGGGGTGCCTTTCCATTTAAAGTTTTTTTTTCTAGTTTACAGTTATTATGAACTCAATTTTGTCCCCCCCACCCCCACCACCAAAATTATATATTTAAGTCCTAACCCACAGTACCTCAGATTATGACTATATTTGGAGATGGGGTCTTTACAGAGATAATTAGAGTGAAGACATTTAAGAGAAGATGGCCATCCGCAAGCCAAGCAGAGAGGCTTGGAACAAATATTTCCCTCATGGTCCTCAGAAGAAACCAACCCTGCCAACACCAAGGTCTAGAACTTCTTCTAGCCTCCCAAACCATGAGACAATAAATGTTTGTTGTTCAAAGTACCCAGTCTAGGGTACTTTGTTATAGCAGCCCCAGCAAATTAATACAATGGTGGTAACTTTTCAACATCTCTTCCTGATCCATAAAAACCATTTAGAAAGTAGGTAGAGTTGACTGAGCTGGGTTCAAGTCCAAAATCTACCATATACCAGCACTAAATGACTTGTCTAAGTCATTTACATTCTCTGTAACTCAGTTTCTTCATCTGTAATATGGGGGTGATCATCCTTTGTAGGTCATCAGTGAGGACTAAATGAGATAATGTAGGAAATGTGTATGGAACATGACCAGTTTAATGTAGGAAATGTGTAGTTAGTGACCAGCTGGTTGAGGGCAAGAAAGGCCCTAGAACCTCTCTCAGTGGGTGACTCAATGGAGGACGATGCCATTCAGAAAGACATGAAACACAGAGGAGAAGCAGGCTTGAAGACAAGATGATAAGGTCAGTTCCAGGCATGCTCATGCTGAAAGACCTGTGGGACATGGTGGAGCATTCCAGAAGGAAAACTGAGGGGAGAGCTGGGCTGGAGACATAAGCAGGAGAGTTGACTCCATGGGAGTGAATGAAGCTCCTCACGGAAAGGATATGAAGTGACAAGAGGGAAAAGACAGACAGAGTCCTGAAGACCACCAGCACCCAGGGACTCCCTAAAGGGCTCACCCTAGCAGAATACATCCTGGAGATACTTCCTTATTTAATAGGACTTGAGGAAGCAAGCATTGTAATCACAACTGTTTCCAGTTTCTCTGTAAAGAGTTGAAAGGTTTGTCCTTGTTGCCCAAGTCAGCCTGCAGCATCCCTCTCTTCTATTTGTTCTCTTCAACTGTTGTCTGTAGTAGTGGTCCTCAACCTTTTAGGTACCAGAGACTGGTTTTGTGGAAGACAATTTTTCTGTGGACTGGGGTGGATGGTGAATAGTTTGGGGATGATTCAAGTGCGTTACATTTATTGTGAACTTTATTTCTATTATTATTACATTGTAATATATAACGAAATAATTATACAACTCACCATAATATAGAAGCAGTGGGAGCCCTAAGCTTGTTTTCCTTCAACTAGACAGTCCTATCTGGGGGTGATGGGAGACAGTGACAGATCATCAGGCATTAGATCCTCATAAAAAGCATACAACCTAGATCCCTCGCATATGCAGTTTACAGTAAGGTTTGTACTCATATGAGAATCTAATGCCACTGCTAATCTGACTGGAAGCAGAACTCAGGAGGTAATGTGAGTGATGGGGAGTGGCTGTAAATACAGATAATGCTTCGCTCACTTGCCCACAACTCACCTCCTGCTGTGCAGCCCAGTTCCTAAGAGGGTCTGTGGTCTGGGAGTTAGGGACCCCTGGACTATAGCAAGCTCAATACCAAGGCCTCCATCACATTTGTGTCCATTTCCCGAATACCTACCCCCAAGTACTGACCCATCTCTCTTTCATACGTTTCCCACAAATCCCCATTAAAGTAAAACAACAACAAAACCTTTCTCCAGCCAGAAACGCTGAAGGTAACTGACAATACCATTACAAACACTGAAAAATCTCCTCCCTCAAAGACGAATCCAGTCCCTTATTTTCATTTTAAATCTTGATCTCCTCCCCGACCCCTTTCCCCACCCCTTCAGTCATGAATTCATGACTCCAGCCTGGATAGCTCTTGACTGAGCACGCCAATGGTTGCAGCCATAGAATCTGAATTCATGGAGCCAAGTGATAGGGAGCCCAGCAGAGTGATTATGGGTACAGACCTGGGTGTTGGGAAGATCTGAGTTTTATCCCACTGCTGTCATTTATCAGCTGTGCAACTTCAAGCAAATTACCTCCTGTCTTAATCTGTGCTGCCATAACAAAATACCCAAGGACCAGGGTAATTTATAAACAACAGAAATTTATTTCTCACCATTTTGGAGGCTGGGAAGTCCAAGATCAAGGCACCAGCAGGTTTAGTATCTGGTGAGGGCTCAGTCACAGCTTCCAAGATGGCACCTTGACTTCTGTGTCTTCCAGAGGGGACAAATGCTGTGTTCTCACATCGTGGAAGGTACAAAGGGCAAATAAAACCTATCTTATTGGCCACAGACTCCTTTATAAGGTTGCTCATCCCCTAATTCCTTCCTAAAAAGTTGCACCCCTTAATATTGCTGCATTGGAGATTAAGTTTCAACATGAATTTGGAAGTGACACAAACATTCAAATCATAGTGCCTCCCCTCTCCAGACCTGAACTTCATCTGTAAAATGGGAATAAAAGTAGAACATTCCACTTAGGATTATTATGAAGATTAAATAAAATAACCATATTACTCAGCATACAATAATAAACCCTAGGTAATTAATAAGCCCTAGGTAACTTCTTTGTTCTATCCCTAAAAGGTTGGGCTTCAGTCTTTACAGCACATTCCCTCACTTCACAGAGACAATTTAAAGACTCCCTTGACCTTGGGAAATCTGGAATTTAATCTTGAACGTGTAAGGAATGCTCATGGGTTTGGAATCAGAAAAATTCAAGTGAATTCAATCTACCTCACAAGTTTTGATATCTCTAATTATGCTTACCTCCCATAGTTAAAGTAGATAATAAATGAAAAGTGCCTATCTCAATGTCTGGCAAAGAGTAGGTGCTTACAGCTGAAATTTCAATCAGCTTGAAAAGACAGTAGAAAGAACTTTGAAAGCTCTATGGGAAAAAGTGCTAAGAGGGAGCACGTAATCCCGAGAGAGAATATAAAGTATTAAATAGATTGTTCTTTTCAATATGGCTAAATTTTCAATGTAAACTTTCAACTTTCAATATAGCTAAACTAAGTTAAGTCTCCAAAAAATAATTAGCCCAGTTCATTAAATCAGGCCCATTCGACATGGGCCAAGGACAGTTTACATGGGTTTTGTTTGGCCTTGGATGTTGGCATCCCTTCAGCAGAGTTATAGATAGTTTTGACATTTGCAGCTTCTGTTAAACAAGAAGTTGGGGAAAACACAAGTGGGGCAGGATGGGCGGCTGGGTGCAGAAAGAATTTTTTTAAACAGAAAATAAATGTCGTTTACAGAGCACTATCAGGCATCAGCGTTGCAGGGAAAAATTCGGATGGGGCAAATTAAGTAACTGTTCCCATGATTAACTGTCTCTGCACAGTCAGTCATGTGACAGTAAATCTGGATTGAGTGGCAGCCGTGTTAACAAACTGGAGAGAAGATTGATGTCCATCCGACACCAAGAAATGCACAATCAAAGTGAAAAGCTCTTTCAGCCCTGTGCCAGTCAGTGTATAAATATGTATCACTGGCTTCTAAAGTGAGTTATGATTTCATTCTCCTACTGGTACCTGAAATCTAGAGAGGGCATTTGTCTAGTCCCTGTATCGGGGGTGACAGGTATAGCAACGTGGTCACACGGGGGAGATATCTGCTTGGCAGATAAATCAGGCACAGTGAAGGGACCTGTTGTTATCAATTTGATCTTGGGGGAAAAACATCTTCCTGTACTCAGGCAATATTGTTACTGAATTGAACGGGTCCTTCCTTTACCGAAGCATTTGTAGGCGCCGTTTTCTCCCATCTGTTGTGTGTCTGGATGAACTGGTGTGCAGCTTTCAATTTCTACACTTCACACAAGATACTGTCTGGCTTGCCCACTAGGGTGTAAACACCTTGAGGGCAGATCCATGTGTGATGCCTCTGTGCTCCCATCTTTAGTGCAGGGGTTACCATTGTTTGTTCATTTGAAATGAACAAGAAGGCCAAGCCTGAAATCTAACCTCCACCAGCAGTAGAAGAAACACCTGAATAACAGCTCCAAGAACACAGGGTTTATTTTTCTGGGTCTCTGTGATGAGGTCCATGACCTCTGAGTACATCTTCAACATGCAGGGTTCATTTCTTCTCGTTCTATTCACTGTCATCAGGCAAGTTTCCCTTCTGAAAAGTTTCCTTTCTGGAGCTTCCCATCTAACCACTGAAGTAACAGATTCCAAATCTCTATCGGCAGCTGAGAGCCTTCTCCTGGGCTCTAAACCCATATGTCCAGTTTTCTTGAGGATCTCTCCATCTGCATATCAAACTCAGCCTATCCAAAGTGGAGCTCAGCACCCTGCATCTCTTCTTCCCACATCTTTGACATTGATATCAATCAATGACATTGTCACTGCCCCAGCTGCTCAAGCCAGAAGCCCAGCAAGCATCCTTGACGCCCCCACACCTGACATGACAGCCATGATGAGTGGACTCTAGCAAGAAGTTAGACTCTTGCTTGAGTGGTGTGAGTCCTGGCTAGGATGCTCCTCAGAGCTCGTATTCCTGAGAATTTTTTTCCCTGTATGTTGACAGAGTGGACTTTGCAAGGATGAAGAGCTGACTCCATCCAGTCTCTAGAAAAGAAAAAAGGTTGAACCAAATGAGTGTTTCCCAAGCTAGCTCTACAGATGTATTTATCTGTAGATGGAGAAACTCCATACTAGACGATCTTTGACTTTGAGAAAGGCTGCAGAGCTTTCCTCTGCTCCCTAAGGCCAAGTCCAAGGAGGGAATTCCTTGGAGCCTCGTGTGCTCCCTGTCTCCCATATGGCGTCCAGAGACAGAACTTGAGGCTCTGCTCTCCTTTACCCAATTGTAGAAACCCAAAAGTTAACCCTGGGAAGGGACCAGAGAGAGGGAGGGAGAGCAGCCCCACAGGACATTGTTTGGACAATTTCAGCATCAGCACATTGTGGTCAGAGGCAAGAGGCCCCCAGAGAGACCACTCCCTCCTAAACCTCTCCCTTTTTTTCACAAGGGAAGCCTGTGACTGGATGCTCACCTAATCAGGGTTGAGACCAGCTGAGCATTGAGGTTAAGAACGTACACAGGTTTGGAGTCAGATAGATTTTTGGTCAAACACCAGTTCCACTGCTTACTCACTGTGTAACCTCAGGCCAGTCATTTTATCTCTCTGAGCTTCAGTTTCTTCACCAGTAAGACAGTCCTACCTCATAGGGCTGTTGTGAGAATTAAGTGCAATTAGATATGTACAAGTACTTGGTCCAGTGGCAGAAACATAGTAGATATTTGGTAAGTGATAACTATGATTTTACTGATGATCACAATCATCTTTCTGTTTTGAATTCTAAGTCCTTCCAGTCCTTGAAAGACTGTTTCAAGTCCTTCTCTTCCTGGAAGCCTTCTTGGATAATTCCTGTCCTGGTCATCTGACAAGGAATTGGCACTTTCACTGAGCCATTTGCCGGGCCAGGAGATGGGGAGACAAAGATGACACACACACAACTCCCGCCTCCAAGCAAGTTACGTATGGTCCTAAGCAGAGTTCAAAGCCCCTACCCACCACTTCTTCACTGTGTGAAGTTCACTCTCCAGAGGCTCAGATTTCTCACTGATACAATGGAGACAATATTCCTTACCATCATCGGTGGTATTGAGTGTGGAAAAAAGCTGGCAGGCAGGAAGGGAGTGAGGAAAGGAAAGGAAGGGTACATAGGGAAGGAGGAAAGGAGGTAGGGACTAGAAGGGAAGAAAAAAGGGAAGTGTGAAGACCAATGCGCTCTGAGATAGGAACGAGTGGATGAATGGATGGGTGAAATAATGAACCATGTTTCTCCCTGCCATCTCCAGGTCCCACAGCCAGCCTCCTTTCGGCCCACATGCAGGATACCTGCTGCCTCATCTTTGTGGAGAGAGATTTCCTTTTCCCCCTCTTACAGCCCACTTCTCAATGAGGGAAACTTATTTGAAGGCCGCTGCTCCGAGAAATGACATCATCGGACAGAGAGCCTGCACCTTCACCCATTTACAGACATTAATAATACATGGCAAAAAGCTGCCGCTTTATTTTATTTTGTCCTCCAAGTCAAGCTCTTTAAATCAAATATTTAAGGAGAGAATATTTACTCACACATCCTCCAGGAAGCATTTCTGGTCTTAAAGGCAAATGTGCACCGCAGCAATGGAGGGCGTGTAGGTACAACCGTGGAGTAGTAACTCCTTTCACTTTCACAAAAACCCCGCAAGGTGCTGCGTTTAGCGTCACCAGTTTATAGATAAGGAAACTGAGGCTCATAGAGGTTACATAAAATTTCCTAAGGTGAGTCAGCTTCTGAGCAGAAGGGCATAGATTCACACCCATGCAGTCTGACTGGAGGCCACAGGATTCCCGATTCATGGTACCACCTCGCACTCAGCCTAGCTGTGAGGGGCAGGAGGCTGAGAATGATGGGTGAGCAGGCACTAGCCAGACTAGAGGTGGGTACCCATCCTTGCTGGGGCACAGCACTCACCTCTAGGAAAGTGAATGAGCATCCCATGTACTTGACATTACCCAGAGACAGTCAAGTGCAGGACATTCAGAATGTCTGCAGTGTGGGTAGGAGTGTGGTAGGAAATGAGGTCAGAGAGAAGCTGGGTTAGAACTGGAAAGACATTGAACACCAAGCTAAGGAGTTATGGCTTTATCCTTCAGGCAATGGGAAGCCATCAGAGGGGTAGATGGGTTCAGATTCGTGCCTAAGTGAGCAGTTTGGGAGGCTTTGGGGACAATGGATTAGGGTGGAAGAACATGGCAGCAGGGATGTTGGTTATTATGATTTTGAAGCACTCCCATTTCTTGAGAACCTACTGTGCCAGGTCTGTAATGTATTTTCTCTCTAGTCTTCACCCTGTGAGGCAGGCATAATTGTCCCCATTGAACAAATGGGGAAGTACAAAGGGCATGCCCTGGGGGAAGGTCCCTTCCGTGAAGCAGCAAATTAAAGCTGCTTCTCTGTTCCCTCCCAGGTCAGCCCCCTCAGTGACCCATGACTCCCCCTAGTGCCCACCTGAAAACCAAGAACTGACAGGGATATTTGTTCCCTCACACCTGCCTTCCATGGGTCCTTCCTGAACACCTACCGTGTGCAGGTCTCAAACCAGGCTCTAGGTAGGAGTCCTGGGCAAGACACACTTACTGCTGAATTAACCAAAAGGAAGCAGATCACTCTGAATCCTGGGCTTGCAGCCCCAGTGCCATCCCCACCCCCAACTCCTGTCCTGGGCTCTCTAAGCAATTACATCCAGGCACATTAGTGGCCACCAGCTAAATGCTGAAGTGTGTGTTTCCTGCTATAGGATCGCTTATCGCTGACTCTGCAAGGCCTGCTCTAAGTGCTCAAGAGCGGGGGAAGGGGCCTGGCAAGAGGGAGGATCAGCTCAAGAGTGGACTGCAGCCCTCCCCCCATGGAGCCCAGAGCCCCCCATATTTAAAAAGCAAGAGCTTCTGGAAAGGATTCAGGGTTGGGGGAGTCATGTTTAAATGCACTTTTAAAAGGCATCACATCAGACAATCTTTGCAAGCCACAAATGGAGAGAGGGATGGCCAGGGAAGGGAAGGGGGTCTGGTTAATGGAACAAACAGGAATTGGAGTAGAGAGCAGAATGGGGATTGTGGAAGAAAGCCAAAGCCCCTTTTTGCTTGGGACTAAGATGTCTCAGAGGGATTCCAGGTCTAAGGGACCAATCAAGTTCCATTCATATCCACATCCACATTTATTGAGAATCTACCTTGACATCAAGGTCACACGAGTGGCTGCCAGGATCACCTTGCAGCTTTGAGAATCAAATGACATTAGTTCTGACTCCCAACTCACCGGGCAGGTCAGAAACCCAAAGTCACCTCCCGCCTCCCCCTGAGCCTTCTGGGTGTAGGATTTAGATTTCGCCTGGTCTGCTCCGGCTCCTTGTGTGTGTTTCTGCTGCAATGACTCTGCTCAAGAGCTACACACATGGTCCCTTTTCCATGCAGCCTCACCCACACTAGACACACCCTAACCTCCTCTCCCTCCCCAACCAGCGTCCCTGCCCCAAGAGGCTGGAAAGGAGATAGGGAGGCAGACTTTGCTGGCAACTGGCAGAATTCCCAGTCCCTTCCTGCACACACATGTTCATCTAAAACACTGCCCTAGGCCTCCTCTCTTCCTGTGTGGTCTGGTCCCAACCTCTGTCTCCAGCCTCATCACAGCCCATCCACTCTTTTGCACTCTGAGATCTAGCCACTCTCATATATTCTCCATTATCTTGAATGTGCCACACTCCTTCCTGCCTCAGGACCTTTGCACAAGATGTTTGCTCTGTCTGCAATGCCCTTTCTCTATTCTTCCCCTGAAGAACTACTCAGGTCTCAGCACAAATGTCACTTACTCAGTGAAGGATTCCATAACTCCCCAAGCTAAATAATATTTCCCATCCCCTATCCACCAGTGTGTTCTATTCCTTCATTATTCTTTTGCTTTATTGCATGTATTACTCTGTGTGTGTGTGTGTGTGTGTGTGTGTGTCTGTGTATGTAAAGTCTGTCTCCCACACCAGACTGCAGGCTTCGTGATGGTGGGGTTCACATGTCTAGTAGACGCTCAACAAAATGTGTTGAATGAATGAATGGTGTGTGTAGGATATATAAGTAATTTAAGAGGAGTGATAAGGATCTCTAACACATTGAAGGAGGCTTCAGGAAGAAGCCAATGCCTAAGTAGGGTTTTGAGGTACAAAAAGTACTCACTGGAGGGCTCAGATCAGAGAGCAGGTGCTGACACTCTTCGTTCTTCAGAAAGAGAAGAGCTTGAAGCCACAGAACAGAATGGGTGTTTGAGGGAACCACACATGGTGTGGTCTGACAGAGGAGTTAAATGCAAGAGAAAAGAGGATGAGGTGAAGCTGGAAAGATGGGCAGGAGATAAAGTTAGAACTTAATAACCAGACAATGAGGCAATGGGGAGCCATTGAGGGATTGTGAGCAGGACAGTGATGGGATTAGAGACCTGGTTCCACTGGGGAGGGGAAGTGGCCAGGGAGGGCTGGGCTGGGGACCACCATCGGATGGCTGTTGCAATGGCAAGGTAGTGGGTAATTGGGAGACCAGGGTGTGTGCACTGGGGTAAGGGTTCACCCAGGAGGAAGACAGACTTGCTGGAGGAGATAGATGACCTGTTTTGGGACATGTTGAGTGGAAGGTGCCCATAGTCATCCCAATGGAGATGTCCATGAGGCCATAGGATCTATGGATCAGGAGCACCAGGGAGGTACCTAGGCCAGAAATGCCAGTCTGGGAAGCCAGCTTGAAGGCGGCAGGTGGAGCCAAGGTCATGGGTGAGTGGACAGGAAAGATATCCAGAGGGATAGGGCTCCCTAGCTCCTTCCAGACCCAACAATCATTGATTTTATGAGCACTGGAAGCTTGGTTTGAGAGGGGAAGGGGAGGAGTGGAGTTCATGCTCTCCGATCCAGACAGAGGAGCCGGAGGGAGCAGAGAGATGGAAGGGGCTTATTATCCTCCATCTCCTTGCACCAGGCATCACTCAGATGGGCATCTGATTGCTGGCACTAATGAAAAGGCCTGCCTGCAGCCTGGCAGCCTGGAATCAGGGGCTCACGGGATTGGGCTGGGCTGCCAAAGGCCACTGGCTCTGCCCCCAACCCTCTCCAAACCTGGTAAAGGTTTGAGCCTGATGCATCTTCAGTGGCATGTGACTGGTCTGCAGTGAGGACTTTCTTCCCAGGTGCTGGCCCTTCAGAGGGACACTGGCCAGTGGAGTTTTCACTAGCGAAGGTTAGAATCTATGTTTCATGAGGGACAAGAACAGAACTAGTGTGCTGAGGCTGAGAAGAGGAAGTCAGAAATCCCAAGAGGCTTCCCAGGGCCAGGAGAGGAAATGTGAGGGGCAGAAGGTGGGGGGTGACAGTAGAGAGCTCCCTGTTGCAGTGAGTGAAGGATATCCTGCTATAGAGAGAATCCAAATCTTGAAGAAGAGGTAGACTAAGGTGACTCTTGGGGCCCCTTCTCTCCCTTGGATTCTAAGTCTTTACAATTCACATGCAATGTTTTTTTTTTGGGTATCCATTATTGCATCTGATCCCCAAGGTCCAGAAAGTTCTACCTAGCATTTCAGCATATCACCTCAAACAGTCTCAGCTACATTTGCCCACATTCCTGTAGCTACAAGCATTCTGGAGCCACACATCCCCTTTAACCCAGTCCTTCCAGCCCCTCCCTCTTTGCCCCTAAACTGTTCCCCGACTATCCCATCAGTGTGGTCGTATGCAAGTTGCTTGACGCCAAGAGAATGGAAGGTGAGAGCCCAGATTTCAACATTATGCAAAAGCTAATCAATCCTATCAGACTCAGCTAATGCAACTCTCTTGTGCTTCTAGCCATAGTTTTCTGCTCAGTGTTACCAGTAACCTCCGGGAAGACTGCTTGGCCATGACTGCCCTTCTTTAAGTCACAGAGAATAATTCAAGATCTTTATAGGAAGGAGTTTTGTTGGGCTTCATTTTCATCCCCACAATGGGGTCCTGAGCTTGTGGTATTCCACCTACATAGCTGGACTGAGCTACTCTGGAAGATGCTTGTGGGTTTGACCTGACAGCTTCTCCTACCTCCTGCCCCTTCCCTTTGGCCATGGATGTACTAGATGCCATGGGAAAAGCTCAGTGACCACACATGAGTACTGGCTCCCCCAACCAGGACCCCAGGTGGCAGAAGGCAGGCAGACAGGTGTATGTGCTTCTGACTCATGCCCACTTGCTGCCATCTTAGAATTTAGATCCCCCAGTGGCTGCTGAGGGGTAAAGTTGCTACCTCATGGGAGAAAAGTTTGGCCCATAGGAGAAGGAAGCCAGTAGAAAAATGCTTCTGCCTTCTTCCCTTGGGCAAACTGTTTGAAGCTACAATAGACCCTCTGAAGATATCTTGCAAAGCTATTATGAACTGCACAAAACTAGTCAACTCAGTAACACACTCCCTTGGATTGGCAGAACTTCTCTCTTGCCTCACTGCCCTTTACCCCTTTCTTTTTTTTAAGACAAGGTCTGACAAGGTCTAGCTCTGTCACCCAGGCTGGAGAGCAGTGGTGCCATCTCAGCTCACTGTAACCTCCACATTCCGGGCTCAAGCCGTCCTCCCATCTCAGCCTCCCGAGTAGCTGGGACTACAGGCATGAGCCACCACACTCAGCTAATTTTTGTATTTTTTGTAGAGACAGGGTTTCACCATGTTGCACAGGCTGGTCTCAAATTTGTGAGCTCAAGCGACCCACCCACTTCAGTCTCCTAAAGTGCTGAGATTACAGGCATGAGCCACCGTGCCTGGCTTACCCCATTCTTACTTCCTTGGGATAGCTTTCCCCTGTAATGATAATACAGCCAGCCCTCCAAATCCACTAGTTCTGCATCCCGGATTCAAACAACTATGGATCAAAAACATTTGGAAAAAACAGACAATAAAAAATTACAATACAATAAAAAATAATACAAATAAAAAGTAGACTGTAACAACTATTTGCATAGCATTTACATAGTATTAGGTATTATAAATAATCTAGAGATGATTTCAAGTAAGTGGGAGGATGTACATAGGTTATATGCAAATACCATGCCACTTTATATCAGGGACTTGAACATCCACAGATTTTTGTATTTGTCAGGGTCCTGGAATCAATTCTCCACTGATATCAAGAAATGACTATATATAAATTGCTGCCTATGGTTCTGTTTCCTTGAGAACTTGAGTTGATGGGTTACAATGTGGCTGGTGAGTTTTTCATCCCTAGAAAGAGGAAATTCTAGAATGGCAATAAGAGACTCCATCTCATTGAATTTCCCTTGCAAGGCCCACCATGGAGTCTTCTCAGGTCCAACTTTAGTGACTTACAAGACTATCATAGGTCATCTTCAGCTCAGTCTACTCAGAAGGGTATAGGGACACTGTTCACCAACAGGATGGCATCAAGGGTTCCTAAACTACAGGAGCCCTTGAAGAAGCCCACAAAGCAATATAGCTCAAGTGCAGGGAGACAAGACCCACATCAGGCCGGCTTGAGAACCTGCCCGCCCCACATGAGCTAATATCCCTTGTAACTACTTCTGGGGCCAGGGTCATGGCACTCAGAGAAGCTCAAAAATATGGCCTCCTATCAGGTAACTCTCCCCAGTCACAAGTAGCTTACCAATAAGGGATCATTTCTGCCACAAGCAATACTGCCTAGTAACAAGGTTGACATATCCTTTTTATCCAGTTACCAGAGGAACAGAGCTACCAAGTTAATGAAAGGTCAAATCTCATGCAAAACGGGAAAGTGCATTGTTAACCTCTCACCCACACCACTCATTACATGAGCTCCAGAGGTATGGAGACTTGGCAAAGATCTCACGAGTCCAGGACAGGAAGTAGAAACCATCCTCGGTGTTTCACATGCAGGAAGGAATTTAATACAGGGGATTCACTAGACACAACAAGGAGCTGACATCCAAAAAGCAGAAAGTCACTGCCACTGCTGCTGACACATCTGCTCTTACCCCTCTGAGCTGGTGAGTAGAACCTGGAATACTAACTCTACCTGCTACAAACATGCGAGTCTCTATAACTTTGCTTATGGGCAGCAATAGCAGGATGAAAATTGTCTCCTTCTCCTCCCTTTTGCCTTCCAAAGTTTCACATGAGTGCATCTCATCAGTGGAACACACAACTTACATTCAGACCTAGCTGCAAAGGAGCCAAGGAAATGCCATTATTAGATTTCCTGGAAACTACATAGAAAAGGATGAGGATGGATGTTGAGTACCAGGTGAGATATTCAGTGTGCATAGCATATTAGTGGTAAATCCACTCACGATTCCCCTCTTCCAGGCCAGGCTTCTCTTTCCTTTGGCACTTCCTAGTTCATGATCCTTTCTCTCTGAGCCTTCAAGCACTGCCCCTAGCCCTTCAAACACTCCATCTTCCCTCCCAACACAACATAATGCAGTAGCATCTGAATGTCCAGCAGCAGAACTGTATGGGTCTGGGACAAAATGGTCATAGGAGGAAAGTGGTCAGATGTTCTTTCTTAAAGCAAATTGATCTTTTTTTCCTAGAATAATGCTCTTCCTTCATTGTTGGTGGTTTTATTTGTTTTTGGACTATTAGTAGTAGCAGTAGTATTACCATTTTTATCACTAGTATTAGTATTATCTCCTCTTCCCATACTCTCGAATCCTTAGTCTCTGCTTAACTTTTCTTAACCTTCACTCTAACATGGCTTTCAGTGCACAAAAAAAGAGAAAGACCAGGAGACTTGGGCAGCCTCTCACTGCCTGTCATGGAATCAACCAGCTTGGGGAAACTTGTGAGTGGAGGTAGGGGCAGAGTTATCTCCTGGCCCCAAGATACAGGAGGAAGAATACAGAATAGGGGAATTCAAAATCTACTTACTGCCAGGTCTGTAAACAGTAGGCTTGAGCAACCAGTAACCCTACTGAAGAAGGTTGTATTAATGGCCCCAATTCTTCATCTCTCCCTATATTACGACCCTTGGACATGTAACTTTGTGGGATCTGCCTATTCCAAGGAGGGAAGGGGTAAGGGGTAAGGGCAAATTCCCCATCCCATGACTCTAGGCTTGGGTCTATGACTTACTTTAACCAATGAGATGTTAGCAGGCATGATGTGACTGACCTAAGTCTTACAAAGCTACCTCTCTCAACGCCATGAGAAAGACATGCCCAAGCTAGGCCACTGTCCCCCAGGAGGAAGGCAAGAAACATATGGAACAAGCCCACTCTCAGCCAAGCCTGGCCTGGATCACCTCATCCCAGCCAAGTCACAAATCCATGAGAATGAATCATTTTTGTTTTAAGCCACTGAGTTTTGAGCTTGTGTGTTATACCACAATGGTATATGGTTAACTGACTCATATCATGGGTCCCATCCTTCTCTTGCCTTCCCTACTGTCTCCCAAGCGCCCAGCAGCACGCCCCACCCGCAGTCTCTCTAGGGAGACACTAATCCTAAAAATATTTCTTCCCAACTAGCAAGAGCCTCAGCATCAGGATACCTGAGTTCCAGCCCTGATGTCCCCTCATTAAACCTCAGTTTCATATCTGTTAAATACATAGAATGTGGCCAGGCAAGCTTGTATTTATAGAACACTTACCTCATGCCAGGCACTTTCTTATGCCTTTATAAAATTTGGGGAGGTAGCTGATTTTATTATTCACATTTTACAACCTAGGAAACTGAGACTCAAGGAGGCAGCATGACTCATCCAAGGTCACACAGTCAGCAAGAGAAGGATACATGGCCAGGTGCGGTGGCTTACACCTGTAATCCCGGCAATTTGGGAGGCCAAGGTGGGTGGATCACCTGAGGTCAGGAGTTCAAGATTAGCCTGGCCAACATGACGAAACCCATCTCTACTAAAAATACATAAATTAGCCAGGCATGGTGGCACGCACCTGTAATCCCAGCTACTCAGGAGGCTGAGGCAGGAGAATCGCTTGCCCCCAGGAGGCGGATGTTGCAGTGAGCTGGGATTGTGCCACTGCACTCCAGCCTGGGCGACAAGAGCAAAACTCCATCTCAAAAAAAAAAGAAAAGAAAAGAAACAAAGAAAAAGAGCAAGAGAAGGAGCCAGGGTTCAAATCTAAGATTTTGAGTTGCTAAACCTAAAAATTGGAATCCCGGCTCCTTCAACTTCCACTTGGAGGTTTCTTCTTTGAACATGTGTCTGGAATGCAGTGTGGGGATTTACAAGCTATACTTCCTGGACTCCTTTGCACCTGGGGTTTAACTGTGATTAGGTTCTGCCAACCAAATGCTGCCATGCAAGCTTTGGAAGGCAGAAGAGGAGCATCACAGGGAGAGAAAATGCCTCAGCTGCCCCTTCTGCAGACAAGCCCAGTCACAGGTGTCTCTGATGCAGCTGTAGCAGAAGTCCCAGAGCTTGATCCCTCACTTTGAAGAAAGGCAGGGCTTGGGCATCCATTCAGCCTCTCTGAATCATGGAGAGGTGGCATGGCCCTAACCTGCAGCAGCAGGGGGGCCTCTCAACCTGGCAGGCACCTGCTGACCCGGCATCATAGCAGCAACAGCAACTCCCTTGGTGTCCCAGTTCTGTGTGTGGCTTTGGGAGATGCTCCTAAAATTTCAACCTAAAATCTGTTTTTTCAATGCTCCCAGTGATTCTGTAAGCACTGTAATAGTCTGTAAGACCCTGGGTGATTTTGTACCTGAACCCCAACCAATACAGATACAAACATCTCTCCCAACTCCTTTACTTCCACATGTCAAAACCAAGATCCAGAGAAAGCAAGGGGCTTAGCCACAATTGCCTGAGAACCGGTGTGTCCCAGACCTTCGTATTCCAAGCCTGTGCTCTTTCCACTCCACCTTCAGTAACAGAGAGAAGGAGAAAAGCCAGGGAATGTTGTGACAAGAACCCAGGAACCCTGATTTCCGGGCTTGTTTCAGACAATGATTCTATTGGTCTGGAGACATCCTTTCTTAATTTAGAAAGTTGTGTAAGTTGGCACTGAGTATTCCAAGGAAGATATTAGCCTGAAGCCTTTCTTTCCTCACTATAATCCTCGGCAGACCCTATGTTACCTACCTGAAAAGCCCCACATTTGGCTGGACCAAAAATAGGACATTTTTGGAGAAGGCAATAAAAGTCTGACATATTGCTTAAATACTGTAAGTATAAGTTCCAAAAGATGCATGCACTAACCAGATTTATCAATATTAAAAACCATCTCTGTGAGTATGAAAAGTGAGCATAATTGTGGGAGGCAGCTTTTTCTTTGCTTTTTTAAAAAATCATATTATTTAATTTTTAAAGCATGTACACATTATTTTTAATAAACAACATTTAATTATTAAAATAGTAACTTATACATATGTAAATGGTTCTATATAGTACATAAAATATATATTTAGAGATATATGACATATATGTTTTTTATGGATGTATGTGTATATATATACACATATTTGGAAAGTCCTAATGTCATGAGAAATGGCAGTTACATAAGTTGAGTAAATTTGGCTTTATGAAAAACTGATTTTTTTAAATGCCTGCTATGGCAGGTAACTTCACTCCTGAATTATCTTCTTCAGAATGCAAAAACACATTTTATCTTATGCCAACTATATTTGTTTTTAAGTTTTTATGCCAGCCACCCTGGTTTACAATGAGATGTCTTTTTTATTCTTGCATTCTTCCCTATATTATTTTTGCAAGGCATGGCAAAATGGTTATGGAATGGACTTTCCATCAGTTATCATGATGTTAAGGGCACATTTTTCTGGCTCTGGTGTAAGAAAATTCTGCATTAAACAAATCTCTACTTGCCCACAAATTTTGAAAATTTCGAGTATAGCCATTTAGCTACAGTATCATAAACCATGGCAAGCAAAGCTGCAGTTACTAAGGGCTTCCTACCCATTCACACGTGAGAGGGCAAACTGACCCCACCCTCATTCCGCTGATCTCAGTGACATCTGACCCTCTGCTCTGGAACTTCCAGGACTGAGACCAAGGTTGGCATTCAAGGCGCTACTAAGAGTAGGTTGTCCTCAAGGCTTCTGAAGTCTGGCCCCTACTTACTTCCTCTCCTATGCCTCACTCCAGCCAAATGCACCTTCCCAATATGTCCCTAAACCATTCCTTGACTCACTCTTTCTTCTTCCTAGATTTCCCTGACATTGTCACATGTCCAGATCCTTCAAGGTGAACTACAATAATAAAAACAGCCAGTAATTCGAGCACTTGCTATGTGCCTAAGTATACGTTCAGAGATTTTGAAGCAGCAAACACTTACTGAATGACATATATATTAAGTCCTTTGCATCCATTTCCGTTTAATCTACACAACCATCGTCTAAGGTCCACCTCAGGAAAATGAGTGACAGAGTTTACTAACTTGCCCAACGTCCCCCACCTAGGAAGGACTGAATCCATAGTATGAACTGGGCAGTTCATCATCAGAATCACGTTCTTCTTTACAACACTATATGGGGTTCTGGACAGTCGATTGGTACACTGTAAACAATTGTTGTCAAGGAAAAAGGCTATAAACACCTCAAAAAGTTAAGCATAGAATTACCGTATGACCCAGCAATTCCACTCCTGGGTATATATCCAAGAGAAATGAAAGCACCTGTCCACATAGAAATGTGTACGCTAGTGTTCATAGCAACATTATTCACAATAGCCAAAAGGTGGTAACAACACAAATGTCCATCAACAGAGGAATGGAGAAACAAATTGGGGAATAGTCAGACAATGGAATACTATCCAGCTATCAAAAGGAATTAAGTAACGATAGATACTACAGCATGAATGAACCTTGAAAGCATCCTACAATGGCCCTGTCACTATAGGATGTTGATCAGGGAAGCTGTGCATATGTGGGGCTGGGGGATATATGGGAAACCTCTGTACCTTTTGCTCAATTTTGCTCTGAACAGAAAACTGCTCTAAAAAAATAAAGTCTATTTTTTTCAAGTTGCTGTATGAGTTTGCTAGGGCTGCCATAACAAAGTACCACAGGCTGGGTGGCTTAAACAACAAATTCATTTCTTCGTGATTCTGGAGACTAGACATCCAAAGCAAAGTGTTGGCAGTGTTGGTTTCTTCTGAGGTCTTTCCCCTTGGCTTGCGGATGGCCACTTTCTCCCTGTGTCCTCACGGGGTCTTCCCACTGTGTGTGTCTGTGTCCTAATCTCCTCTTCTTACAAGAGCCATCAATCAGGTCGGATTAGGGATCACCCTAATGACCTCAATTTAATTACTAAAGACTCTGCCTCCAAACACAGAAAACTTCTGGGGTACTGGAAGTTAGGACTTCAACATATGCCCATAACAGTCATATATTATATGATTTCTTTTCCATGAAATGTGCAGAATAGGCAAATCCATAGAGACAGAAAGCAGACTAGTGATCACCGGGGCAGAGGAGGAGAGTGAGCACCAAATGAATCAGGGTTTCCTTTGGGGGTGATGAAAATGTTCTGAAACTAGAAAGAGCTAATGGTTACACAGCATGATGAATCATAAGCTGTACATGGTTAATTGTATGATATGTGAACTTCACCTCAATAAAAACAGGTTAGAAAGAAAGGGGCTTCTCTGAGATTCCCATTCTTCCCCCTCCCCCGAGCCACAGTACAAGGTCTCTATGCCTCTTCACCCAGGGTAAAGCCCGGGGCACTGAGAGACCATGGGCCTGGAGTTGTCCTAAGTATGACATAAGATTAAGTCAAGTTTGCCAAAGACAGAAGGAAGAAAATGGCCCCAATTTCAGGAGGATATAAATGAAACCAAAGCTCTGAGCAGAATATCAATCCAAAGAACCAACTGCTGTGTGTCTGAGACTGGCCAGGTATGAAGTTTATTCCTGTGTTCTGGGCCCCTTGCCAGCACTTTCTGTGAAGGCTTTGTAAATGCATCAGGCTGGCCTCACGCTCCATCCTTTGTTCTCTAAAAGGGAAACTGTTTCCCAGATTTTGCCTCAAGGTGGGGAGTCAGAAAGATGAGGGGTGCGACTACACGAGGAACATGAGCAGACTCTATTAATGCCTCCCTGGGGCCGCAGCCAGGGCCCTGCCTCCTCTGGGGCCTCAGTGGGGTTCCATGTGGTCCTGGGTCTCCTTGACCCCAGTGCCTCCCACAGGACATGGAGGTGTTTGCTTTTTCACCTGTCTGCCACTCCGCACTGGGAGGCCCTGGAGTGCAGGGACAGTGTCTCATTCTATCTTGGACCCCTGGTGACCAGAACAGGGCCTGCAACAGAAGAAATGCTCAACTAAAGTCCGAGGAAGGAAGAGAAGGTGGAAGAAAGAAAAGAAGGACGGCATTTGATAGGAAGCAGATGGCATGATTAGAAATAATTCATGTGATCTTGGGTTCCACTCATCCCAGGCCTGGCTCCCAGGTGACCCAGGGACCTGACTCCTCTCCACCAAGGGGAGCTAAGGCCATGATGTGCTGAGAGCCTTCAAGAAGCAGGAGGGCAGAAAGGTCCGTTCCTGGTGTCATTTTGCCATCTCCAAGTTCATGAACCTGATTTGCTACATCAGACACATCAGACACTCCATCTCCCTCCTCCAACAGCGCCCCCACCCCAGTGACCACACACTCTCCTGGGTCTCCAGAAGTTCCCCTGAGATGAAGAACCCTTGTCCAACAATAACCTTCACCCCCCACCATGTGCCCCAGAGGTAGAGTCGGAATCTGTGGATTCCAGGGAGGACCTTGACTCACTCCTCAACAGCCCATGCCTCAGCTCCAGACTTTCCTGGGAAGCCTTCCCCTCACTCCACGCTGCTTCCTCTGTGCCTGTAACCAACTCCAGACTCGTTCTGCTCATTATGTCTGCATGACAGCCAGTAAGTCAAGAAACAAGGAGTTGGAGCAAGGAAGGCAACTTTATTCTGGAAAGGCAGCAAACCAAGACGATGGCAGACTAACGTGCTAAAGAACCATCTTAAAAGTCACAATGTTCAAGCTTCTTTTATATTGAGGAGGGGGGAAAGTGGAGGTTGAGGTCAGGAGATACCTGGTGAACATTGACATTTGGGCACCAGCAGGAGTCTCAGGAAGTCTGAGACTTCTTTGTCCTTGCTCGGGTCACAATGCGCCCATAAATTTTTATACTTTTATTTTAAACTCCGGGGTACATGTGCAGGCTTGTTACATAGGTAAACATGTGTCATGGAGGGTTGCTGTACAGATTATTTCATCACCCAGGTATGAAGCCTGGTACCCATTAGTTATTTTTCCTGAGGCTCTCCCCCATCCTATCAATTTTTAACATAACATTGTTACTTGTGTGTATGTCCTCCTTATTTCCTCAGGGGTTACTTTTGGGAAGGGACTATTATCATCCTTACTTTAAAGTTAAACTATAAACTAAATTCCTCCCATAGTTAGCTTGGCCTACATGCACAATGAGCAAAGACAGTTAGTTTGTGAGGTTAGGAGCAAGATGGAGTCAGCTGTGTTAGATTTCTCTCACTGTTACACACCTGACCTCGGGTCTCTTTTGTAATGCCTCTGTCTTCTAGGCATCTCCACCTAGTGCTCCTCCAGGGACCTGGGCACAGGAGGCCAGCACATGTCCTGCCCCCACAAAGCTGCTCCTGATCCTGTGTTCTCAGCTGCATCTCTCAGTTTTCCCAGGTCCTGAGGTCACCTGCAGTGGTTCCCTCTCCCATTCCCATCATCAATCAATCACTGTATCCAGGTCATGATAACTTCTCTCCGTCTCCTTCCATGTTCAACTCACTACCATCTCTTTCTCTAGAACCACATTAACAGGTCTTCCAACCCTAAAGCTTGCTCCCCCTACAGCCCACCACACTATATAGCCAGAGCAAGTTCTCCAGCACGATGGTCTGACTGGGGCAACATCCTTCTCCTCCAGGACAAAGCCCAATGTCCCCAGCCCTCCACCACCTGGTACCAACCCACCCTTCTAGGCTGCCTTCCCCCTCTCTTGCAGCCTAGTCTCTTCCCTCCAATCACACTGCCTACTAATGATCTACCAGTTTCTCCCCACGTGAACCATCCTCTTCCATCCCTTTGCATGCACATTGTCTTCTGCTTAGAATACCTTTTCCTCATCTCTATCTAATAAATTTTTCTTCACCCTAAAAAAATCTATTCAAATATCAGCTCCTGTGATGGCTTTTTCAATGTCACAGGCAGAGGTAGCTGCTTCTTCCTCTATTCTCTCACAGTAGAATGTAAAAAGCATTTGTTAGGAGCCACATCACAATGCACCAGAATTATCCATTTACAGTATTTGTCTCACCCATTAGAAGATAAATGCCTTGAATTCAAACTCTGAGTGCTCACATGCTTAAGAATGTGCCCAAGAATAGGGTAGGCAACACTAAGTATTTGTTGGAAGGAAGAGAGAGACAGAGAGAGGAAAGGAGAGAGGAAAAGAGAAAAAGGAAGGAGGGAAGAAAAAAGAGGAAGGGAGGGAAGGAGGGAGGAAGGAAAGAAAATAAGGGAAAAAAGGGGGAAAGGAAATGCATGAATAGATGTACAGAAGAGTTTTATCTGCTCATTTGGTTTCCCAGACTTACTGCTGAAGAAATGAGTGCTTTCAGTAGAATGGGTCAGGAAATCCTACTTGCTTCCTCAGTTTTCCCAAAGAGATCCATCTCCAGAAGACCAAATAAAATACGTTCTGGAGATTATATAAATTCAAATAAGCACAGGTTTTGAAGACTGGAAATTGTACAAGACTTCATTTTACAATTGTACAGACTTCTTTGTTCTTACATTCTATCAATATGAGCCCAAAAGCATTCACAGTGCAGACAGCATCATCCACCATCTTGGAAACTGAAGCTATATGATGGTTTTGCAAGTATCTTACAATGCAAAATTATGGGGGCAGGCCTGTCATGTGTTAATGTGTGCTAAACTTTGGATAGTTTGCAATAAAATTTCCTATGACTATTACTTATTGAATCCTTGCATTTTATGTTGGCCTTCTCATATAACCTTCGGCATGGCAATGGTGTTACTTTGTTCTGGGCTCCTAGAAAACATCCATCACTTGAGTTATGGAGAGAACAAATATCTACAAAGCACCTGCTCTTGGCAGACAGTGTTTCAATCATCTCATGAAGAAATCAAGGATCTGGGAAGCTGGGATCACACAGCCAGTGGTGACAGGGCCAGAACTGGAACCCAGGTCGCCAGAGTTCTCCCGTATTTTACCAATACCATGAGCTCCTAAAAGCACTTAAATTTCCAACATTAAGTCCTGTGTGTCTAACTCAGCATAAAACAAATCCTATCTAGAGCACGTGGTCTTTATCTCTGGCTAGTCAAGGATTTTATCTCAGATTGCCTTTTGGCATCTGTGCCCAGCATAGTGTCTTGCACATGACAAATGCTAAGTGAACTCCCATTGTTGGCTAGGAGATGAAAGTAGAGGGCCTTGGACTGGGAACTGGAAGACCTAAGTCACATGCAGTACTATCCACTAACTAGCTTTGAGTTTTAGCTGAACACTTATTCTCTCTGTTTCATGGATTCCAAATCTGTGTTTGGACTCAGTCTTAAGTAACATATCCAGATAGTCTTTGTTTAATCAACATATTGAGCATGTACTGTGTGCCTAAATGTACCACGTGCTTTTTATACTTCGACTCACTGATTCCCACACAAGATTGCAGGATTCCTTCTACCTGGAAGGGAAACCTCTTTGAGATCAATTGTTTTTTGTTTGCTTTGTATAAGCTTGAATTATTTTCAAGTGTGACTGTTTTATCTCTGTGATGGTTTTGCAAGTATCTTACAATGCAAAATTGTGGGGGCAGGCCTGTCCATGTGTTAATTCATGCCAAACTTTGGATAGTTTGCACTAAAATTTCCTATGACTATTACTTACTGAATCCTTGCATTTTATGTTGGAATAAAAAAATCTGGGAATGGGCAAAAAATATCTATAAATTACTTGGTCTTCAGGGATACCTAAATGTAATGTGAAAAAATGAAATTGCACCTGAAATGTGCTGTAATTCCATTGTATTTTGGTCTTTTATGGCTAGTTCATGTGGAGCCCAGCTCAGTCACAGCATAGGATTGCTGTAGTGTCATGGGCATTACTTTTTCGGAGTGGAAGTTTGCATGTTTCATGTCTTGGGCCAATCTTGTGAATAGTAAAAATGAGAAAGTAGACCCCTTATTTTTTGAGGTATGTACCTGATGGCCTCTAAGAAACTGGAGGGTAATATAGTCAACGATGGCTCCGGTAAAAAGGAAAATATAACGCAAAAGGAAATTGATTAAAACAATGAGTTTCTACCTTGTACATTGCTGGTGGGAATGTAAAATGGTGCTGCACCTATGGACATCAGTTTGATGGACGCTAAACTTAGAATTACCATATTACCCAGTAGTTCCATTCCTAGGTATATACCAAAGGAATGGAAAATAGACACTCAAACAGATACTTGTATGCCAACATTCATTGCAGCATTATTCACAGTAGACAAATGATAGAAACAATCCAAGTGTCCATCAACAAATAAATGGACAAACAACATGTGATATACACATAAATGTATATAGGTATATAATGTGATACACTTATATAATGGAATATTATTCCGCTATAAAAAAGACAAACATATAAATCCACTTACATGAAATAGCTAGAATAGGCAAATTCATAGAGACAGAAAGTAGATGAGAGGTTACCAGGGGCTGAGGGAAGGGAGGAATAGGAAGTTATTGCTTAATGGTACATAGTTTCTGTTTGGGTGGATAAAAACATTTGGGAAACAGATAATGGTGATGGCTGTACAACATTGCAAATGTAACTAATGCCACTGAATTGTACACTGAAAATTGTTTAAATGGCAAATTTCGTGTTATGTATATTTTACCACAATTTAAAATAAAATTTGGGAACAGAGAACAGAACTAAAGAAACCCAAATATATATCTGTGGGCTGACTGGAAAAGGTTTGGGATTCTTGATTTATTTCACAGTTAAACTGCTCATGCTTTGTAATATGTTCATAGAATATAAATAACATTAGTGATTATAGAGTATCAATTTCTGTCCCATTAAAGCACTAAAGACTTTCTTTCCAGCTCAGAAGAAGGAGGAGGAGGGGTGAGAGGGGAAAGGTAATGAGGTTCCTGTGGAGAAAACTAGGGGAGACTTTGGAACAAAACCTTGAGCATCAGTATTTATCTATATTCAACCATTGACTGTCATCTTTATTAGGCATTTGGAGATTCCTGAGCATGAGTATTTATCTATATCCAACCATTGATTGTCATCTTTATTAGGCATTTGGAGATTCCATCTGTGGTATTGAAAATGTACACTCCACATCTGGACTTTAGCCCAAGGGCAAACGGTAGCAATTGCCTGCCCCACGGAATGTGGCCTTTGTGAAAATTAGCACTATAGGGGTGCTCAGTAGAGGAGTTGAAATTTAGAATTCAAGGAATTAGGGCAGGTGGTTTCTCTTCCCTCCCAGCATACAAACCCCTATTTATTGTTCTGGTCAGAACTTTGCTCTTGATCCTCCAGAGTACACCAAAATACAATGGAAACAAAGGAGTTTGTCTCCCTCAGGTAGCCAAGTGGTGAGAAAATTTAAATTTAGAAGACATGGGGCTGGGCGCGGTGGCTCAAGCCTGTAATCCCAGCACTTTGGGAGGCCGAGGTGGGTGGATCACGAGGTCAGGAGATTGAGACCATCCTGGCTAACACGGTGAAACCCTGTCTCTACTAAAACTACAAAAAAATTAGCCGGGCATGGTGGCGGACACCTGCAGTCCCAGCTACTCGGGAGGCTGAGGCAGGAGAATGGCGTGAACCCGGGAGGCGGAGCTTGCAGTGAGCCAAGATCGTGCCACTGCACTGCAGCCTGGGCGATAGAATGAGACTCTGTCTCAAAAACACAAATAAATAAAAAATAAAAATAAATAAAAATAAAAATTAGAAGACATGGTATGATAGTTAAAAACAAGTTGAAGGATGGCAATACCTAGAACAATGAGACCATTCACAGTGGTCAAAGGATGCTGCTCCCGGGACTGGCAAAGAGGGAGCTGGTATTGGGATAATTTACACTTTCTGTTGCTTTGTATACAGAACTACAGCAGTTCAGAGGATCATTATCCTAATGTTATTCACCCATGATGGTAGAAAAGTAGTAAGAAAGAAGGAAAAAATGCAACGTTCGGGGTGGGGGTGGGAAGGAAAAGAAAAAACAAGGATAGATGAAAAAAGTTACAACCAAGTTATTTTAATAGGGAGATAAAATATGTAAAAGGACACTTAGGGAAAGTGTGGGGAATACTGAATGTAAAATATTGATCAACAGGAATCTATGATTTAGGAGAGTGGAAAAGTATTAAGGTGGCTAGAAACAAACAGTAGTTGGTAAATTCAGGAGAAAATCTGCAGATCAGTCAGATCTTGGAAGGGAGAAAGATGAAACAAGGAGAAAAAGCAAGCAGAACTGTGGAATCGTTACATTTTTTAAGTCTCAAGAGGGAAGCCCACTTGGGAGAGACAGAAATCTCCATCAAAGCCAAGTACTAATATATCACTCCCTAGTGCCCTAAAAATAGAAAACCTACTTTATGGTAATGACATTATAATGGGTAAAAGACATATAGAAATGAAGACACTGTGCATGTGAGGTATATTCATTTCCTTTTGCCACTGTAACAAATCACCACAAACTGCATGGCTTAAAACAACACAAACTTATTATCTTACAGTTGTGGAGGTCAGAAGTCTGAAATTGTCCTCACTAGGCCAAAACTGAGGTGCTTGCAGGGCCACTTTCCTGCAAAAAGGAAAAGCTCTAGGGAAGAATCCCTGGCCTTGTGTTCTCCCCCTGCTAGAGGCCATCTGCATTCCTTGGCTCCTTGCCCCTTCTTCCATCTTCAGAGCCAGTAGGACAGCATTTTCAATCTCTCTAACTCTGACTTCTCTTCCGCCTCCGTCTTCACTTTTAAGGATGCTGTGACTACATTGAGCCCATCCAGAGCATTCAGGATAATCTCCTACTCTAAGGTCATATGATTAACAATGTTAATCCCATCTGCAACCATAATTCTCCTGTGTCACCAGGCACAGTGGTTCACACCTGTAATCCCAGCACTTTGGGAGGCTGAGGCAGGCAGCTCACTTGAGGTCAGGAGTTTGAGAGCAGCCTGGCCAACACGGTAAAACCCTGGCTCTACTAAAAATACAAAAATTAGCCAGGCTTGGTGGCACATGCCTGTAGTCCCAGCTACGCCAGAGGCTGAGGCAGAAGAATAGCTTGCACCTGAGAGGCCGAGGTTCCAGTGAGCTGAGAGTGCACCACTGCACTCCAGCCTGGGTGACAGAGCAAACTCTATCTCAAAAAAAAATAAATCTCCTCTGCCAGGTAATGTAACGTAGTTGCAGGTTCTGGGGATTTAGATATGGGTGTCTTTGGGAGAGGGTTATTATTCTGCTTCCCACAAGAGGAACCACTCATGGTGTAGTTACCACCATCTATATAAAGGTCTGGAGAGAAGTTTGGGAGGGACTGTGCCACAGAAAAAAATGATATACAAAGAAAGACTATGACTTGTGGCCAACTTGAGCCTCCAGACTAGGGAAAGGTTTCCCTTCCAAATCCTGTCAATCTATTGTCCCTCCCCCTAGCTGTAGTCAGAGTCTGTTTTGAATCATAAGTTATGTGGTTGTACATCCAGGTTGCCTAAGCAGGTGACTCATCACCATCACTGCCGGAAGCAAATCCCAAATCCTTCTCAGTCAAGTCTGGAAAAAGACAAATACTCATCCTCCCAGGACTCCATGTAGGGAAAAAGTAGGGAAACCCGCTGCTTAGATTATTCCCCTGCCCTTGCTGTCTTTCCAGAGGGTTGGGCCCATCCAGAGATGGGGAGTGGACCAGGAGTCAACAGTAGGTTTAATTGCTAGACCCTTTCTAAAGATGAAGAATCTAAAGCACAGAGAGATTAAGTAACTTGTTCACAATCAGCTGTCTAGTAAGCTGAGAAAAATAAAATTTGAATTCAGGTCCATCTGACCTCCCCGCCCCCACCCCGCCCGAAAGCTTTGTTGTTTATTCAACAAGTATTTAAATGTTTACTATGGGTCTGCCTTTATATTGGATTATAAGACTCTAAATGTTTTTATATGACTTCAATTTAAAGGAGACACTGGCATGTATTCAGACAATTAGATATAGCAGCATAGGTGTTTACAGATCAGAAAGCCTGGTAATAACAACAAACCCTGCCTTGTTAGCCAGGAAGGTTTTCCATAGAAATGGACATCTAAACTGAATCATTAGATTAGACAGAAATTATCCAGGTAAAGAGGTTAATAAAGTCATTCCAAGGAGAGGAAACAGCTTGGACAAAGGCAAATATTTAAGAGAAATCACAGAGTACATGAGAAACCACCAGGAATGGGTGAGTCTGGAGAGTATGGAGAACTGGGGGCTATAATTTTTCAATTGTCCAGATTCAAACAAAACAATCTCCATTTTTCAGACAACAAAACACAAGAACACTCTATGTCACTCACAAGCAACAGTGTATGAGAGTCAAGGAAAGCCTGAGTTTGGCTGCAGTAACAAACAAGGGTTCATTTCTCCCATGCACTACGTGTTTGCTACCGGTTGGCTGTAGCTCTGCTCCACCTTGTCTCCCCTCCAGGTCCCAGGCTGATGGAGCAGCCTCTGTCTATTTGGGACATTGTCAGTCACAATAGCAAAGATGAGGGAAGACCAAACCACATGCTGGCTCCTACAGTTTCTGCTTAGAAGTGGGGCATGTCACTTCTCTCCATTTTTCTTTGGTGAGAGGAAGTCATGTGACCAAGTCTGATTAAAACCAGGGCAGAGCAGGGAGGAGCAGCAAATATGCATGGGTTACGATGGCACCTACCACAGTGAGCCAGAATTTGGGGATGCACTGAAAGTCTGCACTTCATGTAACCACCAAAGCTCACACAGGATTTGATTTTTTTGGTTCCCGGAGGCATGAAATCATCAAAGGGAGGGAAAAGTTGAGTCCATGACATGGCATCAGCTGGACCATGGCTGTGCAAGCAGCATCCCTCCCAGGGTCTCTTCATAATAAACGAATAATAAACATTCTACTAAAATCTTTAAACGGATAGAGGAGTTTAATTATAATAATTTAATTTCAGAAGCAAAAGCTGCTTTTATACAATTACACTGAGGCAACTTTTAATTAACTTTGGAAACTTTCTTTTGCTTAGAAAATCTAATTAAAAATATGGAACTATTAACATCACACAAGATTCAGGAGGGGGCAGAAATAATATTGGGAAGGTATGGAAAAGAGACATAGAAAAGATGCCTTTAGGGAGTTAGGGTCACCTAAGTTTCCCAAAGCATTCAATAGTTCCTGTCCCTCCCTAAGCTCTTGGAACGCCAAGGAAAGTTTTTGCCAACAGTTGCTCTGTGGATTCCTGTAAGCAATGGGATGTGATGAGAGTCCTGCCTTTTCTTTCTTCTGTGTTCAGGACGCACCCATCTCTGATGTAGGGAATATGGGGCGGGGAGGGGGATTAGATTTGAGGGTCAGAGGAAATTTCAGAAAGTGAAATGACACTATAAATTAGCCCCTCCTCAGAGGGGACAGCAGGGGAGAGTCTGCTTACTTTGCAACTTACCTACTCCTAACGTGTGCCCAGGGGATAACAGCATGATCTCAACCACAGTGGTCCACGCTCCAGCAGAATCACCAGGGAGCTCTTCAGAAATACAACACTGAGGGCCGGACGCGGTGGCTCACGCCTATAATCTCAGCACTTTGGGAGGCCAAGGCGGGCAGATCACGAGGTCAAGAGATGGAGACCATCCTAGCCAACATCATGAAACCCCGTCTCTACTAAGAATACAAAAATTAGCTGGGCGTGGTGGCACACGCCTGTAGTCCCAGCTACTCGGGAGGCTGAGGCAGGAGAATCGCTTGAACCTAGGAAGCGGAGGTTGCAGTGAGCTGAGATCGCGCCACTGCACTCCAGCCTGGTGACAGAGCGAGACTCCATCTCAAAAAAAAAAAGAAAAGAAAAGAAATACAACACTGATTCTTGGGCCTTGCCCTAGATCCACTGAGTCTGAACAGGCATTTGTTATTTGTTTGGGAGGATATTTTTTAACTTTTAAGTTCAGGGGTACATGTGCAGGTTTGTTATATGGATCAACTCGTGTCACAGTGGTTTTTTGTACAGATCATTTCATCACCCAGGTATTAAGCCCAGTACCCATTGGTTATTTTTCCTGATCCTCTCCTTCCTCCTACCCTCCACCCTCCCATAGGCCCCAGTGCGTGTTGTTCCCCTCTATGTATCCATGTGTTCTCATCATTTAGCTCTCACCTGTAAGTGAGAACATACGGTATTTGGTTTTCTGTTCCTGCATTAGTTTGCTAAGGATAATGGTCTCCAGCTCCAACTATGTTCCCACAAAGGACATGATCTCATTCCTTTTTATGTCTACATAGTATTCCATGGTGTATATGTACCACATTTTTTTAATCCAATCTATCATTAATGGGCATTTAGATTGATTTCATCTCTTTGCTATTGTGAACAGTGCTGCAATGAACATACGCATGCATGTGTCTTTATGGTAGAACAATTTATATTCCTTTGGGTATATGCCCAGTGATATATATGGTTTGGTTCTGTGTCCCCACCCAAATCTCATGTCAAATTATAATTTCCAGTGTTGGAGATAGGGCCTGGTGGGAGGTGATTGGATCATGGAGGTGGATTTCTCATGAATGGTTTACCACCATCCCCTTTGTGCTATTCTCACGATCGTGACTGGGTTCTTGTGAGATCTGGTTATTTAAAAGTGTGTGGCACCTCCCCCCTCACTCTCTCTTGCCCTTGTTTCCCTCTATGTGAGATGCCTCACTCCCACTTTACCTTCCACCATGACTATAAGTTTCCTGAGTCCTCTTCAGAAGCTGAGCAGATGCCAGCACCATGCTTCCTGTACAGGCTGCAGAACCATAAGCCAGTTAAACCTCTTTTCCTTATAAACTACCCAGCCTCAGGTATTTCTTTATAGCAATGCAAGAACAGACTAATACACCCAGTAATGGGATTGCTGTGTCAAATGGTAATTCTGTTTTTAGCTCTTTGAGGAATCGCCACACTGCTATCCACAATGGTTGAACTAATTTACACTCCCACCAACAGTGTATAAGTGTTCCTTTTTCTCTGGAACCTCACCAGCCTCTGTTTTTTTGAACTTGATGCCCAGGTGTTGGCTATACACGCTAAAGTCTGAGAAGCCCCGGGCGAGGTCACAGTCATCTCCAAGTATGATCTGCCAACAACCTGCTTCAGAAGTCCTTGGGGCGTTGTCTAGAAAGCAGATCTCCAGGCCCTACCCCAAGCCTAGTGAAACAGAACCCCTGGAGGTGGGGCTCAGGGACCCATATTTCATACAAGATCTCCCAAGAGATTCTGGTATGCACTAGAGTTTGGGACAACTGACATCTTCCAAGAAACTCCCTGCTTGAGGTCAGGAAGCCTGACTGGCTGGGGAGTCCCTCAACTTCTTCTCGGCCTCAGTTTCCACAAGAGAAAAGCACCCATTCTAGGAAGCTTACTGAGTGTCCACTGAGAAAGTGGATGGGAACTGCTGTGTAAATGACAGCTGATTATGTAAATCTGAGTGTTCTTTGCTGAAGGTGACATTGTCATCCCAGGCTGGTTCCACTGAAATCAGAGAGACATTGGGGGTTAGGAGAGCCATTTGGGGGGTTAGTAGACCAAGATTCTAACCTGAATTCACCACCAACTTACTACAAGGCCTTCAGCAAATTAGACTACCCTGTCTGGTCTCAGTTTCTCAACTTTCTCACCACCAAGCAATAAAGTTGTAAAATGTGCAGGATAATCTAACCAAACTTTGAGACCTCCTAGGGCCCTGGAATCTGTCATTTGCCCTCTAGGTGGAAACCATCTTCCCAGATGAAGACAGAGGCAGAGGGGTCTCTGACAAGAATGGCTTCAAGCCTACTGGGGGGCTTTAGGAAGAAGGGGCTCTGTCCGCTGCATGTTACAGACATGTGTTTACAAATCAGTCCCTGGCATTCTTGGATTCTTCTGAAACTCTAAAAACAAAACCAAAAGGAAAACAAACAAAATTGATTCTCAAGTGGCTCAGAATCCCCCAGCCCACCTGGCCTTGTGCTTGCCCACCAAGGATTCCAAATATAACCAGCTGACCCAGATTCCTGAGCCAAAGGGCCTCCATTGGAGTTGCATAGGGCAGAGCAGTCGGGAGGAACTTTAATGTTACACTGACCCCCTGTGGAAGTCAGAGGCAGCAGCCGCTGCTCGCACCTCCAGCAGCCCCTCTCCCCTCCCCCCATTCTCCCAACCGAGCACCCCTGACAGCAGCCCCCGACCCTCTGAAGGAGGGCCACCCACCAGCTGCCGCCTCTGAGGCAGAGACCACTGGCCGAATGCGAATGCATCCTGGGGAACCCCCGCCAAAGTCAGACAGAGGACAAAGAGAGGTGGTAGGTATGTCCTCCATTCCAGCTCGCTGCCACCCACCAGCGCACCGTCTCCTGCATGGACGTCGCTACCACCTTCTCAGTGGCCTCCCAGCCCCCTCATTCATCCTCCTTTGGGGCGAGGCCTCTTTCCTGCTCAAATGCCTTCGACAGCTTTCTGTAGCCTAGGGATTAAGTTCAATCCTCGGTCTGGCTTCCAGAGGTCACCAGGATCTAGTCCCAACCTAACTCTTGAGCCTCCTTGCCCAGGCTCTGAGAGGCCAGGAGCACCCAGTTCTTCTCTCATCCCAGTTTCCCACCTCAGGCTGCCCCTCTCCCTCCTGACACCTCCCTGCCTGCCCCTGTCTCCTCTTTCCAGTCCCTCCCAGACTTCGAAGCACAGCAGAAATGCTGCCTCCCGGAGACACCTTCCCTGGTCACTCAAGCTCTTTACAGTAGCAGGAGGTCAGAGGCCAGCTTTGCACCAGCTCCTCCTGCCTCTTGCCAGATGTGCTACAAGTCACTTCCACTCTCAGAGCATCAGTTCTCTCAGACGGAGATGGAAATAATAACCCCAGCCCAGCCTAGCTCAGGGGACGGGTACTGAGATGTCACAAGATAATGGAGAGCTCTGAAAATGGTTAAGTATATGCCTACATTACCTTATGTTACAATGGTTTGTACCATGGTGGGTTTTGGGGTTTTTTTTGGTTTTTTTTTTTGGTTTTTTGTGTTTTTTTTTTTTGTTTTTTGAGATGGAGTTTGCTCTGTCACCCAGGCTGGAGTGCAGTGGTGCACTCTTGGCTCACTGCAACATCTGCCTCCTGAGTTCAAGCAATTCTCCTGCCTCAGCCTCCCAAGTAGCTGGGGCTACAGGCACGTGCTGCCACACCCAGCTAATTTTTGTATTTTTAGTAGAGATGGGGTTTCACGATGTTGGCCAGGCTGGTCTCAAACTCCTGACTTTAGGTGATCCACCACCCTCGGCCTCCCAAAGTGCTGGGATTATAGGCATGAGCCACCATGCCCGGCCTTGTACCTCATTTTGCCTTGCATCAGGTAGGGATTTTGTTTCACACACTAACCTCAGATAACTGAGAGTGGCCACTGGAGCCAGTGAACGGCAGGGTCAGGCCTGGGACCCTGAGGTCCAACTCTGTGTTAGATGCTGGAGACACCAAGATGTCCGCAAAGAGCCCTCCATCAGTGAAGGAGACAGATTCATGAGGATTACAATTCAGGTTGATAAGGGCTGGGACAGAGGTAGACAGGCACCTAGCAGGGCCCTGGACCCGGTCTCTGGTGTTAGGAAAGGCTTCTGGAGGAGGTGATATCTGAACTGGGACCTGAAGGACCAGGGTGTGTTAGCCAAGAGAAGAGCATGAGGATGGGCAGGAGAGCTACAGGTCTCTGCGTGCAATGACCCCAATGCGGGGACACCTTAAGAGTGCAGTGTGGCCAGCAACGCAGTGGGGGCCTGATCATGCAAAAGACTCCAAACATGAGCACAGTGGGCCCTCTGCCAGCTTCTGAAGAAGAAAATGACATGGCCAGATTATTATCTGAGAAGCATTCCTCTGACTTCAAGATGCAGAGCAAATGTGTGACTGGGGACAGGGGGGAGCCAGAGAGAGTGTGAGGCAGTCATTCCAGCCAACAAATTCCCCATCTTTGGGCTCCGATCAGCAAAGGAAAGCCCCACTTAATGCTGCAAGGGGAAAGGCCTGTAGAAATAAGGGAACCACAAATACACTCAGATTCACAGGACCCAAGAGGACCTTAAACATGGTCCCTTCCAAATCCAGCTCCCAGCACCTGACTTCTGTCTTCATCCTTCAGCCTCTGCGTGCCGTCATCCCCGATCAGGGAACTTGTTACCTGCCCAAACAAAGCATTTCCCAAGGAGAAATGTGCCCCAAAGCATATGGGGATGATGGAGACGTGCTGAAAAAAAAGGCATTCTCTGAACCATGAGCCAAGACACGTGGGAGTCATTAGTGCGCAGAGCCCAGAATGGTGAGCGCATGTCCCTCACTCGACCTCTGCCCCATTCTGCCTGGTTATGCCACATTCCCCTGAGACCTGCAGGCATGAGATGTCAGTGGGAAGGAAGAATAAAACCCGCCAGCATGAGGCCCCAGGCCAATGGCCATGGCACTCACAGGTGAGTTGGGCCGGAGGACACAGAATCCTGTCGATGAGAATGAGCTTCCGGAAAGGGGAGGTGGCATCAGCATCCTCAAAGGTGAGTTTCAGAAAAGTCCTTCCGATGTGAGGAGGAGGATGAGTGGGAGGAAATAAACCAGCTGTATGACACCAGGGAGTATTTACTGTGTACCAGGCCATGCCCTCAACACGTTGCACGTTTATTAGCTCACTTCCTCCTCACCAGAAGCCAATGAAGCAGGTACTTCTATAATCCCCATTTTCCAGATGAGGAAGCTGAGGCCCAGAGAGTTTAAGGAACTTGCCCAAGGCTACCCAAGAGTAGGTATGCAGAGTGAGTGGACAAGAGCCAGGCCAGCCTCAAGGAACAGAGCCAGAGCATGTCAGAGCCCCAGGGATGGGGCTGCTTGAGGGGTAGGCGGCTCTACCTTGTGAGGCTGAGCTGGAAAACAGGACCCAGCCAGAGTTTCCTGCTCTGCCATTCTGCAGCTAGATGAGCTCTGGCAATGAATGTCTCCTCTCAGTTTTCTCAGCTGCAAAATGGGCATGATGAGCCTCATCAGCCAGACCTCTCATGAGGATGAACAGGAGAAGGAATGCCCAGCCCAGAGTAGGGACCCACGAGGGCTCCTTCACTTCCCTCCCCTGCAGGCAGCTTGCTGAGCCCCATGGGCACACAACCAAATATCAGGAGCTGGCAGTCAAGAGCAACTCCCCTCCCCTGCCGCGTTTCCTGCCTCACAGCCTCATTCACTGCCCTTACCATGGAGGACACCATGGCCAGCATTTAGGAATCGCCCTGGGGTCTCGTTGTGTGAAGTGAAAGCGTGTTGTGGAGGACATTGTTCATCACAGCTGGGAGACGCCCCTCTCAGAGATCCAGGAGTGCCTCTCAGCCTCTCCCAGGAACAGCTGTGGCTCCTTTGGGCAACAGCAAACAAGTTGTAGATGCTCCTTTTACTCTTTGCTTTACCTACTAGGGAGCTCAGAGCCATGTATACACTGTGATCATCCAGCCCTACCAGTTTCCCAGTACCCACTGAAAGGAAACAATGTGGAGGTCTTTTCTACCAGTGCAGATGGCTTCCCAGCATACATTTTGGGGAACATATACTCCCTTGGGTACATCTTATGTTGCTATACTTGTTTACTCCTAGCCCCAATGACCTTATGCTTTTATTCCCCCAAAATAAAAATACACACATGCCATTTGAAATTCCACCCCCTCAAAGGTGAATGTTCATGTCAACATTTTGGTAGACATCCTTCTAGATGGGCATAAAATGAAAGTATAATTTTATAAAAACAACATCATATAATTGACTCAACTATATGTCATAGCTTTTCATTTCAATGAATATAAATCCACATGACTGCACAGTATTCTATAATATGGATTGCCATCATTTATTTAGCCAGATTCCTGTTTCTATGTACTGTAGGCTCTTTCTCATTTTTGGTCATTATAGAGCAAGCAGCCATGGAATTCCCAGTGTGATTATTTCTCCCATTTGTGTGATATTCTTCTTACAAAAAATTCTTAGAAATAGTCTCATGTTTTTAATCCGACAGTACTGTTTGCATTTTGTAAGAGAAATATTTATAAAATAAAATGATATTTTTGTCCATTTATCAAAATAATAGAATATTATTTCACCATAAAAAAGGGATGAAGTACCGATACGTGCTACAACATGGATAAACCTTGAAAACATACTAAGTGAAAGAAGCCAGTCACCAAAGACCATATATTGTATGACTACATTTATATGACATGCTCAGAATAGGCAAATCGAGGGCTACAGTAGAATGGAAGGTTTGGGGATGATGGCTAAAGGGTATCAGGTTTTCTTTTGGGGAGATGAAAATATTTGAAAATTGATGGAGGGGTGGTTGCACAATTCTGTGAATCCCATTCAATCGTACCACGGAATTGTACAGCTTAAATGGGTTATTTGAACAGTATGTGACTTGTATCTCAATGAAGCTGTTATAAAAATAAAGAAAAATAAACTGTAAACAAATCTCCAGGAGCCTGAAAGGAGACAAGAGGCCTGCGGGGGGACAGGGAGGGAGAGGGATTGGCATCGCAGGGTTCCTCATCCTGGGAAAAAACCAGGAGGCAGCATCTCGGCCCCACACGCCAAGGTGGGAGCAACGGTGTCAGGAGAGTCCCTCTGATGTTGAGGGGGGCCCAGGAGACATCTGCAGGGCCTCCCACCAACCCAGATGGCTGTTCCCAGGCCCACTTTCCCAAGCAATTGGCTCCCACCAGCTCTGAAGGCTGTGACACAGGCAGAGCCTTCTCTGGCACTCATGTGGTAGATGACGAAGCTCTCTGATTACAGCCGCCTTTGATCATTTCCCTGAAAGTCACTAATAAAAGCCAGGCAGCAACAAACAGAAAAGAAGAGGAGGGAAAAGAGCTCTTTAAGTCCCAGTGGCTGGGAAGGGTGGGAGGAGAAAATGGAAGAGGATTGGGCTGAATTTTGGGGATCACCCGGGGGGGTGCTCCTAGTGGAAAGTGGGTATAGCCAATAATTCCACCCGCAGCTTCACACTGGTATCTGCCTCCAAGTGCCTGGCAGATTCTACCATCTGCACTCCAACAGCTGAGAGCACAGGGCAGAGGGCAGTTGGTAGCCACAAGACGCCAGGTAGCCCCCATGCTCCCCTCTTTTCTGTCACCCTCCCAAGAGCCTTCCCCACAGTCAGCCCACTCAGTGGGTTAGAATAGCACCTGGGTTTAGAGTCAGGAGGGCCTCCAATCCCATTTCCTAGCTCCAGGACCCTGAGCAAGTAACTTTCCCTCTCTAAGCCTCAGTTTTCTCACCTATAAAATGGGAGTGATGGCCACAATCTTCATCTTGTTTATTTCCCTGTGCATTATGAAGATCAAATGAGCCACCAGACGAGTCCCTGAACACCAGACTGACTGCTCCAGAATCCCTGTGGATACATACTAAAATACAGATTCCTGGGCCCCCACCCCAAAGAAGAATGGTTCACAGGAAATGGAGTGGGACCCAGGAATCTGTACTTGGGAGGAAAAAGCTTTTCTAGCACTTTTGGTGGGTGGCCAAGCATGGGGGACCTCTACTTTACAAACCAACAGATGTGGCCTCTCAGTCTAAGAGGCAGAGATCTGCCATCAAAGACAGTGCTGTCTGATCCTGGTGAGCAGCTCTCAACTGGACCAAGTTACTTTCTGACTCTGAGCCTCAGTTTCCTCACCCAGAAAGTGGGGGCTCTCACCTCTTTTTCAGGTTTCATAGATTAAGGACATGAAATGCTTAGCACATCATGGGTCTTCAACAAATGGTAGCTGTTATCAGTTTGTTGTTGTTGTTTTTGTGTTTTGTTTGTTTTCCGAGATGGAGTCTTGCTCTGTCTCCCAGGCTGGAGCGCAGTGGCACGATCTTGGCTCACTGCAATCTCTGCCTCCCGGGTTGAAGTGATTCTCCGCCTCAGCCTCCCAAGTAGCTGGGGTTACAGGTGCCTACCACCACACCCAGCTAATTTTTGTATTTTTAGTAGAGACAGGGTTTCACCATGTTGGCCAGGCTAGTCTTGAACTCCTGACCTTGTGATCCACCCACCTCGGCCTCCCAAAGTGCTGGGATTACAGGCGCTCAGTGAGCCACCACTCCCGGCCAATGGTAACTTTCAGGAGTGGGATTCGAACCCACGCCTCCAGGGCAGACTGCGACCTGAACGCAGCCCCTCAGACTGCTCAGCCACCCTGACCAGCTTGCTGTTATTAGTTTTATGTTGGCTGATAATTTTATTACTATTATAGACCGTTAGTTTAAGTTCAGCTTACTCAGAACATAAACATCATCATTTTTGTTGTCCTTTACCTAAAATTTTTCCTTAGTCTTTTTTTTCATCCCAAAAGCAATATATGTTCAGTGTAAAAATTCAAACAATCTGGAAGCATTGAATCCCACTACTCATAGTTCCGTGCATAATCTTGCAGACATTTCTCTATAAACAGGAATAAACATTGCTTTCATTTCATACACACACGCACACACACACACACACACACACACACACATACAATTACATTGTACATTACGGTTTATGCTGAAACTTACTCCTTTTTTCCACTTAATCTATCATGGACACCCTTTCGTGCCAGCATATTGATCTGTTGACCTACAGGCTAAAAAGTATTCCATTAAACAAGTGTACCAGGATTTATTTAACCAGGCCCCTTCTGATCAGCATTTAGGTAGTTTCTGATTTTTCACTCTTAAAAACAAAGCTCCAATGCCCATCCTTCAACATTCATCTTCACACCCTTGGGTAAGCATTCCTGGATATTCATCAGGTACCAGGTGCCTAATACTTAAAATGTATTTATCTCATTTAAACCTCATCACATCTCTGCCAGACTTGACAGATGAAGAGACTGAGACTCGGGGTTTTAAGTCACATGCTTCTGTTCACATAGCTAGTAAAGGGTAGGGCCACAGTAAAGCCTGTGGTTGGTTGATTGCATTGGTAGCCCCCAGTCTGGCTGTCTCTCCACTTCCCTGCTCTTTGGTAGACCCTCCTCTGTGGACTCTTAGTGAGGCCATATCACTTACTTCAGCTAATCAGGAAGTAGCAAAGCAGATGCAAGCAGAAGTTTGAAAAAGCATGTTTGGGCTCCCTCCCTCTGACCCCTGTTCAGCCATGAGAACAAGCCCAGACTAGTCTGTCAAAGAATAAGAAAATATGGAGAACATCTCATCCCAGGCCATCCTAGACCAGCCAGCCCCCAGCCCACCTGCCAGCTGATCTAAGACACATGAACAAGTTCATCCAAGATTAGCCAATCCATCCCAGATCATCAGAACCACACAGGTGACCTGTAGACTCTTGAAAAATAATCAATAGTTCTTATATAAATTCACTGAGTTTTGGTATAATTTGTTATGCAGCAATAACTAACTGATACAAAGCTGAACTCTGACTCACAATCCCTATTATCTCCAAGATCCCACTGCCTTTGTTAAGAATCAAAACCTTATACATATCTCCTTATCAGAGAGTGCTATTTTTAAAAATCCTACATATAGTCCACATGTAACAGACACTGTGCTGACAGACCTGGAAGCTCAAGATGAAATAAGATACGGCCCTGCCACGAGCGACTGACCGTCCAGAGAGAAAGAACCTAAACAAATGATTACTGTTCACAGACAGGAACCTGGAACTCAGAAAGGGCCTCCAATTGATCATAATCACATAGCACCTTAGTGACGAGAAGGAAACCCAGGCCTCCTGACCCTACTAAATCCAGAGTTCCTGGGACCACTCAAACCTTCAACATCTTTGAGCACTGCTAAAAGTTATGTGCCCACATCCCTATCCCTGGCTACACAGAACAGCAGCCCCAGAGAGAGCTTTTTCCCAATTTACTGAGTCTGGTAGAAGACCTCCAGTTTCCATCTAGGGACATTAACTGCAAATTTATATTTGAGGCCCTGTGTGCAGTTTTTTATGCATCCTTAAATACCAAAACATAATTACCAATGTCAATACATAATGTTTATTTCTTTCAGAACCGACATTTTAATTTTCCCAAGCAGGCGGGAAAAATGATATGCATAAAAATAATGACAAATATTCAAAGTCTCCCAAATATGGGACCGAGATCACCCGCGTAATCCTAAATTTCAATGCACCCATGATCACAGCCACATTAAAGGTCTGATAAGCCAAATTAGGTTCCATGTAAGCATAATTAATCTTCTTTTTCAATGAAGATATTACAAGGGCATTAATTTGAATCCCAAAGGCCTTTGGGAAATTGAATTACATAGATAAAGCAAATATTTGACCTTTTGCAGATAATTACTATTTTAAAAAATTCACAATGCAAATGAACACCGAGTAAACCTTGGGTGTTACCCAGCGCTGCTGAAATAAAATTCTTTATAAAAATTCAGCAAGCGAAGAGACAGGTATTCTACTCTATTCAGCCTCCCAGCTTTTTATTTCAAATTTGGAAGCATAAAACTCCAGCCAGGGGTCCTGATGTTTATTAACAAATAATTGAATGAAAATTGGCCAGGACTGATTATGTCAAATTTGCAAATTATCTGTTATCATTCACAGGTCATTAAATTTCAAAAGATAGTAAGCAATGAAGGCTCTTTTCCTACAGCCATGATCCCAGGGCTAGCATTAAATGGGGCTAAGGCTTGTTGAGGTGAATGACTCACCACTGTTAGAACAGTCCTTCTGTCACCTCTGAGCCAGATCCTTGGGTCCCTGGGCAGGGTGGGAAGGAAAAACCTGCATCAGCCCCACCACCCTTCCATTTTGGCCATTTGGTATGGAAGAAAAAGCAGAGGCCTAGGACCAAACCCCAGTCCTACAGCTCATAACCTGAAGGATGCTGGGCATCTCTGGGCTGGGTTTCCTGGGCAGTTAAGGAGGAGAATCAGACCAGTGGTCATGACCCATGGGAATATGAAATGAGATCAAGGTTTTGAATGCTAATGCCTGTGGCACAGTCTTCAGAGTTGGACAAACTTGTGTTTGCATTCTGGTTATCGCACTGATGATCAGGCTTCCTAAGTTTTCCGATCTGTAAAATGGGTCTGTGGCACTGTCAAGCTATCCTGAGGTTCTTGTGAAGATGAAATAAGAGCTCACAAGATGCTGGCAGAGAGCAGGTGCTAAGCTGCTTCTCTGCACTCCCAAACAAAGAATAACTGTGGTGCCTCGGTCCCCTTCCCAATTTCAAAACATACAGCATCTCTGAAGCCTGAAACAGCACTGCTTGGGTCTAGAAAGACACGATCCCTCCAAAAGACTGTTCCTGCAGCTTCTGGTGCTAACCCCTCTCCAGAAAGACGTCACTGCTGCTAATGACTAAAAAAACACTGCTACTAACAACTAACACTTGAGTGCTAGCCTGTGCACTGTTCTAAGAGCTTTGCATGGATATTTCACTGAATCCTCTCTAACAATGTATAAGGAAAGACTGCTATTATCCCCATTTCACAGATGAGGAAACAGACCCAGAGAGGTTACAGAAACCCCTGACCTGGCAGCACCAGGGCTCAGGCCCCACACCCACATGTAGGACTGCCATCTGCACAGTCCAAGAGGCCAGGCCAAGGCCAAGCCACATACCACTGCCACCATGGTCCTGGCCTCCCCTTCCTCTCTCAGTGGACACAAAGATAGGAACTCACCCCTCTCCAAAAGCAAAGGCCTTTATGTCTACCAGTCCACCATGGCATATGCCCCAGAGTCTCCGCTGGCCAGGCCTGCAGCTCCAGGGGCGCTTGCCCTTGTGACACAAAAGTGCTGGCCTGAGGATCTACCCTGTCCCCTGTACCACCAACACTGTAGGATGGTACCTGCCTCTGTTTCTTTCTAAGACTGAGTTACGGGGGATAGAGATGGCCTGAGTTTGGATCTAACTAGTGCTTCCACAAAAAAAGCAGATGCAGGGAGAGAAAGGCAAGAAAACAATAATGATGCTTTCATGTAGCCATGCCGCTGCAGAGCACAGCGACCTGCTTTTCCTGGGTGCAGCTAGGCTTTCAAAAGGGACATTCTGCCCTGGTTTTGAAGGATGAGTGAGGTACCCTGGTGGAGCCAGGGAGGAAGGGCACTCCAGCGGAGGAAGCAGCGGGAACAGAGAGGAAGGTGCATAGAACAAGCGCAGGGGTTAAGGGACAGCCTCCCGCCAGCACCTGAGTCACTCTTTATGTGAAGGTTTCCGGCCCCAGGCTCCCCTTAGCCCAGAGCACTGCCACCAGGTCCTCAGCCTTACCTCTATATCCATGGGGCTAGCAGGATCCAAAGCTGGCCCTGGCTCAGAGCCAGGCAAAGGGATGCATTCTCCCCACAACAGTATTCACCTTCATGTTCCAAGCTCTGTCCAGGGCATCATTCAAAGGCCTCACTCTCAGGCTCTACAGGAAAAGAGGATATTGACCTATTGAGATTAGATAACAAAGCTCCACCAAACCTACTCACTTTCCCCAGCCCCATCAAGGCAAGTCCAGAGGCCTCGGCTCCTGGGAAGTGTTTACAAACTCATCTTCCCCGTCATTATTACACTGGAGTTTTCTATTTATCTGATTACAGCAGAATTGAATCTGGCCAGGTGAAATTAAATTTGTGCATTTCCGCAATCATACAATCTTCAGACACTCAATGTCCTAGTCCCAATTAGCCTGCCCCGATCTAGAAGGAGGGGGAGATGTCCTTATTGACAAGAGGGGAATAAAAACTCAGAGCCTGGAGTGCTCAGTGATTGACCCGCTGTTCTGAAATGAAAATCCAGGGCCTTCCCGGGTACCAGGAGGAGAGCCTCCTGGGCAGGGGTGTGCCAGAGGGGCTCTGGCTGCAGTGGGCAATTTGGTGCTCCCACGATCTGGGGCAGGTTCCTGGGGCTAGGCCTTCAAGCCTGGCAGAGGCACATCCACAAGGAGATATTTGTCTTGGGTCAGGCAACTACTTGACTGTAGATTGCCAGGTGAGCACCACAGCCAAGAAAAGAACCCAAGTTAAACCCCAGATTGTGCCTGGACCCACTGCACGTCCTCATCTGCCCAGCTCCTAACACTGGTGCTCCTGCAACTTCAATGATCTCACCAAACACTTTGCTGGTGGCTTCATCTGCACCCTTAGCTTTGATGACCATCTAGACCTCTAGGTGGTCTTCACCCTGGACCTCTCTCTTGAGCTCCAAATGCAGGAAGCCAGGCCTCTGGGCATCTCCACTTGGATAACCAAGATGCCTCCAACTGAACATAGCCCAAAGGAAGTCAGCATTTTTATTTATTGGGAGCTGATAATATGCTGGGCACTGTTCCAAGGACCTTATGCAAAAAGAATCCTATAAGGAAGCACTGTTCTTATCCCCCTCTTGCAGATGAGGAAACAGTCTGCCTCTCTTTTTTTATGAGATGGAGTCCTACTCTACTGCTCATGCTGGATCGCAGTGGCACAATCTCAGCTCACTGCAACCTCCGTCTTCCGGGTTCAAACGATTCTCCCACCTCAGCCTTCTGAGTAGCTGGGATTACAGGCATGCACCACCATGCCTGGCTAATTTTTGCATTTTTGGTATAGACAAAGTTTCACCATGTTAGCCAGGCTGTTCTCGAACTCCTGGGCTCAAGTGATCCACCTGCCTCGGCCTCCCAATGTGCTGGGATTACAGGCATAAGCCATGACACCTGGTCAGCCTTTCTATATATAAGATTCTTTGGAAGAAGAGAAAGTCAGCGGGCCACAACCATTTCTTCCCCACTCCATAGATGCTGGCCTGTTGCTTCAAAGGAAATCTGAAACCAGCCCGACTTGTTTCTTGCTGAGTTGCCTCTTCAATATTTTGCTTTTTCCTGTCCAGATCCTTGCAAGCTACTTGTTTTTACTTTTTTCCTTGTATTTCAACACATAGTCCAGGATTTATCCAAGCCTGAGTCTCCTTCCACTGGCTTCATCAGGAAGAAGGGGGCTTTTTTAACCTGTACAGCTGATCTTTAATTTCTGCTTTGGGGGGGTGCAGTGGCTTTTCCCTGTAATCCCAGCACTTTGGGAGGCAGATGCAGGAGAATCACTTAAGCCCAAGGGTTCAAGACCAGCCTAGGCAATATATCAAGACCTTGTCTCTATTAAAAACAATAATTAAAAAGAATTAGTCAGGAGTGGTGGCATGCACCTGTAGCCCTAGCTACTTGAGAGGCTGAGGTGAGAGGATCACGTGAGCCCAGGAGTTCAAGGATGCAGTGAGCCTTGATCACACTACTGCACTCCAGCCTGAGCAACAAACCAAGATCCTGTCTCAAAACAAAATTTTAAGGCTGGGTGCAGTGGCTCGTGCCTGTAATCAAAGCACTTTGGGAGTCCCAGGTGGGTGGATCACCTGAGATCAGGAGTTTGAGACCAGCCTGACCAACATGGCAAAACCCCGTCTCTACTAAAAATATAAAGTTAGCCAGGCGTGGTGGCACATGCCTGTAATCCCAGCTACTCAGGAAGCTGATGCAGGAGAATCGCTTGAACTCGGGAGGCGGAGGTTGCAGTGAGCCAAGATAGCGCCACTGCACTCCAGCCTGGCATCAGAGCGAGACTCTGATCCTAATAAATAAATAAACAACATTTTAAAATTTCTGCTTTGGGGCTTATAGTCCTGTTCTTCCTCAAGAACCACCATAATATCTATTATCGCCCCCAAAGTTTCTGTCTTTATCCTTTTATTCTGCCTTCAAAGAGAACTTAAGATCATCCTCTACAACACTGATTTGATTTTCCATAAAGTTGATTTCAACATCAATGTTTCCAGGGATGTTGTAATGATTCTATAGCCTTTTAAATCCTTGTAATCCTTCCTTATCTCATCCATCTCTCTTTATATTTCATCGAAGTATCTGTTCATCTCGGCTTTACCCTCCTTATGATTTTCTGCTCCAATTTCTTAAGAGCCCAGCTTCGAGTGAAGGTCCACACACAATTCTAACATTTTCTTCTGGATCTGGAGAAAACACTTTTCAGAGGTCTAGCCATATTCTGAGTTTTGAGCAATATTCTTTCATTCATTCATCCAGCAATGTTTTTTCATGGATCCCAAACCATTTCTTCAAGAAGAATACAAAACAACACTGACTTACTCATCCAATATTTACTAAGCATCATGATGTCCCAAGCACTGCACAGAGTGCCAAAGAGGCCCACCACACCTGCCCCACCGTCACAGATCTTCTCTGACTCTGTCCTCCTGAGAGCCTCCGAGGTGCCGGCTCCCAGGCTAGTTTACAGAGGCCCAGAGGCTTCCATTTGATACAGCTCTTCCAGAAAGAATCTTTTCCTGGCTCTTGACCCTCTTTGAAATCTTGAACTCATCCAAACTACAATCCCCAGAATGCCCTTACCTGATTCTGGGTGTCCACTATCAAGAGGTCTGGCTACTCACTGGCCTGGAGAAATATGAAATCTGTTTCTTGTTGATCTGTGCTATTGACTGAATGAATGTACCTCCCTCAAATTCACATGCTGAAGCTCTCATTCTAAACAAGTGGTATTTGCAGGTACAGTCTTTAGGATGTAATTATTAATAGGTATAGATGAGGTACTAAGGGTGGGGTCCCCATGATGAGATTTGTGGGGTTTTCATGCTTTGTTTTGAGACAAGGTCTTGCTCTGTTGACCAGGCTGGAGTGCAGTGGCTCAATCGTGACTCACTGCAGCCTTGACCTCCCTGTCTCAAGCCCTCCTCCCATCTTATGTTGGTTCTCACACTGCTGTGAAGAAACACCCGAGACTGGGTAATTTATAAAGGAAAGAGGTTTAATTGACTCACAGTTCTGCACTGCTGGGGAGGTCTCAAGAAACTTACAATCATGGCAGAGGCAAAGGAGAAACAGGCACCTTCTTCATAGGGCAGCAGGACCGAGTGAGTCCCAGCAGGGGAAATGCCAGACACTTATAAAACCATCAGATCTTATGAGAACTCACTCATTATCACAACAGCATGGGGGAAACCATCCCCATGATCCAATTACTTCCACCTGGTCCTGCCCTTGATTATGGGGATTATGGGGATTGCAATTCAAGGTGAGATTTGGGTGGGGATACAGAGTCAAACCATATCATACCTCAACCTCCCAAGCAGCTGGGATTACAGGCATGCCACTATACCTGGCTTTTTTTTTTTTTCTTTTTGTAGAAATGGAGTTTTGCTATGTTGCCCAGGCTGGTTCTCGAATTCTGGGGTTCAAGCAGTCCTCCCACCTTGGCCTCCCAAAGTGCTGGGATTACAGGCATGAGCCATTGCACCTGGCCAAATTCATGTTTTTATAAGAAGAGGAAGAGACCCATGCCCCTCTCTCTCTCTGCCATGTGATGATATGGCGAGAAGACAGCTATCTATAAGCTAGGAAGAGAGCACTTACCAGGAACTGAATTGGCCAGCACCTTGATCTTGGATTCCTCAGCCTGCAGAACTGTGAGAAATAAACATCTAAACATCTGTTGTTTAAGCCTCACAGTTGGTAGTGTGTTATAGCAGCCCTCTGACTAAGACAGTCTAGGTGGAAGTGCTTCAAGGGCAGGGACCGGATCTGTCTTCTGCACCTTCCACAGACCTACTACAGCCTTATAGATGGGCCATTGAGTCCTAGATGGGACCTAACTGAATGCTCTAATCATGCAGGGGAATGAAAAGGTGACATTTGCTGTCCTTTTTCAGGTCTGGATTTGCACAGCTAATTCCTAGGAGATAGTTCTCATCTCCCTGGGGACAGAGGCAGCTCTCTTCTTGAGCCCTCCCTCTCCTTAGCTGTTGAGGCAAAGACCAAAGAAAGTGTGGTCAGCCTGGATCCTGCAGTGAGGAGAGGAAACTGAGAGTAGCCGACTCCAAAGTCAAGCACATTTGAAGCACCACCAATAGCAGCTAAGAGAGGCGACTGCTGACAGCCAGATCCCAGGCCTCTGCCTCCTACACCAAAGCTCCCTGCACTGCACTGTGACCTCCCTACTTTGCTCTAGTGCTTGAGATCTTATCAGAACAGAACTAGCAGAGGCTTGGGCAAGGCAATGATTAGGGGGGAGAGAGGGAGAGAGAGAGAGAAAGAGAGAGAGAGATTGATTTGTGGTCAGTAAGAGAAGCAATTCTTAATCTTCTCAGAGTGAGGAAGGTGATCCATACCAGATGGTTAGGATACAGAGGGACAAGAACCAGCAAAGTTCCTGCCTTTGAGGAACGTATATAATTTAACAGAAGAAAAAAAAAACAGAACAACACATAAACAAAGAAAATGTATGCATGCATATTTGATTATTTTAAAGGTGCACCAATTCTACATGTTTTATAGCAGCACAGGCTGGGCTGTATGGGGTGAAATTACATGGGGTCTAGAATTTGTTACTCAAGTGCATCCCTGGGGACTAGCAGAAACAATTTCACCTGGGAGCTTGTTAGAAATGCAAATGCTCAGATTTTACCCCAGAATTACCAAATCAGAATTTGGAATTTAATGAGATCCTCAGGTGATTCGTTAGCACATTAAATATTGAGAATCACTTCTCAATATTCTACATGTTCTAACATGTAGAATCACTTCTCAATATTTAATGGTGGTGGGGAGAGCACTAATTTCACAAAGAGAAAAAGGAAAAGAAATCAGGGGAAGTAAGGCAAGTAGAGAGGAATATTGATAGCTGTTATATACCCAAAAGTATATATATCATTCTATTATAAAGATATATGTGGCCAGGCACAGCGGCTCACGCCTTTAATCCTAGAATTTTGGGAGGCTAAGGCGAGCGGATCACGAGGTCAGGAGATCAAGACCATCCTGGCTAACATGGTGAATCCCCGTCTCTACTGAAATTACAAAAAATTAGCCGGGCGTGGTGGTGGGCGCCTGTAGTCCCTGCTACTCGGGAGACTGAGGCAGGAGAATGGCGTGAACCCGGGAGGCGGAGCTGGCAGTGAGTCAAGACCACGCCACTGCACTCCAGCCTGGGTGACAGAGCGAGACTCCATCTCAAAAAAGAAAAAAAAAAAAAAAAAAAAAAAAATATATATATATATATATGCATGTATGTGTATGTTTATTGCACCACTATCCACAATAGCAAAGATGTGGAGTCAACCTAAATATCCATCAGTGATAGATTGGATAAAGAGAATGTGGTACATAAACACCATGGAATACTATGCAGCCATAAAAAAGAATGAGATCATGTCCTTTGCAGAGACATGGATGGAGCTGGAAGCCACTATCCTTAGCAAACTAACACAGGAACAGAAAACCAAACACCACATGTTCTCACTCATAAGTGGGAGCTGAACGATGAGAACACATGGACACAGGGAGAGGAACAACACATACTGGGGCCTGTCAGAAGAGGGGAGAAGTGGGGAGAGGGCGAAGTTCAGGAAAAATAGCTAACGTGTGTTGGGCTTAACACTTAGGTGACAGGTCAATAGGTGCAGCAAACCACCGTGGCACACATTTACCTATGTAACAAACCTGCACATTCTGCACTTGTACCCCAGAATTTAAAATAATAAAAAAGAAAAGAAAAGAGGTTGAATTGGCTCATGGTTCTTCAAGCTGTATAGGGAATCATAGCGACTTCTGCTTCTGGGGAGGCCTCAGGAAACTTACAATTGTGGTGGAAGGCAAAGGGGAAGCAGGCTCATCTCACAGGGCCTGAGCAGAAAGGAGAGAGAGAAGAGGGGGAGGTTCACACACTTTTAAATGACCACATCTCATGAGAACTCACTCTCACTATCACAAGAACAGCACCAACAGGGAAATCTGTCCCCATGATTCAATCACCTCCCAGCAGGCCCCATCTCCAACACTGGGGATTACAATTCAACATGAGATTTGGGTGGGGACACAGATCCAAACCATATCACTGTTGAAACTGGATCATGGGCATCTGGGATTTCACCATGCTAGTCTCTGCTTTTGTATCTGTTTTAAAATGTTTGAAGTAAAAAAATAAGTAAAAACGCACCAACGAATTGACAGGGGAAAGCTGAGCAAACCACGATCCAAGACAGCAGAACTTACCCTGCGACTTCCAGAGAGGCTAAAAGAAGGTCCAGGCTCCAAGTCACTAATGCCAACAGCTGTGCTGGCCTCAGGGATGGGGATGTCATCAGGAGATTTGTCAAGGGGCTGCATTTGGGATGCTGGGGATACCTGCAGCCTTAGAGAACAGAAGGCACTAACGCCAAGCAGGATGAATGAGAAAGATGCAGCTCTAGGTGAGATTTTTGGCATTCCAAAGATAAGCAAGAAATTTTGTACCAGGCACACTGGGCTCATGCCTGTAATCCCAACACTTTGGGAGGCCAAGGCAGGCGGATGACTTGAGGTCAGGAGTTTCAGATCAGCCTGGCCAACATGGTGAAACCCCGTCTCTACTACAAAAAAGAAAAATTAGCCAGGCGTGGTGGCAGGTGCCTGTAATCCCAGCCACTTGGGAGGCGAGGCAGGATAATTGTTTGAACCTGGGAGGTGGGAATTGCAGTGAGCTGAGATCACGCCACTGCACTCCAGCCTGGGCAACAAGAGCGAGACTCCACCTCAAAAAAAAAAAAAAAGAGAGAAAATTTTAAACGCTTCTGGAGAGCAAAAACACTGCCTACCAAAGTTATCCACCCTACCGAATGCTGTAGGAAATAGCAAGGCCTCTATCTTAAATGCCTAGCGCTGCTGTAATCAATGACCACAGACTTAATGGCTTAAAACAACACAGATTTACTCTCTTACAGTTCTGGAGGTGAGAAGCCTGAAATGAGTTTCATTAGACAGAAACCAAGCTGTCCGACTGCACACCGTCCAGAGGCTCCAAAGGACACTCCGCTTGGTTTCCTGGCCTTTTCCAGCTTCTAGAGCTGCATTCCTTACATTCCTTGGCTCCCGGCCTCTTCCTGCTTCAAAGCCAGCAGGAGCACAGAACATTGCTTCAGTAGTCACATCATCTTCTTCCTCTCTAGATGAATCTCCCTCTACCTCCCTCTAGGAAGGACTCTTGGGATTACATTTAGGGCCCTCCTGAATAGTCCAGGATAATCTCTCCCTCTCAAGTTCCATAATCACATCTACAAAGTCCCCTTTGCCATATAATGTTCACAGATTCCAGGAATTAGGACCTGGATATTTTAGGGGAACCATTGAGCCTCCCACAGCTTCTAAATTCCAAAGAAAAGCAGTTTTACCCAGGGTTCTATAGTTCCACAGTTTGGAAAACAGTTCGGTGGTTCATCAACAAATTAAGCATAGAATTACCATACGATCTAACAATTTCACTCCTAAGCATCTACCCAAAATAACTGAAAGCAGGCTGGGCACAGTGGCTCACGCCTGTAATCCCAGCACTTTGGGAGGCCAAGGCGGGTGGATCATGAGGTCAGGAGATCGAGACCATCCTGGCTAACAAGGTGAAACCCCGTCTCTACTAAAAATACAAAAAAAAAATTAGCCGGGCATGGTGGCGGGCGCCTGTAGTCCCAGCTACTCGGGAGGCTGAGGCAGGAGAATGGCGTGAACCCGGGAAGCGGAGCTTGCAGTGAGCCGAGATTGCGCCACTGCAGTCCGCAGTCCGGCCTGGGCGACAGAGCGAGACTCCGTCTCAAAAAAAAAAAAAAAAAAATACAAAAAAATAGTTGGGCATGGCCTGTAGTCCCAGCTACCTGGGAGGCTGAAGTGGGAGAATCACCTGAGTCCAGGAGGTCGAGGCTGTAGTGAGCTGTGATTGCACCACTGCATTCCAGCCTGGGTGACAGGGTAAGACCCTGTCTCAAAAAAAAAAAAAGTAAAAAGAATTGAAAGCAGAAACTCAAACAAATATTGATACACAAATGTTCACAGCAACACTATTCACCATAGCCAAAAGGTGGAAACAACCCAAATATCCATCAATTGATGACAGGATAAATAAAATATGGTGCATCCATACAATGGAATATCATTCAGCTGTGAACAAGGAATGACGCACCCATACATGCTACAACATGGATGAACCTTAAAAACATTTTGTTACATGAAGAAGCCAGACACAAAAGGCCACATGTTATATGATTCCCTTTATATTAAATGTCCACAACAAGCAAATCCACAGAGATAGAAAGCAGATTAGTAGTTGCTGGGGGTGGTGAGAGGGAGGAATGAGGGGTGACTGCTTAATAGATGGAAGGTTTCCTTTTAGGGTAAGGAAAAAATTCTGGAACTAGACAGCAGCGATGAGTGCATGATATTATGAATGCGCTTAACACCACTGATTTATACACTTTAAAATCATTAAAATGGTAAGTTTGGCATTAAAGAGAAAAAGAGTAGACACAGGAAATAATGATATCTAAGGATAAGTTAAGATCAAGGAAAGTGCAAACCAAATTATAAGAGAATCTGCTGACCCTGATGTTTAGAACATTCCCTTTGAGCAGTAAGGGTTTCCAGACATAGAATTGATTACATTCTCATCTCTACAGGCCTAATCACATCACTTGGTTCTGCAGTGAGTATTTCCACAATCTAAAATATATAAATGATATTTTTATTGGGCTTAAAATTTTAGAAATAACCTATGGAGAAATCATGAAAGACCATTATGGTAACAGAGTGAATATAAATGTTATGAACCTTGACAATGTAAGAATAATTATTTAACAAGAATTGGGTGCAGATGGGAAACACAGAAGAAAGTGTAAGTACATGGACTTCTTTATTTTTCATAGCAGAGATCAATACTTACAATCCAAAAGAAATAAATCAAGAAATAGATAGTAGGTTATTAAAACTTAAAAAGGCAATCTGTAGAAGAAATAAGAATAATGTCTGTAACTGCAAAATTCAGCAAGGGACAGGAGAGTTGGAAGGCAATAAAGTGTGCTCAATTCCTCAACTTTCTCAGCAGAGAGGCAACAAATATGTCCAAAGAAGATGAGTCAAGAAATAGAACTATATTTAAAGCTTCAATTGTTGATAGACATCTGTTTTTGTTTGGTGAGAACACCCCTCTTTCCCTGGGGATACCCATTTGCATGTGTGAGGTAGGGCAGACCTGCCCTTGTGGCCACAGGAGTGGTCACATGACCCATCCTGGCCAATCAGAACCTTCCCTGGGACTTTTTCACCAGCACTGTTGGGGAAGATGCTGATTTTAGGCCAGCACTGTCAAGTCAGGAGAATGGTACCCTGGGGCTTTCTGTATCCATCTGCCTGCTACTGGACACGAATCTGCATATAGACTGAAGCAACATCAGAGCTGATGACATTATTGAATCCCTGGATGTGCCTGAAGCATATATTATTCTTCAGATTTCTGTTATCTTACCCATTGAATTCTCTCCTACCTCTTTTTTTGAGACAGACTCTCACTCTGTCACGCAGGCTGGAGAGCAGTGGCATGATCTCAGCTCATTTGCCGCCTCAACCTCCTGGGCTCGAGTGATCCTCCCACCTCAGCCTCCCAAGTAGTTGGAACTACAGGCACATGCCACCAGGCCTGGCTAATTTCTGTATTTTTTGTAGAGGCAGGGTTTCATCATGTTGCCCAAGCTGGTCTTGATCTCCCAGGCTCAAGCAGTCCACCCATCTCAGCCTCCCAAAGTGCTGGGATTGTAGGCATGAGGCACCATGCCGAGCTTGAATTCCCCTTTTGCTTAAAAAAAAAAGGCTGGGAAAGCCATTTGGCTCATATGTTCTGCTAATGTGTGGTGCTAACCCAGGGAATCTTCTAGAAAGAAGAGGAGTTCACCAGCAAGGAATTCCAGGAAAAGGTGTTAGAACCACAGCCCAAATGGTGACCCTAAGGCTTTCAGGATCAGGCCACCAGTGTTTTTCAGTGGCCAGAACACCATCTGGTACAGTGATGGTCACAAGGGGTGTGATCAAAACTCGACATTTGGACGGCCAGCCAAAAGTCCAAATCCTGCTAGGAGCTATGCAACTTGGACAAAATTCTTAGCATCTCTGACCTTAGCCTCCTTGTTACCAAAATAGAGATAATACTATCTACCCCATGGGGTTGTTGAGATGGTGAAATAAAACAGGAAAACGTACTTTATAAACACTCTGGGGTTTCATTTTTTATGATGATTAGTTCAGTTCCTTGGTCAGTCAAACTGCTTCTGTTCTCTGACCACAGATTGCATCCTACCTAATTCTGCCCAACCACCCCACAAATATATATATGCCATAATTCCCAAGTGGTGAGGGTGAGGGAGTGTGAATGACTCACTGCAGCCCCTTCCAATCACTGGAATGAAAATAGCTCCCCCAGTAATCATGGGTCACTCAGCTACAATTGTCTTCATTTTCTCCTCCTGCTTCTCCTTCTTCTTCCTACTAGGTATTTGATCGTCCGGTCCTTTCTTCCTTTAACTCTATTTTGCATTTATAAATGCCACCCTCAGCCAGGCGCTGTGGCTGACACCTGTAATCCCAGCACTTTGGGAGGCCGAGGTAGGCGGATCGCGAGGTCAGGAGTTCGAGACCAGCCTGGCCAACATAGTGAAACTCCATCTCCAATAAAAACACAACAACAAAAAAATTAGCCAGGTATGGTGGCGGGCACCTGTAATCCCAGCTACTCGGGAGGCTGAGGCAGGAGAATTGCTTGAATCTGGGAGGTGGAGGTTTCAGTGAGCTGAGATTGCACCACTGCACACCGGCCCGGGCAACAGCGAGAGACTCCGTCTCAAAAAAAAAAAAAAGAAAATTTAAAAAAATAAATAAATGCCATCCTCATGCAGAAATGGGATATTTGAGGGAGCAGGGTATGATTCAGGTGATCTGTGCCTCTGGATATGGTAAGAAAAATCACTGTGGAAGGAATAGTAATGGCTCTCCACTAAGATAGTGTCACTTGTGAATTAAGTGGTGTCAGCCTCCTTTTGTAAATTTTTATGGGTTTTTTTTTCTTATTGTAAAAGTAATATTGTTTTTATAATATTTTTATTGCAAGTAATATAAGTAATATTGTTTATTGCAGCAAACACAGAAAGATAAAGAAGGAAATAAAAGTCACCCACAATCCCACAATCCAGATTTAAACCCTGTTAACATTTTGGCGGACTCTGTTCCATTCAGTTTTACTAACACCCCTGAAATCATATCACATATTGCATCCTGCTTTCTCCATTCAACATTATATTATGAGCATATCTCCATTTCATTAACAATTCTCAAAGATTTTTTTTGGCCAGTATCATACTCCAGAGTACCAAAATCTATTTAATCAAGCTCCTATTATTGAATATTTTAGGTACTTCTAGTTTTTCACTACTGATCACTCAGCATAAATGTTTTCATCAGTTCAATAAGAGGCTTTAACCATTTGTATGCATTGTCATAGCTGGCACATTTAGCCTTGCTGCTCTCTTCGTTCACAGTAACACATCCAGGATGCCAGGTGGCCAGTCCCAAGGGTGCCATCACCACCCACACATGAAACAGTCCCCCTTCCCCAAAGGCAAGGTATTTTCCAGACCTCCTTGGCCTCCTTGCTTCCAAACCTCACTGAAGGCCATGCCAGTCCTCCCTGATAGATCTCCCCCAAGTTGTGTGTCGCTGGCAGCAGAAGCTGTGGTCTCTGCTCTGTTCTCCTAAAAGGCTCTGGGTTGCTTATGCAAATAAGTCCCCTCCCTCTCAGCTCCCAGTTCCAGAAGATAAATGTGTAGTTTTCTAAATCACCTCAAACCAGGTCTTCCACTCTAACCCGAGTAATAGGTGCCTACTGATTCTGCATAAGTGAGCCACTCCATCTGTCTTCCCCACAAGGGAAGAGGGCAGTGGAGGAGGTTAGAGGGCCAGGGAAGACCAGCCAGAAAGATCCTGGAGCGAGTGTCCCACCCTACAGGTCAGGAGATGGAGCTCACATTGAGGGAAGGGTGGCATGGCTCCACATTCACGCCTTTTCTCATGATCTGTGCCCCTGTCCGCAGAACATATCCACCACATTCCATTATTCCAGGGTCCAGGCTAGGAAAGAGGGAACATGGGCTCTAACTGCAGCTCTGCCACTAGTGTGCTTTGTGACACTGGGAAAGTACCTTTCCCTCTCTGAGCTGTCAGGAAGGGAAGGGTGACCAAATGATTCTCAAAGGCCCTCCAGGGTCTGATGGCTGAGCTTGAGCCCCACAAAGAATATTCTACCTGCAAGAACACGTGGTGAAGGGAGGCAGCCTGCTTCCCAGGGTCTAGCTGAGGCAGGGGCTGTGCTGAGGGATACACCCACTTCCTCCTCCTCAGCCTTTCCATTAAGGGCCCTGGGGCATGAGGCTCACAAAGCACCTTGGAAAGCAGTAGGCTTGAGGCCAAAAGGTGAGGTGGAGACAGCTATCTCCACATCCTCCCACAAACAATGGGAATAGTGGTCACAGGGCCGCTGGGGGACTTGCATGAAATGATGGAAGAGGTAAAAGTTTCAAAGAGTGAATGCTTCTTGTCAGGAAGACCCAGGAGCCAGCTCAAAGGGTCTCCTGCTGGCCAACCTTAGACAAGGTGGGCATCAACATAAGGAATGATAGTAATGGATTATAACTCACAGACTCAAATAAAACTGTAAGTCTGTACAGATGGAAATAAGTGAATTAATTGAAAAGTTAAATTGAAAGTTTGATGCAAGAAGGGGATATTGTCATAGTTTCAAAGCACCTCCACAAAATAATTACTAATTACAAAGATAAAAGAAGGAACAGACACCATGTACATCAAGTGATCAAAATGAACACCAGTAGTAATGCAACATATCCAAACTCACACAACCTGGTAGAAGGTACTGAGACGACGTATCGCTTCTGGGATATGCTTCCTAAGAAGCATGATCTGGATCTGATTGCGAGGAACCATCAGGCAAACCTCGATGAACGGACATTCTGGGAAATAATGGCAAAAATGCCAAGGTCATGAAAGTTTAGAAAAGAGTGAGGAACAACTGTTCCAGGCTGAAGGAGCTTAGAGATGGCTACATGCAACAGATGTGATACTCACCCCGGGAAGAGTGAGGAACTGATCCAGGCTGAAGGAGACTAGAGACATGATGGCTGGATGCAACACTCGTGATACTGACCCCGGGAAGAGTGAGGAACTGATCCAGGCTGAAGGAGAATAGAGATGGCTACATGCAACACTTGTGATACTGATCCCAGAAAGAACGAGGAACTGTTTCCAGGCTAAAGGAGACTAGAGACATGACAGCTGGGTGCAACACACGATACTGATCCCAGATCCTTTGGCTGTGAAGGACAATTATTGGGATGTTTGGGGAAACCTGGGTGGAGTCTGAATTAGACAGTAGTAATGTATCAATGTGAATGCTCCGATGGCAATGGTTGCTGTGGTAGGGAGCCTTTGAGATGGCCCCCAGTGAACCTCACCCCCTGTATTCACTCCCTTGACTGAGAATATCGCAGAAGAGATGGGGAGTCACTTCCAAGAGCAGGTTCCAAAAAGACTGTGGTCTTTTTGACTGCTATACTGTGGAAAGCCCTAAGAGGTTTTCCCATCACGGTGATGAACACAGGCCCTCAGCCCAACAGCCCAGGAGGAACTGAAGCCTCCTAACGACCAGTTCAGTGAACTTGGACGTGGGTCCTTCAGACCCAGTCAGGTCAGAACAACTGCAGCCCTGGCCGACAGTGTGACTGCATCTCATGGGAGACTTCTAGCCACTGGTTAAGTTGTGCCTGTGAAACAATCAATGCTTTTTGTTTTGAGCTGCTAACTTTGGGGGTCATTTGTTACACAGCAATAGGTAACTAATACAGTTACCCATTATTATATGATTATGTAGGAGAATGTCCATATTTGTATGAAAGACACACTATTCAGGTGTACTGAGGTATCAGATGGCACATAATTCTCAAATGGTTCAGGAATAGAAAGTTCTTTGTACCATATCTGCAACTTTTCTGTATGTCTAGGATTGTTTCAAAATTAAGACATCTATTGTAAAAAGCAGCAATGTGCCCTAGGAACATGAAGGAAAGGAACTCTGTTCTGGAAGGTCAGCACTCAGGGTACAGAGGAGTAGACGTAGTGGTGGGACTTCAGACACTGTGGTCTCTTTCTGAAATACAAACCACCCTCCTGCCTTAGACCCTTCAATGACTCCTGCTGTCCTCAGGATAAAGCCCAACTTCCTGAGCCTGGCATTCAAGGCCACCAGACCCTCCCTATGGACGGCATCCAGCCTGCCTCGTGCATTCCCTTTAACATTTCACACTCCAGACAGTGCCCATGCAAGCAGCTCCCGGAGGCCATGCTGTTTCTCCCCTTTGTGTTTTGCTCTGCCTTGAATGCCCCACTCCCCTTCTTTCCTGGACAATCCCTAACCAACTTCTGAGACTCACCTTAAGAGCCACCTCCTCCACATCCCATGTATCACCAACCCCCTCTCCTTCCCCAATGACAGCACAGCAAGTAGCACATGTTGTAAGGAGGGTCCATCTCCTCCATCTGACTGTGAGCCCAGCAAGGGCCAAAGCCCTATCCAGTTCCCCATAGGCACTCAGCACCCAGCCAGCCCCAGCATAGCACACAGTAGGTGCTCAGTTTTAAGAGCCCACAGCCTGACCAAGGCATGGTTAGGGATGGGAGGCCCATAGTCACACTCCATGGGGACCACCCACTCCAAAACTCAGAGCAGTCCAGCCTGGAGTCAGTGTTGGGGGGCCCCGGACACAAGTCCCCAGAAGTAGCCTCCCTGCCATGGGCCCTTAGACCTGGCACTGCCTTGCAAAGGCCCCTGGGGATTTCAGGCCCTGCAAAGGAGTAATTTGTACTTCAGGCTCGCTAATGAATCCCTGAACAAAGGAATTAATTACTGTCTGTCAAAATTAGACTTCTCCCTTCCTTCGAGATGCATCTTCTTTTTATTCTTAATTAATTTTTAAAATTACGATGTCAGTGCAAAGTCTAATTTATTTTACTTTTAGCGTTATTTCTCTGATAAGCAATTTCATTTTATGCCAGGCGCCCTCCTCGGCACCACTTTGTCACGTCAGCTCTCACTTCGAGGGGCTGTGGCAGACCTCCCAGAGCAAGCACCAGAGGCCTCAGATGAGCTGTTCCCCCTCCTGGGCCTCAGTCTCCCCGATGAGAAATGAATGCGTGGCACTAACGCGGTTCCACGAGCTTATCCCTCCCTCCATCGCAGGATCTACGTGAGGCCTGTGGCCTCATGAATGCACAGCCCTCGAGCATTTATCAAGGGCTTCTGCACTCTTCATAGCACGGACCCCCCCACAAAAACCCTTTTAAAGCCAAGCCTGTCTTCCCCACTTTACAGGTGAGGAAACTGAGCCTCACAGAGAAGAAATTGCTAGGACATGTTGGAAAAAATGCTCCCAACCCAGGCTCTGACTCCAGATCTTCACCCTGGTACCTAGATGGGGTCTGTTGCAAATGGTGACTTGGAGGTCTCTGATTAGACCTAGATGCTGCCTGGACAGGTCCTACATGACACCATTTGAGTCTGCCCAGTGCTCTGGTAAATGTCTCCCCCCTCCCACCCTTGTGTGGGGATCTGCTCCCCTTAACTCAGCTCCCCACACCCTGCCCTTGTGAGGAGTCCAAATGAGAGGTGCTTGCTTCACCCAGGACCCTACTCTCAGCCACGGGGGTGTTTGCTGGGTAGACTCACGACTCGGTTGGAGCCACTTGGTTCCTTCCCTGGGATTGTTCTCACAGCTGCAGGCAGAGAGCATTTTCCTCTCTGGTTATGAAGCTGAGAATGTGTGAGCATGGGCCGAGGCTTACACCTGGAATCCCAACACTTTTGGGAGGTGAGTGAATTCCTTGAGCTCAGGAGTTCTAGACCAGCCTGGGCAACATGGTGAAACCCTGTCTCTTCAAAAAAAATACCAAAAAAAAAAAAAATAGCTGGGCACGGTGGGGCACACCTGTAGTCCCTGCTACTTGGGAGGCTGAGGTGGGAGGATCGCTTGAGCCCAGGAGGTGAAGGTTGCAGTGAGCCGAGATTGTGCCACTGCACTCCAGCCTGAGTGATAGAGGGAGACCCTGTCTCAAAAAAATAAAAATAAAAAAGAAGAAGACAGTGTGAGCATGGATGCTGCTCCACTATGTGGCCCCCACTCCCAGCCCACCTAGGAGAGATGTGAGTCGCCTGTAGAGGTACGGAGCACTGAGTAGCATGGAGAGGTCCTGCTTCCAGCCCCTTCTGAGGCTGCCCCACCCTTGCCCCTCCCAGTTGGTTACACAAGACACTTAAACCCCTTCCAGGTCTAACTTCCTTTGAATGGGGTTTCTGTCACTTGTCACCCAAGAGTTCCAAGTGGTATGATTGGGCTCATAGAGCTGGGAGAAAGGAGGAGCTCAGCCTGATGTGGCGGGAACTGTCTCCAGTGGATTGATACTAAGCCCGGTGGGGGAAGGGGCTAGAAGTGGATGTTCTGCAACCTGGAGATGACTTGTCCCTGCCTCACCCCAGGATGAAGCCATGGGTATACGAAGCCCTCAGTCAGGCTCAGGCCCCACTGCCCATCCGGGCTCATCTCCCACCCTGCCATCTTTCACGCACAGCCTCACCACAGCACCCCGTCATGTCTCGTGGGGATGGGACCTCACCATTCTCCTTGCCTCCACGCTTTTGCATACTGTGCCCCTAGGCCAGCCCCTCCTACCACCACCTGCCTACTTGTTATAGACAACACCTCCTCTGGAAGACCCCTCTGGACTCACCACTCCTCAGTCTGCCATGGCAGTCAGCCTATTGCTGCTCGTAGCACCTGAGCTGGAATTGTCAGCACATGCTAGTCCCCTAGGATGCTGTGAGCTATTTAAGGACCACATATCAGCCTCCCCAGTGCCCAGCCCTGGGCCTACCATAGGGAGAGTGTCACTCATCAACAAGTATCTACTGAGCAGCGGACACCATTCTAGGTGAGCAACACAGAGGAGTCCCTGCCCTCATGGAGTTTATAGTCTATGGCGGGAAAACATGACCAAGGATAAGCATAACACATACAAAAATCACACAGCACGAAGCCAGCTAAGTGGCACCAGGTACACAGGGGCAGGTTGGGATTATGAATAGGGATGGGTGGTCAGTGTAGTCCTGATTGAGACGGTGACTTCAAGGAGGTGAGAGGCTAGGCCACACGGATGTCTGCGGAAAGGGGATTCCAGCAGAGAAAGCGGCCAGTCTTTGAAGCAGAGGATGTCGGGCGTGCTTAGGGAAAAGCAAGGGAGCCCCACGGCCAGTCTGGAGGGAGTGGAGAAGGAGGGGAGAAGGGCTGGTGGCTCCTGGGAAAGGCAGGCATATTTGGCTAAGAAGCTCAAGAAGTTCTTGTTGAACAAATCGAATTGAAATTTGAAAAGATTCTTGTAGTCTAGGTAGCAAGAACTACATGAATAATGAAAATGGGGGAATGTCAGTGAAATTTCATGGCTATATGATCAGAGCACAACTGGCGGGAGGACGTCAGGGGAGGTCTGAGAAGCAGTGCCTCCAGCCAGGATGCGGGACTTGTGTCCACCTTGGGGGCAGAGTGGGGAGCAGGAGCACAGGCGGCAGAGGCTGGATTTGTTTCCTAGGGCTGCTGGAACAAAGCGCCACACACTCAGCAGCTTGGAATAACGGAAGTCTATTCTCTTGCAGTTCTGGAGGGCAGAGGTCTGAAACCCAGGTGTCAGCAGGGCCGTGCTCCGTCTGAGGCTCGGGGTGGAATCTGTCCCTGCCTCGTGGCTTGTGGTCACGTGGCCATCTTCTTGCTGTGTCTGCATCTTCACATGGTGCTCTTCTCCCCTCTCTCCCGTTTCTTACAAGGACACCGGCCATACTGGACCAAGGGTCCACCCTGCTCCAGTATGACCTCATCTTAACTAATTACATCGGCAACGACCCCATTTCCAAACAAGGTCACATTCTGAGGTACTAGGGGTTAGGACTTCAACATATCTTTTGGGGTGACACAATTCAATCCATACCAGAGGCTTAACCTCCCAGGGACCCAGTGGGTGACTCTGGTGCTCCACTGAGCCTCTCTGGACCTCGGTCTGTCCCCTTGTAAGACCAAGAGGCTGACACGTCATCCCTCAGGCACGCAGCTTGCGTCTCTCCAGCTCCTTTTGAAGAATCTTCTCTCCTCTTCTCACTGCGCCACCTCTGATCTCCAGCGCAGCAGCGTGGGGACAGGAGCTCAGATGATTCCTAACTCTATCTTCACCATAAAACAAATATTTTGAAAAGCCTTTTGATGTCACTTTAATGGAGTGTGGAAAACACCGTTCAACCCCCCGCATTTTTAATTTCATCCTTTTTGCTATTTTTTTTTCTCTTTTAAAGCTTGTGTTTGCTTTCATGTTACACGTTATTTATTTAGTTGCTTGTCAATTAGTGTCTATTCTCCAAGCGACAAGCACATTAGCAGCTGCAGAGATTGGAATTAAAATTCGCGGCCCAGTTGGTGCTACAGTAGCTGGGCCTACCCGACTGAGAAAACAGCACCTCTTTGTCATTTCAAAAGATGACCTTCCTCTGGCTTCTTCCTGTTTCTGGCTTCAGATTTAATTCCTACTGACTCCTCCGTGGTCACCGCACGGGCGTGATGGCTTTAAGATGGATTTTTTTCAAATGCACAAAGGAAGATGTGGGCTCCCGTTAACAGCAGCCTTTGATGATGGTTACTGTAAAACAGGAGTCGGCTGGATTTGAATAACACGCTCTAAATTGCCACTCTGAGGATTTTAACTCAGACAGCCTAATACTCCACACCTCCACTCAGCAGTTCAGCAAACATTTAGTGAGGTGACACGACGTAGTAGAAACAGTCAAACAGATCTGGCTGCACTATCAGCTCCTCGATTTACTGGGTACATGACTCTAAGCAAGTGGATTAACCTCACTGAGCTTTATTTATTCTTCTGAAAAATGGGAGAATTAAACCCAGCCACACAGTGATGTTGTAAGAACTGAGACTGTGTGTAGAGCTTTGCAATCCGAGCTTCCATGTCTGACTCCTCCAATGAACCAGAGGCATTTGCTTACATGGGTTAATGTCACAGCCAGCAGGACTTTGGAGAAAAAGACTCATGAAGCTGAGGCTCCATGGCTCTGGGGTGGAGATAGGAGGAGACTGTCTCCAGCCCAGCCCAGGCCTAGATCTGACCGCCGTTCACTTCAAGGCTGCAGGCAGAAGGCAGAGGAACTGTGATAACCCAGCCCAAGCAGGGTGGCTTCAGAACCCAATGACAAGGCAGGCAACCTGGGAGAGCAGTATTTTCTCATTTTCTGTTCTCAATATGCTACTGCACAGATCCAGGCAATGGAGGTATTGGGATGACTTTTCTCTGCTCACATCCCCTTTCCACTAGGATCCCCTGTCCTGTCCCCGCCCAGTTAGATCCTAACACCAGCTCCCCTCTACCACCCTCCCCTACCCCGCACTCCAGCCCCTTTTGCCATAACACATTTCCCCTCTAACAGAGGAGACCATGGGCTTATTACAGGCGTCCACTGCTAAAATCTAAGCAGGGGCCTTTGTTTTATCCCAAGGGCCCAGGACAGTGCCTACTCTGTAAATATTTGTGGAAAGATGACAACTGCAGGTGATGGGGCCTGACTTATGGCAGAGCGGGGAGATGCAGTGAGGAGCACAAACCAAAGCAATGTTTAGGAGGAAGATATTCTTAACTTGCTCTGTGCAGCAGGAGCCTCAGGGGCTCTTTTCAAAAACAAGAAGCCCTGCACCTTGCCACAGACTCATCACACCGCAGTCTGTGGGACCAGGATTCTGATCCTCATGCTGAAGAGTCCCTGGTAATTCCAACGCAGCCAGAGCTGAGAACAGCCAGGGTTCTCGATGCAGCTGAGATGGAGAGACACAGGCTGAGAAGACACGAGTGCTGATCCCAGCTCTGCCTCCAGCTCGGGGTGTGATCTCGGGCAAGCACTCGCCACACTCAGGGACTCATTTTTCCCATCTGGACCAGGAAGGGGTTGAGGCACTGGTTTTCACGGGATGTCCCTTGAAGCCCTAATGTTTGGTAGAGGGACCTCAGAGTGGGGGTGAGGCTTAGTGTGCTCCCAAGCACTCAGGACCCTGGGGGGCCCATCTTGGCTTGCCCTAGAGCTGACCCATCTGCTTTGTATATTGGGGTTCCACACAAGATTTCTTTTTGAACAAACGGTTCCAATTCACAGGTGTTTGGGAACCACAGGCTGGACACTGGCTGGGACTTGGGAGATGCTGGCGTTACCAGCTCTGGCCTCAGGGCTTCACCTTCTCCATCTGTCTAATGTGGGGTGGACCCAATCACCCCAAAGTGCCTTCTCACCTGGGAAGTTGGGGTATTCCAGTTTCATGGTAGCAGGAGTGTTGGGAAGAAGAAAGGGAACTGGGTGAAGACAGGAGACAGTGTCTGCTGAAGGACAACTATCATCACACAATATAACACTCTAATGGTGGAGTCTTTTATATGAGAATAGATATTATGGAGCACAGTTCCATCAAATGAATATAATAGAATACAATGCACACTGTAATTACACATTTCAATAATTCCTTCAATACATTACATACAAGCATTCTGAAGTAATGGAGTCCTGGAACCATATATAATAACGTGCCTAAAGGGAGACCCTATGGGTGGTGACAGGCCTCCCAGCCGGCAGGGAGAAGCAAAACCTCCTCCAATCCTGGGCCACGTGGCTTCTCACTCTAATCTCTGAAGACTCTCTGGAGGAAGTCCTTGGTCCAAGCACCTGCCCACTGAGAAGAAATCCCTTCTACAACATCATCAACAGCTAGCAGACAGCCTCTGTAACATATCTCCAGGGATGGGGAGCTCACTACCTCACAGGTTATCTATTCAGTGGCCCCTGTCATTAGGAAATTACACACTACAAGCATATACATATCATCTCTAAATTTATATGATCAAACTTGTACTGACTGAGGCACGAGATTCATTTGCTACCGCTGTCATAACAAATCAGCACAAACCTTGTGGCTTAAAACAACACACATTTATTATCATCTTACAGTTCCATAGGCAGAAGTCTGACATGGGTCTCACTGGGTTAAAATCAAGGAGTAGGCAGGACTATGCTGTTTTTCTGGGGCCTTTAGGGGAGATTCTGTTTCCTGCATTTTCCATCTTCCCGAAGTCACTTATGTTCCTTGACTCTTGGCCCCTCCCTCTGTCTTCAGCCACTCTCTGATCCTTTCCCTGGTGTCACATCTCTCTCTGGCCACAGCTGGGAAAGGTTCTTCTCCCTTAAGGAACCATGGAATTAGAGTGGGCCTACCTGGATAATCCAGAAAGATCTCCCATCTCAAGGTCTTTAACTTTAATCACCTCTGTAAATTCCCTTTTGTCATATAAAGTAACATATTCACAGGTTCCGGGATTAGAGTATGGACATCTTTAGGGGCTGTTGTTCTGCCTACCACAGGCGCTATTTTATCATTACAATACCTGACTTATTGTGACTTCCTCTTCATCTGTACAAAGGAGATCATAATGCTTTATGGCATTAAATGTGACTATACACCTGTAGTGCCTGGCATATACATGTTTGACGAATGGCAAGCAAATTCAGTGAACTGAGGTGAAAGTATCAATGATATGATCCACTTTGTCAATATCCTTCCTAAAGCAAGGCACAGGAAATGATCACAAGGCCCACAGAACAGTTGGACAAGTCATGGAGGTCTGACAAGAGCCAAATAATTCACCTCTCTTGTTTGGACTCTGTATCTCTATTAATGCAGCCAAGGCATCGTTAGCATTTTAGACTTCTTCTTTGGTCTCAGTTAACTTAGTTGCTTGTAGTCAATTAAGACCCTAAGACCATCTCCAGTTACAAGGGATCATACCCCTGTTATAGGGAGACGAATTGAGGCATAAAGGATGAAGGCCCAGAGGTGATGCCTGAGGTAAAGATGAGTGGGAGTGAGTCAGGCCCAGGATGTGGGTGACGGACATTTCAGAACAGTAGACGCAGGTGCAAAGCCCAGAGCTGCAGGATGCCGAGGAGATGGTCTCAGGGGCCTGCAAGAAGTGTGGCAAGAATAGCAACTTCATGGATGGGGGCCGGGGAGATCATCAAGGACAAGCCCCGATCTATGGGAGATGAAGGCCAAGGCCAGATGGGAAGGCTTGGATGCAGTGGAGGAGTGGGGACTTGGTCTTGGGAGGGTTTGCAAGCAGAGAAGTGACATGATTGTCTTGCAATTGACAAGATCATCCTGGATGTGGGCAGAGACAGTGAGGGGTGGGTGCATGCGCAGGAGACAGGGAGACCCGTGAGAAGACTGCTTCCTTCACCCAGGCCGGAGGCGCCCAGGCTGGCTGCAGGCAAGCGGTGTTTAAGTAGGAGGTGGACATGGAGAGGAGAGGAGAGGAGAGGATACGACAGAGTGGAAAGAAGAAGGAAGCAGAATCCGCTGGGCTGGGGGGAGGACAGGATGGCCTGTTGCAGAGCCTGGAGGAGCTCTGAACTCAAAGACAGGGAACTCTCCAGGGAGGAGGAGGCTTGGGTAGAAAAAAGTCGTTACCCCCACCTTAAAGGTGAGGCTGGAAACTGAGGCTGGGAGAGTTCAAATCACCTCTGTTTCTGTGACACAGCCCCTTGCTAGGCAGTTGCTTGGACCACTGTCCTGTCTCCAGACAGAGGAGCTGCCTGCGGCTGGGTCACTGGCTCACTAGAGGTGGGGCCAGGAGACTGCAGGTAAAACAGGAGTCCCAGGTAGTCCCCGGGGAGGCCACCCCCTGGCCTCATCTGAGTAGGAGGCCGGGTTCCTTTCTTGCCATCAGCCTTCCTGCAACAGCAGCGAGAAGAGAGTGGGCTTCTGTGTCCTCACAGCCATGGGGCTCACTGCCTGGGCAATGACCGAGTCCCTCACCCCCTCCCCTGACTGGCCTCTCGTCTAGAGTTTTCTTTCTGCCTCCTCCCAGGGCTTTCTCCTTCATCGCTGGAATAATCACCATTGTTTTCCCAATGCCACACACACAAAAAAGGCCCAAATCTCCAGTACCTTGTGTCCAACCTCGTGTTTCATGCCCCGGCCACACTCCACTACCATGGGTCCCTCAGTGGCCTCCATGCCTTTGCACAGGCTGTTTCCTCCCCTACCACAACCCTGTAGATTCTGCCCACCTTGAAAGATGCAGTTGGCATTCCATACTGTTCCATACTTTCCGTACTGCTCTTTCTCTGTGGAGGTGCCCACACCACTGGCTGGGCCAGAAACCTGCAGCATGGACCCTCTCCTCCTCACCCCCGCCGCCAGGGCGCGCACACACACACACACACACACACACACACACACACACACACACACACACACACACACGGGTCCTCAGGTCCTCATAAGTGTCCCAAATCCACCCTGCCTCTCTGTTGCCGGCCCCTGACCAGGTGAGGACACTCCAGCCTGCACCCTGGACACTCGGCAACATCCCCCAACCCCTTCCCAGACAAAAACTTACCCGTGCCTCCCCTGCTGCTCCCGATGACACCCACCCGCCTCAAGCTGCCACTGGAGGCACTGCCTATGCCGCTGACTGAATTCTAAGCTCTAGCCAGACCAATGCACCACTCACAGACCCTAGTCCCTGCTGTTTCCTCTGCCTAGGAGCCCCACCCCCACCCCTTCTCCACCCCACAATTCCCAGTTGGCCTTTACTGTTCATCCAGGGTCACCCGAGGACACCTTCCCTGCTCACCTCCAAGGCCGAGTAGGAGCTCATTTTCTGGGTGCCCACGGCCCCTTGTGACCATTTATCACGACCACGGATCACCTGTGTGCTGGCCTGTCTCCCATGCTTGACTGGGAGTGCCTCGGGGGCCCGCGGGGCTCTGGGAGCTCTGGGCTTGGGTAGGTGCCAGCAGATGTTGAGTGTGTAACTGTGACTGTCTCCAAATACTTTCCTATGTTGAGTGTCCACACCTCGCCCACCTGTCTCTCCCTCCCACACCCACTCCACACTCTCCAGGTGGGCTCCCAGCCACTGGCTTCCACCACAAAGGAGCCCTGGGCCTGGTCACTCTCTGTCTGTGGCCCCCGACCCCACCATTGTTTTGGCTAAAGAAGAGGGCGAGGCCAGGGCGACCTTGTTCTCTTATTTCCCTGTGTCTGCCCACACCGTCGGCCAGTGTCACACACGAGCTGGGACCACATGCTGTTCTGTTTGGAACGAGAAAGTGGCATTAATACAAACAGAGGGTCGTTTTAGACCTGAAACCATGTAATTAAGCTCTCCCGTGAATGCCTGTTAACAAGGAGGTGCTTTCGCATTTGAGAGAAGCACGTGTGGGAGGGCGCTTGGTAGCCACCATGCACTTAGTCCCATTGTGATCCAGCTGGAGGGGTGAGCCCTGCCCAGTGCTGCCCTCTCGGGTCAGGCAAGGCCGGCGGCTTCCCAGGGAATGGGGTCAATGGGAAAAGAGGGGACTTGGGCAACCCTGAGGACAAAGAGGTCTAAAAGGTTGAGTCAGAAGCAACTCCAACTGCCTGCCTCCCAGCGAGGATGAGGCCCCTCTGGGCCTCACCAGGAGCAGGGCTGGACTTTGGACCACTGGCAGGAACTGCCTGAGTGGGCCGCAAGTGGAAGCAGACGCTGCCAGTGTGGGCTGCACTCCAGCCTGACCAGCTGCCTGGGCACTCGCCAAACTAAACTGCACTCACACGCAGCGGCAGGGAGCTGGGCTCTGTAGCCTACGGGCCTCCATCTGAAGCTGTGTGATCTTGGGCGGGTCACTCTGTGCCCCAGTCCTTCATATGAAAAAAGCAGTCCCTCCCACCCAGGGCTGTCACAATGACTGCCTATGATGATGTTCCAAAGACAGCCAGGCTCCCAGGACCCCAGGTCTAAGCAAATGTTCCCTATTCACTATATTACTTGTCTGTTCTCCCGACCAACCTGAGTTCCTCCAGAAGGAGGCTGGCGAAGCTTTGGCAATGTTTGCTGAGTGAATATATTTGCTGGCCCTGTCCCAGGCAGCGGGGCTGGTGTGAGCAAATCACATGAGGTCTGTGTTCTCACGGAGCTTCAGGTCAATGACAGGGAGAGGAAGAACCCAAAGTCACACAGCGGCCAAGTGCCAGTGAGGGGGGATCATCACGCTCTGATCATGCAGAATAGGGGCTCCTGATCGGGAAGCCATCTCTGACTAGCAGGAGAAGCCACGGTGAGAGCATGCTAGGCAGGCTGCAGCATGTGCAAAGGTCCTGTGGACAGAGACAAAAGCCCTAAGAGACTAGAGCACAGGGAGCCAAGAAGGCAGACAGGGGGGCTCAGGGAACTGAGGGCTTGCTGACCACACTAGGTGTGGTGAGAGGCATCCCATATTTTAAACAAGGGGGATAGTATGATTTGCTTTCCCTTTTAAAGAATCACTCTAGCTGTGGTCTGGCAGACATTTGGAGGGGTGGGTGGATGTGGGAGGCCAACTGGACAGTAAGCTGTCCAGGTGAGAGTTAATGGTCACTTGGACTGAGGTGGCACTGGAGATGAATGAAGCGATGGCCTTGGGAGATACAAGTGGAGAGAGTGGCCCTGATCATGGATGGGATATGGAGGGTGAGGGAGGAGGTGCAAGGATGTCTCTAGCATGTGCTGCTGGCCAAAGGCAGACCCTTCACTGAGGTGAATAGATGAACCCCTGCAATTTGGCCATGTCTGGGCCTCACAGTTAGCCACTGTATATCTTTCCACATCTCATAATTTTTGTGAATAAGGAAACCGAGGCTTGGTTCCACTAGAAGGCCCCACCTGGGGAGCCGGGTCTCTGGATCTGCTCACCCCCATCCTACCTGGCACCCATCTGTGGCAAGAGGTAAACAGGTCTAGCCCCTGAGGCAGAGTCCGGGGCTTCTCAGGAGATGGGATGAGTGATTTTGATAATTGCATTTTTGAGTTAGCCTTAAAATATGGCCAAGATTGAAGAGGCAATTTGGCAGGGCCGGATCCCCCAGGCAGGTTTCTCGGTTTCCACAATGCCGAGAACTTATTAACAAGATCACTCTTTCTCCCTTCCACCACCCACTTACAAGCAGTTCTCGGGGCTGCTGTGTTGAGGAATTCAATTGTGGGTCTCTGGGCTCCTGCTCTGGTCATCCAGAGACATTTTGTTGGAAAGGGTAGACTGAGAATACTTCGATTTGTAACAGGGAAATGCTGCAGTTTCTCGAAGAGATGGCATTTTGGGGGAATACTGATAATCCAAGGGACATCAGGTTTTAACAGACTCAGGTTCAAATTCTGGCTACATCCCTCAGTCTTCTCATTTGTAAAATGGGTGAGGTGGTGCAGATTACTGAGATGCACAGTGTGGCTACTGCCATCCCAGGTGAGCGCCGGCCTGAGGCGCGAGGATTTTACTCTCCAGGACCCCGATAGGGACGTTGGGATGTGGGCCTCGGAAGTGAGATAAAAGCACCATTTCCAAGGTAGGGCAAGCAGGGGGCCCTGGGCCTGTCTCCCAATCCTCTCACTATATATTTAGTCCCTGCAGCTGTTTCTCTCAGGTGCAGCTCCTCCAGCACACGTGGTGATTAATTTCACTGAAGGGAAATTGACGCATTTTCTGATTACTGCTTCAAAGCCTCCCGAATTCAGCTGCTGGTAAAATTAACTCACCAGGGACAATGGAGCTTTTTCCAAGGTCCAAATTGTCTTATTTGCAGTTTGTTCTTGGCATTAATCCAGCCCAAACAAACCAGGCTGCTCCTCCACCTCCCAGAAGAGGGAGGGCCTTCACTAGCCCAAGGTTGAAAGTATTTTACGTGACTCTAAACTGGCGGATAAAAATGCACTTCGTTTTAGATTATTGTGTTCCTGAAAAGCTGTGGGTGACCTGAAGCAAATGGCCAGCTGGGCTCCTGGAGCCCCTCCTCTGCAGCTCCTGCTCCAGGCGTGCCTGGGTTCACCAACCAGACGGGCCTGGGATGTACCAGAATCCAATGTGGATCTCTCCTCCAATCCCTGCACCTCAAGCCCTTGCCAATGACCAAGTTCAGCTCCCATGGGCTGTGCACTGACCATGTGCCAGGCAAGGTAGGACTCTTCCCCTGTGGGGACATCTGAGCCCAGGTCTGACTTCCAGGCCTTGCCTGAGCTGCATCTACTACACTGTACAACCTCCTCCCCTCCTCCCCACTGCCCCCGCAACCACACATGCTTACATTTGCGCACACCTGCCTGGAGGGTAAACACCCTGACAGCAATAGCTTAAGCACAACCTTAGAACGACCCTGTATGGCAGACGCGTCTTAATGTTGTTCTGAGCTAGAGAATCTAGGAGTGGCCAACCCGGAGATTTGTTCCTTGTTTGTGAGGAGTATCTGAGCCCCCAAGCCCGTCTCATGGGACATGGGCTGTACAGGGAACTGAGGCCCTGAGTTTTGGGTTAAAAAAAGGTTCCCAGGTAGAGGTCCTTGGGGGAAGGTTAAGTGAAAATGCTATATAAACTGCATGCTGTTTATAAGTGGTGATGGTTTTCCTGCCCCACCTGGGCCGTGGGCTGTGTTGTTCAGCCGCTGCCACTGAACCATCTGTTTCTGTACGAAAAGCAGTTCTCCTGTCCAGCCTGCCGCCTCTGGACTGTTCCCCTGTATGTAAGCCCCTAATAAAGCCCACATCCTGTTTGCTGGCTCTGTGGGTCTCTTCTCAGGCCCCTTGAACCTGGTGCCTCCCCTACTGAGGTTAATAGGGGTTTGGCACAACACAGCCATAGAACTTAAAACAGTACTTTAAAACTTGCTTAAGACCAGCCACTGAGACAGTGAAGAAGAGTCACCGATTTGTGGAAAGGGCCTTGTTGTTCAGCTGCTTTCAAAATCTGAGGCTCCGAACTCTGTAACAGTACTGGACAAGAGTAACTCTCATTTACAGAAGCACAAGACTCGGGACGGGAACCAGGCCTCCTGCTCCACAGCGCCACACCGACCCAGCTTCCATTTAGGAAGTCAACTGTTGTGACTGCTTGCGAAAGGCACTCCAGTGACATTATGGCTCAATCTGAGTTTTCACACACTGGTACGTATTCTACCGAGGTACACCTGTGCAAATATTTCTCAGGAAGAGCACAGATGGCAGGAACCGAAGCAGAAAGGGTCTGTACTGCCCACTTCCTCCGCCCCTCTCTTAATGGATGGGGAGACAGGCAAAGTGGCATGAGGCCACTCCCCGGACTCCCAGCCGGGGCTGCTGCACCCTACGCTTCCAGCAAGTGCAATCCCGTCTCCTCCCCTCACCATCGTGTCTGGGGAGCTGGGCGCCAGGTCAGGTGCTGGCAATTCCATGGTCAACACAAGCCTCTGCTCTCCAGGGGCTCAGAGGATTTGCACAGTGGTGTGGGGGCTGCGGGAGCAGAGGTGGGGCATTTCACCTAGTATCGGGTCAGGAGAGGCTTCCCCAAGGGCAGAAAAAATATTTCTAAAGGACCATTCAAAGCTAACTAGAAAAAGAAAGGGTGGGAGGAGCATGTCCAAGAGGGCGCAGCCTGGGTTAGACTGGGGAGAACACTGTTCCGTTTGCCTGGAACACAGAGTGGAGCGGGAGGAGGCGAGATGGGCAAGGAGCTGGAGGTGCCAGCAAGGCTTGTAAACCTTGTTAGGGGCTCGGGCTTGGATCAGAGGGTAGTGGGAAGCCGCTAAAGTGTTTTGGCTGGGGGCATCTTGGTCAGAGGCAGCGATGTGGATGGCTGATGACACACCCCTGTCATCACGGGAACAATGCAAATGCCACATTCCAGCTCTGGGCCTCACTCTGCTCTTTGCTAAATCGGGAATGGCACCACTGCAAGGGCTGCTGTCCAGCAGACTGTGAGATGCTGAGCACACACCAGTGCCCATGGCCACGCTGCACGGAGGTGCTCTTCTCTGGACACTTGAACGAGCTCAGCAGTGAGCCATGCGACTCGTGGAACCCTGGCCTGTCCCACTTGGGATTTTGGGACCTGGGCTTTGAGGCGCCACACAAAACAACAGAATCGTCAAGGTGAAATGAAATGAATCATTTAATGAGAATCTTCAAACTGTGGCACTGGCTGAGTACTAAGCAAATCCAGGGGAAGACGTGAAGCCCACCAAGGCGCACAGCCTCAACTCCGGTGCCTGCCCCTGATCTGAAATACAACATCCAAGAGCTCGAGGCCTTTTTACCACCCGTTTGTGGAGCACCTGCACCTTTCTGACAACAACTCTCAAGCCAACTTTCAGAGAGAAAACATGAAGGGAAAAAATAGATTTCCTTTGGCCAGACAGCTCTTTCTTCCTCAATAAATAGGAACCACACTTGGAACAAAGAGACAGCGTGAGCTCGGTGGGGGAAGCACAAGCTTTATTGGCTGAAAGTTCTTCTCAGGAGCCTGGTCTGCTGGGACTGCATGTTCCTGGATGGGCTCCCCCAGGCCTAAGCTAGGAAAAGGAAGAAAAAAAAGGAGAATTTTAAGTCCAAAGGAGGTTTCTGAAGTAAGACCCCGACAGAGGTGAAAGCGAGACTGTTATTCTCAAAGTGCTTTCAAAAACATAGTTTGGTCAGTAAATATTTACCTAATAAACAACGATGAGATCATACTGTATTCATTCATTCAAGAAATATTCATCAAATGCCTACTATGTGTCAAGCATTGTTTGCTGTATTTCTTACTGGTAAAAATAGCATACAAATTTAAAACTTAGAACCCCTACTGGCGACAGGGCATGATAAAACACAACTTTTCATGCACTGCTGGCAGAAACAACTCTCTGAGGAGGACATGTCCCCTGGTTCCACCTGCACCTTCATTTTTCAAGAGGTCCTTTCTGGCCCTGCACTCCTCCTGACCTTCCACTGGCCTGCAGTGAAAAGACTCAAAGGGCATACCTCCAGGTTTCCTCTGGCCTTCCGAAGGATTTTGTGGGTTACGACCACTGAGGAGAGAGCAAAGAATGCAATGATTAGGGCCATGGATATCCAGGAGAGCTGTGTGAAAGCCAAGTGCAGGGAGGATGAACCCCACCCCAAAGGGCTCGGACATGTAGACAACACGAGGTCTGAAGCATCCAGACCAGAGGGAGGTACAAAGGGCCCACCTGACCCATCACAAACCCCAGGGCCAAATAACGCATCAACAACACCTCTTTGAGGCCCCGCTAAGCCACCACCTGACAGTGATGCAGAGGCTACAGCATGCTATGCCGGTTCAGAGAACACCCTACAGCTGTGCACGGCCACCTGGCTGTCCAGGTATCCCTCAGGCTCACTTCTGTGGGCCAGGGAGGGCAATGGCGCAGGGAGGGTAGAGGCCTGGGCCTGCCCAGCACTCTTTAGTTTCCTAGGCCCTCTGGGAAGCAGCTGTGGGAAGGGACTGTGCCCCGATCAGGCAGACCCACATATGAGGGTCCAAGTTCTACGAAGCCAGGTTTTTACCCAGCAGCTCTTAGAGCCAGCTCCAAATGGCCTGGAAGAAAAAACCGTGGGCATGCTGCTTCTCCTTTGCCTGCCCTTTAGCTGGTGGAATAGCCCAGCCTGATTCCTCTGGGCAAGTCACATTCTGCCTGGACAAGAGCTGGTTGGGTGGGATGGTTTCAGAGGTCCCTGCTGACACTGACGCCCGGAGCACTGTACTAGAAAGATCCCCCGTGCATGAGAATTCCCAGGAGGGGCAGGCGAGCCCTGGCTTTCAGGAGCAACTGTAAAGGTGGGTCTTCCTTCAGGCTTTTTCTTGTCCAACACAAACTCCAGCAGTGGCAAGAATGCCCCTCTTGATCAGAGTTCTGAGCCTGATAGGGAATCTGTTCTCAACAGGGCTTGGTGAGAGTAAGATCAGCTTACTCCCCACGTTGGAAATACCAAAGGCTTCTGGAGCCGCGCCTTTAGCCAACAGTGCCAGAGGCTGTAACAGACTCAACGCCCAACACACATAGCCTGACTCCCCAGTGGCTTCTTCAGAATAGGTGTCTGTCGTGTGGTGGCCTTGAGAAAATATTGATTTCTTGCCTCACGAAAATTTCCATCTGGAGGTAATGGAGTTTATTTGCAATCTGTGACACTGGGGACGGGACAGACGGTGTGGACTTTGTTTTTAGCCAAGCAAAACGACTTTCAGAGGTGGCCACTGCCCCTCTACCCCAACCTGACCTCCTGCTGCAGGGCAAAGTTCCTGACATGGGGCCCTGGATATGTTTGGGGGGTCAGTCCTAAACCCTCCGACACTGTGTGCAAATGGGGGTATGTATCTGGACGTCCGCATTTTTCCACAGAGAGACCACAGCTTTCTCCAGATTCACCAAGGGGCCTGAGACCCAGAAAAGATTAAGTATCACAGCTGTGGAGGTTGAAGATGATTGTGAAAGAGCACTCCATGTCCCTAGAGAACAAAGCTCATGGCAGAAGAACTAAGGATCACTTGGCTCAAGCTTTGAGGGGACCCCTACACCTCAACAGCACTGCCACGTTCCAAAGCACAGAAATCCCCACTGCAAGGAGAAGACCGAGGAACACAGCGACAAAGGACTCGTCCCAAATCTAGACTGGCCCCAGCACAGAGCTGGGACTCACATGTGGGCCTGCCCAACTCAGTCCATGGTTCTTCCCACCTCAGCAGAGTGCTGGGAAGAAGGTACCGACCTGAGCTGAGCAGTGTTGACCTGGTGACAGGTGGTTTCCAACGGTGGCCTCACTGAATACTCCCCCACCCTATGGGGCAGAACTACTGTCCTCGCTTTGCAAATGAGGACCTGAGGCAGCTGGTTCCAGGTCACATGGCCAGTGAGTGGCCCCAGGGCATCAGGACTCTTAGGGTCCCACTGGGATGCCTTTTCCTTACTTTCCCCTGTAGACTCTGAGAAGGTATGGTGTCAGTTTGACCAGGTAGCAATCAGCCCTGGCCTTTGCTCTTCCCCATCACCATGAGGGGACGGAGGAAGAGGAGGTGCTATGCCAACTTTCTCCTAGTCCCTTTAGACCCAGAGCAGGTCTGTGAAGTCCGCAGGGCTTGGAGAATTTCCAAGGACCTGACTCCTTGGGATGAGCTGCAGAGCCTGGCAAAGGAGGAGTTGCAGGCCCGGGTCAGCCACCAGCTATGCTGCCTGGAGCAAGCCCCTCACCCTGCTCTGGCGGAGCCTGCTCTGTGCCAGGCCTAGGAGATATGGAGATGGACAATACCAGCTCAGGAGGGGAAGTGCTATGAGACATTTGCGGCTCTTCTTACTATGAATGATTTGCCACCTCCATGCATAGGATTTGGTCTGGCCTAATGGAAAGAAAGAGGAGGGACTGGTTGAGCATCTCCTCTGCCCCCGAGACTGTGCTAAGTACAATACAGTTTAGGTAGCGTTATCATCCTTATTTTACAGATGAGAAAACTGGGGTGCTTTTTATAAAGTTGCTATTGAACCCGGGACCAACTAGTTAGTCTGAGTCCTTTGGAACTCACGTCTCCAGTTAGAGATGAGGAATCGAAAGCTTAGGGTTCTAGTCTAATGCAGGTCACATAGGAGAATGGAGATCTGAACTGTGCTCAATCAATAATTCCATGTTCTCTGACCTAGGACACAGGGGATCTGGGTTCTAGTTCTGTCCTTTTGACCGACCACAGTACTCAACCCATCGAAACCTACTTCTGCAATTTTCTCACCTGTCAATAGGGTTAGCTACCTGCCCTGTGACTGTTCAGGGCCAAAGGCTGCTGAGGAGGAGAGATGCCAATGCAGAGAGTTCTGCCTTTCTCTAGACCTATGCAGAGCATTGCTCCCCACCCCACTGCTGCTCCAAGAGTCTAACCTAAATATTCCACAGCTGCCTTAACAGGACCACAGCTGGCACTGTCTCTCTCCAGGTTCCCCTCAGTGCTCTTTTTCTCTACGAGTGACACGAAACCCTCAACCAGAACCCCACAGACATCCACCACTCTGCCAGGTTGACCTCCTTACAATCTTTCAAAACCATCCCTTCTCCCCCACAGTCCTGACCCACTGCCCACCTGGGGGACTGCTGCAGCCCCCAAAGAGGTCTTCCCGGCCTCCTGGCCCCTCCAAGCTCAGCCATGGGATCTTGTAATACACGCATGGACCCCGCCGGTCCCTGCTGCTCGTCCTGGAGTCCTGTCCACAAGGCTCCTTGCAACCTGGTTCCTGCTTCTCCCTCTCACTCATCTCTCAGAGGAAAACCCTTTGCACGTCCTAAGCATGTCCCTGAGCACTCAGTTCTCTCTCACCCCTGGGAGCACACCAGCAAGTCCACAGGGCCATCTGCCAGAATCCTATTCCTGCCCCTTCGCTGACAAATTCCTAGTCATTCTTCAAGACCCAGTCAGTCTTGAACCACCTCTCAGGCCTCCTAGGATGCACTCAGCACATCGTCCTGCAGCTAAGCTCTGTGTCTCCCCTATTAAGCCCACGACCCTCACTGGCAAAGACTGTCTCGTTCATCTCTGTCCCCAGGACCTGGCGTAAGGGGCAAAGAACAGGAACTCAGTGCCTGCTCAGTGGCTGCGCTCCTCTCTTTTGCAGTCCAAACACTGGCAGTCTCACAGAGTCTATTTTCAGAAGGTTCCCAGGGGTGGCTAAGGAGAACTCCTACTTGGCAATAATCTCTGTCCTGTGCTTCTCAGAAATGCCCCAGAAATGTTGGACTTTGACAGGAGAGCCGCACAAGGCAGGCTGGCACCTCCAGAGAAAAAGTGCTGCAGTCAGCAGTTCTCTTAAGACAGGGAAACTGACACACAGACAGCGCAGGCTTGGCCAGGGCCATGTTGCCAACAGGCACTAATGGAAACTCAGCTACCGCCTGCTCCTCTAAATGCAGCGGGAGGGAGTGCTGAGGGTTTAAACCAGGAGACAGAGCTGCTCCCAAACAATCTCCAAAGTGGCTAGATCAGAACTGGGACTGACCTTACAAAAGTTACTTAACCTCACCAACCCTGAGTCTCGGCATCTGCCTTGAGAAGTATTTCTCAAATCCATGCCCTCCTCTGGATCCCCAGCGTCCTAGCCACCTTTCCTGTCTGACTAGTGAGTCAGCCTCCCCCTCACTGGTGGAGCAGCCACCAGCGAGCCATTCTTGCACACAGATGTGACAGGCCAATCCTCTGCCCTGAGCCTGCCACCTACAGTCTTTCATGAAGTACTCCCTGACCCCCAATCCCTCCCACCTTAATTCACTGTTTGCAGCCTTTACCCCACAGGGACTGGTTTTGGTTTCTCACATACAAAAACTTATTTCCTGCCTTTGTGCCTCTGTCCATGCTCTTCCCTGAGGGACTGCCACTCCCCGCTCCATGTGACGACGTCTGCTTTCATTTCACACTCAGCGAGGTGGTCACTTTGTCTAAGACGCCCACCTTGCCGGGACAGAGTGACGGCCACCCAACTCCCACCCCAGTGCTCTGCATGTTCCCATCACTGCACATGCCACACGACTGTCTCCCAGTGAGACGACAGTCCCTGACACCAAAAGGCCGCTCTACAAAGGTGTGTTAAGTGAATACATTTGTCTATGTGAGTCAGAAAGGATGGAGTATGAAAAGAAGCCCACAGATAGGAGGCATGATTACAAACCATCTGGGCTCCAAAGTGGGTAATCCAGGGCAGAACTGGGAGCCCTCGGAGGCAGGAAGTGGTCAGGCATAGCGGCCACCCCCACACTCACTCACATTGATCAAAGATGACTTTTTCCTGGCGCTTGCTCAGCTGCAAAAGCTTCATGGTGTTTTGCAACTTCTTTTCTTGTTCAAACAATTTTTTATGTAGTTTGGTGACCTCTGCCTTCATTTCTCCAATCTAAAGAGAAGAGAAATTAGAAAAATGAACAAAGAACATAAACATCATGTTACACAGGAAGAATTACAAAGCCATATAAAAAGATGATGCTCAACCTCACTAGCAAAAATATTTGAATGGAAACTAGAAGCCTTTTCCTGACAACCAGGAAAAGGCAAAATTGGACAAAACTCATTGAGGGTAAGGGGAAAGCACCTCGTGACCTCTGGTGGAAGTGCGGGATGGCATGGCCCAGTGAGAACGCCCTGGCAAGATCTACCAAACTGAGATGCGCTTAACTCTTTGCCCCAGCAATTCTACACGCTGGCATTTCCCCCAAGGAATAATAACATAAGCACAAGAAGATGCCTATGTACAAGGATGTTCGTCTCAGCATTGTTCATGGTAGGAAAAAATAACCTGATTTCAGTATAGATCTGGATAAATTATGGTACTTACATATAATACAATAATTTAGCAACTATTAAAAATGACGTTGTAGAGCTCTATGCATTGATATCAAAAAATGATCACAGTTAGTGACAAAAGAGCCCAGAACAACACGTCCTGTATAAAAGGCATTCCTGTTCCACAAAACTGAATATAAACGCCCACATCCATAGATGTGTATATTGAGATGTCATCAAAATGTTAACAGCAATTCTCTCCATGAGCTATGATTTCAAATTGCGTGATCTTTTTCTTTTACAAAAACTATAATGCTGATTTTAAAAACTTTTCAATGTTTAAATCTTCAAAAGATCATATAAAAGTATTACTAGGAAAGTATGCTCCATTAGAAGAAACTCTTCTGGTTTTCCAGAGTAAACTCTGGATGGGTGGCAAAACCAGAGTCCCCAGTGCTCTGAGGTGACATACATGCACGGCGGAGCCCTCTGAGCCAGTCTCCACCAAACCAGCTCCCAGGGGGAAGGACACTCCCTTTCTGTCAGAAAAGCACCGTGGCACAGGCCGCTCTCTGCTGCGCCGAAACACTTCTGCTTCCAACAGGAGAGCTGGTGAGTTGTCAGCTCACGAAGAGTCACTTTAGTTTGTTCCCAAACTTGTTTATGGTAGCTGTACTTGTAATCAAATTGCATAATTTAATTAAATATTAAGTAAGCCCATGAAATATGTGTATTAAAAGAGAGAACTGGTTGTATGAAAACTAACATATGCTTCAGGAAAGACTTGATAAAAGCAAGTCACTAAAAAACACATTTCTGGCAAATTAGGTGTGGGTGAGACAACTATAAAAGATGTGGGAGGAACACAGTCTAGAAGAATTCTATATTCAAATTGCTTTGCAAGTGTCTAAGTTTTCTCTTCATCTTAAAGAAACAGAAATTGGAAGTGACAGACATACATTATGGATGCAGTTTATGAAAGAAAGAAGATGTGAAACTCCAATCAGCAGACCCATATTCAAAAGAAAAGGCCCTGGCCCTACATCAAAAGAATGGCAAATGAATGTACATTTATCTGTTTTAAGTTAAACTAAAATGTTTAAGGTACATATCATTTTTGATTCCCTGACTTAACCTACTTTTAAGATTAACCAGTCATGTCAGGTACAAGGACTTTGACAGTTCTTCCCAAACAGATCCTAATTTTAAACATTAGGTTTGCTTTGATTCTTTTCCTTGGGGCTAAGAGCTCACAAAGACTTAGGTTCTGGTCATGGCTCCAGAGGCCACACATTCCAGGACAAAGTCTCTCTACAGTCAACGCCTTAGTCCCACATCTGTAAAATCGGAATAATCATCCCTGATCCAGCTATCACATTGCAGTAGAGTGAGACTCAAATGAGATAATGGAAGACAGTGGGAATGATCATTTCCAACTTGGCCTGGCTGACCCATTCCTTGTTCTAAAGTCAGCTCAGGTTTCACCTCTTCCAGGAAGTTGACCTGGCACTTCTTTTAGGATGGCTACTGCTCCTCTGGGTGCCCCGGGGCTCAGTGTCTCCCCATCACCGCCCATGGCACACTGGAGTGACTGGTCCTTTACTTGTTTGCTTCCTGTACTGACCACACACTCATTTCCTCCCTCTAACCACCAGTGTCTGGCGCAGAGTAGGTGCTGTGACACCATTTACCCACTCATGGTGGATTAATTTTCACTAGTGCTCTCCTAACATCCTGTATATATTCTATCCAGTACTTACAACAGGGAATTTTAATTGTTTACATGTCTGTTGTTCCCCTGGATTCAAATCTTCATTTTATAGGATGAATATTCCATGGTAGCAACAGCAGGGGCTCAAAGTACAGCTCCACCACTCCCCAGCTATATGACGCTGAAGCAAGTCACTTAATCTCTTGGAGTTTCCATTCCTACCTCTGGAAAAAGGGAAGAATCACAGCTAACTCCCTCAAGATTTCCGCAAGGGATCAAATGAGATGCTGGGTGTAAGCAGCATGCCCAGTGTCCGCAGGAGGTCACCAGAAGAACCCTTCCTGAGGGCCACAGAGCTGCAGTGCTGAAGCCACTCCCTCCCAGGAGGCCTCAGGCTTCCTCGTCAGTGTTCTGCCTGACTTCGGGGACAGGAATTTTTGCTTGTTTTCTTTTTATGGTGAAAAAAATCTCAAACATTTACGAAAGCAGAAAGAACTGGATAATGAACGCCCAAGTGCCCATCCAGCTTCAGCAATGATCAATTCATGGCCATACTTACCTCTACTACATTCCTGCCCATCTTCTCCCCAAGATGATTCTGAAACCAACCTTAGAATCCAATTGTATCATCTATAAAATATTTTACTAGATCTCTCTAGAAGATTTTTTTTTTTTAAATAAAGACAGCATCTTACTATGTTGCTCAGGCTGCTCTCAAACTTCTGGCCTCAGGTGATCCTCCCACCTTGGCCTCTGAAAGTGCTGGGATTACAGGCATGAGCCACCATCCCGGCCATAAAAACATTCTTAAAAAAAAAAAAAAAAAAAAAGAAAAAAGAAAAAAAAAAAAGCCCAACACAGTATCATTATGACACCTTAAAAAAAAAGGCAGTAATTCCTTAGTATCACCACATCCAGTCAGTGAGCACACTTCCCTGATTGCTTCATAATTTTCTTTTCTAAACAATTGGTTCAATTCAGGATGCAAATAAGATCCATGTTTTGCATTTGATTATCTCTTGAGTTTCTTTAAATCCAGTGGTTCTCAAACCTACCTAGAGGGCTACAAAAACAGACTGCTGGGGTGCACTCTCAGAGTTCCTGATTCAGCAGGTTTGGTGTGAGGCCTGAGAAGGTGAATTTTTGACAAGTTTCCAGGTGATGCAGATGCTGCAGGTCCAGGGCCCACACTTATGGGAACCACTGTAAATCCATAGGGTTCTCTCCCTCTTTCCCCACGCTGGATCCTTTCTTACTAGGATGAAATACGTTCTAGGCTCATACTGTACATCTCCTGCCCCAGACCTAGCAACAACCCATTTCTCCAAGGGAACCCTAGTTCCCTTTAGCGGGCAAAGGTATCTAGAAACCATAATTTGGGCATCAAGGGCACTCACTGGTGCTAGAACAGACATTGTTTCTAAAGCCTTGTATGTTGACAAAGTTCATAAAATTCTTTTAATGGATGATAATACATCACAAGTTCATTCTGATATGTGCTATTCAAATTTAGGATTACAGGGTTATTTCTTTGATTTCTTATCTCTTTTTCCTTACAGTAAAAAATCAGTTCCCAATAAAAGTATTTGCTTTATCTTATAATAGAAATATAATAATTCAGAATATGAATATCAATATTACTACTAAAAATATAACCATTAACAAGAGTTTAAATTTTTTTCTTGCCCTTAGAATACTTCTACTAGAAATGTGTGGTCAAATTACTATGCTTTAGTCACTGAAATGCTTCCTTTTTGTGTTGTTATGCCTACATTGCCATATACAGTAAGGTTTGTTTCATCTTGCCAAGAATTTTTAGGAATTGTTTTCTCATTTTGATTTTTTATAATCATGTAATGCATTTATATACTTGCTAAGTCAAATCTACAAAACAAGGTCTATTCAGAGAAATCTACCTTCTATCTGTTACTCCAATCTCTCCCCTTCCATTACTATATGTAGCCTGGTTTGTTATTGTTTATCCTCCATTTAAAAAAATTATTATAAACAAGTATGTGTGTACATTTGTACCCCTCCACACAACTGGTGCACATGATACACACTTTCCAGAGCAGTCCAGACTACATGGGATGGTATACTAAATGTAAAAGGCAATTAATAACACTCAAGAGAAAACCAGATAGTTCAAAAACCCCTGGGTTGTTGGTGAAAACTTGGAAATGGAAATCAGCATTACACACATTTCACACCAAGCAAAGGCACTGTATGAAACACAGCAGTGACAGAAAAGTGGCTAGAGGCAATTTAACACTACACAGGGGGTATGTACCCCAGCAACCACATCGGAGCATCTCAAAGGTCCTTTTTCTGGCACAATTCCATGACATCAGAGTGAGCATAATCAATTACTCAAGAAACCTTTGGAAGGAAAGGGGTACTCAGGAGCACCAACCACTCCTGGAATGATTTGCAAGTAGGGAAGAATCAATGTGGCTATAACTTTTTTTGTGTGTATATATATTTTATATGTAAGTGTATGAGCTGTATTTCTGTCTATGTAACAGTTACTACAATGTGCTAAGGATAAAAACATTGCATTAAGGGTCAACTGTTCAGTTCAGACATGTTTATGTTAAAATCATATGAGGCAGGCACTACTTTGGGTGTATAGAAAAAAAATCACTGGTTCATTCAAAAAATATAAATAAAACAGACACCATCCTCTGAAGGAAAATAGAGGAAGACAGGCATTAAACAAATATACAATTATAACTTGTTGAAAGGCTATGATGAAACAGAAGAGGATGCTATGATGGAGGAATCAGGGAGCCCTCTCTGACTCTGGGGTAATATTTAAGCTAAGACTTGAAAGGTGAGAAGGAGCCAGCCAGAAGCAGGACATGGGACACTCCAGGCAGTCAGGCCATCTGTGTCACCTAAGCCTAAGATGGAACAGGACCTGGTGGATTAGAAGAAGGGAAAGACCAATGTGGGGCTGGACCCCAGTGAGTCTCAGCCTTCCTCCCTGATACTCTGTCTCCCACCTGATACTGCCACCAGCTAAACGTGGGCCAAAAAAAGATTTTTCTATGGAATGAATAGTTATCAACTTCCCTGAGCTTAGTGTATCCAAACTTTGTCCCCAGGATCCCAAAAGTGAAATCTTAGAACAGGCTCATTAGAACCTTCAGAGCAGAGAGAGCTGCCCCACCTGCTACTTCATGGTCATGTTTGAGAGACCTGAGAGCTGTCAAAAGGGGGTTAACTAAATGAGATAATGACAAAAAATGTAAATTTCCCTTCTGCCTTCCTACTGGCCTTTGGCAAGAACAGATAGGTTAGATAAACAAAGGGTGAAATATCTATCACACCACCAAGCAGAGAGTTCTAACTCTTCCTTAACCTGCAGGTCCCTTCCTCCAGGGAGGTTTCTCTGATTAGCCAGAGTGGGCGTTCACCTTGTCATGACACCACATGCATCCCACACACAGAAATCAGAGGACAGCTTCTACTCTGCCTGACTCCTGGTTTGGAGCCTGTCATTCCTAAGTACTTAAAACAGATTTTGAACAAGGTCCACTCAAATATGATGATGAAAGCTGTCGATAGGAATCAGAAGGTCCAGAAAAAGGCACCTAAAATAAAAGAGATGATGAGTAGAAAAGAATGAGCTAGTCCATGAGGACAAATTAGGACTTAGAGCCTATAAAATAAAAGAATAAACATTGGGTTCCAATATTTATCCTTTCAAACAAGTTCTAACCTTGACTAAGTGCCTCAGCTCCCTGAGTCCTGGTTCCCTCATGTGTAGAATGCGGACGGGATTCTACTCAACAAAGACACGCTCAGACGGGTCATGGCTACAGGAGTGTGGGACGGATCAAGTAAGAACACAGTGAAGCCATGGCAAACGGTGCCATCTCCTCCCTAATACATACCCCAAATGGTGGGCACATCTGCTGTGGGCCCCTGCTTGGCATGGAGGAAACTGAGACACAGGCCCCAGTGGCATCCTTGAGCCTCTGAAACATGTGTCACCACCTACCTGCTCACAGTGAAGGGGGCACTGGCCATCCTCGGGGAGTGAGACTCTCCAGAGAAGCTTCAGCCGCCTGTAGGCCTCTTCCAGGGTCAGCTTGGCCGTGCTCACACTGCTCACAAACTTGCTCAGTGGTGCTGGGTGTGGACCCTACACGGGGGATATGAAGGCTGTTACGTGCAGTCTTGAAAAAGATTTTAGACAAGCAAGCCTTAACATGCAGTATAAATCTCCAGACTGTAGGGCTTCTGTTTCACACGCTGAGCGAAAGCCTGGTACCACATAACACCAATTTATTGTTCTTAAAGACTGGTGAATTGTAGATTATGAGAGAATTTCAGTGGTGATCTTAGCCCAATCAATAACCATGATTAATAACCACCATGGTTAATAACCACCAGCATTAACTACAGTTACTACTCCAAGTAAAGGGTCTGTGGGAGGGCCATTCTTACTGTTTGGCGACCCACAGAGACTCGCCCAGAGAAAATGACACCAACAGCAAGCAATAAATGGTTTGCCTTTACTGGTCCCTGTTAAATGGCCCTGCTGTAGTGAATATGATATCAGGGTCTTGTACTGCTGGCAGAGCAAACTCAAATTGGGCGGTATCAAGGGCACAAGAAAATTATGTATGTGACTCAGAAAAGGGGAAATACAAGCCCAGAAATTCGAGACCACCCTAGGCAACATAGTGAGACCCCCATCTCTACAAAAAAATAAAAAATTAGCTAGGTGTGGCAGTGCACACCTGTAGTCCTGGCTACTCAGGAAGCTGGGATGGGAGGATTGCTTAAGTCCAGGAGGTCAAGGCTGCAGTGTGCCATAATCATGCCATGTACCCCAGCCTGGACAACATGGCCAGACCCTGTCTCAAAAAAAAAAAAAAAAAAAAAAAGAGAGAAAAAAGACACATCCTTTTTAGATATCAAAGTAACAAAAAAATCATTATAAATGAAAATATCTGGGCTGGGTGCAGTGGCTCACGCCTTTATCCCAGCACTTTGGGAGGCCGAGGCAGTTGGATCACCTGAAGTCAGGAGTTCAAGACCAGCCTGCCCAGCATGGTGAAACCCCGTCTCTACTAAAAATACAAAAATCAGCCGGGCATGGTGGCAGGCGCCTGTAATCCCAGCTACTAAAGAGGCTGAGGGAGGAGAATCACTTGAGCCCAAGAGGAGGAGGCTGCAGTGAGCCAAGATCGCACCACTGAACTCCAGCCTGAGCAACAGAATGAGACTCCATCTCAAAAAAAAAAAATTTTATATATATACTGCCAGGCATGATAGCTGACGCCTGTAATCCCAACACTTTAGGAGGCCAAGGTGGGAGGATCATTTGAGCCCAGGAGTTCGAGGCCAGCCTGGGCAACAGAGTGAGACCCTGTCTCTAAAAAAAATTTTTTTTAAAAGCCAGGTGTGATGGCACACGCCTGTGGTCACAGCTACTTGGGAGGCTGAGGCAGGAGGATTGCTTGAGCCTAGGAGGTGGGGTCGAAGCTACAGTGAGCCATGATCGCGCCACTGCACTCCAGCCTGGGTGACAGAGCTAGATCCTGTCTCAAAATAAAAAAAACACAACAACAACAAAACCTCAACAAAAACAAAAATGTAGTGAGACAAACGTTCATGAACAGAGATAGAATTGTTTTGCAAAGTAATGGAGCAACAGTTATCATCAAGAGCCCTAAAAAGTTCACAACCTTTGAACTAGTAATTCCACTTCATAATGGGCGACAGCCAGGTGGATGGGCAGATGAATGGACAGACACACCAGGGTGCAGATGGAGAGAAGAATGGATGAGAGACCAGATGTACAGAGGCCGTCATGGGAACAAGACAGCAGAGCCCATGGAGCAGTTGCAGGAACACAAGGCACAAACCCCACCAAACACAGCCACCACCAATAGTTCCCCACACTGGACCTGACCTCTGAGCTCTCTGAGGCCACACTTCCTGGTCCCTCTTCTCAGGGTCCTAATGAGGACAACTGCGCCATTTGACTCCCCTCCCCCTTCCACCGACACTCCCAGGGAGCAGCTTGTGCCCCCCAGCTCTGTGGTCAGGTTACCTTTGTTCCCAGCTCTTGACTTGTGGAGCTGGGAGCCTCTTGGGTTTGAATGTCCATTTCAGCAAGGAGCCTCTGTCCCTGGCTGATCTGTTTGAGCAGGGCCTCATAGTCCTCAATCAGGCCCAGGACATGGCGGCCATTCTTGCTGGCCCACAGGTGGTGGCCAGTGACCAGGCGGGACACACACGGAGTGCTAGTTGCCGAACTGCCACTGTCGCAGGAGAGGGAGTCCGTGTCATTCCCAGAGAGTGGAGGAGTCTCTGAAACTGTAAAATGAGAAGTAGGATGTAAAATCTGTTTCAGGTAACACTCTGCGTTCAAGACGCTTATGATGTTGAAGCTAGCTAGGAGGGCTAGAAGAGGCCCTCGTGCCCAAATGCCACCCAACACAAGCCCAGAGGGGAAAAGAGGCACGCTCCTGGACCTCTGTATATTACCCCACACTGGGCTTATGAGTCATCTTGTAGGAGAGGCTCAAGTCAACTCAACCAACACTTATCAACCACCCACTCGGCAGAAGACCCCAGATTCACAAGGATGACTCAAGCTGGTGCCTGCATTCCAGTAGCCCACAGTCTGATCAGAACACAGACACTGCAGAAGGTGCAACAGCAGAGTGATGAAGGGCCAGAGCCAGAAAAAACAATTATCTGTGCAGGGAGGGAGAGAACAGGGAAGGCTTCTGAGAAGGAGCAGCATTTGAACTGGATTGAGCAAGTAGCAAGAATTACACGAATGATGAGTCATTCTGACCAAGGACAGCAGCAAAGGCATGTCACAGAGAAATGTGTATTCATGATGAGTCTTGAGGAAACGGGACTTCTACCGGCAAAGAGTGGGACAAAGGGGGTCTAAAAGTCACAGTGAGAGGAAAGTGTGGGCCTGTCTGCAGGATGGTGACCCCTGTGTGGCTACACCAGGTTAAGGGATAAGGCTGGACGGACCCACTGGAGCTGGATCCTGGAGGGCCTTGAAAGCCTCACAAAGGTGGTCACAATTTTAATCTAAGGCAAGAGGGACCCAATGATGTTCTAACCTTGGTAACACCTAGGAGTGGATTAACTGGCTTGAAGGAGAAGATCACCAGCTGGGGATGCTGAGAACTTGAAATCCCAAATCCTTACCAAATACCCTCCTGAGTTGGGACCAGGGACCCCCCTTTTCTGCAAGTTAAAAAGTCTTACTGTCACATCCAATGCTCCCACAGTTACCTGGACTTCAGCTTTGTACCTGATTTTGGTGTCACTGCCTGGGAGGAATCAAACAGATCAAATGAATTATCACTTTCCATGGGATATTTGTCACCATCTACAAAATGCAAAACACGAGAACTGTTAGTTTCACTGTTGTCAGCATTCAAGAGAGAACTGAAAGAGAATACAGTCAAGCCCCTCACATTCACTTATCCATACACACACAGCATTCCTTCAAATCTTCACTGGGCCTCTGTCCTGCCAAGCCCACCTTTGTGGGACACCAGGGAGACAGAGTGACCAGGCCCAGTCCATTCCCTAGAAAAACTCTCAGCAGAAAAGTAAATAAGCAATTTTATTTTAGTGTGATCAAGGACAAGGGAGGGAAACACAGGCTGTTGGGGCTCAGGTGAGGGGCACTACCCCCAACTTGGCTTCCCAAAGGCTAATACCCGTTTTAAAACCTTATGTTTTAAGACTGATTGTGACTGACCTATGGTAAGAAGGAGGGAAAGAAATGCCAGGCAGCACAATGGGCAGGTGAGAGGCAGACAGTGGGACAAAGAGTGGAATCATCGCTCAGGGAGAAATAAGCAGTTCATAGACCCAAGGCCCGGGTGCAGGGAAGGACAAAGTAGAATGCAAGGCCAGAACCAAGAGGACTGAGGGGCCCACTCAAGGGCTTTGGGCAAGGCAATGTCAAGCTGAGGTCTGTATTTTGTACTGAAAGAGTAAGTCTGGAGGCTGCCACACTAACCTAAGCTAGAGATGAGAGTAACCCACAATAGGATCTGGGGGGTGATGTATTTGCAACACTGTAAGGAGGCAAAACCAATAGATGCTGTACAGATGACCTGTGCAACACGTTATAATTTGGAAAGCACTTTCACATATGAAAAGCTATTGGACTCAATAGCTCAGTGGGCAAAACACACTGTAATTCAGATTTCATGGAAGGGGAGACCAAGGGGCAGAGATAGAAAGTGATCTGTCCAGCATAACCCAGCATGTCAGTGGCACAGAGCAAGGAAGCCTAGGGCTTAGGATCCCCCTTCCGAGCTCCTGCACCACTGGGCGGTGGGCTGACTGCACTCCAGCATTTCCCAGGGGTGTGCTACAGTTCCTAAGGCCAAGGAGCCAGGAGGTCAGCTCCATAGAGCTGGCCCCAAGAGGAATCACTCTCAGTGAAAGACATCAGCCTTTAGAACAGAATTTTTAAAACAGATGCACTTAAATACAGACCTGAGAAGTCTTTTGCAAAGGAAGAAATGCTGCTGCCTATAATTCTGATCTTGACTCAAGGAAATTATAAAACTTTTCTGCTGAGGCAGCACTGTGAATTCTGAATGCTCTCCTGGATGCCTCTTGCCAGGCATGATGAGGGCTGCTTTCGGCAAATTTCAAAAGCAGGTAAAGGCTGTTTGATGGCCTCCTCACTTCAGCTACCCAACTCTCCTTCCTGGGTACCCCAAGCACAGAACTGTTCTCCCTGCTTCAAACTCCCCTAGCCTACCCCACAAGTTCCTGAATCCCATCTCCTCAAAGCCTTAAAAAGGGCCAGGTGCAGACCCGTGTTGAAAATAGTAATGCCCAATGCTGAGGTCACACAAAAACCACTACCTTTGTACACTGCTGATGTACAGACTATTTAGAAGGTGGCAATATGGCACCTTTCCAAACTTATGAGGTTCCCCTTGTAGGGTTTTCTCCTAAGAATATTATTTAACAGCAAAAAGCATATTAACATTGATGTCTATTATGGCTCCAAATCAGAGACCACTTTAATAAATCAACGGGGTCATGGATTGGTGACTGAGAATAGCCTGCAAACAATCATTAGGAAGCCCATGTGAAAGCACAGGGAACATGTATGATGTAATATTGGGCAAAAACAAAGAAAGGACACACAATGACACAAAATCCAATTTGAAAAATATAAATTCATGCTCATATTTAATAAATGAAAAAATATGCAAATTTTAAAAAATGATCAATGTGTAGAATCATGAACTTTTTTTCTCTGTTCACTTTTTTCATATTATTACATCATCTTTTTGATTAAATTTTAAGATCCTTGTCAATGAGAAATCAATGAACTAATCACTACGAGCGGACTGACCAGGTGCTCCTTAAGAGATTTATTTTTATTTTTTTAACTAGAGGTATCCAAGTAAAAGTCAGTCCAAACTTTAGTACAATACTTGCTTGTAAAGCAGGCTGGCATTCCTCATCCCACTGGATACACACATTTACCCTATGGGTGTCAGGATGATAATCCCAGGATACCCAACGCTCCAGAGAGTCCAGTGGGGTTTAGGAACAGCCCTGGACTCGAAGCTGGAAATGGTTTCTAGCTCCAGCTCTGCTGCCTACTTGCTGTGCCACTTTGGGCAAGCCCCATCCACTCTCTGGGCCTTTGTTTTTCATCTCTAGAGCAAAGAGGACAGGCTGCCTGATTGCTTGGAGTCTAACCATTTACTGGTTTGCTCCACACCCTGGGTGGGCGGGTGGTAGAGGTGTCTGGTCCTCTTTCTCGTACCCCCCACAGCCTCTCCAGGGCTAGGCAATTAACCTGCACACAAATGCAAAACAGATCCACTTTTTAAACCTATCAGGATGATTTTCAGATCCTGAAAGACACTGAAAGCCAGATTAAGATGTTTAGGTTCCCTTCTAAAGGCAGTAAGAGAAACTAAAAGAAATTTCAGCATCAAAGTGATGCAGGCAGGACTAAATGGATAGGAGGGAGCAAGGCCAGAGGCACTGAGGGTGTCTGGAAGTCCAAATTCCACTTCCCTGAGAATCAAGATGCCTCAGATGGAGATTACGCCACTTTGCCCAAGGTGACCGCTAATTAATTAGCAGTCAGGTCCCCTGGCTCCTAGGGTACAGCATGTCAGCTATCAATGGAAAGACACCTCTGTGGGGCAAAGGCATCATTCAGAAGTTCACATGTCACACACAGATGCTCAGAGCTGCATTCTCAGCAAGTGGGGAGAGGCAGGGGCAGTACCGTGTTTGTCAGGCTGAAGGGGCACCTCAGGGATGGACACGGCTTGGACAGCCAGAGTGAGGGCTCCTTCCTGTGCCTTCTCTGCCCCCCTTGCCAGCTGTTCCTTGAGCCTGCTCTGCAGAGTGCTGCTGGTTTCGATGCTCCTTTCTAGTTGCAAGCGCAGAGCCTGGATCTCCATCAGGAGGCTGTGCAGGTCCCTGAAAGGATCCTGCCCCTTCCAGCCTTCTCCCGACGCCTCTGAGGACATGTGCAAAGAGAAGCCCTGACATCTTCCACAACCAAAGGGTCAGCCATCGAAGGAACTCAATCGCATTTTACACTCACCACCACCATCGCCCTCCCCCTTCCTAAGAACTAGGTACAGTTTAAAATAACAACTTGACTTTAGAAACAAAAATATTGGCAGACTTAATTGCTGCTATTCCACACGCTAAATAAGAGCTGGAAATTAATTTTCGCTTCTGGCCATAAAAGCCTAGCAAATTGCACACCAAACCCCGAAATTATGTCTAGTAGTAATAAAATCTATTTGGGCTAGAATTATAGAATGAAAGGGGATGATTTTAAGAGCCACACTATATTAAAAAGACACAACAGCAAGAATAAAAAAAGCAAGTTGAGGAGAAAATAAAAGCTGTGAGATGACCCCTTTCTAGATAAACTTTCAATAGAGAGAAACCATCTGGAAAATTAGTAAAATAAAAAAAAAAAAAAAACACCTCACCACACCTCAAAATTGATTCTGAAACATTAGACGTTATAGTTGAAGCACTCTGAGCTGGTATCTCTCCTGGGATACAGAGAGCAACGAGGCCAACAACCATCCCCAGAGCAATGCCCAGCACGTGAGAGGTGTCCATAAATGTTTGCTGAATGAGTGGGCAAAAAGTAACATATACTAGCAGGACGATTATAATAAAGGTCATTTCCTGGGTGCCTACTATGTGTCAGGTATCTTGCTAGGATGCTTTTAATAAATGGTCTCATTCAATTTTCAACACAATTCTCCACACAACAGGTGCTGAGAGACATGTTTTACAGAGATAGGTATGGGCTCAAAGGGTGAAGTGGCCTACTGAGGGTCACATAGCTGGGAACAAGTGAGTGGGAACCCGGACCTCGGCTGGCCTGGGTGCTGAGCCTCAGTCCTTCTATGTTTCCTGCTGTTCCTTCAGAAGAAGAGTGGGTCAAAGAGCTAGCTTCAACACCCATCCACTCTACCCACAAGGCCAGAGTGGAGAGGGCTGAGCTCTGCCCTCCTGTGCCTACAGCCAGCTGTCGGGTGGTCTTACAGCCCAAAGCACAGTAGCCTCAAGGTGAGAAGGGCCTCAGTACCTCTCAGTCTCCTGTGCTCTTCATCCAGCTTCTCATACGCCTTCAGCTCCACTCGGAGAGACTGCAATAGCTTGTCATTCTGTGAGAGCAGCTGCTGCCTCAACTTCACCTCCTCCTGCACCCTGAGAAGGCCCCACAGGCATGAGAAGGACAGGTTAATTCTACCTCAGGGTAACTTATTCAAACCCCACAGAGCAGGCCAATTCCACCCTCAGTCACAAGAGTGTGGACCAAGAAGTGACAAGCATGGTTAAGAATTCCATGTGCTCTCTAATCCTAATTCCACTCCTCTGCTCAGAATCTCCCAGTGGCTTCCCATGCCACTCAGAGGAAAACCCAAAGTCCTCACACTGACTCTGCAGCCCGATGTGATTTGGTATCCTGCCAGCCCCCTCTCCAGATACACTGCCCTGCTCTGTCCGGCACAGGCCTAAGCCACTTTGCCTCAGGGCCTGCGCCCATTCTGCCTGAAATGATCTTTCCCAGGTAGCTGCAGCACTCACCTCCTCACTGCATTCAGCTCTCTGAGCAAATGGCATCTTTTCACAAAGGCCTTCCCTGACTCACCCTTGACAAAAAACAGCAACCCACTGCCAAGCCCTCTCCTCCTTACAGGATCTTTCTCCATATGTTGTAGGCGCACCAGACGTACAATGTGTTTGTGTCTACTGCCTGCCACTGTGCACTAAGGCAGAGGCCTGCGTGCTGATTCCACGACTGCAGCCCAGTGCCTGCATGCGTGGTACGGCCAGCAGGCCACCAGGGAAGCACAGCCACTACCTGCTCAGCTCCTGGCCGCTGCAGCGGACCTCCTGGATCAGCTGCTGGTTGTGTCTCTCCTTCTCGCTGCCTTCTTTCTGCAGCCTTTCATTTTCTTCCTTCACGCTGGCATACTCCCGCTGAAGGTGCTCCAGGCTCACGGTCTTCCTGGAGAGGGACTCTCGTAATTTGTCATTCTCCTTCTGTTTATCTGCAAACATAAAAAGGTGCCACTGAGAAGGGCCACCATTTGTTTTTTCCAACCTTATTATATAAATACAGCACTTCAAGAATACAAAAAAGAATGAGATTCGATCTGGCATTTATGATTTTGGCATTCCAATTATCTTACACACTTTGGGCAGATAAATTTGTCAACATCAAGGCTGCAGATTAAACGTCACTGGGATAAAATGGGCCTGTTTAATTTTCTATTAAAGAACAGGCCATGCAAACCTAGTTACTTTGCCTTCACAGAGCAAACAGTGGGTAGGAAGTACAGAGGAAAACACAGGGCCCAGAACTCTGGGAATGGGTGCTGGCCTGGCCGCAGGCCTTCTACCAGCCTAGCACCAGGAGGCCGGCAGGGCTGTGCAGATGGCACCTTGAGGCCCATTCACTCCTCAGGCTGAGGACAGCACCTCTCCTGAGGAATAAAATACACCCAGAGGCACAAGAGACACTGTGGTCAAAAGCAGGGGGCTGGGGACAGAGAGGCCACATTCAAGAGCAGCTTCTCCATTTACTGACTTCATAACCTTGAGTGAGGCTCTTCACTTCTCCACGCCTGTTTCCTTACATGTGTTATTGTGTGGATTCACTGAGATGCCATCTATAAAGGGTTTATCACAGGGAGTCAGGAGCACTCTGGGGGCTGGAAGCTTCATAAGGACGAGTTCCCAGCAGTGCTGGTGGTGGTAACAGTTGACCTGCACCAGCACTACCTGTGCAGGTGTGACATTAGGGCCTTCTCATGCATCGCCCTATTTAATCTCCAGGGCCGACTTCCAAGGCAGGCACTATTATTCTCCGTTTTCCAGATAAGAGACTTCCCTAAGGTCACACAGCCAGTAGGTGGCAGAACCAGAATTCGGACTCAGTCTGATTCCATTCTTAAACACAACAAGATAATTTCTAAGCAAGCATTCACCTCCTCCCTCAAGCGCCAGACACATCATGCTGCCTACCCTTCCTGAACGGCCTAGACTCTCCTCATTGCTAACCCCTGGGACTTTGTCTGCTCTCTTCCTTCTATTTAAAAGGCCCTGGCTCCTCTCAATCTTCAGCACCTTCGCTAAGCCCTCCTCATCCTCCGTTCTTGAAGGCAAGCTTTTCCTGAGTCAGGATGCCTTCTCCAGGGTCCTGCAGTTCCCAGAGCCTAACTTTATCGTGGCTGAGGTTCACACTGGTCTGCCAAGATTGTTTGGCTGTCTCTCCCATCAGACTATGAGCTCCCTGAGGGAAGGGATGAAATCTCATCCGTTTCTGTATCACAGTCTACACGGCCCTGAAGTAACACAGGAGATAGGAAATGTTGCTGAGTGAATGAGTGACTGACAGAGGCCCCAATTTCATCTCTTAAGCCAAAAGGAGCATCAATATCCTTTTAGGAAAAGTGGGATAAGCTGGCCCAAGTTCTAGCTCTACCACATTCTAGCTCTGTGACCACAGGCCAGGCAATTCCCTAGGCCTCAGTTTCTCACCTGTCAAATAGGGCTAATGATACCTCATCCCAGAACTGTTTTCAGTAGTGAAAGATAATGTAAGTGAAAGCTCTTTGGGAGCCAAGCTCCAAATAGAAGGAATTAAGACAAGCGATCTTTATAAGAAGTACAGGATAAACTTTGCTGATAGTAGGAAATCACTAATTGAGATTTTGGCAGTATTATATTTCCAGCCCTTCTTTCTTCCACTGTGAACTAGGATGAGAGACACGTGGCTACAGGGGAGATGAGTGACAAGCAAATAAAGTAACATTTACTGAGCCCCTATTAGAGACACTGTGCTGAGAGCTTTACACCGTTCAACTGTCACAACAGCCCTATGAGATATTCCTGAACCTCTCTGATTCCAGTATTCTCAGCTATAAAACAGAAACACCTCACAGGGCTGCTGTGACAATTAAATGGTGTAAAGCCATCACAGAGCCACAGGATTCATACTTAGGTTGGTCAGACTCCAATGCCTGCATTCTTTCCATGACACAGAAGGCTTTGGCGTTCCAGACTTCCAGTGACTCCTTTAACTCTTACCTCTGGATCCTTTAATGAGCATTGCATTGAGGGCCTGGTTCTGCTTCCTCAAGAAATGAATTTCTGATGTTAGAGAACTATGAAGCTCTGAACCAGAAGCAAAAATGCTTGTAGAACCTATAAAAACACACATAAAAACTGATTTATAAACAGTCTCCAGATCAGTATAGACAGAACTTTCTAGAAAGCAGTTTTAAACAAAGAGTTAACACAACATACAATGAAAATCCCTCCTGTTAACTATGTTAGGAATTACCAGAAGCCAAAGAGAAATGAGAGTAAGCTTGAAAGAGGGGGCAGGAAGGGCTCCCCCACATCTTACCTAAGGGAGAACAAAGCAGAAGACCTGGGCCAGGAGTGGGATGAGTGAGTGAGAGTCTTCACCTTCACAGATGTCTTTCCCGAGGTCAAAATTCATATCCAGCTGCCTGCCGCGCCTCACCACTGAGGCAGCTCTGTCACTCAGTCCTCAGAGCCAAAGCTGAACTCCTTATCCTTCCAAACCTGCTCTCTCTCACCTGTTTCCTGCCTCAGGAGATGGTATCGCCACAATCCCTAACCTAAGCTAGAAAGCTGGGAGCCATTCTAAACCCCTTTCTCTTCCACTGCCCAGTCAAGCAATCATGACTGCTGCTGCTTCCTCCAAAATGCTTCCAACACTGGCCTACTCTTTTCCGTCCTAAAGTTCAGGCCTTATCACTTTACTCTCTAACCTTGCCTCCCGGCTGTTCTGCCAATGGGGTTATTATCCTAAACAAATTCCATTTAAGTTACTCTCTACTCAAAAACATCTGATGGCCCATCATGGCAAAAGACAATCACACAACAAAACACAAGGGCCAACTTCTCTGTCTAGATACCTCTATTTCACAGGTAACATTCACATTCACGGCCACCCTCAGGAAAGTGCCTACTGTGTGCAAGGTGCCTTCTCTATGTGGCAGACAGATGCTTCCCTCCCTGTCCTCCACACTCACTGAGTCCACTTACTACACCACAGAGCCAAAATGCCAGATTCCTGCTTTCCTAGCCACCCTGCAGTGAGGACATGGTCACGTGCCACCTCTGGCCAATTGGGCCTGACAGGAAGTCTGCTGGGAGCTTCTGGGAAAGATTTTCCACCAGGATGAAAAGAGGACAGGAAAAAGCCCCACCTTCTTCTTTCCCATGCTCTGGACGCTGTCTGAGAGACTGGAATGCTTGTACTACTGCAGTCATCACAGATACTAATCCAAACTTTGCTGTCACTGAGCCATAAACCTGCCTTGGAACTCCCTGCCTCTGGGTTTCTTGTTACATGAGAAAACACAAATCCCTGTTGTTACCATCAGTTGCTACTCCCATTCTGTTGTCTGCAGCTGAAAGCATCCTGGCACACAACTGAATACCTATCCTATTCAAACTCCTTGTAGGGAAGGTACGGCATCAGTTCTCCAAGGAGCTGACAGTCCTTCCACTCTACAGCACTACCTTTTTCTCATGTTAATGATTCACTTACCGCAAGGTTATCTAATTGTTTTACTCACTATGTCTCACCCCACCATCTTCCTCCACTCTCCCCTGCGAACTCTGGTATCTTTTCAGAGACACCTGGGTTTGAACCATGGCTCTGGCTTAATAGCTGCATGACCTCAGGCAAATCGCATCACTTCCCTAAGTCTCCATTAACTCAATAAAAAGTTACTGCTATTACCATTTGTATTACTAAAACAATTAATGATAGACTGGACCCAAAATAGCACCAAAAAGTAATGTGAACAGCAGGAAAAAATCTACAGAAGTCTACCACAACCAAAGCTAAGGTGGTAGCTTTGGAGGCAGTATTTCTTGGCAAAGAAATAGGCCAAAGAACAGTTCCTGACCGACCTAAACCTGAGCTAGTGAGATCCACTTCCGATGCTAGGAGGCCATTCTTTCCTCTGAGGGTCATCACTATCAGCCTGTACAAGTAGTGACAAGCTGGAAGCTCTAACACATGAGAGGCCGGTTTTTAACAATATTCCACCTCGATATTGTAAGAAGCCATACCTTTCTCAGGCCTGCTCCCCAAGGTAAACATTTCACAGCAGGGGGAGGCGGAGCCACTTTTATTCCTTTGTATTCCTTTGTCTTTTCAGACATTGTGACAACATGGTGAGAACAGCACGTCTTTCCACCAGTGTAAATACTTTATGAATGCTTTTGTAAACCTTCCCGTCAGAGTGAATTACTCTCCAGAGCAATTGTCTGCTCCATTGTAGCTGGTGGCCATTTGAGCCCCCAAATAATTCTATAATTGGATTTGCCAGGGAAAATGTAAAACAGAATGAATCTAATTCAGGCATTACCAAGAGTGAATGTGAAGGGCCCAGGCGTGTATTTCTTTCCTGTGTTTGATACAACTAATAACTCAGATCAATCAATTTCCCTGAGGGTGAGGGGGGTATATGCAGGAAATGGGCGCAGTGAGCGAGGAGGGAGGAGGGAGGAGGGAGGAGGGAGGAGGGAAGGAGGAGGGAGGGAGAGGGCGAGATGGAGCCATTCGGTTTCCCTTGCAAGCTGCAGCATGCACGGTACTTGGGAAAGATGTCCCTCCCGGCTGGTAGCTATGATGGCTAGAGAAGAATGAGACCTGGACAAGGGTCCAAGGACTCGGGTGCTGCTGCCATGGGGCACTATCTTTCCAGAACTCAATTCTACCATCTCTAAAAATGGGAATGACATTAGAGTCCCTGCCCATTGCAGAGCTTTGCAACGTTATACAGAATAAAATAGTAAAATAAAATTGATAATGATGATAAAGGCAACCATTTACTGAGTGAGGCACTGAGCAAGGCCCTACTCATAACATTGCCTCATTTAATCTCGCAATGACCCTGTTCTATGAAACAATTAAGACTGGGAGAAATGAGTATATTGCTCAACGTCACAAAGCTAATAAATGGGACAGCAGGGTCCACACTCCGGCCAGTTCAACCAGACAAACTCGGGCTTTTCTGAGTGCGCCAAGCTGCTTTCAAGATACATGCTTTACGGAATGAGGAACTCTCTCTAGAGCAATAAGGAAAGATGTCCAAGATTTACTGCTCCATGACAAATGGACAGAATCATGGATATAGAGTACGTTACCTCTGGGATGAAGAGAAGAGTAAGAATATATGCTGGTATTTGCATTTAAAAAAACACTGTTAAGGATACAGAAGAAAAGAAAAAAGTGGAGAAGAAGGAAGGGAAAACAGGGTTAATGGGTAAAGAATGGAGGTTTAAATTTTTTGAAGCACATGAATGTCTTACCTATGCCAGCGGGGTGGCGGGGAGTGGGCGGTAATGTTTTTAAGTTCTTCATGGACGATCACTCTATTCGGAGCTAACTGTGTTTATGCAGGAATATGTGTGATCTTTAGACTGGCATGTGAAATTTACCAGATTGCTAAAATGCTGATATTTTTATAATCCATTATAGATGAAAAGACAATATATTGCTTTGTTTTATCTTAAAATTCCTATCTATTTCTCTCCAGCTTCCAAAGTTAAATGAGATGCCAGTCACAATTCAGGATGCCAGAGGCTGGCAGACTTCTCCAAGATGGAAAAATGAACATTTATCAAGCACCTGCTTTGTACACAGATGCTTACTCAGGCAAATGCGTCACAGTGAAGCACTCACAGACATGTACAGTCCTCCAGGAAGGTCTTTCCTTACCTTGAACAAATTCAGATCCTTGCCGTTCCAACTGTTTCCGTAGCTTCTCATTTGTTTTAATAGATTCTTCTAAACGCTTTCTCAAAGTTCGAATTTCCTGTATGTGTTCCATTAGTAAGTCTACAGGAAGGAAGCCATTTTTAATTTAAAGTCTGAACCCCCAACAAATTGAATAATTTATGGATTATGCAGGGATCCTGAAATTCCAAACAGTATTGGATGTGTTAAGATGGTTAGCAACTGGCAATTCTTTCCTAGGCATGGGGAGGGTGAGCTATTTCCCACAGCCCACAGACACACTTCTGTAATGATTCTCTGCAGCCCTCCATGAGGAAGATATTTTACATCACATAGAAAAAATTATATTCCATACAATTTTAATGCTAACTCTAATGTAGCCTTTTATTCTTCCAAATATCAAATATTAATTTAAAATCTTCCTTATGGTGAAACTAACAGATCACTTTCAAGTCTGCTTGAATTGCCTGAGAGTTGATTAAACTACCTTCATAATGAATCCAGATATTTTCGAGACTAATTTTTTGAAAGGAATATGTTATCCATTTATCATTTACTAATTTAAGACTTAAATAAAGCAAAACAATGCTAGTGAGAATGGTAATAAGAAAAGTGATCTCAACAGAACATCTTATTAGCATGAGTATAAATGTGTATGACCTTTTGGGGCTACTTCTATACTTAGCCTTAGAAAAGTTATTTTCCAATGTCTTTTACCAAATAATTCAACTCTTAGGACTCTATTTAAAGAGACCACCAGAGATGCTGACAAGCGTTTGCCAGAATGGAGGAAAAGGTTCACCTTAGCACTGGATGTAACCATAAGAACTGAAGTAACTCCAAATGTAACTGTAGTACATTCATGATGATGCAGTATTACATAGCTATTAAAATTATGTTATGAAGACTATATATCATAAAAAATATACTAAATCTTAGATCCAAGATTGATAACATAATCACAACTTATAGAAAAAAAAAATTCAGTTTCTCCCATACACTCACTCAACAATCAACACAGAAGACTTCTGTGACCACATGTGAGGGTTTTTTCCCCCACAGACTAAGCAAACAGTTCTGCAGCAGACACCGGCCGGGCGTCCTCTAATTCAGTTGGACCTGAAGATAGCGTTAGATCCACAGGTTGAGGCTCAGTCCCAAGACTGCCCCTCCAACAACTTCTGAGGCCAATCGCAAGCCCCCAGTTGTTTCACCTGTGCCTCTGACCAACTGACTAAAAATTCGGTTCCCTCACCCGCCTCCTGGGGTTGGATTAATTTGCTAGACCAGCTCAAAAACTCAGGGAAACATTTGCTTATGTTTACTGGTTCATTATGAAGGATACTGCAAGGAAGACTAAATATATACTTCACAATATCACAGAACTCTACTTAAAAATTTGTACAGACAAGGAAAGACACAAATATGTGAAAGAAGGAAATATATCTAAATATTAATAGCAGTTGCCTTTAGGTGGCAGATTTTAGATTTTTCAAAAATTCTATATTACATTTTAACATAATACTTAATAATACACAACATTTTAAATTTTCCAAAATGAGCATGTATTTGTTCAGCCTCTGCCACATCTCACTTTAACAAAGAAAGAAGAAAGCACAATTCCAATCCAGGGGTAGGTTTCTAGAATCAGTGTTTAAAGCATCATCACATTAAGTATCCAAAGGCAAAACTAATGTCTTTAATTTATCAATTAGGGTATACTCAGTATATCTTAGTAATGTTTGTTTTAAAACATTACACTAATGTTATGACCCAGTTTTAATTCCTCCAAAATGACTTTCATTTAAAAGTAGCACAGTGTTACAGATCTTTTCCTAATTAAATAGTAATTTTACCATGAATTTGAATGTTTATGAGATGACTTAATTCCCAGACCTTCAGCTATCTCCTGCTAATGCCAGAAATGTGGCAAGTAATTTGGTGGAATGTCGTAGCTCTCGCTGCAGCACAGCACAGAAGGACTCTTGTCTGCAAAAAGCTACTGGCACCCACGGCACTGCATCTCCACGCTCCTTAAACTCCTGGCACCCACAGCACTGCACCTCCCCGCTCCTTAAACTGCTGGCGCCCACGGCACTGCACCTCCCCACGCCTTAAACTGCTGGCGCCCACGGCACTGCACCTCCGTGCTCCTTAAATTCCTGGCGCCCACGGCACTGCACCTCTGCGCTCCTTAAACTCTAGGTGCCCAGGCATTGCACCTCCACGCTCCTTAAACTCCGGGCGCCCACAGCACTGCACCTCCCCACTCCTTAAACTTCTGGCGCCCACGGCACTGCACCTCCACACTCCTTAAACTTCTGGCACCCATGGCACTGTACCTCCTTGCTCCTGCCTTGGTGCCCTGCAAATCTTCCTCCAGCAGCTAGTCAGGTAGGAGTCAGTCAGGAACTTTTCTGTTTGACTGCAACCTTCCTTGCTGGTTTATCCAAGTCACACACTCATGACTGTGAGAAGGGGACATAAATGCTTAGCAGCAATCGAAACATGCCATCTTCCACTGAGTCTTTGGCCAGGAGGCGGAATCATCACTTGGGCTTAAGGAAACATTCCCAGTTGAACTGGACACCACTTATTAATTATACAGCCAAACTGAAGAGAAGGAAACACTATACTAGCCTTTACAAAATGGGAGAAAAATCTCTCTCTCTTAGAATAATGCCCTTTTGACAAATGCTGACTTTTTAAAAACATAAATCCAATAAGCAACCACAAAAAAAAAAAGTGTGTATCTCTTGCCTAGCAGTTCCAATTTATAGAATCTGTATTAAGAAAAGCCCCCAAATAAGGGAAAAGCTTCACGTTCACAGATATCCCCTGCAGCATTGTTTACAATTGTGAAATCTGGAAATGACTTAAATGTTCAGCGACAGAGGAACAGAAGGAAAACTGCAATTCAGCCACTCAATGGACTATTCTAAAGCCACTAAAAATGATGTTATGTAATAACATGTCGGAAAGCTTAGGACAGAACGTTAAGTGAGAAAAATACTAAATTATCTCTCTACCGAATCATAAATATGACAAAAGACAAAAGAAAAACTAGATGCAGAGAGCAAAAGGCTGAAGACACACCAAAAAAGATGATGGTGGGCTTACTGGGATGACTCCAGGGAGCACTGCCCCAGTTCAGGTAACCCACTAAGAGGGCATCATAAGCCCAAGGTCATGGGTCCACAGAGGAGCAAGAAATAGAAGAAATGCCTAAAAGGTTCTACATTAGAAATAGAACAAGGTTGGGGTGGTGGACAGGGCGAAGGGTGGAAAAAGAGGGGCAGCCAAGAGGGAGCAGAGGGAACTGCCTAGTGAAAAGAATAGGGATCTCAAGAGTTCCCGTTTAAATAATTTGGGTTGCTGCATTGTAAACACCACTTTCCTTCTGGTTCCTCAATCAAGTCTGCACAAAGTCCTCGTGGGAGTGGTCTCTGGGGATTCCTGGAAAGTCACTGAGTTACACACTGAATGGATACAATACAGAAGAAGTGGCACTAGGGACAGGGAAACAATTCGTGGTGTGACCTAAATTTGGGAAAGGCAGAATGCAGAGCCAGAAATGACCAAGAAAAACCAAGTACTCAGAAACTCACAAAAACTGCAAAGAGATACAGCCAGAAATCCAAAGAAACTAGGGCTAGATAACGCTGCTGGAGGACCCCAGCTGATACCTCAGTTACGCCAACAATGTGGACTTCACACTCTAGGTATGTCTTCTGTCTTCAAACTGGGCTCCTCTGAGTCCTGAGTGTCCTCAAGAAGACTCAGAGGCCACCATGGGACAAAGGCACCATACTTATCTCTTTTACACACTGCATGGGGCCGCTGTGAAAATTTTCACCTGCTAACTCAGTCCATGGTCGGAGGCAGAGCAAAGGTGTTATGGACTGAATGCTTGTGTCTCCAAAATTCCTATGTTGAAGCTCTAAGTCCAATGTAATGGTATTAGGAAGTGGGGGCTTTGGGAGATGATAGGACCATGAGGGTAGAGCCCTCACAGTGAGATCAGTGCCCTCATAAAACAGACCCCAGCTCTCTCGCCTTCCTTCTTGCATGTGAGGATACAACCAGAAAATGGCAGTCTGCAACCTGGAAGAAGGCCCTCACCATGCTGGCTCTACCCTGATCTTGGACTTCCTAGCCTTTAGAACTGTAAGAAATAAATTTCTGCTGTTTATAAGTCACCCATTCTATGGCGTTCTGTTACAACAATCCAAATAGACTAAGACAAAAGGCCTGACCCAATGGGCCATGGGTCACACTAAAGGAAAACAAAGTAGATTCCTACAATCACAAATGTTGTATTTATATAAAAATATCAGAACAGGGGGCTAGATACTCTTGGGCAACTCAAAGCAGAAGAGTCTCTGAAATGACCCTGCCTTAGGATGAGTTTGAAATAAACAATAGGAAATTAACCAAATCTGCACTGACATACAAGTTCAATGACACACAGCCTGCAGGAAATGGCAAGTCACATATTAAGTCGTCATTTAAAAAATAAAAATGGCTTTTCCCCAATCGCCAACACTTTCAACAACCATAGCTTTCTCTAGTGATAAAGGATACTCTGAATGACCAGCATTGGCCCTAATGGGATCTCCTTTCATCAGAGAAATACTCAAATGTCACCACACTCTGCTTACTAAGGTTAAGATGGCAAATTATTGTTTTAATCAGGCCATGTTTAAAACACTTAATGAGGCTTAGCTTACCTTGAGAAAAACTGTTCACCATAACTGAAGTCTTCTCTGTCTCATTATCTTGCTTCTGGTCTCGTGAGAAGAAGGACTTTTCAGATGTTTCATAATCAGAGAGCGCATGAGAGGCTGAAGGCTCAGGAGATTCAGGCAGAAGATGTTGGTAGGTTAAGTTGTCTTCCTCAATCCTTAACCATTGAGATTGAAAGATAAATCATCTCCCATGCTAAAATCCCAAGCCAGGACTATGACTTACGAATACTTACGATTACTTTACTCTTAGTAACTCCCCAATGTTTGCAACTTCAGTCAGACCTTTTATTTCCCTACAGCATTAAGCAATGACATTCTAAAAGCAAGAAAGGCTCAGTGCGCTTGAGTTTGAAGCCAACAAGGGGAAGCAGGGGATTGTGCCTGTCCCACAGCATGGCTTACAGGGGAGGGACCCAAGAGGACTTGGGTCGACGGCAGCTGTTTACCAAATAACCTCTCTATACCAAGCATTTGAGATTTTAGTTGGGCCTCACAGAAACCCTTTGAGGTAGGGATTACTATCCTCATTTAGACTGGGGGAACTGGGGCTCATCATAAACTGGCCCACTGTCTCACGGCTTGGTCAGAGGCACAGTTTAGATTTCAACCAGGCCTGCCTGGCTCCAAGGCCCCAGGAGAATGTGAGAGCCCAGCCCAAAACCATGAGATGGCCTATGGATTTAAAAATCTCAAAACTCTCATGGTTCCCAAGCAGGTTTCAATATCGTTATTCTAGCAATCATCTGGTTATTAACCTGTATTTCCCAAGGACCACCTAAGCCATGAGAAAAAAAAAAAATGCTGTGAAAAGCCCACATGAATCTCCATTAGAGATAAACTCCTTAATTGATGCTCTTTTTTTCTCCCACGTCTTCCTATTACTTCTTGTCAACAGCCACAGTCTCATTATTCATGAGCTCAGACAACAGCAAAGACTCTAAGGCTGCAATGCATTCATTAACAGGTAAACACCTGATGCAACTTTGCCCAGACAGTGTGATGGATGCACAGGCTTGCTGCTGGCTTGCAGAAGTGCAGCATGGGCCAAGGGCACCCACTTAATTGACTTAGAAGTGGCCCAAGTTAAACTACAGTTGAGAGAGGCAGAACAGAAGGAAAAAAACAAATCTGTCAGAAATGAAAAGGAGTGGCACATTGGTTGAGGAGGCTAAAGAGGTTCCATCCCTCACTCCAACTCCTTCTGCAAGCAACCCCAGCAGTCTTCCTAAATGGCAAATGTGATCATGTCTAGTCCCAGCTTACCTTCCTTCGAAGACTCCCTACTTCCTATAGAATAGTGTTTGGACTTTTAACACATTTGAGGACCAGCCCAACAAGAACCAGCCTGCCTCTCCAGCTTTGACCCTCTATGTGCCAGCTACATGCTCAAAGGGACCGTGTCTCCTTTGCCTCAGGCTTGGACATTCTCCTGACAGCCCCCAGCCCCTTCAACTCTCACCCTTTAGATCTCAGCTAAGAATGGCCCCACTCTGGGAAGCCTTCCTTGCCCTCTCTAAAGCATGCCAGTGGGATGTGATCTATTATTATAAGAATGGAAGTGGAGGATTGAATTGGGAGGGATCTTTGACAATGCTGCAATGGGAGAAGAGTATTTCTTTTAAATTTGCAAAAGCCCTGATTAAAACTCCTCCTGTGAGCTGTGATACCTCTCTGCCCACTCGCTCTAACGATGCAAGTGCCCTTCGTGATGCCAATAAAATCTACAAGTCTGCACCCTAGACTGGTCTCTATTTTATTCCCAGAAGCCCAAAGGACCACATCTTTAAAGAAGAGGAAAGTACACAGCAACAATAATAGCATTCAGAATCTTTAACAACTAAATAAAGGAGGGCAAGACCTTGGCATTTTCAGTTGGCCATAGACACAAGCTAAGAAATTATACAATTCATGTATTCCATGATTATTTTCTGATCTCCAACTACATGCCAGCAACTTGGAGCTGGAGCAGGTAGAGATATTCAAGACATAGGCTTTGCCCTCAAAAGACAATGTGGAATAACAGGAAGAGGACATGCATTGGATGGAGTGTGACAGATTCAAGTTCAAATCCTAGCTCTGCCTTGTAATGGCAAATATGCAACTCTGACCCACAGCTTCCTCATCCTAAAATAGTTACTTCAAACTTTATATGGTGAGAACTAGTAAATGTGAAATGCCTACAACAGCAGCTGACACACACCAATACCTAGTGAACACTAGCTAGCTCCTTTCCTCTTCCAAGGAACTCTGGGAATAGAAAGATAAATGTAGAAAGCATTACAATACCATGTGGTAAATGCTGTAATGTAATTATGTCCAAGTGCTACAGCAAGAATCACTGACGCTGGGATGTGGTGGAGAGGGAGGGTATTGGGGAGAACCAGGTTCATTTACATTTGAATGGACTCTGAAGAATGATTTTCGAACTTCAAGAGGAGGAAGGCAGAGTGCACAGCTATGGTGTGGAGAATAATACAAAGCCAAATAGGACTAAAACATGGGGTACATCAGGGGAAGGGAAGCGAGGAGAATGGGCAGGGGAGAAGAGAATTGGGGTCAGAATGAGAAAGGCCTCAAATGCCAGGCTAAGGAGTCTGGAGTTTATCTTGCAGGTATCTGGGAGCCAACAAATGAATATGTCATCTGGTTCAAATCACCTGATAGAGATGACACAAGTAACCTGAAATGAATGAATGAAAGCAACAGGACATATGGCATGAGCTCTTGGTTTTGTATGGCCATTGTCAGTTCCATAGATGTTTATACCTTATTTACAAGAAGCAGGAAACAAACAGAATGGGAAGGAGCCAAAATATTTTAAAAGCTGGCAGGTAAATCAGACCTAGAAAGTCCTGGGAAGTCTTCTTAACAAATGTTACACACTCACCTCTCCATCAGTTCATTCTGGGTGTTCATTTCCACTCCAACTGATTTTCCTGGAAGCAGAAATAACATCAAGAAAGGAGGAGAAAAAAATGTTTTTAAGTGTTCCCTAATAATTTCCTGCTCATACATTTGCAGAAGCACTATTCCACTTGTTTAAACACTCTGTAACAATCCTGGATATTTAAAGTAGGATTACCAAGAGTACAATTCAGACTATAGACTTCTCCTTTATCACTGCATTGACACTAGTGCTAGGTGACAGCACTGAATCTAAAAAGCAATCACAAGGTATTGCTGGTGCAGGTGTCTTTTTCTTTCTCTCAAACTCTGATACTAACAGAATATATGCTCATTACAGAAAATGGGTAACGGAATCAAAAAAAGATCAATATCCTGGCACTCCCACAGCCAAGTTACTGGATTTCTTTCCATTCTTTTTTTCATGCATTTTGGCATGGAAGATACCATATTACAACATAATTTTTTCACTTAGTATATTATTATTATAGCCATTTCTCTTACTAAATTTGCTTCCGAAACATCATTTTTAATGTCTGCGCTAATATTCCACTGTAGGCATGCATTACCACAATTTTGCCAGTTCTCTATTTGACACTTAGGTCATTTGCAAATTTTCACTTTTATAAACAAATAAAATAAGCATCTTTGTGCATACAGCTTTATCTGCATTTTAATTATTTCTTTAGGAAGGGTCTCAGAAGCAGGATTAAAACTAGGAAAAGGAGTACATGAGTACAGCTGAAAAACCCACTGTCTACAGCAGGGGAAATGATTTAAAAAAATGACAAAAGAAAACAAAATAAAGCTCAGAATGTAGCTGGGCAAAAGACGCTCTGCTCTCTTCCTGCATGTTATCATTTGCTGTTTGAAAGGAAGCACATGAGCCTAGATTTCAAAGAGACTAACAACTTTATTTTAAAAATACTTCAGAACCCTGGAAATTGCAGGCTGGGATGAGCTCTTTGAAGACACTGATGCGTGGCTAAAGAAAAAAACAAACTCTTCTACAGTTGTACTTGAAAAATGAGACTATAATTAAACTGCACCCACACATGCAATTTTCAAAACTATTCCTAAAAGGAAAAGTTCTCAAACACCACAGTATAGAGGAAAAGATCACTGAATCCTTGCACATTTGCTTTAAGTCTAGAAGTTCCCACCTACAAACTCACACGGCTGGCTGGTATGGCCATCCAGGTTCCCTATCGCCCACCAGGCCAGCCACCTGGGCACCAAGAGTCAGTGCAACATGCTAAGTGGTAGAAAGTCACCTACTATGGCAGGGCACTGTCACCATCAGAAATGAGTCACACAGGCCTGAGTGACCAGGCACCAGGGCCTGAGTATGGCTCTTTAATATCTACTATCTCCTTCAGGCCTCACAATGATCCTATGAGCACGGTGTTAGTACCTCTGTTTTAAAGCAAAGAAGTGGAAATCCAGGAGGTTTAATGTTTCAACTCTCCCTTTGTCTGATCACACTCTCCCTTACTTTACTACATTTTATAGTTAAGCAAGACAGATGGAGATATCCTTATAGCTACTTCAATCACAAACCTATGCCTCTTGGTTACATCCTGGCCAAAAATGGCATGGTATTTTGGCTTCTTGAAAGGTAGATAGAGGTTGACAGGCCTTCATCAGTGGATGCTCTCAAGACTCCACATTTCTGTCCTCTACAATCCTCTTCAAGGGGGAAATCCAAACCTGACTGAGTCAGAGTTCCAGACCTTTACTGGAAGAACCAGCTTGTAAGACCATCCCTAATGGGCAGGGACAACTGTGTGTTAAAAGAACAGCTTAGTCAACATTTTTCATCTCATACCTGCACTGGGCTGCTTACCAACATTCAGCAGATAAGACTAACCCTGCAGACCCTGAGAATGGACCATCAGTGCCAGCCCAGCCTTCCAAAAAGCTTAGGACTTATTCAGGTACTAGCCAGGCAAACAAAGTAACATGACATTCTGCTTCACATTCTCACAGCTCTTTTTTTTTTTTTTTTTTAATGGAGTCTTGCTCTGTTGCCCAGGCTGGAGTACAGTGACACGATCTCGACTTACTGCAACCTCTGCCTCCTGGGTTCAAGCAATTCTCATGCCTCAGCCTCCTGAGGAGCTGGGACTACAAGCACACACCACCACCATCAGCTAATTTTTTTGTATTTTTAGTAGAGTATTCACTGTGCTGGCCAGGCTTGTTTCAAACTCCTGGCCTCAAGTGATCCACCTGCCTTGACCTCCCAAAGTGCTAGGATTACAGGCGTGAGCCACTGCACCTGGCCACATTCACATTGTTCTTTAGTTGTATATCTTCCTCAGGAACTTCACAGGGTGGGGACCCTTGGTTTGGGGCAGGCTTTAAGCATTCCGGGTCTCCAGATCTTAGACCCATCAAAAACCTCTCCTCCATTCCTAACCAAACTCATGACCACACCAGGATGTGCCCTGATGCCACCAGCAGCATGAGTTTCCCCATCAAATAACAGACCCTCGAGGAGCTTGCAACAACTCAACAACAACTGTATTCCACCCGTTCCCCTATTATTATAACAGAATTCTTTAAAACCAAGTGACAAATAGTTACTGTAGGATTCACAGGGAGATCACAACAACTAATGCATTGAATTTCTGGGTGGAAACTGCCCTCACACAGGTAACAGGGTACCATCTGTCTGGCTATTCAAAAGCTTAGGATGCATGTCATGAAAATGCTGCTCCCATCTCTCAGGCAAATCTTGTTGCTACACCTAAGAGATGTGTAGTGTGAGACAATAGGAGGACTTCATCTTTTCAAATAAAAAACATCTAGTTATCCCATCCATAACTGAACAAGCAAGAGAAGACTATTATGCCAGACAAACTTACAACTGGTTGACCCAACTTCACTTTCCTCTCTGCACTGATCCATTCTGTACAGTGCTTAAGAAGCCACTTTTGAAACAGTACTTCCGAGCTCAAAATCCATCAGTCCTACAGAGTTAACTTCAAATGTCACAGCCTGGCATCTCCTACATGACCCAGATGTTTCTTCCTTTCCACCTCTCTAGTAATTGGTAGAAACTAATTCTATTTTAATATTTACAGTGCTCCACTCAGGTTCCTGTGCCAGACACTGAGGATACAGAGATGAATGAGGAGCCACCCTATCCTCAGTGAGTTCACCTGAGTGGAAAGGGTGGACCCAAAAGACAACTGCACTACACACTGTGATAAGGGGCCGCAACAGATGCTGTGGGAAGGCACACAGAGGAGACAAACAGAATCTGGCCTGGACCATCAAGGAACATTTCGGGGAGGTGGCAATGGAGCCATATCTTTGATGGAGGGAAGAACTGCTTTATAAAGATGGGAAGACACTTAAGGGACTCTGGGGAGGGCAGTTCCAGGGATTCTTAGGAGGAAAAACCCTCCATTTTCTCTGAAAGCCTGCATCACTCTGTTAACCATGACATGCATGCCCCATTATTATTGTTGCCACTGTAAGCCAAAAAGTATATGAGACAGATCTCAACCAGTTTTGGAGTTTATTTTGCCAAGGTTATGGATCATGACAGGTGACACAGCCCCAGGAGGTCCTGAGAACATGTGCCCAAAGTGACTGGGTTACAGCTTGGTTTTATATGTTTTAGGGAGACAAAAGATATCAATCAACATATGTGAGGTATACACTGGTCTGGTCCGGAAAGGCAGGACAACTCAAAGTGGGTGGCGGGCTTCCAGGTCATTGGTGGATTCAAACATTTTTCTGATTGGCACTTGGTTGAAAGAGTTATTATCTAAAGACCTGGAATTAATAGAAAGGAGTGTCTGAGTTAAGCTAAGGGGTTACAGAGACCAAGGCTTTTCTTATGTGGATGAAGTCCCAGAGGTGGCCATCCTCAGAGGCAAATATTTCCTATTCAGATCGTTAAAAGGTGCTGGACTCTCAGCCAATCTCTTCAGGATCAGAAAAGGAGAAAGGGAAGGGGATTCTCTATAGAATGTAAGTGTTCCCTACAAGAGACAGCATTTCAGGGCCATTTCAAAACATGTCAAAGAAATATATTTTGGGGTACAATACTTTGATTTCTTTCAGAGCCCTGCAATCTGTCATGTGATGCTATAATGGAGTCAGGTTAGAATTTGGTTTCTTATTGCTACAGAGTCTGTTCAGTCAGCCTAAGGATCTCTATTTTAGTGTTAATACTGGTCAGCTGTGTGCCAGCTCCAAAGGGAGGAGAGTATAATGAGGCATGTCTGACCGCCCCCCACTTTCCCATCATGGTCTGAACTAGTTTTTAAGGTTTTGTTGGGTTCCCTTAGCTGAGGGAAGGGTCCCCTCACCTAGCTGTAGGATTTACAATTTTAATTTTGGTTGATGTATCTTCCTGAGCTCCCCCTATTTGTCAAGGCAGGACACCCTTCAAATCAGGAGTGTCTATTGGGTTTTTTGTTTGGCCAGAAATTTAAAAATGAGAGAAATCAGGGGTGTCCAATCTTTTGGCTTCCCTGGGCCACTCTGTGTCTTGGACCACACATAAAATACACTAACAATAGCCAATGAGCTTAAAAAACAAAAAAATCCATAATGTTTTAAGAAAGTTTACAAATTTGCATTGTGCCACATTCAATGCCGTCCTGGGCTGCATGCAGCCCATGGGCCACGGATTGGACAAGCTTAAATAATGTCATTTCATTCTCACAAACATCTCTATAAGACAGGTACTGCTCTCCCCCATAGAGGAAATCTGGCCCTTCAAAGGATAAATGACCCACAAAGCTGGGATCTGAACTCCAGTCTGTCTGACTCCAAAGGTCTTGTTCTTTCTAACCCAACACCCTTGCAACAGCCTCTATCACAAACTCAGATGTGAATATCAAGTGCAAGCTATAAACAAACCGGGGGTGGGAGGGGGTGGAAAGAATAAATTTTGCTTCCACTTCAGGTGAACAAAGAAAGATTCCTGGAGGATAGGCAGAATTTCTCTAATTTCTCTAAGTGGAAAGGGAGTAGAAGTCTTACAGAAAAAAATAATGGTTTGAACGGAATCATGGAAGAGGGGAAATGCAAGGCCTGGCCCACAGAAATGTTTGATCAACAGAATATACATTTTTTTCAGCACCACACCATACCTATTCCAAAATTGACCACATAGTTGGAAGTAAAGCTCTCCTCAGCAAATGTAAAAGAACAGAAATTATAACAAACTGTCTCTCAGACCACAGTGAAATCAAACTAGAACTCAGGATTAAGAAACTCACTCAAAACCGCTCAACTACATGGAAACTGAACAACCTGCTCCTGAATGACTACTGGGTACATAACGAAATGAAGGCAGAAATAAAAATGTTCTTTGAAGCCAACGAGAACAAAGACACAACATACCAGAATCTCTGGGACACATTCAAAGGAGTGTGTAGAGGGAAATTTATAGCACTAAATGCCCACAAGAGAAAGCAGGAAAGATCCAAAATTGACACCCTAACATCACAATTAAAAGAACTAGGAAAGCAAGAGCAAACACATTTAAAAGCTAGCAGAAGGCAAGAAATAACTAAAATCAGAGAAGAACTGAAGGAAATAGAGACCAAAAAAACCCTTCAAAAAATTAATGAATCCAGGAGCTGGTTTTGTGAAAGGATCAACAAAATTGATAGACCGCTAGCAAGACTAATAAAGAAAAAAAGAGAGAAGAATCAAATAGATGCAATAAAGAATGATAAAGGGGATATCACCACCGATCCCAAAGAAATACAAACTACCATCAGAGAATACTACAAACACCTCTACGCAAATAAACTAGAAAATCTAGAAGAAATGGATAAATTCCTCGACACATACACTATCCCCAGACTAAACTAGGAAGAAGCTGAATCTCTGAATAGACCAATAACAGGATCTGAAATTGTGGCAATAATCAATAGCTTACCAACCAAAAAGAGTCCAGGACCAGACGGATTCACAGCCAAATTCTACCAGAGGTACAAGGAGGAACTGGTACCATTCCTTCTGAAACTATTCCAATCAATAGAAAAAGAGGGAATCCTCCCTAACTCATTTTATGAGGCCAGCATCATCCTGATACCAAAGCCGGGCAGAGACACAGCCAAAAAAGAGAATTTTAGACCAAAATCCTTGATGAACATTGATGCAAAAATCCTCAATAAAATACTGGCAAACCGAATCCAGCAGCACATCAAAAAGCTTATCCACCACGATCAAGTGGGCTTCATCCCTGGGATGCAAAGCTGGTTCAATATACGCAAATCAATAAATGTAATCCAGCATATAAACAGAACCAAAGACAAAAACCACATGATTATCTCAATAGATGCAGAAAAGGCCTTTGACAAAATTCAACAACCCTTCATGCTAAAAACTCTTAATAAATTAGGTATTGATCGAACGTTATCTCAAAATAATAAGAGCTATCTATGACAAACCCACAGCCAATATCATACTGAATGGGCAAAAACTGGAAGCATTCCCTTTGAAAACTGGCACAAGACAGGGATGCCCTCTCTCACCACTCCTATTCAACATAGTGTTGGAAGTTCTGGCCAGGGCAATTAGGCAGGAGAAGGAAATAAAGGGTATTCAATTAGGAAAAGAGGAAGTCAAATTGTCCCTGTTTGCAGATGACATGATTGTATATCTAGAAAACCCCATTGTCTCAGCCCAAAATTTCCTTAAGCTGATAAGCAACTTCAGCAAAGTCTCAGGATACAAAATCGATGTACAAAAATCACAAGCATTCTTATACACCAATAACAGACAAACAGAGAGCCAAATCATGAGTGAACTCCCATTCACAACTGCTTCAAAGAGAATAAAATACTTAGGAATTCAACTTACAAGGGACGTGAAGGACCTCTTCAAGGAGAACTACAAACCACTGCTCAATGAAATAAAAGAGGATACAAACAAATGGAAGAACATTCCATGCTCATGGGTAGGAAGAATCAATATTGTGAAAATGGCCATACTGCTCAAGGTAATTTATAGATTCAATGCCATCCCCATCAAGCTACCAATGACTTTCTTCACAGAACTGGAAAAAATGATTTTAAAGTTCATATGGAACCAAAAAAGAGCCCGCATCGCCAAGTCAATCCTAAGCCAAAAGAACAAAGCTGGAGGCATCACACTACCTGACTTCAAACTATACTACAAGGCTACAGTAACCAAAACAGCATGGTACTGGCACCAAAAGAGAGATACAGATCAATGGGAACAGAACAGAGCCCTCAGAAATAATGCCGCATATCTACAACTATCTGATCTTTGACAAACCTGAGAAAAACAAGCAATGGGGAAAGGATTCCCTATTTAATAAATGGTGTTGGCAAAACTGGCTAGCCATATGTAGAAAGCTGAAACTGGATCCCTTCCTTACACCTTATACAAAAATTAATTCAAGATGGATTAAAGACTTAAATGTTAGACCTAAAACCATAAAAACCCTAGAAGAAAACCTAGGCATTACTATTCAGGACATAGGCATGGGCAAGGACTTCATGTCTAAAACACCAAAAGCAATGGCAACAAAAGCCAAAATTGACAAATGGGATCTAATTAAACTCAAGAGCTTCTGCACAGCTAAAGAAACTACCATCAGAGTGAACAGGCAACCTACAAAATGGGAGAAAATTTTTGCAACCTACTCATCTGACAAAGGGCTAATATCCAGAATCTACAATGAACTCAAACAAATTTACAAGAAAAAAACAAACAACCCCATCAAAAAGTGGGCGAAGGATATGAACAGACACTTCTCAAAAGAAGACATTTATGCAGCCAAAAGACACATGAAAAAATGCTCATCATCACTGGCCATCAGAGAAATGCAAATCAAAACCACAATGAGATACCATCTCACACCAGTTACAATGGCAATCATTAAAAAGTCAGGAAACAACAGGTGCTAGAGAGGATGTGGAGAAATAGGAACACTTTTACACTGTTGGTGGGACTGTAAACTAGTTCAACCATTGTGGAAGTCAGTGTGGCGATTCCTCAGGGATCTAGAACTAGAAATACCATTTGACCCAGCCATCCCATTACTGGGTATATACCCAAAGGACTATAAATCATGCTGCTATAAAGACACATGCACACATATGTTTACTGCGGCACTATTCACAATAGCAAAGACTTGGAACCAACCCAAATGTCCAACAATGATAGACTGGAGTAAGAAAATGTGGCACATATACACCATGGAATACTAGGCAGCCATAAAAAATGATGAGTTCATGTCCTTTGTAGGGACATGGATGAAATTGGAAATCATCATTCTCAGTAAAGTATCACAAGGACAAAAAACCAAACACCGCATGTTCTCACTCATAGATGGGAATTGAACAATGAGAACACGTGGACACAGGAAAGGGAACATCACACTCTGGGGACTGTTGTGGGGTGAGGGGAAGGGGGAGGGATAGCATTAGGAGATACACCTAATGCTAAATGACGAGTTAATGGGTGCAGCACACCAGCATGGCACATGTATACATATGTAACTAACCTGCACATTGCGCACATGTACCCTAAAACTTAAAGTATAATAATAAGAAGAAGAAGAAATGTTTGACCAGTTAATCCAATTTGATAGGAGTGTGAAAAGCACGATATCATGGTGGTTAGGAGGGTAGACTGTGAAAGTGAACTACATGGACTCAAATTCAGACTCTGTCACTTCCTGTCTGACTTAGACCAAGTGAATGAACCTCTCCGTTCCTCACTTGTTAATAAATGAGGATAATAAATAATACTTCCTCTTAGGCTGAGAACAATGCCTGGCATATTGCAAGCACCCAATAAAGATCAGTCTTTCTCACTTCCTCATTGTTTCTCCTTCAACTTCTTCATATCATCATCATCATCAGAGGGTGGTGGGCTGGCAAAGGCCCCTGGCAAAGGCCCCCTCCAGACTGTGGAAGGCCTTGAGAAGAAACCAATGTTTCAGGTTCACTTCTTTCAGCAGAGAACTAAGGCAAAGGATTCCAGGAGCTATCTTTGTTCATGTGGTGAGCTCACTGATCAAACTGTCTTCTTTGTACCTTTCCCAGTGTCAAACACAGCTTACTCAAAAATACCTACAGACAAAATACCACCTGCCTTATTCATACAACTGCTCTTGGGAGGCACCAAGAACAAGGATACAGTGGAAACTCTGGCTGCAACACCAGTTCCTGATCTATTTTGATCCCAGCCCTCTTGGGAATCTAAGTTATAGACCCTCACCCCAGAAAAATGTACATTGCAGGTTTCCAGATCCCTAGTGGAATCCCTAGTTTAATGGAGCCAAGGGAGAGTCCCCTTATAAGCATTAAGAAACAACGCTACCATCCTACTTCTTGGAGCCTACCAACCAAACATTATTAAAGAAATAGCAAGGATATGCACAAAGATTCCAGTACAGTGTTCTTTATAATAGCCCCAAAATGGGAACAATCTGAATGTTCATCTAATGGGGAATTATTAAATAAATTATGGTACATTTATACAAAAGAATGCCCTGCAGCCACTAAAACTTACAATGTATACTTATTATCTATAACTGAACAAAGGGAGAGGATGCAAACAGTCCCATTTCCATAAAAAATACACATATGAATAAAAAAGGTCTGGGCATATATACTCCAGGGTATTCACACTTTGTTGTGTGATGCAACTATAGGAGTATTTGCTTATCTTTTATTCCACAGTAAACATGTATTGCTTTGTATTAATTTTTTTAAAGGCTATATTTAAATTTTTAAGAACTCATGCTATATGACTGCCTCGAATATAAAACTGTTTTATGATAAGCTTGTTTCATAATTCAAGAGCCAGACCCCTTATATGAATCCAAGAAAGAGCTACCTCTGTGTTACATTTTAGTCCCCAAGAAAAGGAGCTGTGGTGAGGTTTCTGGGACTTTTATGCTTTTTGTAGGAGAAAATCAAGTTCTATGTTTGTGTTATCTGCTAAGTCTAAAATGCTTCGTCTGCCTGCAGAACCCACAAAGAATAAGTAGGCTCTCCTTGGGTGTGTCAAGGTAAATAACTAAAAAATAAACCAAGGGGAGTGGCTAGATGAAGGAAGGAGGGCAGCTGGTGCCAGAGGCACCCACTCTCAGCTCTCCACTTCCTAGGGCCTAGAGTGAGAGCCTTCAAGAAGAGGCCGACAGAAAATGACTTGGGCCTGGAAGATACGGCTTTATCATGAGGACCCAGATAGTTCTCCACTAATAAAATGAAAACTAGCTTATTTAGAATACCCTTAGCTACAAGGAAGTAGGTTTTCATAAAGCTGGGAAAAGTCAGGTACTCCTATATACCCTGGTCCTCAAAAGTCCTGGGAACCGGTATTAGCAAAACCAGTCTACAGCAGGTCTAAGCTGCTGGGCCCTTCGCAAAAGCTGGGGGAAAACATTCACTAGGCCCAGATGGGTAAACTATCCCATGTTCTATCCTGGAATTAAATGAACTATGTGGGCCATCATAAACCATCTATTTTGTACATATGAAGACAAGAGGAACAGAGTTAAATCCTGGTTCCGCCAAGTCAGTTGTGACTTTGAACAACAAACTCTTATTTGTTAAGTCTAAGTTCCTCACCTGAAAAACAGGCTGTTCTGAGGATTAAGCCCCAACTCACAGCAAGTACAAATACTAATAAGCACTCAGTACGTAAGAACCATGCACCCAGCACTGAGCCAAGCAAGGCTTCACATCCATAATTTAATTCTTACAAAGGCTCCACCAATTAGGTATTAGAATGCTAAGTTTACAGGTGAAAGAAGAAACTGAGGCAAGGAATTAAGTAAATTTCCCAAGGTACACAGCTTACGAGTGGGAAACCAGAGCTCTAATCTGGCCAGCCCAGCTCCAATGACTGCATTCTTCACTACTAGGCCCATTTATTTAAATATGTAAGGTTATTTCTCTATGCCTCAGTTCATCATCTATAAAACTGAACTAATACATTGTGCTTCCAAGGTCATTGTGAAGTTTAAATCAAATAACCTATATGATACCAACTATAATACAAGTAGCTCTAGTAGGAAAAGTTTTTTGTCCAGAGACCTGATTTAAAATCCCAGCTCTGCCATTCACTCCACAAATGGTCACAGATGAGTTGCTTACTCTCACTGGGCCACACTCTCCACAGCTGTAACACTAGATTCACTGACTCACTCACTCATTTATTCATTCTCTCAAAATATGTGTTACGTGTCCACCATACATCAAACGTTATCTATATCCTAGCACTACAGCAACAAACACAACAGACAAGATCCATGCACCCTTGTAGGGCTTACTTTCTACAGGGAAGGCAGAATAAAAAACATATAACATGCAAGATGGTTAAGATGGTTACGGGTAGTAAACACATAACATGCGAGATGGTTGTGGGTAGAACCGAGGAAAATAACACAGGGTAAGGGAAAAAGGGAATGTCAGTGATAGGCAGGGGTGCCTTGCTATTTCATAAAGAGCTGTCAAAGAGCACCTCGTTAATATGATGACATTTGAGACAAGGCCTGAAGGGATCAGGGACACCAGACAGAAGAGAAAGTGCAAAGCCCCTGAAGGAGGAGCTGGCCTGGGCATGCTAGAAAAACTGCAGGGTCAGTAGCTGGGGAGGGGAAGCAGGAGAGGGTGGGGCGGCAGAAGTAAGGAGAGAGTGCAGCCAGGGCGATGGTACAGGGCTTTGCAGGCCCTTATCTGGACTTTTACACTGAATGAAAAGGAAAGGCTTTGATTTGGGGGCAGAGATGGGACATGATCTGACTTACATTTTTAAAAGATCACTGATTATTGTGTGGAAAATGCACTACAGTGAGACAAGGATGGAAGCCCAGAGGCCAAACAGGAGAGGCCTGCAGCATCCAGGTGAGAGAAGAGAGGCGAGCTGAAGCGGTGGCAGCAATAATTGGTGGTGAGGACTGGTCAGGGATGGAAGACGTGCAGAAGGCGGGGCTGCACAGAGGCAGCCAGGGAGGGAGAGGAGAACTGAACTCTCAGTGGCATCGTCTGGAAGCCAAGTCAGCCAAGGAGGGAGGGATCAACACGTCAAATACTGCTGCAGTCTGAGCAAGATGAAGACTGAAAACTGATCCTTGGATTTGGCAAAGTGGAAGTTGTTAGTGTCAGGCAAACTGTTTCAGTGGAGGGGTTGAGATAACTCAGAGTCCAGTCCCAATGGGTTTAAGAGAGAAAGGGGAATGGAAAGCAATACTACTGGAGATAAGGGAAAAGGAGAAAAATAATGACTTCACACAGCAATTTAAAAGGATACAGTTTTGACTCTGGAATCATGCTAATGTTATACATATTCAAAAAATTAAATCAATAAAAATAGGGTAGAAAACTCTAAAATTGAATACAAATAAAAACAAATGAATCTAATTGTGTTTCAAATGACTAACCCAACAACAGCTGTACAAAGAATGAAACCAAACAACTTTTAAATTCAAGAACATACTATAATGTATTTTTAGCCTAAAAACAAAGAGAACTACTTTAATAAACAAATCTTAAACTCTTCCAGTGGGTTTGTTTTTCACAGTGGAAAGGGTGGAGTAATTCTGGAACTATGTGTATATATTACAGAACTGAGTAAATCAGCAGATATGGTGATGTTGTCAGAGCCAGGGTTCTTAGTGTTGGAGAAGGGAAGTAAAAATGTGGAAGCGGGAAAAACAGGAAAGAACCCAGTGAGTCTGGACTGGAATTAAAGGCACCATTGTGAAGTAATGATTTTTTTAAAAAATAAATTACACATTTACACACACACACACACACACACACACACACACGCCTGCTAAAGGGCCTAGACACAATGATACCCTCGTAGCAATGAACACACCTAGCACCAAATCTTGGTGGTTAAATATCATTCCTCACTAAAAGGAATCAAGGCTCTTGGAGAAATGGCTCATTCAGGGCAGAAGCAGTACAGGATGAGCATGGAAAATCTATTTTGTCCCAGAAAGTAAGGACGTACTCCCAAAAAGATGGAGACATGTCAAAAGAAACTGCCACTTACCAAATCTGGGACAATATAATATGAATGTCAGAATGGATAATAGTCCATTGAATAAAATAAGAATCTTTAAGCCCACACTGATCATAAACAAACAAGAAATATAGTAATAAAAGGAATTAATAGAGAATGCATTCTTCTAGTACATGCCACCTAATATAAATGAAGAAGGAATGTGATTAAAAAATGTTAGTGTTAGAAAAAAACTGTCATAGGAACATTTGACTCAGACAAGAATCATCAATATATGGTAAAACTCATGGTAGAAGTTTGAAGAGGAAGAGAATACTTACAGAATAACAAAGTATCTTCTACAAATTATTCATTACACAGGTTAATATAATTTACACTGGAGAAAACTGACAGACATTACCTTAAGGAAGTGATCAAAGTTAATATCACCAAAAACGGGATTAATATTGTGTGCCTCCTTAAGAAAACACCATAAGAACAAAATAATCTCTTATGCAGCATTCCTGCCAAAACTGCATAGCCAATCTAATCTAACCAATTTAATCTAATCATGAATTGAGTCTTGCGGAAAGAACAGATAATCCCAAAGCGAGGGGCTAGCCTGAACTATTGAAGTATGTTCACATCACGAAAAGAAGAAAGGGTGAGGAACTACTCCGGATTAAAGGAGACGAGAGACACATGACAACTAAATGTAACGTGGAGACTGGATCCCGGACCAGGATCAGGATCCAGAATAAACTGTCATAAAAGACATTATTGAATTAATTATAAAAATTCAAATATAGGCTGTATATTAGATAATAGTATATTAGACAACACCTTTTCTGATTGTGATAACAATACCATGGTTATGCACGAGAATTTCCTTGGTCTGAGGAACCACACCCTGAATTATCTAGGGAGAAAGGAACATCATAGCATCAATCCACTCTCATAGAGCTCAGAAAGATAATAATAGAGCGCGTGTGTGTACAGACAGGGAAAGATAAAACAAATGTGGCAAATGCTAACAACTGATGAAGCTGGGTGCACAGTAAATGGGAGTTCTTTGCTGTAGTCTCAAAAAAAAATTATTTTAAAAATTTTACCTAGCACATAGCAAAGGTTTCTTTCACCCTTCCTCTGGCCATCCTTAACTCTTCGATATACTTTTTAACTGATAAAAATTTTGCTTGGTTGACTGGATTTTTTGCTTGCCAACATTTAAAACACATGAGTTTTCACAAAAAAAAATAAATAAATAAAAAATCCCATCTTTTCTGGAAAATTTGTAAGATGCAAGAACTGGCAACTACGTGACCACTGCTGAGTGAGAGGCAGTGCCTTCTGGCTGGCTTCACTCATGTACCTCACCAGCCCGGCCCCTGAGGCGTCTAAACTGGACTCCTGGTTTGTAACAGTGCCGACCACAAGCCATGTGGAAGTGGTCACTGGGAGGAAGCAGCAGCCAGTGTGGTTCTGCTGTCACCTCATCAAGGCAGAGGGGTGAAAGATAACTAAGGCCAAGGAGTTAGCTCCTCCTGTGCCCCTCCAAGAAGTCCTGGGTCAATTACTGATGTCTTAAGACTCGCGTACCTCACCCTACCTACCGTTGAGAAATAGCTTTTCCAATTTCTCCAGCAGCTCAGCACATTGATTCAGCTGTTCCTGGAAACCCTCGGCCACACAGTAATCCACATCACTGGCCTGCAGCAACTCCTCAAATGCCTTAATCATGGTGTTCATGTGTTGACGGGAGATGACACAGATGCCATGGCCATCCTTAATCTGCTGCCGTTGAAGGGAGAGCTCCCTGGCTTGGGACTGAACTAATGAATCGTATCTGATAAAAGAGGGGAAAGAAAATACTTGGACCATTTTAGAATTGAATTTTTGTGACCTTAACACTAATTGGAAAAATGACAGAGTACAATTTTTAAAAGCCTGCAGCTGTACAAGTATATATACTTTTAGAAAAATTGAAACTGTACAAGGTCAGCTCTTCTTTGATTTCACACAGCCAACAAAGGCTGGAACAAAGATTCTTCTGCAACATTTTTAACCTTATAAAGCCCCCAATTAAAGTACAGATTGGCAAGAACTCAGGCAAACAATAAGTTTCCATACACTCTTCAAAAATACTATTCTGAATTGTAGAAACAAGTGCCCCAAGGGTCAGAGGATCTACCAAAAATTCTCATGAAGTGTGATAAAGAAAGTGTACCACAAAGAAAAAAAGACAGGACTCTCTCCTCCCGAACAAAACGTCACTGAATAATCATGATGCTAACTACCATTTACTGAGGGTCTAGGACCTGTCAGTAACTGAATTCAGTGCTTTATATGTTATCTGATCCTCTCAGTCTTCCAACAAATGTATAAATGTCCCCTTTTACAGAAGAATAAACTGACTGCAAAGCTAATTAAGTGGTAAAGATTTTGGATTCAAACACAATTCTCACTTTGAAGATCATTATGCAATATTACCTTTTTACCGTCATGTGCCACCTTTTCCTACGTGAGCCCATAAGAGAAAGACACTGAGAAGTAAACAGGTTAAGGGAAATGTGACTCATGTAAACTGGCCACAATAACCTTGCTCCAGAGAGTAGCTTGGCAAAGATGTTGACACTTCAGTTCAACATAATTTTCTCCTTCCTGGAAATGACAACACTACATGGGCTGGCAGTCACCTTCAACATAGAGTGTGCACATGCAGATTACATGATACCAGCATTAAAGGTGGGGGCCAGTATCATGTGAGTACTGGAGTAACATGGGTAAACATGGGTAACTCATGAGTAACATGAGTAAACATGGGTACTGGAGTGGGATGATGTGGGCTTGAACCCTGGCAATGGCTCTGACCAGCTCTGTGAATGTTCTCTGCCAAGTCACTGCAGCTACTTTGAGGCTCAGTTTCCCTACCTGTAATAACTAGTTTAAGAATACCTCCTTCTCAGGTGATTTTGAGGATTAGATAAGAAAAGTGCCTAACCAGGGGCCTGAGACAACAGCCTTTCAATAATTACAAGCTTCCTTCAATCTCACTGCTTGGGAAGTCTTGAAAAATTCATCCTGGCTCCTGACAATTCAGAACAATGTGTTTGACTCAAATTAGTGACAAATGAAGGTCAACTTTACTAATGATCCCATTTTTGCCATATCTCATGAAGCAAAACCGTATATATCTATGCCCATAAAGCATTATCTTCATGACCTAAGAATTCTTCTCTTTCAACACAAGCTTATTTCTCTAAGATGACCTTAAAGGGTAAAGATATGGAAAATATTTATATTCCTCCTACCTTGCCTAGACATCAGTTTTAGTTTCACAGCACAGCAAAAGCCAGTAACAGAGTCCAGGAGTACACACTGCAGTTCAGCAAAGGCACTATCACTCACCAAGTGACTGGTATGAAACCTTTACCCTGAGCCCCCAACTTGAGGAGGGCGAAATCTGCCCTGCAGATTTCCAGAGGACCCAAGACTCGTAACTGACGTTCAAGTGCGTGGTCGCTGTTCCTCTTCTTTGTGGCCTCACCTCTCCCTTCTCCACAGGACCTGGCTGCCTGAACCCCACCATCAAGCCTTCCCCAGAACACACTCTACCCATCACAGAGTAGTGTTCTCTTTTAGCTCATGGGCTCCCACCTAGTGGCAATACTGGGGGACTACAGGCTTAAACGGGGAGACGGCAGAGGTGGAACGTACCTGGGAGGTGAGAGATCTCTGAACTTATTCTGCAGATTATGGATCTCACTGAAAAGTTGCATGTTCAAATTCTGCTCCTTCTGCAGCTTGTATTCCTGTTCCTCCAGCTGCTGTTTGAGGTTCTCCAGCACCCTGCTGTCAATCATCTCTGGGGCCAGCGGACCGAGGATTTTCACGTGTTTCACGTATCGCACTTGGTGCAAACTTGAAAAGGTCATTTCTTCCCCATCAGAACCATTCTTGGGCTTGCTCAAGCCATCCTGGGCCCCTTCTGTCCCACACAAAACTGTAATTATGGCCTCACTGCACTGGGAGTGCTTTTGAAGCTGAAATATGAAATTCTGGTAGCCTTCCAGCTCAGTTTCCAAGTCATGGATTTTCTGTTTTAAGTATTCTGTCTCATTTGAGGTATTAATGCTCTCTGACTGATCAGTCCCCATCACACTGACTTTAGCAGAAGGCTGACTCTTGGAACTCAGGTAAGTAGCTACTGAAGTTGGGCTCAGAACATCTTCAGGATTTTCTTTGCATGATGGCAAGCTGGCAAGGTCATCAGGTGGGCAAATCTCAGAGTCTGAAAATCAAATACACTTATGTCAGTATCTCTTTTACTAAAATCCAAACCCTCTCTCCTTCCTCACAGCCCTAGCCAAGCCAAGACCACTGCAGTGACCTAACAAGCCTCCCTCAAAAAGGCCCTAGTATTTCCTAACACACTTCCCTCAAAAAGCCTCCAGTCTTTCCTAACAAGCCTCCCTCAAAAAGCCCTAGTCTTTCCCTCTTTACCCCTCAGTTGTCCTCTTCCTCAGAGTGACTGTTCTAAAAAGTAATTTTAACCATGATAAACCCACACACACACCCCCTAAAATTCATCGACATTCCCAGTATCTACATGAGACCTTCCATGATCTAGTTCCAGGCAACCTTTCCAGGAATATCTCTGGCACCACTCTGGAGATTTCCTACAAAATTAACCATGATTCCCTGCACATTGCGTGCTGTGTCATGCCTCCATGCTTTTGCATGGGCCGTGCCCTCTGCCTGGAACACCTTCAGCCCTCTATTCTACTCCTACCTAATGAACTCTTTCCATACCCAGATCTAATTTTCCTTCCTCTGCAAGCCCACTGCCAAACTATGCAAAAGTCACAACTCGCTGTGGTTCTGTAGCACCTTATGCATATTACTCAAGACAAATATACTATGTGCTGGGTGCTAAAGTAAAAATTTTAAGTGGCTTATTTATTGATTCACATAGCAATTCGTCATCTGAATGTAGCTCTCCCTCACCAGACTGCACGTTTCTTCACAGCAGAGATGTGGCCTTTCATTTTCACATTCTCGGCGTCTAGTACAGAACCTAACCCAGACCAGAAGTCAGTGCCAGTGTGAGAAATATTGAGAGATTCTGTGAAGCAACAGTAAAGAGTGGTAATTCTGAATATCCACAACACGTGACAGTCTTCTCATTTCCATGTCTAATGGCTTCCAGGAGATGCCCTGACATCCCCTTTAGTGAGGTGTTTCACTCACTCACAACACTGCCAGGAAATATTTCCTTATAGCTAGTAATAGCTAAACCCTTAGAGATGCAGTCAAACTTGTTTCAGAAGTGGAGTAGTACAGCAGAAAGAATATGAAGTTTGAAGGCCACACAGCCTGAGGCAAGTGACTTTACTATCCAAGAGCCTCAGTTTCCCCTGTGTCTAAAATGTAGAAAGAGATGTCTCATATGGTTGTAGTGCAGCTTCTGTTCTTAACCACTGTGCCACACTGCTGGCTGCCCAGGGAAAGTTCCGTTCAATATAGAGAGCTGTCTGAATACTTAAGGGGCAGCGGAATGTAGTAGAAAAACCTGTCTTTGAAATTCAACAGACATGGTTTCAAACTCTGGCTCTGTCACATAGGCAAGTTACTTGACCTCTCTGAGCTTTAGTAGCTTTATCTGTAAAATGGAAAGAACATCACTGAAAAGTTGTGTGTGTGTGTTTGTTTTTAGGGATTATATGGAACAAAATCTGCAAAAAGAAAAAAAAGGCTAGCACAGTGTCTGGCACATAGTAGTGAAGGAATCCAAGTAACACAAACATCCTCTAACCATTCCAAGATAGAAGGAGATGCCCTTCACCGGAGGCGTGCGTGCGAAGGCCAGCCTGGAAAAATGCTACAAAAGCAACAACGTGGGTTGGACTGGGTGACCTAGGAGATCTCTCAGAAAGAAATTCACACACAAATCCTCATCAGACTGCATGTCCCAATTTCTGGTTCTGCAATCTGCTCCTTGTGACTTGAGGTACACTCTTGTATCTGTTCATGATGCAAATACCATAAAGTATGGCATTTCATTTCAGAAAGCAGCTGCTACCTGACCTAAAGGAAGCATTCCTAATACAGTATTTTTATTATACACAATGTTATGATAATTACTCAATAAGAGCCTTGAGGGTGCAGACCGTGTCATCCATGTCTGTTTCTCCAGTATCTAGCACAGGGTCTGCGACAGAGAATGTACTCACCAAGTATTTCTGGCTGAACAAGAAAGAGAAAGAGGAACTGGGGAGGGAGATATCTCTCCATAAGGCTTTTTTTCCAGTGAATCACCCTCCAAGACAAGAAAATATCTTTGCTGTAATAACCTCATGATAATAGAATTTGGTCTGTACTTCATGGCAAGAAGCGTGTTCACTCATGGAAATAAAGATTAGTTCCCAGGACTTTCCTTAAGTAATTATGAGGCATCACTAGTACCCCCATTTTACAGAAGAGGAAGTTGAGGCTTAGGGAGCTTAAGAATTTGCTTAGGGTTCAGGGTAGGTAAGCAGTAGAGCCCCTCCTCAAAGCCTGGCAGTCTGCCTCTAACACTCTGAATGATGCTTCCCGAAGTAACACTCCTGCAATCCAATCTCCTGTACCGCGGTGCATGAGCAAAGAGAGAGAGAGTTCTTAACCCTCAATGTGAAGGCCAAGATGCCTGTAAAATCCTTTATTCACATCCCAAGTATCTGTCAAGGGCCTTGTGAAAAAGAAACAGCAATGAAGATGTCACACGCAGCACCCAGCCTCAGCTGCGCAACAATTAAAAGGTGGAAGTTCAGGCAGATGCAATTCACATACAAAGTTCTGGAAGCACATTCAGAAAAATGAAAGACATTCAGTAATGAAGGGAAGTACTGACAGGGAAAGGGAAGCTGTCGATTAGTTAAGAAGTCTGTATTAATAACTATCAAGAAGAAATCAAAAGATGTCCCCAAGACCATTTATGAATATTTGCATTATAAGAAATACTATAGTTCTACAACTTTCCACAATTCAGCTAAGGGGGACTTTATTGCCTGGTAGAGTAGCTTTCTCCTCAAAGCCCAGAACACGCAGAAGCATGTGACCATGTGTTCACTGCAGTGACTCTGGACCTTGCAAAAGTATACAACAGTGTATATACCACAACTCAGTATTTTTCCAGAGACTGGTGTCCCCATGGCCATCCCATGACAAATTTAGGATTCTTGAGGACAATTATTTCTAACAGAGTGAATTAGATCTGGATTAATAGTGATTTTTTTTAATGAAGGGGGAAAAATATCTAACATAAAAAGAATGTAGGCATTTGTTCATTCTGGTTGAATGAGAACATGAGTATTTGTTATATTATCTTTTGTGCTTATGTATGCTTCTAATACTTCATAATTTTAAAAAGAAAGGAATACAACTTGCCTCTGCCCTCACCCGTATCTCTGCACCTTTTCCACTGATCTGCCTGGCAAACCCCACAAACCCAGTCTCAGCCTCAGGCTCTCTTCTGACCCACTCCTCCTGGGCACACGGACCAACACCAAGCACACCTCAGCAACAGGCAGCCCCGCGCTGAATACTAACAGGCTGTTGGGATGATTGTCTCCTCCGAGCTGTGGGGTCCCTAAGAGCAGGCTGTGTCTTTTCATGTTGAACCACCAGAACCCAGCCCACTGCCTGGTAGAGAAGCATGCTGACACATGGACGGGTGGGTTCTGACATCCTACTGTACCTTGACTCTTCTCCTACTTACCAGCTGGGTGACCCTGGGTCAATTATTTCTTAAAACCTCAGCTTCCCATGTGTTAGACTGGAATGATAATAATGCCCTGAGAGGGCTGCTATGGGCTTAGTAATAATTTTTAGATAAAACATCCAAATGGTGCCTGGCACATGGAAGCTGTTCAATACACACAGGGGCTGAATTCTGACCAATCTCGTAGCTTCTTTGCTGATCACTGTCCATTTCCTTGTCTCTCCAGACAGAAGATGTGGTTTTAATTCCTTTCTGCTCTCCTGGGCTGTCCTGGTAGGCTGCTCCCACAGGGGGCTGAGCTACAGGCAATCACAAAGAGAAAGAAAAATAAATAAAACCGTAAGACCTGAAACTTAGCCAAGCAACTGAGAAGAACACAAAGATACAACAGGGAAAATAAAAACACTGGGGAGGCAAAATGCAATTTATAAGATAAAATTAATCTATCGAGCTGCCATAACAGGACATAAAAAGCATAAATATACTGCAGCTTGTCTGAAATGGTTTAAGTCCAGGCTCTCAAAAAGCTGAGTGAGAAAATGAATTCTATCAATTCGTGCCCATTTTTCCCAAGAAGAGAGAGGCCCTAGGGTCTCCTGGGCAACTGTTTGAGGTAGCACCTGGAGTTGAGGCACTCTGGTGTCTCAGCAAAAAATAAAAACAGTATTGAGTGCAAATGGCAAGCTAGGAGCCAGCATGGTGGCTCATGCCTATAATCCCAGCACTTCGGGAGGCCGAGGCAGGGGGGCCACTTGAGGCCAGGAGTTCAAGACCAGCCTGGGCAATATAGCAAGACCCCCATCTCTACAAAATATAAAAAATTTAAATTTGAATTTTAAAAAATGGCAAGCTATGGGCAAAGTGCCAGGGCCTCTGTTGAGCTGAGTTACCTTTGCCATAAAATCTTTCCTCCATGAAGGTCCCCACAACCCTGTATTGATTTAGTTAACTGCCACCTCCCCAAGCCCACACCAGATGGGGAGTTCTCAGAAGGCAGAGACTGCATCTGATTTATTTCTCTCCTACCCCCAGTGCATGAGGCTGGAAACATAGCAGGTGCTCAGGGAATGTTCACTGAATGAATGAAAAGATGTCTGGATGATGGTTGAATGGATTAGAAGAAGGTAGATAAGGAGGTGGTAAGGGAAGAGCAATTCTGCCAAAGGTCTTCTTATCTGGAAACCTCAACTATGGTAAACCCAAAAGAAAACTTAAAATTAAATGGAACATACCTTTGGCTATGGATCTTCATAAAATCCATACAAGAAGTATCACATACTAGGCTTTGTGAAACAGTAAAGAACATGGACTTTGAAATTAGGCAGGCTGATTCCCACCTAGCTAGAAAAGTTAGTCACAGTGTGACTGTAGCCAAGTCACTTTATCTCTGAAACTGCTGCCTTAACTATAAGATGGTAGTAATTTCTGTATCTGCCTCAAAGGACTGTTGAGAGAACCCAATTAGATCATGTACTTAGAGTGTATAGCAAGACTCAGTAAATAATAGGTGCTTGTTTTATTAATACCACAGTATGTCCAAGACTCCAGAGTCATCTCCAATCCCTGACCCACTCTGGAAATCCTCTAATCTGATGCAACCTCCTGCCCTGGTACTCATTTCCTTCGTTGGCAAGTCCCAAAGAGCATCAATATCCTCTCTGAACATTCATCTCTCCCCATCACTCTAAGTGAACTTGGGATGACCCCAAGGACACTGCTTCTCCCGCAGCCTTCAAAGTTGTGGTCATTTCTTTCCCATAGCTCTCATATCATGGGCCCAAAGTGTGTAAGTGTCTTTGCTCCTCGCTGCCACTTCTACATCATTCTCTCTCTTACCTGAAAATTCCACTTTTGCAGCTCATGCTTCCAGAAGATACCACCAACGACCCCACTTTACTGTAATCATCCATGGTCCCCTGATTCACTGAATCCCTTGAGGTTCGGTGACAATGTGGCTCCTAACTGCCTTCCTTCTCTACATTGCTTTACGGTATAATTCCTCAGGGCTGTCCATGCTTGCTGTCTCCAATCTCTCTCCTCCATTCTCTCTCTGCAACCCATGCCAATCACGCTGCACCCACTCCACGGAAACAGCTCCCTTCAAGTACACCAATGACTTCCACATTGTTAAATCCCAAAGCCAATCCTCAGTCCTTGTCTTACCAGATAGCAATATCTGACACTGCTAATCCCCTCCTTACTCAGCTTCTGGGGAGTCACCCTCTCTTGGATCCCTCCTACCTCACTGGCTGGTCTTCTTGGTCCAACCTTTAACCACTAGAGAGCCTCAGTTTCAATTCCTGGACCTGGTTGCTATGGCTCCAAGTCATATAGCTTCAAATATTACCAAAATATTGCTATTTCCTAACTTTGTATCTCTAATCCAGACCTCTACCCTTGACTCCAGACTCATCTGTCTTTAATTGCCTATCTAATTATCTCCACCGGAATGGTCAACAGGCATCTCGAGTATGTCCAAACCAGACCCCTAATGTCTCCCTCATGCTTGCCTCTCATGCAGTCTTCAGTCTTTCTCATCTCAGTGAATGACAACTCCATCCTTCCAAAGGTTCATATCCAAAGTGATCCTTTAAAGCAGAGGTTGGACTACCTTTCTTAAAGTCAAATAATAAATACTTTAGGCTTTGCAGGCCATAGAGTCTCTATGGTAACTACTCAATTCTGCCATCAAAGCACAAAAGCAAACAGAGACAATATGCAAACAAATGGGTGTGGCTGTGTTTCAATAAAATTTTATTTCCAAAAACAGGAAGTGAACTGGATTTGGCCCACAGGCTGTGGTTTGTCAACTCCTACTTTTTTTTTTTGAGATGGAGTTTCGCTCTTGTGTCTGCTCACTGCAACCTCCACCTCGTGGGTTCAAGCAATTCCCCTGCTTCAGCCTACTGAGGAGCTGGGATTACAGGCACGCGCCACCATGCCTGGCTAATTTTGTATTTTTAGTAGAGATGGGGTTTCGCCACGTTGGCCAAGCTGGTCTCGAACTCCTGACCTCAGGTGATCTGCCCGCCTTGGCCTCCCAAAGTGCTGGGATTACATGTGTGAGACACCGCACTCGGCCTGTCAACTCCCACTTTAAGGCTTAAGTCAAATCACGACTCTGCTGCTCAAAACCCTCCAAAAGTTTCCAATCTTACCAAGTAAAAGAGTCCTAGAATGGCCTTTGAGAGCCTGCCTGATCTGCTGCCTCCTGGACCTCATCTTCTACATACAACTCTCCCTCTTCCTCACTCCACTCCAGTCACACAATTAGCCTCCTTACTATTCATCCATCTTCCCCTGTTCACAGCAGCACCAGGGCCTTTGCCTTCTTCCTTCTTCCCAAGATGACTAGTGCACTCATTTCCCCTGTCTCCCTTCAAATGCCACTTCACCATGGAGGCTCTCTAGCATTCATGACATAAGCAAATCCTGCCCCTCCTCCACATTCCCCACACTTGAATCCTGCTTCATTCTTTTCCACGGCATTTATTTTCTCACGTTGTACATATGCTTATCAGCTTTCTGTCTTCGCCCCGACCCTACACACACACACAAGAATGTAAGCTAGACAAAGACTTCATCTGCTTTGGTCACTCCTCTCTCCTCAGTGCCTAGAATAGTGCTTGGCACACAGAAGAAATGAATAAATAAATAAAAGATTACTTTTGTTGTTCTTGTTATGGTGCTGCTGCCATCTGCTCACAGAAGTTCAAAATTAGGAGTCAACATATGCACTTTTGTGGATCATGAGCCCTGAGAAAATGATGTAAAATGCTACTTATATGCTCAGCTGCATCATTCTGTGGGAGGGCCCTCTGCTTTCTTCAGATTCTCAAAGGGTTAGTGGTCCAAAATCTCTAAGCACCACTGTCCTAGACTAGAGGACGCCACTAGACACACTTCCTCCAAGTCTCTGGATCCTAACTATTCAGGTACATTTTAACACAGGGGCTGTTGTCTTGCCTCCCAGGAGAGCAGAGCCAGCAGGTTCAAAGAGGGTGGGGAAGTGGGTTACTTCTAGAGGAAGACGCAAGGTTAGTAAGGTTTGGAATTAGCCCCAAGTTGGCCTGGACATTACAGAGAACCCTGCAAAGTGGACCCTCACTTGCATACCTCTGATGCCACACGCCAGAGGCATCCACAGACAAAGCCAAACACAACTGGGGCATCTGCGGACAATCCTTAGTGAAGGCAGCAGTGCCCCCTCAGACCTATGAGCACTGCAAGTTCCCTTTATCCAGACTCCAGAATAAAATGAAAGCAATAGATTCATTCTCCTTATTGTGTTCCCTCTGTTGTGCATTTGTCAAGAGTCAAGATTAATCACTGCAATTCATGAAATTTATACTCAAACTTATTGCAATTCTAAACAACAAGGTTGACATTTCAAGCAGTTCTATCGAGCCGTTTGTCTAGCTCACAGGGAATACATTTTTCTTGGTGCTTACCATTCAGCAACGTTTTGTCGGGCGTTGGCCTCCCCTCCATCACTGCTTCAGCCAGAATTAACTTTTGGTGAAGTTGCTTATTACAAGTTTTAAACTCCTTCAGCTCCCCCTGCAGCTCCAAGATCTGGCTCTGCAGCTGCGTCACCACCTCCTGGGTGGCAGGGAGACGATACATATTTCCTAATGACCGGGATGGTTTTATTAGGATTGGCAAGCGGGACTTCTTAGCCTCCTGAAAACACACATATGCAACAATGAATACACTTTGAACACACTTCCTTTGGTTGCACAGTCAACATTCTCATGCCAGCCTTATAAAACGGAATTCGAACTGGCTGCCCAGACTTCTCGTTCCCATAATGGCAGCTATGCTTATCCACCAGCCAAGGAGCTTGTATCTTGGCAGGTCCCTCCTCTGATCATCAAGAGCCAAGCTTCTCCTCGCCACCCTCCTGGCCCTGGCCTATCGTCTCTCTGGACAATCCAGACACTCCATAAATGGCAGTTCTTCTTCCAACCTGATCTTCTGGGAAATGTTATTTTGCTCCTTATCTATTTCCTTGTTTCCCAAACATTCCTCAGTCTAATCTGGTCTGGCCTATCAACCCCTGCTAGTCCCCCAGAACCACCCCTTACTTTGGTGGCTACTAAGTTGCCAACCCAGCGGATATTTCCCAGGCTCAGAACTCCCAGACATCTTCATTTGTAGTGACTTACGGGCACTACAGAGTCAACTGAAAATTCTACTCTTCAGCTCCATCACCCCGTGTCTCCGCTGCAAATCTACGCCACTTCAACAATCTCTGTCTTGGTGAATCACATGACTATCCATTTACTACACAATCTAGAACCATGGCAATGATTTTTAAGTTTCCCTTTATTCTTGCCACCCACTTTCACTACTCATCAGGGTCCATTAATTATAACTCCCAGGCTGTCTCTCCATTCTTTCAACTCTTCTCATCCTCCACTGCTACCACTCAACTCCAAGATGCTGTTAGTTCTCACCTAAGTCATGGCAACAGTCTCCTGGGTGGTCTCCACACATTTACTTTTGCCCTCTCTAAGCCACTGTCCACGCTACAGCAAAAAGACAAACCTACTACTCCTCTCTTCTGCCTAAAACTATTTTAATTGCTTTCCAGTTCTATCAAGACAAAGGTCAACATCCATACCACAGCCTACAAAGTCCTGCAGGACCTACAGCCTGAGTTATACCCCCTTCCACTTCACCCTGCTCTTCAGCAACAATGACCTTGGTTCCTCAAAATGCCTTCCTTCTACCTCAGGACCTTAGCATATGCCGACTCCTTTGCCCAGAACACTTACTCCTTCCTACTTCCCCGACTAACTCTAAATAGCATTCATTAAAACTCAACTCAAATGGGCCTTCCTCAGGAAAATGGGACTTGATTTCCAAGACCAAGGCAGGGCTCCCTATTAGACACTCACTGTCCCCTACATATCCCCTCAGAGAACCTTAGTATCATTTTAATTAAATGCCTGTGCAATTATCTGTTCCTTGTCTATCTTCTGCACCAACCTGTAAGCTCCAGGGTTAAGAGGCTTTGCATATCTTGGCCATACTCTCTGTATAGCTTCTAGCATAAGAACTAGTACACAGTAGGTACTCAACAACTATTTGTGGAATGAACATATAAACAATAACTTAAGAGGCCAAATGGGGGTCTCTTCCAACTGGGGAATTTTAAACATTCAAAAGCTGGGAAGAGGGACTTAAATCCAGGCTATATTTAAAGAAATACTACGACTCAATAATAAAAACAAATAATCCAATTAAAAGATGAGCAAAAACTCTGATAGTCACTTCTCCAAAGGAGATATGTGTATGGCCAATAAGCATGTGAAAAGATGCTCAACATCATTAGTCACCAAGGAAAATGTAAATCAAATCACAATAAAATACCACTACTTCATACCTATTAGAATGGCTATAATCAAAGGACAACAACAAGTGTTGATGAAGCGGAGAAATTGGAACCCTCACACACTGCTGGTGAGAATGTAAAGAGGGTACAGGCACTTTAGAAAACAGTCTGGCAGTTCCTCAAAAAGATTAAACATAGAGTTACCATCTTACCCATCAATTCTACTCCTAGGTATATACTCAAGAGAAATAAAAACATTATCACCCCCAAAATTTGTACATGAATAGCAACATTATTTCTAATAACCAAAAGTGGAAACAGCTCAAATGTGCATCAACTAATGAATGTGGCATATCCACATGGATATACTATGGAATACTGTTTGGCAATAAAAATAAATGAAGTACTGATACATGCTACAACGTGAATGAACCTCAAAAACAGTATGCTAAGTGGAAGAAGCCAGTCACCAAAAACCACATATGACATGATTCCATTTATATGAAATAATCCAGAATAGGCAAATTGAAAGAGACACAAAGTAGATTCGTGGTTGCCTAGGGCTGGGGTGGGCAAGTTCAGGGGAAATGGGAAATGACTGTTAATGAGTACAAGGTTTCTTTTGGGATGATGAAAATGTTTAAAATTGTTGTCCAACTCTGTGAATAGACTAAAAAAAAACCCACTGAATTGTATACCTTAAAGGGATGCACTGTATGACATGTGAATTAAATCTCAATAAGGCTGTGTTTTTTTTAAAGTTTTTAAATAGCAGAGGAGAAGGAACCCAAGAGGAAAACAGAAAATATTTGGGACCCAAGAAATGAGATCACTGAGGTCTCTTAAGAAGGAAAGAAGAGTAAGGGCCCCTTCTTGAACATTCTAGGATATAAAATGCTTTCAAGCACACTTTCCCATAATCCAGAAGTAAACTCTGCATTCCCAGAACTCACAGGATAAGAGACATTATCATTCTTACTTTCCAGATGAAGAACCGAGATGTCAAACAACTAGTCCAATGTCACAGTGCAAGAAGGTTCAAGAGTCAGACCTCAGACTAGCTCTTCAGGGTCCACTGCTCAGTTCGGAAAAGTGAGATGCTTTCTGCTCTGAAATTCCAGGTAAGAGGAGAGAGCAGGTTCAAGGATAAGAACAGTTTGAGGTGGCAAAAGGAGACCACGTGGGAGGAGGTGGATGCCTCAGCAAAGAGGGCTGGAAAATAACAATCATTTGCTTCGTCCTCAGTCTCCACCAATCTTTATTCCTGGATCCAAATCTGTGTGTCATATGGCAGCAGAAAACATATCTGCAAGTGCACAAATGCCAAAGCCAATTTCAAGCTGGAAGACTGCCGTCAGTCAACCTAATGCTTGTTCTAAAATAACACCACACAAAATGCTACCTTATGGACTCTAAACAGAGTCCCACCTACCACATTATTGAAGATGTCACATTGGAATTTCTTCCTTGGGAATGGAAGGGAAACAGGAACTCACACAGTCTGAGCTCCTACCATGTACAAGGTACTGTACTAGACACTTGCCAAAGGCTCAAAGCAGGTAAGTGGCCAGGCCGGATGCAAACACATGTATATCAGTAAAGTCCATCCTCTTGTCTGTAACTAAACAATTGAAAGGATACTTGGTCTCCGTGTTTCTATAACTAAACAACTGTAAGGATATCTGGTCTCCTTGTCTCACCCTCGGGCTGCAGTGATGTTCCTTTTAACAGGATATCAGAGTATCCTATTAAAAGAGGTAAGCCATAGGATTATCAACTCCTTAACTACCAAAGACCACAAAAAATATCATTAAATTTCCTTCTACTTTGCATAGACTGGAGGCCATGGTGGTGATTGGAGGGCTCTTCTCTCCCAGAGAAAGGCAGGTTTATAATATCCCTGTCTGCATTTAAAACCAGACTTTAGTTTATATCCCTGTCACTCCACTTACCAGCTAAATCACTCTGGACAGTTTTCTGAGCCTTTTAAGAGCCTATATTTCTTCATAAGTAAAATGTAGGTAATACCTACCAAATTCATACTCTTGTTGAGAATATTAAATGAGATTATATATATTATATATTATATATATAATATATATACAGACAAACAGAGAGTATCTAGCACAATCCCTAATAGATACTAAAAATAATAATAAACAAATACGGTTTCCTTCCTTTTGAAGACATAGCAAGAGGAATAATTTCAAACTAAAAAAATACATATTTTAATATATTTGGGGAAATTAAGTCCATTCAATTCTCCAGTTTTCCTGAACACAGAATAACATCTCTCACACAATGAAAAATTCAAACAAAAAAAACAAACAAACAAAAGACACCTAGTTTTCCTGATATACAGGTACAAATTGAAGGAGCTGGGGCAGATGAGAGCATTTCTATTATAGCCAAATTGCACAAATTTGCATTTCTAGTACCGTTAATATAATGGCAGTCTCTCTCTCTCTCTCTCTCTCTCTCTCTCTCTGGTCTCTACTGATATCTTTAGAAAACTCTTTTCTAGAAATTACAGTTTTGGTGCATAATTTAAAACAATCAAAAGCAATTTTGCTAATGATATATCTAACTCTCTTTTGTATGCGCAAAAGCAGTAATTTAGTGGTCAGAAAATAAACTTAATTCTCCATTCTGATGCTATAAAGCAGTGTGTACAGTTGATTTCTCAAATACAAAACACCCATCAGAAACAAGAATATCAACAGCCTTCACTGAACCACTATTAGAAACACGACCTATTTCCTTCTCTCCCAGAACACATCTCCCTTCTATAGGGATTCTTGGCCGTGGGGGGGTCAAGCCGTGACCTCAAGAGGATTTTCATAAGGGTCCAATGAAACATTGCCAAAAGAATCTGGTTTTAACAATCTGGCATACTTGATAGGATGTGCAGAGCTTAGAGACAGTATCTAAGCTGAAGGAAAATCAACATGCAAACATTCACTCAACAAACCCGGGTTGGAAGGTAGCCTGATCCAGGGAAAGGGTGTGGCTGTGCAGTCAGGTACAGTGGGAGTCCCAGCTCAGCCCCTTAACCACCGGTTAACAACGGGAACATGGGGTGTGGCTTCCAGATCTTTGATGAGTGTTGTCAGGATAAAAGAATATAGATGAAGCCCTCAGAATAATACCTCTCCTACACAAAGTCTGCACAAGATAAAACCTAGGTTCTCATCCCTACCCCTAAAGTCAGGTTATGACAATTTGACTGCAACCTGCAAAAGCAAATGTTCATCAATACAATGAAAACTGTATAAATTTTGGGACATCTCCACAATGCAACCTTATGTAGCCATTACAAGGAAAGATGTTCCTCATAACATGAAAGAGACAGCTACAGACAGATAGACAGATGTATAAACAAGACCTCACGTGTGTTTTTTCTAAGGAAAACACATAAATGTCACAATATATAGATAAATTAGATAGGGCTGAGATGGAGGAAGAGAGACAGAGGGAGTGAGGGGAAGGAGAGGCAGGGGAAGGTCAGTGAGGACATGCAGCTCTGGGTGGAGGCCAGGGTAAGTGCAAGCAGAGGGAGACACTGGACATTCTTGTCATATAAATGGGAAAAAAGTGGTGAGATTAAAGGTGATTTTTAAAGTTTTTTGTTTGGATAAAGTAAGTACATAATTATTACATGGAAAAACTTACTCTGTTGGTAATACCAGGGAGGGAAAGGAGGGCAGCCTGCCACCCAGGCACCCCGTGCAGGTTCTCTGGCCGATGCTCTGCGCTGAGTGCAGTGTTGATCGGTTTCTCTTCCCAAGCCTCTCTTGTTGCTTCATGCTTGAATCTCAGCAGGTCGCCCTCCGTGGCCACAGTCTGCACTGAGGCATCTTTCAGTCCTACCTTGGGCACTTCGCCTGCCTTTACTAGCTGGGCCTCACAAGACAACTTCAGTTCATCATGTGGCTTGGAAAATGAGTTGGTTTGGACAAAATGTACAAGTTCACCTTTTTGCTTAGGTGTCTTCTCAGTTTTACCATCAAGGTGTTCTCCAGAAACTTCCTGCTCTGTCAAGAATAGTTGTCCCAGAAGCAGTTCCCGTACCACTTTCAGAAGGTCTGGCCTGTTTTTCCAAAAGGGAAGGAAGTGGGAGAACCAAGCTTTCTGCTAGGCCTTGTCCCCTAGCCAGTATCCCAAGTTATCCCCACCTACTGTTGCCCAGATTCCATCAAAACTAAATACAGTGTGTACCCACAACGTGCCAGGGCCCACATCCAGTATTTTATCCTGTGTAACCTCACGGCACCCAAACAAAGCAGGTACTACCATGTCATTTCATGGATAAGAAGAATAGAATTAATTTAACACAAGGTACACAGCAAGTGAGTGGGCCACATAAATATGTGAATGCAGGCTGGGCCCAGGTAGAAACAAACGGGATTATAAGGTGACCATGACAATTACAGGGTCCTCCCTGACTCTACCCCGCCAGCCAACCTCCTGGCCCTGGCCCCATTTCTACATCCAGGGGCAAGTATGGCTTTAGATGAATCTGGCCAACCTGGCTGGTCCATCGATGACCTAATCCATCTTGGTACACAATGGGTGCTTAATAAAGAGGTGTTAATGAAGGGATATTTGTACACAGGCAGAGTAGAAAGCGCATTGGCTCTGAAGATGGATACAAATCCCTTCATATTCTAACTCTACAATTCTCTGAAAAGAAGATAAGTATTCCTCCACAAGACAGCTATGAGGATTAAACAAGATAGTGTATAGGCAGCAGATGCTTTTCATGTCCTTGCCACATACCCTTGGCCCACCTCTGACTTCAGCTGCGGCTGTGTGGACAGTTCCCATAGACATAGTCCCACCTCAAACACCCTCTACGTCTCTGCTGCCTTGGGGCTTTTTCCAAAGCTCTGTGAGCAAGCCAGTAAAGCAGTGTGGAAGTGTGAAACAGTTTCCATTTCTGGGGAAACTCTCAACCAGTGAGAGAAGACAGCTGTTGGGTAAATGTCCCAGTCTCCCATCCTTCAGACGGACCACACAGGCACAGTATATACAGTCCCTCAGAGGGTCCCCAGCAGTAACCAGATCATTATTGCACCCTTATTGACTTTGCTTTCATTCCTGTCTTACTCTCCCTGAGCCCTCATTCCTGCTCCCTGATGTCAAATCCCAAATAAATCCCTTACACTCTAATCCATATCTCAGGCTCTGCTTTCCAGGGAAGCAAAACTAAGCCAGCATGTAAAACACCTGGAATGGTGCTCGGGTGGAGTAACTCAAGAAGAGCCCCTTGTGTGTTTCTTGTGCTGGGCACTGCAGTGGGCACTGGGGATACAAAACTGTCCCAGGAGGACATGGACTGGTTTTAGAGAAACATACGTAAACAAACTATGAGGGTTACAGGGCAACCATCCCAGAGTGCCCCAGACTGGGGGTGGCAGGGAGAACAACAGCGGAGGGCTTCTAACATCAGTGAGAGGCAAGCCTCGAGGAGAGGAAATGGAACAGTCTAAGCATGGAAAACAACGTGAACAGAGTCAAGTAGCCAAGAAGGGGTGAGGCTGGAAAGATGAGCAGGGAAGAAACGAAGAGTCCTGTACAACACGTTAAAAAAAAAAAAAAAAAAAACGAAGGCCACTGAAAGGCCCTGCGATGGACTGGGCCAGGCACACACGTGCTTCAGAAAGGTGACTCCAGGCCAGGCATCATGGTTCATGCCTATAATCCTAGCACTTTGGGAGGCCAGGGCAGGCAGATAGTTTGAGCTCACAAATTCGAGACCAGACTGGGCAACATGGTGAAACCCTATCTCTACAAAAAAATACAAAAAATTAGCCAGGGATGATGGCATGTGACTGTAGTCCCAGCTACTCGGGAGGCTGAGGTGGGAGGACGGCTTGAACCCAGGAGGCTGCAGTGAACTGAGATCACACCACTGCACTACAGCCTGGGCAACAGAGCCAAACCTTGTGTCAAAAAAAAAAAAAAATCAAGAAAGGTGACTCTGGCTGCTGCTGCATAGAGAATGGACGGAGAGGCCTTGCACACAAGGAGCTCCCCTCATGCTGGTCTAATCACAGAGGAATGACTGCAAAATATGCACACCTAAAAAATAGTGTAAGGTACACTATAGGGCTCAAAATCAAGATAAAAGTATCCAAAGATCAAAAACAGGAGAAAACCCACAGCTGCAAGAAAAGGGCTGTTAAAAAGACAACAACTTAACAAATGAGAGAATTCACAATTGAGGAAATAGAAACAATAAAGCAATCTGAAGAAGATTTTTAAATAAGTATGTTTAAATCATCTAAAAAATAAAGGGAAAAAAATTCATAAGAGGGAGTTATGAAACTGGGACAGAAAATTATGGGAAAATAAATGGGGGAAGTAGAGAGGAGAGACCAGCTGGAAAGCTGTGGCTAACTCCTGGGAGAAAGAAAATGCAGGTCTGGGTGAGGTGGTGGCAGTCAGCAAAGAGCAGGGGACAGAAGGTCCTCATTGGTGTTAGTTCTTTTTCCTTCTCACTTCGGTTTCTACTACCTGCTCTATTTCTAGAAACCTGGTGAAACAGTCAGGCTGTACTCTACAACTCCTTTAACATACTCCGAACTTCCCTCCCTCCGATCTTTGCTGCCACTGGCAATGACAGGCACCCCTGTGTTGTCTTTCCCACTGAGCCCTCTGAGGGGAGAGAGAAGGCCCTCTGCATATCCAGATTTCTATTATCTAGATGGGGGCAGAGTCAACTCCATTTAAATAGCTATAGCACACCAAAATGGGGTTAACAACAAAATTTACATGTATGGTACATTTTTCACCTCTAATGTGAAATTACCTAGACAACAGAAACAATCTCAAACTATAGTAAACCCAGACTTTTAAAATATTTCTGGCATTTCAAGCTTCAGGAGATGTTAAACTAAATTTTCCTTCCCTCCGCCTCTTTAACATAGATTAAAAAGTAATGACAATTGTTATTTGGCTAGCCAAAGGAGGACCATTACTCACCACCAAACAACACAATAAAACTGAGGAAAAATACTTTACAAATGGGTAGTAAAAGGTGGTGAAAGAGGCCATTATAATATACTAAAGTGGTGGTGCTACTAAATAAAATACTTCAAGTGTTATTTTGCTAGAAATCTGAACAGCAGATTCATTAAGCTATCACTATAAGCAGAACCTTTTCTACGGTTCAGTCCAAGAGACTTCTCAGAGCCCAAATATCGTTTATATCCCCTTCCTGGGCATCTGTGCCATGAAGAAGGTATAAGGGGAGAGGAACTCACATTTCCTAAGCACTTACCATGTGCCAAATCCTCTAAATACACTGAATCCTCACAATAAGACTGTGAGAGGGGGATTTTTTAAAAACCCATTTTACAGATGAAGAAATGGGCTCATAAAGGTTCAGGATCCCCCAACCAAGTGTCAGAGCAAAGATGAGATTCCAGACCTTTCTGACTCCCAACCATTGGCTGGGGCTGAAATGCTTCCGTTGCCAGAAGGGAGCATTCCCCCTGACCGCCCAGTTCACCACGCTCCTACCACAGCCCACTGCACTCTCCCTGGTTCACATCACCCAAGTACATTCCCACATGGCCCTCAGACAAAAAGTGTCTTTTAACTCTGAAGTAAAATTTGGGACCCTGATGTTTAGGAAATCCTCCATTTCTCAAGCACCAACTACTACGGTCACCTAACTACTTCTGATAATAAGCCAGAATTGCCACTGACCATGTCTTCCAAGAAGACTCAAGCTAGAAAAATATTGGACAGATGTCAGGGATTGGGGAGGAGTTAGCTTTGCTGAGCTCACAAAAACAGAATGCTTCAATCCCGTTTTTTAGCTGAAGAAATGCCTGTAAGGCTTAGTCCATCAATGATAGAAGAAATACTAGGGTTCCTGGCTCTTATCAAGAGTCATGGGCAATCATTACCGTTCCATTTCTCTATCCATTCAGGAGGAGAACTAAAAACTGTTATTGAACACGCATCACACCAAATGCCAGCCATTTTTCTTAAACGTTTTTTTCTTATTCATCACAGCAACCCTAAGAAGTAATCAGAGAAACTGAGGCACTGAGAGATAAAACCACAGCTCTTTTTGGTTCCAAAGCCCAAGCAGCTGTTATGGATGGACTAGGAAGAATATGAAAGGGGCAAAAATTACTCCTAAAGGATTAATTGAAAAAATACAAATGTACTGAATGTTTCTCCTTTTTTGTTTTAAGGAAAACAACCTGTAGTATCTCCTCACATAGGAATGGCTCCCAACAGATATAATGAGAAGAGAACTTTAATTCAAGCTCAGCAAAAACAGCAGAATCACAACTACAATGGTATTTTTTAAGCTGTTGTCGAAACTGGAAGATATTTCGGTAGGGCTGATTCCTCTCGCTGACAGCAAGGCAGTCCTTTCTGGGGGCTCCCAGGAATAATTCCCAAAGAAAGCTTTCTTTCTCCTCTTTATAATGGGCTTACATGAGGCTTTGCTGACGTCCCCTCACAGCCACTAGCATGCAGCCTAATTACTTAATTTCATGACTGGCAAGATTCCTTCCAAGCCATTTCAGGAGCTCTCTCAGGTAAATTACACAGCACGATCATCTAAACCCATTTAGCAAAATGAGTTTGTTCTCCCCTAGAACTAGAGAAACAAAGGAATGCCTGGGCCCCATGTATACCTGGATTCCAGTAATAATGTGGCCTTCTCATTGAACAAAGGGGCAAGCAGGTTTATGAATGCACCTTCTTCTAGGCAGCCAGGTGCGTGGGCCCCATCACAATCTGAAATCTTAGACTCCGTGTGCCTTAAGTATCCATTTTTGCAGCCTCCTTTGGAAAGGTCTTTCATAATCTGCAAATAAAAGTATTTGGTCAAATAATGGAATAAGGAGGAAGGGAATGGGGTGTGTGGAGAGAGGATGGAGATGCAGGGTAAGTGAGTAAGTGAAAATAAGCCAGACACACTGAGCCAGAGAGAAACAGAAAAGAAAAGGGGGAGGAGAAGGAGGAAGAGAGAGAGACACAGGCATGCAGGTGCATACATACTCACTTTAACACAGGGAGATGTTCTAGAAACAGGATAGAGATGTTTACATCACTTCTCCTCACCCTGTTTCCTCACCTATAAAATGGGGGTAGTAATGGTACCTCCCGAGGTGGTTAGGAGAATGAAATGAGACCACCTCAGGTGACATGTCTTACTCACTACAGGTGCACAATGGAAATGTGTTCTCCCACCCTTACAGCCCAATCCTTGAAAGTTCTTCCTAAGAAGAGTATGGAACCCATGTTGTGATTTGAGTGCTTATTATATTCTTCTTGCAATGTATCCTCCTTATTATATATCACAAAGCTGACTTACTCTTTTCAGACACATATTATTTAACATGGCTTTGATCTTTCACATTAGGAAGATAGAGAGTTCCTAATTCCCATGGAGATGTTATTTACCGATCCACCTTCTTGGATCACTGAGGGTCCCAGAGGAGTGGTATCAAAGATGCATCTAGTTAAAGCCTGTACTGGGCATGTCTTTGAGGTGCTGCAATTAACATTCTTTCTCCCCTATCCAAAGCTGTAAATTTCTTCTACCAGTCTATAAATAACTCCTCTTGACTTCATTACTGCTGGTGATATACACACTAGCCATCACCCCCATCTCTCCATACTGGTGAAATGATTAAGATTTTTAAATGGAAGACAAGACCTACACAAATGAGTTGTTACTTATAGGGTCTTCTTTGCCACCAATCTAGTTATTAAATCCAACTAATAAGCAACCTCCAAAGAAGGAAATGTCTAGAATAATAAAAATAATTATTATTTACTGAGCACTTATTACATGCCTTTCTATTTAAATATCATAATCCTAAAAGGAAGTATTACTATCCTCATTGACAAGGAAACTCAGGCTTAGAGGTTAAGCACTAATTAACCAAGGTCACAGAGATAGTAGTGCCAAAGCTAAGACTTTGAATGAGGTTGATCTGGTTGCAAAGCCCCCACTTTTAATTACTTTGCTTTCTAAAACTATCTACATTTTAAGATCTCCCATTTGTGACTCCACAAACTTGAACACCCTGAAGGCCAAAAATGCCAAATCTGTAGCATCTTACCCCCACCACATCCCAGTCTCTAGGGTTCTTTCAACCTTGGAGACTGCTTGGAGTCTCCTACTTATTTTATGAATTAGAGGGTTGGAGACTGCTTGCTCCACATGTTCAGTATCAATGTGATTGGAAGAGTGCTCTATGTGTACGGGGGTGAGATTCTCACAATGCCCAAATGACAGTAACGTGGGTTCCAGATGAGGAGATTGCAGAGGGCCCCTAGGAAGGGGAGCTAAGTTCCATCAGTAGGTCTTTACACCTCAACTAAATGATCTGGTAGTTTACACAGTCCAGAAACAAGGGTTCTTATCCCAACTCTATCACTAACTTACTCTGTGCCCCAAATAAATCATCAGTCCTCAAAGCCTTCAGTTTCTAATTCATAAAATGGGTTGGATTACATCACTAAAGATTTGTCCAGGTCAAACATCCAATGCCTGCTATTCTACTATAACAAGCCCATTTTTATTTGCAAGTTTATGCTCGTTTTCATGTTTCATGACTGGCTCTGTCACCCAGTTTATAACTTATAAGAAGGAAAAGACCTAGTCTTTGCTTTCCACTGGCACATGAAAGGTACAGGATATAGGCAGAATGAACAGAAAACCCACTGGACTCATTCCAGACTCGAAGACTGATTTGGACATAGAGTGGAGTAGATGAAATAAGGAGTTAACTGAAAGGTTCCTACCTCATTACTCTGCTGCAAATGCTGGTCACTCAGGAAATTAATCTCGTCATCCTCCCCAATTTTGATCGTGTCCTCGTCCTCCTTGCTAGCCAGAAGCTACATGGAGCATGGAATGGTGTGAAAATGCAACCCAAAAAAGTGTGCAGCATGAATATGTATGAATAAGTCAGTGATGTCTTTTTTTTTTTAATGCAAAACAAAAAGCAAACAAAAAAGAGGAAGAAACAAATGCCAAAGCCATGAAATAAAAATTAACCAAGGTTAGAGTTGCTAGTTGTGGCGAATCAGACACAGCTGCCTGGATCAAGCATAATTTAAGGACAAATTCCCCAAGAAAATAACTAAAGGCATTGCCCCTTGCCCTTGCATGGCCTTTCCTGAGCTGCCGTAAATTAAAAATGCCGTCTATTATGCCACTGCCACTCCTGCCTTTACTAAATTCACTTTCAGATTATATAAAAGTAACAAGATTTTGGAAAATAGCTATTGATGGAATTGAAAATATCAAACAGCAAGAAAGTAATAAATGAAATTTATGGTGTGCCCAATTTATGCATCACTTCTATTTAGCGCAAGGCATAAACCTCTTCTTGTTGGACTGTCACACATCTGAGATGGACAGTCCTGGCAACACTGTCATTTTGCTGACAGAAATTCCTCATCTCTAATGAGAAGAGTATCACGCTTGCGTGACGATAACTTTATGCTTTTGGAAATGAAGGACAGTTATTTATAAAGACTGCATAAATCCCTAATGCTTCAAAGAAGTGTAAATCCCAAAGCTTCTGAGTTCTACAAAATGGACGGTACAAAGTTCTCAAGAAAGCCAGTTCTCAGCTCTCCGCAAAAGCAAAAATTCTAGTCATGGGGCACCTGAATTAACCAAATTAAAAATGAGAGAAAAGGTGGCCAGCCACTCCCGGATAAGGAATCAATCAAAGCTATGTCAAAATTATACCAAACCTTATCTGACCAATAAAAGAGTCTGGCCAGGTGCGGTGGCTCACACCTGTAATCCTAGCACTTTGGGAGCCCTAGGCAGGCAGATTGCTTGAGTCCAGCAGTTCAAGACCAGTCAGGGCAACAGAGTGAGACACCTGTCTCTACAAAAAACACAAAAATTCGCCGGGTGTGGTGGTACATGCCTGTAGTCCCAGCTACTCGGGAGACTGAGGCAGGAGGATCACCTGAGCCCAGGGAGGTCGAGGCTGCAGTGAGCCGTGATCACACCACTGCACTCCAGCCTGGGCAACAGAGTAAGACCCTGTCTCGAAAGCAAAAACAAAACAAAAGAGTCTGCACCGAAGGTGCTGAAACCACAGAGTATTGGGTCATTTGTTGGGCATGTTGTACGTGTGAGATACCTACGGTTCTAGCTCAAGTTTTATTTCTGAATCCCTACATTTAGTCAATTATCCCCATAGCTCTCCAGCCCAACTCTCTGTTTTTCCTTTCAGAGGAACAACCTTGTTGTGGAAGAAAAACAAAACAAAGGCAACTGAGTTCAGTTTTTATAGAAACTTCCCAGGGTCAGAACATGTTCAATCTGACCATATCCAAATCTGCAATCAGGATCAAACAGAAGTGATGATCAAAAACCACATCCTACTATATTATCCAGCATGAAACAGACTAGACGTGCATAAATATACCTACTGAAGCATAAAAGTCTATAAATATGGGTAAGGAACCCTCTTTGTCTTTTGGCTTCTTCCCTCATTACCATAACATTCTCGAGTGATAAAGACTAACTGGAACTATCAAACTTGTTGGTGGGAATATAAAATGTTTGGAAAAAGTATTGGCAATTTCTTATAAAACGAGTAATCCTATGACTCAGGAATTCTACTCATAGGTACTCATCAAATTAAAAAAAAAAAAAAAGTGTGTCCCAACAAAGAATTGTACATGAATGCCCATATCACCTTTTACCCAAGTGTCCATTAATAGCAGAATGAATAAACAACTGTAATACACTCATGCAATGGAATACTACCTGGCAATAAAAAGGAACAAACTTGATGCACTAACCACATGGATGAATCTCAAAAACATAATGCTGAGTAAAAGAATATATACAAAAGAGAATATACTGTATGACTCCATTTATATGAAGGTCTAGGCAAAATTAACCCATAGTGGGACAAAATCAGAAGAGCAGCTGGGGTGGGACTGGGTATGGACAACAGAGGACATGCAGGCTCTTGATAGGGGTTTGCCTTACACAGGCACATACACTTGTAAAACTTAGTGAACGCAGGCTTACAATTTCTATAGTTCATTTGACTATAAGCATTTATTGAAGATATGCACATTGAAGTACTTGGGGGAAGTATACTGATGTTTGCAGTTTCAATTAAAATTTATTAGAAAGATGAGACAGAGTGATGATGGGCAGGTGGGAAATGTGAATAGAACCTAGGTGGTGAGTATATGGGTATTCACTGTGTCTGAATTTTTTCATAATAAAATATTAGGAGAAAGTCTTTCCCATCTTTTAAAAAACAAAACAAAACAGGGCCAGGCACGGTGGCTCACACCTGTAATCCCAGCACTTTGGGAGGCTGAGGTGGGCAGATCACGAAGTCAGGAGATCGAGACCATCCTGGCTAACATGGTGAAATCTTGTCTCTACTAAAAATTAAAAAAATTAGCTGGGCATGGTGGCGGGCGCCTGTAGTCCCAGCTACTTGGGAAGCTGAGACAGGAGACTGGCATGAACCCGGGAGGCGGAGCTTGCAGTGAGCTGAGATCGCGCCACTGCACTCCAGCCTGGGTGACAGAGGGAGACTCCATCTCAAAAAACAAAACAACAACAACAACGAAAGTCTCCCCCTGATTCCCCAACAGCTCTGGCCACTCAGTATTCTCTGCCTCTCTCCAAGCTTCTGCAAGGGGTCTATTCTCACCTTCTGCAATGTGGCTTTACTGCCCAGGAAAGGTCCCCAAAGACCTTGTTGTATTAATGAGAGATGAAATCCACATGGGGTTAGGAAAGAGGCACGGAGAAGCTCCTCCCAGACTCCTGCGGATCTGAGAAGGGTTTCCTCTAAGCTTAGCTGAGCAAAGAAAGTATTGTTAACACATCATTCCAAGTTGAAATATGAAAAGCGTCAAAGTTATTCTGCATTTCCAGAACCACAACCATGCCAATGCTTGACACAGTTAAATAAAAATTAACTTTCATTTCTCTTTACCTCTGCTGACGTGGTCAAGATTAAAAGTAAACTCTCGGTTTCCAGGAATGGTCAAGAAATTAAATGTTATGGACATAGAGAAACATACTTCATGCTGCATGCTATTTACTCATTTTCAAAGATCCAGAACTAAGATGTCAGAAAGAACTGAGTCACTATACCTGGCTCGGCTTCCAGCCCTACCACCACTAAAGAAGCAACCTCCAAGTGTCAACTGGCTCTATCCTCATTTCATCACTTCTCATCACTTCTCTATCCCCTGCAAGCTGGCTTCTGTCCCCCTCACTCTAATGAAACTGCTCAGGTCATGGGACTCATAGGAAGTTCTCAGTACTTTTTTCTTTCTTGCTTCTCAGAGTGTTCGACACTATGAAACACTCCCTCCTTGAAACCCCACGCTGTTACTCTGCACTCTACTGCCTCTCCCCCTGCCTCTTGAGCTATTCTTTCTTCATCTGCTTGGCAGCTCCTCTTCCTCCTCCAGGGAGAACTTCCCTTAATCCCCAAAGTGAGGGCTGGGCACCTGTCTACAACTCCCTTGAGACTCTGCATTCACTCCATCACAGCCCTCACCACACTCTGCCCCAATTGCCCCTCTGCTTCTCTGGATTACATCCTAGACAGGGCGGGGACATGTGTGCTCATAGTTTTAACATCAATGCCTGACGCTCAATAACACTGCTGAACAAATAAACAAATGAATAAAGACTTTTTTCAAAACGAGACCTAGAAACAAGTCGTTTTCAGGATTACCTCTGGTCTTGCTACTCAAAGTGTATTCCTTAGGGCAGCAGAAGCATCATCACCCAAATTTGTTAGAAATACAGACTCTCTGGCCCCATTCCAGGCTTACTGGACAAGAATCTGCATTTTAACAAGACTCTCAGGAAATATATGTGCACATTAAACTTCAGAAGCACTGCCCTATGGTGTTGCTAAACAATTCTACACAGAGTCAGAAGAGGGTTATAGTCCCATCTCCGCCACTAGCATACCAAAAAAAAAAATTAAAATAGCTGTTTTACTGAGTGCATACCATATGCCAGAACTATGCCAAGGGCTTTATAAATCATGTAAATCTCATAATAACGTATGAAGTCAAATTGTTAGAAAGTTCCTCCTTTAAATGAAATCTGCTCTGACAAACCAGGTTTGTTCTTACTATTAACAGAATATTTAACAAGCACCTTCTACTTCTGACAACCATTTCTGTCCTTTAGAGTCACATAAGGTCTATTTCTTGTCAACATGACAGCCCTACAAATATTTGAGTTCAATTAAACTATGCCCCTTTGTCCAGGTTTCCTCTCTACGTCAAAAAAAAGTGAGTTTTCTAACCATTCTTAATAATGACAATATAAGTAAATAATAATAGTGACTAACCCTTTCGAGCCTTTGCAGTGTGCCAGGACCTGTGCCACATGCTTTCTTTACACAGAGCCTATAATCAGAGGGCAGGTCCACAAGTTATACAGTTCCTGGCTTTCTATGCTCACCGTCCTGACTACACTCTGCTGAAATCACTCCTCTATATCGATTTTCAACCTAATTCTCCTATAATGCATGAAAAACCAGCAAATAAATATGAGAAAATAGGTGCAACCTCATTAGAGATTTTTTTAAATGTACACAGCAACAACAGGATACCTGTTCTTGGTGTTCTGTTTGTTTGGTGGTGTCTACGTGAACTACCAACAGGCAGGAACTGAGCACCGTGGTACCCAGCTGGTGAGGCTCTACACCAGGGCCAGCATCTTAGAAAGAAATCTGACAAACTCTATCAGGGCCTTCAAACTACTTACAGTCTTTTACACATTAAAAGTTGTTGGGGGGAGGGGGAAAATAAATAAATAAATGAAAATAAATTTTATGCCTATTGCATATTTCTATCTGTCCTTTGGCCTACTAATGACACATATCTGGGAATCAACTCTAAGGAAAAAAAAAAAAACCTCTAAACACAGAAAAAGATTTGTGTCCAAAGACATTCATTAGGAAATTAAAAATGGCAAATCACTAGAAATAACCTACATGTCCAACAGCAGTGAGGCAGTTAAGTTTCAGCACATTCATAAGAAGGAATGAGATGCTATGACATAATGGCAATTAGCAAGAACAGGAGACAAAGCTGCATTCCAGGAGAGATGTGTGCATCCACATGTTCATACACACAAATACAGAAGGAACACTTCCAAACGTTAATTAACTGTGTGCTTGTTTTAAAGTGACAGAATTAGGGGTAATTTATTCTCTCTCTTTTCCAAATGTTGGGGTAATGCTATGGGTTAATTAAATATTGGAGAAAAAATACTGAATTTTAAAAATAAAAATATACTTGCTTTTCCCCCCTCCTTTTCTGATTTATAGTCTCCTACAGAACAGGAATCATACCCAGACCTCACTTTGCAAGTCATGCTGCTTGGGAAATGCTGTGGACAATATATGCATTTCTGGTTTGTTTCTGCTTTGTTTCTCATCAAAGGAGAACCACGCATACTCCCAGAGAACCGCAGGCTCCACTCTTTCCCATCTCACCCTCACCCTAACTCCATCTACTCCCTCAGCCCAAGATTACAATGGGCACACCACCTTTCCCATCCCATTCTGGGGGATGATGGGGAGCTGTGCTATGAAGAACAAGGCTATTCATGGGGAACATCAAATCAAAGTACAATATGATAAAAGACTCAACAAATCTCAGTTGGCTGATATTAAGATCTTAGGGTGGGAAAAGGAAAAATCCTTTTTCTCCAAAGGACATAATGAGACATTTAACAGATTTTTTTTTTAAAGGGCAAATGAACAAACAAAACACACCATTTGTGTCTCAAATGAAGTTGGTGAAGAATGCTGCCTTGGAGGAAGCAAATCATACTTGTTTCTCCCTAAATGGATCGCAGATATTCTTGGTTTTCAAAATTATCTAGAGTCCTGGAGGCTAAGATCAATAATGTTCCCTCTCACAAAGAAAGAAGATGGCCAGAGTGCAGCATAAATACCTTTGAGCATTTCCCACTTTGAAGGTAGGAGGAGACAGCTTAAGGCTGACAAATCTTTCCCAAGAAATGATGTTGCAATGAATGTGAGTTCTCCATTTACCTGGCACGCCAGGTAGAGCAGAAGACAACCCCAACCAGGAAGATTCCAGTTTCATACGTGAGGGACCCAAGTACAAAAAGGCCCTACTACTGCACTTCATGGGAGAGCAGTTCTGGTCTTCCGAAACAATGCTAACATGCGCATGAAGCAAGGTGCTTCCTACGAGAGAGTCAGGCCACAGTAGGGAATGAAGAGGGAAACAACATCACAACTTCAGGGTCCTCCCATTGTGCAGCCCAGGTCCCAAACAGAAAATCAGAGCCAACAAATCACAAAGATCAGCACTGAGACCCAGAAGTCATCAAGGTGAATAAGGCTTCTTTCCTCTTTTCCCAGGTGGGTTGTGTGTATGTCAGTTTTTCAATGTTAATGTATTCATTAAGGCTGCATCCACACTATTCAAATTATCTGGGTGGTTTGGAAACTCTCCAGATCCGTCTGAGACCACATCGCTCATCCAGATGTGTGCCATCTGCAGCACAGGTCCCAGGGCTGGACCAGAGTCAAAGCATCACAGTATATCCAATGTGTCCGTGGAGACATGACTGGAACCTGAGGAAGCCTGTGGACAGACCTGCCAGCCTAGTGGGGCTCTCAATACCCAGTCCACAACAAAGGGAATTTCAGTTAGAGACCTCCCCAGGAACAGATGCAGTCTTGAAAAACCTTTCGGGTTGTTATACATACATACATATATATAAATATATGGTTTGTATACATACATACATATATATAAACATATGGTTTGTATACATACATACATATATATGAATATATGGTTTTGATGGTTTTTTTTGAGACAGGGTCTCGCTCTATCCCCCGGGCTGGAGTGTAGTGGTGTAATCACAGCTCACTGCAGCCTCAACGTCCTGGGCCCAAGTGATCCTCCCACCTCAGCCTCCCAAAGTGCTGGGATTACAGGCGTGAGCCACCATACCAAGCCGGTTGTTATATTTTTGTAATCAGCACATGACAACAAAAATGTTTCTTACCTCTGTTTGTTCTGTAGACGCAAGTCTATCTGGAAACCCATTTCCCTGGAAACCCATGCAGGAGAGATCAAAAATGGTTTTCTTCAGGTGCTGGTTGTCTGTATACAGCTCCTTCACTAGCTGTATAAGGTCACTGACCTAGGAGGTAAGAACAGGGAAAAGGCTGTCTACCCAGCAAGAGACTTCAGCTTCCCAGGGCCGCAGCCCCAGACAGCCCTATCAAGCGACTCTTTGGCACCACAGTTACGGGGAATCAGGCTGATTCTAGCCCTCAGGATACCCTGTGCACAGTGACAAAAACACTGGCTTTAACATCTGGCATAACAGTATTTTAATCCCAGAGCCATCACTTCAAGGCAAAAAGATCCTGGGCAAACTGCACAGTCTAAGCCCCAGTTTCCTCATCTGTAGCGTTACTACGAGAACTGAACAGGATTGTGGTCACAGTGCACTAAAGTCCCTGGCACGGTCTAAGTGCTCAGTCAATGACAGCTAATACTATCTCTCTCTTGCACTTGAGACCCTCTGGAGGAAAAGTCTCCCAAGGCGAAAGTTTCTGAAACTGTATCAGAGTCTTACTTTTCACTAGTGACCTCCTCCTTTGTACACCTATCTGGCAATGCCAGTAATATTAACAGTTGTCAATTATGAAGCAATTTACAGCTACTAAAATACTCCTACAAGCTTTAGTCTATTATTCCTTGCAAAAATCCTGAGGAGGGGAACAGACTAGTGTGTCTCTCTCCATTTTACAATGAGGACATGAAATACAAAGAAATTTAACTGTCCAGAGTCCCACAGCTGGGGTGTCTGGAGAATTAAATGAGACAGAACAATGGCCGAAGTGCCTAACCATGTGCGAAAGAGCAGCTGCCTCTACACAGGCAGAGTTGGGCCTGGGTCTTGCGAGGCCACACACAGAAGGAACAAGCAGACACCACCTTGGTTTCCTGCAGGCTTCAAATCCCAATGGCCAGTAATTTTCCAAGGCTTCTTGATGGAAGCGATTATTAGCTCTTCAAATAACATGGAAATTCCCACCCTGAGTACACATAGTAGATATCCAATATATCAAAATATGAAAAAAATTGGATCGAATCCTCAAGGAGGTTCTAGTAGGAAGAACAAGACATTCTGATTTACTAAGTGCCAACCAAGTGAACTACCTCCTGGCCTTACCACAGCCCCAGTAGGCACTAGCAGCAGCTATTATCATCTCTATTTTCTTCATCTTTAAAAACTAACAGCTGCCTCCATACTCCTTGCCCTATTCCTCCCAAAATACCCAAATTTTTATTCTCCTTGCTATTTCTTAGTTCTGTGCCTTAAACAGGCTGTTTTCTCTTTCTCTGCTGAGAAAGTGGAGACCTGGGCAAACTCCGAATTCGTCCTTCGAAACCCACTTCAAGTCTCACTTCTGCTGAGAAGCCTCCCCTGATCAGGTGAGCTCACCCCCCCATCTCCCATACAGGCAATTAGCCTCTCCTCTGCTATTTCTACACCTTGTACAGCTGCCCATACAGCAACCTTGCACCTCATACTGCAATTACTTGTTTACATGCCTGTCTCTTCTATCAGAATGTAAATTATTCCCAGATAGAAACTGAATCTTAGTCACACATACATGATAATTTTATAATAAACTATGCGGTCTCAAACCTCCTATTTCTAAGAATGTTTTTCAGAACCTTGAAACACTAAACCACTCTAACCATGACACTGATCAACACATTGAAGAATCTTTCCAGTTTAAAAAAAGATTTATTGATCAAACCTGGAACGTTATTCATTCAAAATGCATCTATTATTAGTTCCTATATGTGTGCCAGGCAATGGGAAATCAGAAATAAGACATAATCACTAAGTTTAAGATGTTCACAGCCTAGCAAGGAAATATAGACAAATAACCAGATAATTATAGATCAGTAAAATAAGGACATCGATTTGGATTAGGTACAAAAAAAAGAGGTGAACAGCCTGACGGAAAAGTGGCTAACTCTAAACTGAGGGGCCAGAGAGCTTTTCCTCAAGGAGATCGAGCCTGGCTGGGTTCTCAGGCCTGGGGAGTTTATCAGACACGAGGGAAGGTACTCCAGTTAACGGACACAGGAGGGGCACACACAACAAGGCAGAGGGGACAGGAAGGAAGGAGAGAGGCCTTCAGAATCTTAACCTCTCATGAGGAACCCAAGATACAACAAACAATCTAACAAAAAGAAAAGAAAAGCACTAAAAATTAATAGGTCAATACCTTTTTCTTAAGTTCTTCTTGAGAAAAATGTTCCACTTGAAACCGATTGTTTTCTTCAAGGCAAATACTTAGATAAGATGTTTGATCACTATAAAGTGAAAATGATTCTTCTGCCCAAAAAAGAAAAAAAAAAGGTGGGGAGGGGGAGGAGAAAAAGAATATCAGAAACAGATCCTCCCAAGACTGACCCCAGTGCAATCCATCCAAAGCAATGTGAATGGGGGAGGTGGGGCGGAAGGGAGCATAGTACACAGAGGGGGCTTAAGGCACCACCTTTGGAGCAAAATTAATTTTCCCTTTCTCAACAGGCTGATATTTCAATGTATGGTTTCATCTTAGGCCGTAGGTTTTCACTGTGGCCAACTGTGAATTATAATTTGCATATCAAGTATTGTGCCTGGAGACCATTCTGAATGGCACAAGAAAATGGTGATTTCAGTTTAAATGAGGGACTGATTCTGTTTAGGGGAAAATGCAGAAAAATTAGATGTGACCCTCAAGGGTAGAACTCAAGGGAGATAAAAGTGTCTGATCATTTTTTTTTTTTTTTACTGGCCCCAGAACCCTCATGGGAAACAAGCACACTAAGTGCAGAAAGTGCCTGCTAGTGCTAAGCTAGAAGAATCTCTGGTCACCAATGTAAGGATCTGTTTCCTTTGCAGCAAAGGTCAATTCTAATAGGAAGGGGAGAAGTGGGGGGCGGGGGGAAGATGTGTGTATATGTGTACTCAGCAAGGCATATCCACAAACAGTATCTCATTTAACACACACGTGTAAGAGCTGATACATCTAAAATACAGTGCAGAATACTGGAAAGAGCTAGACTTAAAGGAAGATGCCCTGGCTGAAATCTGGGCACGTCAAACCCCAGCTGAGTCTTGGTTTCTTCATCTGTAAAATGAACTTAATACTTACTCTACCTAATGAGATGACTGTGAGGATCACAGGTGAAAAGTTAGGTGCCTAGCACTGTGCCTTGTACACAGCAGATGCTCAAGAGATGTCAAACCTACCACTGTTATTACCAATTTTTACCATATGTGTCAGGCACCGGGCTAGAGATACAGAAGGGAATCAGATACCAACCCAAACTTTAAAGGGCTTAAGTTCTACCAGGGGAGAGGGTCAAATCTTAATATTACTGTGATGAATACAGAAAACATAAGTCCCACAGGACCCTCATCTTGTAGCCCTCCCTTAATGCATATACAGCACTAAAAACAGTGCTTCAACCTGAAACAGCATCTCACCCATATATGTGTGCAGTCTTGGGCTCTCTGCAATAGGTGCTGTGGTAGGCAGTACTCAGATGTTCCGGGCAGTGAGGGCTGCAATTCCCCAAAAAAGGGGATTGCAAGTGCCCAGGGATATTTGGAACTAGAAGTATCAAATGATGCAGAAAACAGTAGAGGCAGCAAGGAAGCAATCCTGCACCTGACCTTCTGCAGAATTTAGTACAACTTACTGGGCTCTTCTACTAGGAAGGCTAACATCAGCATGGTCACCACAAAAAGGATCTCCAAACGAAACCCCGTGTATGCTTCATCCCTTAACAAATATTTAGGACTCTCCTGAAGTTCAGTCCATGCCCTCCAAGTGGAAAAACCAAAGAGAAGCACATAGAATAAAGTGTGTACCTTCCCGCCTCCGAATTTCGCTGATCTGCTCCTCCAAGGTCTTCCGCAAATTCTGATATGAAAGCACATCCTGCTCCAGTTGCTTCCGCAGGGCAAAAATCTTGTTTAACTCAGCCTGCAGGTTGTTGATACTTGGTAAAACAAGACACCAGAAGTTTTAAAACAGACCTATTTGTACTTTTAGATGCAAAGCCCAGAAAGCCTTCCTGTGATTTTTATGTCATTTGTGTTTTTTTCTGGTTATAAAAGTATATACAGGTTTACTATAGAGAATTTTAAATACAACAGTATAAAGAAAACAAAAATTATCATGCTCCTACTACCAACTAACACACGGCAGACTGTATTTCCTTCCAATCTTTTCCCCTATGCGTAATTTACATGGCTGAAATAATACTAGACATACAATGCTGATATGCATTCCTCACTTCATAATTCCCTATATTTTAGAAATTATTTGCAAAATCATTTTTAATGACTATATAATATTAAACCAGGTGAATGTCCCACCACTTACTTTAACTCATCCCCTATTAGTGGATACTTGGGTCATTTCCAAATTTTTGCTATAGGCGTTAACTAGGTGAAAATAACGTAATTCTCCATTCCAGAATGTGTCTCTGTTCTGAACAATGCCCCAAGAGGGCTTGGGTATAGAAAGGGAGGCTCCCCAGGGCCTGAGTGTCACTTGGGCACCCGGGCTTCAGAAGAAAGGGAGACAGAGGACTCCTGCTGTGTTACTCCTCAAAAAAGTCATACTGGAAGTTAAGGGTGGGGGACAGGTGGGAAGAGAAAAAAATAAAGGAAGAGTGAGCCAACAATAAGAAGGAGAAAAGGACTAATCTATTAGGGGCCAAAAAAACTCCACTGTGGTGGGTGAACCACTCAGAAACGCATAGTATGAGTGGATTTTTATTCTGGGAGAGGAGATGTAGTGCTAAGCTGTACAGAGAGCTTGCATGGACTAGAAGCCCAAAACCCAGAGGAGACCAAGAAAATGCACACCTCCCAGAATGTGCATTAATCTTGGGGAAACCTGTCCAATAGAACTTTCTCCAGTGATGGAAATGTTCTATATCTTCACTGTCAACTACAGTAGCCACTAGCTAAATGTGTCTATTGAGCACTTGAAATGTAGCTAATGTACCAAGGAACTGAACGTTTAATTTTGTTAAATTTACAGTAAGTTTAAATGTGAACAGCCACATGGCTAGTGGCTACTGAACTGGACAGTGCAGATCCGTAAGAACAGCTTTGGACTCCTACTGATGTGGAAATGGCAGAGATCAGAACCAGTTAAATCCAGCTCTCAGAAGAACATGGAGACCCCAGCTGACATCTGAATGGCATAAATAATGCTTCACTGTCCATCTCTGTGCTTAAAGCCTTGTTTGACATCCAGGTTATTTTCTTAAGAAAGATTCCCAGCAATGCAATTACTGGGTCAAAGTATATGAACATCTTTAAGACTACTGAAACACATTAACAAATCAGAAAGCCTTCTTTTTTAGATACCAAGAGATCTATCATTCTCCATCTAGCATCTATGGTTCCCTAAAAATGTCCATCAATGCCATGAAATTATCTGCAAAAAATGAATGAATTTGTGGATTTTTCTAGGGAGAGGGCCTATAAGCTTTCATCAGATTTTTCAAAAGGGATCAATAGCCCCCGAATGGTTAGAGGCAATTACTCCAAATATGTGTGCCAGACTCCTCAAAGAAGCCCCGCTTCTCCTTCAGAGACTTCCAGCTCCATCCATCGGACTGCACACATAAATCAACACACATTGGAAGGAAAATAAACCATTATGTCTAATCTTCTATGCTTGCTGCTTTGAGGACAGTTCATTGTGAAGCAGTCTTCACGCAAGGGAAAGGGCCCTACTAGCAACTTGTATCTAGTTCCATTTTAAGACAATCATAATGATCAATTTGTAAGGCTGATGAAAAACCTCACAGAGGTGTCACAGCACAGCACTCGCTTGGATGCAGTCATGCTGCAGAGGCATTTAACCAGGGAGAAAAAAAGAGACTGTTTTAGAGAAGCTCCTGCGATTAGGGCTGGGGAAAGCTAACTGCTTCACTCCCTCTTCCATTTTCTGACAGGGTGAAAAGTACACAGCTGCTGCTCCTGTGTCTGTCATTTATGTTTTCCCAACTTGAGAATCTTTTCAAGGTGTGAGGAGTTGGGAGAACAAAAGGTGCTTCACTCAGAAAAAAACAAAAACCTTCCTCTTCCTGGAACTGGGGCAGGGCAGACAGGAGCAGAAACAAGGAGTTAGAGAGATCGAAGCTCAAAATAGCACGCCACCACTACTGGGCAAGCCAGTTCAACTAACTGAGTCCTGATTTCCTCACGCAAAATGGGAATAATAATACCTTTGCTTTGCGATTGTGTTGAGGAATAAATGAGATATTACATGGGAAAGACGTTAGGACAGGGGCTAACACATATGAGATGCTCAACAAACATCATTTCCTTCCTTCCACATACTCTAACAACTCCCATACAGAAGACAATATTTATGAGCCAAGATTGCTGATTTTCATGAGTTACAGCAATGATAATCATCTGGAGATGATTTTGCCCCCACCCGCCAGGGGACATTTGGCCATGTCTGGAGACATTTTTGGTTGTTACAACTGCCATGGGAGGATCAGGTGTGCCGACCCTCCCATGGTAGAGGCCGGGGATTGTTAAACATCTTACAAAGCACAGGACATGCCCTCATGACAAAAAAATTATCCAGCCTCAAAGCCTCATACTGCTGAGGCTGAGAAATCCTGAGTTACAGGGAAACTGTGCTAGTCCTCAAGATGGGGAGTGTATCAGCAAGAACCTGGGTTGGGAGCCAAGACGACCTAAGCACTGATAATCCTTCACTGCGGAACACCGGGTGTCTTAGAATGCACATTTCCACTTCTGTAATTTGGGGATCATCCACCAACTTCTAAGTGCTGCTGTGAAGAATAAATAGTAAAAGTGAAAGGATCAGCCACATTCTTGCTCACAATGAGTTTCCTCCCTTCTTGACTTCCCTTTCCAGTTTTAATCACAGTACATCATCTGTCTTCAGGGTCATCCACCTTTCCTGTCAATTTCCAGAGTGAACAGTGCTGGAGTTACAGAAGAGAGCTCTACCTTCCTTAGCCCACATTCTGCCCTCTGGATATGCCAAGGTCTGAGGATTCAAAAACCTCCTGTAAACTAAGTTTATGCATGATGAAATATTGAGACATATGTAAGCTTTTCATGCTGTCATTATTCTTAAGAAATCTTACCATTTACTGAGTGCTTACTACATGCCAGGAAGTATTAGGTCTTTACACAGTGTCCTCTCTAGTTTCAACACAACCCTGTAAAGCAGGTAGACATCTAAGTAGGTAGGTAAGTAGGCAGACCAGCCAATCTCAATTTCACAAACACACTGAGGCTCAGGGTGAGAAATTACTTACCCAAGAGCTCAGGGCTGCTGAGTGGCAGAGCTGAGATGTGGACCTAGGTCTGTCTCCCACTGAATGTATTACAAGTCTGAAGATGAACAGGAAGCCTTTTAAGAAACCTTGTTAGTCCCGGTTAGTCTTTGTTAGTCCGAGTTAGCCCTGACCCGCCTCAGTCCCATCCAAGTTTTCATTCATTAAGAAAGAGCCTGTGAAACTTGGGAGCCCCTCATGAAGCTGAGAAGACTCAGGAGCAACCATATCCACCCACAAGGCCTCTCAGTACCCAGAATCAACCTGGCTCCTACCCAGAGAAGCTGCGCAATTGAAATGAAATGTGTCCACTCCCTCTGTGAGTTTCCACACGACTCAACCCCCAGTGCCCCCCACTGCTCGCTCCCACCGCCCACCTCCCCCAACACCACTTGCCAAGTGAAAATGACCAGCAGCTGAGGTTTCTTGAAAAAACTCACTTTCAGAGAGTGACGCCTACTCCCAGAATTTCAGCAGCATGTTTTCATTTTCCCTAAACTCATTTCCTATGAAAAAATCTGGAAATTATCTCATAATTTAGAAGATCAACATGGCAGGGAGGGGCATTCCTGCACAGAACATTTCCCAAATGCCTACTCTGTACCAGGCCCTGGGGAGCAGAGACAGTAAGGTGGGACCCCTGCCCTGAGGGAGCTCCAACACAGGTGAGGAGGCAGAGCAGGCACAGACGGCTACAGAAGGTGACCTCCCCACGCAGGGCAGAAACACAGAGAGGCAACTGTTTTGGGGATTAGCTGGGCTGCCTGACAAATGTAACATTCAAGCTAAATTCTAAAGGACTGGGAGGAGACAAAGTAGGGGAAAGGTTGGGAATAGAAGGGTAGGAAACACAGGTGAAGGTACAGGCAGGAACACACAGCCCAGGGAACGATAAAGAGCTCACTATGGTAAGAGCAGAGGACATATGAGAGGGAGAAATGAGGGGTGATTCTTTTTTAACTTTTCATTATAGAAAATTTTAGACATATACAAAAGGAAAAAAAAAAAACTACTGTAATGAACCTCTCCCCCATCTACACATACCCCAGCCCCAACAATCAGAGAGCCAGGGCCAATCTTGTTCTTTTGATATTCCCACCCACGTCCTCAGCTTCTGCACTGTTTGGAAATGAATCCCAGACATCATATCCTTTCAGCTGTACCCATCCCACTGTGTAGAGAGAGGTGACCAACACTTGTAATCCCAGCACTTTGGGAGGCGGAGGTGGGTGGATCCTGAGGTCAGGAGATCAAGACCATCCTGGCTAACATGGTGAAACACCATCTCTACTAAAAATGCAAAAAATTAGCCGGGCGTGGTGGTATGTGCCTGTAGTCCCAACTACTTGGGAGGCTGAGGCAGGAGAATCGCTTGAACCCGGGAGGCGGAGGTTGCAGTGAGCCGAGATCCTGCCACTGCACTCCAGCCTGGGCAACAGAGCAAGACTCCATCTCAAAAAAAAAAAAAAAAAGGACTTCTCAATTCTGAGAAGTCCCTGAGGCCAACCCTGTGTGTACAGACACATGGACAGAGGCCCAGAGCAGCACTTGCCTGTGGACACAGAGCTAGAAAGTGGGAGAGTCAGGGCTAGAACAAGGCCTCTATCCTAGAGTTGGCTCTCCCCACCACACCTTGCTGGCAGCAACTCATTTCAGCAATTCTGCAGAGATAGGGAGACTTGCTTGAGTCCCAGGGTTCTGTCACTTGACATCTGTGTGACTTTGAGCAAGTCACTTACCCTATCTTAGTTTTCATGACCTTATAGAAAACACAGGGATAGCATTATTATTACTTCACAGAAAGGCTGTGAGGATCATATGAGATAATACACATAGAAGCACTTTCTAAATATATAATAAAGTATTTTTAAAACCTGAGTAATCATGATTTTAAAACCTGAGTAATCAATTTTGTTGCCAAAAATCAGACAATTCTTGATAGAAAACAGGTATATGTGACTATCAAATAGGGCAGTCGCCACCCAAGCTTTATAAGCTCCATAAGCAAACTGGCAGGGCTTTGCTGCCTTAGAGATCAGCACTGATTGAAAGGGTGTGTGCGTGTATGCGCGTGCATGTGTGTGTGTTCGCATTCACATGTGTGATGTCCAGACAGAAACGCTTACCTGTCTGATTCCTGCAGAGATTTGACCAGATGGGTATAGATGTCCTGCTCTTTCTTTAAGACCTGAATCAGCTCTTCATAGTCTGATGATTGTTTCTTTTCCTGGAAATGACAATGGGCATTTGACATTAAGGAAAGAATTTTGAAAGAGTACATCCTTATATTATGCAAACATATGTAGCTAGTCCCAGTTTTTAAAATCAAACGAAGGTGAGAGAGGCCCTGTGCCTGGCTCTGGCTCAGGCCACAGTCAGAGAGCACCACCTTCAGGAGGAGTGGGGAATGACTGCCCATCACTCATCCCAGAACAAAGCAGAGAGCTGAGCTTCCAATACTGCTTCCAACAGCTGCTAGGAAGACGCACCAGCTATGGGATTAGCCCATCATGAGTCTGTCATCCCTCAGAGCTGCTGTTCATCGTTTTTAAAACACTACAAAAAAAATATCTTTCCATATTCACTGTTGCTCCAAAGAAGAGAAATTCACAAACCAAAACCTGGCAAGTACTGGGGACTAGGGATTTAGTTACAGTCAAGTAGAAGAGGTCAACTGAGGTATTCTTGGGAGGCATCCAGAACACAGTGATGATGAAGAAATCTGAGTTGGATCTCTGCCACTTACTGGAGGTATGATCTTGGGTAAGTAGCTTAACAAAACTCTATGAGCTTCAGTCTCCTCATTTATGAAATGTGGATGTCATTTTATGAATTCACATTCACAAATGTGAAATTTTTTAATGTTCAAAATTTGGTTCTGCCACCTACCAGTTCTGAGACTCTGGGAAGTTACTTACTAGGAGCCTTGGTATTCTCACCTGTAAAACTGGTGGACAATTACCACTGCCTTATGGAGTTACAGAGCAGATGAAAGATAAATTGCATACTGTAAGGAACCAGGGATACCTGGAGAAATGGCTGATTCCCGTATTAGGACAAGGAAAATCAGGAACAATAAAAGATATGTGTATAGCATTTTATTGTGCCAAAAAATGAGGAAGTGCTTATAGAACAGTGGTTGCCAGGGGCTGGAGGGATGAGGATATGGGAGATGTTGGTGAAAGGGAACAAAGTTTTAGTTACGCAAGATGAATAAATTCCAGAGATGTAATATACAGCATGATGACTATATGTAACAATACCCTGGCCAGGCACAGCGGCTCACACCTATAATCCCAGCTCTGTGGGAGGCCAAGGCGGGAAAATCACTTGAGGCCCGGAGTTCAAGACCAGCCTGGGCAACATAGTGAGACCCCCGCCTCTACAAAAAAGTAAAAGATAAAAACATTCGCTGGATATGGTGGCATGCACCTATAGTCCCAGCTATTTGGGAGGCTAAGACAGGAGGATCCCTTGAGCCCAGAAGTTTGAGACTGCAATGAGCTAGGATCATACCACTGCACTGAAGCCTGGGCAACAGAGCAAGACCCTGAAATAACAAACAAACAAACAAAAAATACTGTATTTTACACTTGAAATGTGCCAGGAGGGTAGATTTTAGGTTTTTTCATCACACAAAAAAAGGTAACAATGTGAGATGATCGATATGCCAATTAATTTGATTATGGTGATCATTTCACAATGTATATATATATCCAAATATCTAGTGTACCTTAAATACATGCAATTTTAATTTGTCAATTATAACTCAAAGCTGAAAAAATTTTTAAAGAAATGCTTAAATAATGATGGAATGTTGTCAAAAGGACACACAGACCCAGTTTGGAAAGGCTCCCACAAGCCAAATCTGGGATGATTTGAGCATTGAAATAATGAGTAATGGTTTATAACCCACTGATAATAACTGATAGTAACAGATTATAACCCACCAAATAAAACAGGAATTCATAAATCCATATTGATATGAATAGGAGGGAAAAAGAGTAGGTTTTTCTTTATAGAAAAATGATGATGACTAATAAATGTAAAAAGAATAATGGAATTAGAAAAATCACCCTTCGCCAACCATCACAGTAATAAATAATTCAGCCAAGAAACACAAAAGGATGCTAAAACTAGTAGGTAAAAGTCAAGATGTTTACATAGACTCAAAACACCTCCCCCAAAATACTTATTAAATACAAAGGGAAAAAAGCATAACTAGACAGTCAAGACACCTGGCAGACACTATCTTGATAAAGTTATCAAAGTTAGCATGGCCAGTAATGGGGCAAATCCAACTGTGTACCATCAGACAGGACACAATGAGAAGAACATAGCATCGCTACTGTGATATTCCTGCCAAAGATGCATAAACTGAATCTAATCAGCAAGAAAACACCAGACAAACAACCCAAACTGAAGGGACATTCTATGGTATAACTGGCCCAGGCACTTCAAAAGTGTCAAGGTTATGAAAGTCAAGGAAAGATTTTAGAACTGTTCCAAACTAAAGACTAAAGAATCAAGACTATTAAATGCAAGGCATGATCCTGAATAGGATCCTTTCACTACAAAGGGTGTTATTGAGACAACTGATGAAATTCAAATGAGTCTGAGGATTAGAAGGTAGCAATGAAGGAAATCAGTCCAGGCTAATTTCCTGGTTGTAGTGGCTGGGCTGAGGTTATACAGGAGAATGTTCCTGTTTACAAGAAATATACACTAGCACATTCAGAGGGGACAAGGCTTCACATTGGCAACTTTCTCTCAAAAGGCTCAGAAAAAAATACAATCCTTTATTTTTGTATTTTTCTACAAATTTAAAACTATTTCAAAATAAGAAAAAATGTTAAAATAAAGTTAATGCATACAGAATATCCAGCATGATGCCTAGCACCAACTAAATGCTCTCTAAATGCTGGAGGCGGATGTTCAGTCCGTCAAGAAATTGGGGCTGCAAACAGCCTTTGTAGTTTATATTGACTTGTGTTTTCTCCTAAAGCTAAGACATACCACCTACGACAGGGGTTTTCAACTTGATTAAAATTTACAGGCTGTAGGAATATGAGCAAGGGAAAAAAATTACATCCCTATTTCCACTAACCTCTAACTGAAATTTAGCATTACCTTCAATTATGAATTGAAGGAATACTGCTATTGCTACAAACCATAGTAATACTAGTAGTATTACCTTGACTTTGTCATCAAAAGAAATAGTTATTTTGTATATGTTGCAGATATCTCAAAATATTCATTCTTATCACTACTTCATAGCTACGGCAGTTACTTATACTCACCACCATATCTTACTATTTAACATATTAATAAAGAAGCATCATTTCCATAGCATAATTTTTTTATATTTTGATAACCTAATTTCAAAATATTTGGTTTCCTTTAGTATCCTACACATATATTGTATGCATTTAAACATTTTTTCAAGATAGGGGTCTCTGGCTTCAGTAGATTGCCAAAAGGATGCAGAGGGCAAGAAAGGTGAAGAAGCCCTGATCCAGGAGAATACTGTTGTGCTTCCAATCCTGACAAAACAAGGCCAAGGCACCACCTGCCAATTAAAGCTTTTAAATGCTAAACCACCAGTCTGGTCATGATAAGTTAGTCATCCAGACTGCTGGAAATGTCAGGCCCTTTTGTAAATCATGCCACATGTCACTGGCACAAGGAGTTCCCAAATGCCTTTTGTACACAACAACAGTATCATGTGGGATTCTCTCAGCTCCCACCTGCACACAACCACGTGTGCAGCCAGAGGACCTCAGAGAAGAGTGGGGAGGATTTAAAGAGGACATGAAAACCAAGGAGGCTCTCCAGGGCCAGTGTGTCAGCCACCATGCTAAGTGCTTTCCAGGCATTTTCTCATTTAATCTTCACAATGACCCAATGTGCTTACGTGTTACTACACTCCCCATTTTAGAGATGAGGAAACTGTGACACACAAGGCTGTTCATGGTCAAGGTCAGGATGGTGAGGCCAGGTGTGGGCTTCAAGGCCCATGCTCTTCAGCCCACCCATCACTGCCCCATAATAGATGCCTTAAATATAATGCATCTGGGTGCTTGGCAAGGGTAACATCATCACTGTCAGCCACATAAAGGTCAGCCAAATAAAATAAGAAAAGCCAGTGACAAAATAAGAAAATCTATTGTTTCTTGAGCACCTAACATGAGAGGCAGTGATGATTAAGAGTGTGTGACTTTATGAACCATGTGACCTTGAACAAGTTACTCAACTTCTCTGTATGTCAATATTGTTTTCTTTTTTTTTTTTTTCTTTTTTTTTTTTTGAGATGGAGTCTCTCTCTGTCTCCCAGGCTAGAGTGCAGTGACGCACTCTCTGCTCAATGCAACCTCCACCTCCCAGGTTCAAGCAATTCTCCTGCCTTAGCCTCCCAAGTAGTTGGGACCACAGGCGCACACCGCCACACTCGGCTAATTTTTTGTATTTTAGTAGAGACGGGGTTTCACCGTGTTGCCCAGGATGGTTGCGAACTCCTGAGCTCAGGCAATCCGCCCACCTGGGCCTCCCAAAGTGCTGGGATTACAGGCGTGAGCCACCGTGCCGGGCCTGTATGTCAATATTCTTACCTCTAAGTAGTGGTAGTAATTCTACATATGTCCTGGAGCGTTAAAGAGATTAAATGAGTTAATCCAGACAAAGTTCTCAGAATGATGCCCGGCTTGAGGCAAACACTTGATATATGTCAGCTGTTACTATTATTCTTATGCTCCAAGTGCTATACTAGCTACCAACATATCATCTCTAGTTGCCACAGCATTCCAGGGAACTTCCCATTTTTCAGATGATGAAACTGACTCTCTGAGAGCAGAAGTAACTTGTTTGAGTCCACTAAGCTAGTAACTGCTACAGTCAGAATTTGTGCTTAAGTATGTAACTTCAAAGCCAACCAAGAAAGGTTGGGGAAAAAAAACAATAAATATGGATTTCTGATGGATGGCACAGAGACTCCAGGAATGTATGTATGTGGGACCCAGTATCTTAACAGGACCTCTGCAGGCTGGCTCTTAGTCCTAGAGGAGGACAGCCCACTGCCTGCCACACCAGGGCCTGGATATCAGTTCAGGCTCTTTTCTTCTTTCTGGCAGCTATTCCAAAGATTCCTCGGAATTTTCAGGCCACCATTCTCCTCAGCTCCTGCCCTCCTCCCTTCCTCCTACCCTTCCAACTCAGTGGAACTGGGAAATCCCTCCATCAGAGTCCCAGGGGGAATGCCTATCCCCTGAGACCCAGTGCTGTCATTTACCACTATCCACTGGCACACTCCAGGGCACTTCACAGGATCTGCTCCGGCCAAACCTCATCAGCAAGCCCTTCTTTGACTGATAAAGATGCCCTCCTCCAGCCCCCAGAGCTGGCGTGTCAGCCACCTGTTTACAAGGCTGAGGGCTCCTGGCAAGCAGCAGTGTCCTGAGCCAGGCACAGTGTCTGGCACAAATCAAACGCTGCCACAAATACTTGCTAAACTGATGATTAAGTAGGTAAGAGGGGAACTCAGAGACCGATATGAATCTTAAGAGAAGAGATTCCTGGGGATATTTTGCATAATGGAAGTCAGACTGAGTCAAAGTCTTCCTAGAAGCAAATTGCTTACCCATGTTAAATAAATGAACTCTTTGAAGCCATTTGGGTCCCATTTCATCAATCACCTATTCCCCTGCGTTGAATCATGCCCCATTAGAATGAAGTCATTTGGCTCCCTCAGCAGAGCTGACAAACCAGTAGATCTCCTCGGCACACAGGCAGGCGGCCAGGCTGCCCAAAGGGGAGTCATGAGAAGCACCTGCTCAGCAACAGCAACCAACCCCCACTCTCCCCTCTCCACCCAGCCCCTCCAAACAAAAAGCAACCCAGACAGGAGGCCTCTCAGTGCAGAGAAGACTCATCACTGCCACAGATCTGCTGTGTGTCTGGCTCTGCGACGTGTTCTCCACAGCCCTTGGAGTGACCACCCCGCTCACCGCATTCCCCTGCCTCACCTGAGAACTGTCCCTAAAACACAGGGGTGAGTCCCAGGAAGACTCCTCTCCTTTGTGAGCCAGGCCCTCGGCCCACTTGCTAAACTAGTACAGTTCTCTCCCAGGAACTGAGAGATTTAAACCAAGACACCAGACAGCTGGAAGTCTCTGGGTCTGTGTCATGTCAACGACAGAGCCCTAGAGTCTGGGACTCAGATGAGGTCCATGGTGCTGCCCCAGCTTCACCCTCCCCAAAGTGTGGCTGTTCAAGTCTTGCCTGGCATTTGTGACAGCCTCAAGTCTGCTCCCAGTCAATATTCCCTTTCATGGTGGTTGTGCTCAAACTACCCAATGTGGGGTTCTATGGCTTGCAACCAAAAGAATCTTAACTAATCCACTTCCATTATTTCTAATCCTCTCAAAAGGCAGGCATGTAATTGCCCACTTCACAGATTAGGAAAGTGAGTTTCAGAGGCATTAAGTGAGTTGCCCAAGATCACAGAGCTAGTGAGTAGTAGGACTGGCATTCTGACACCAAAGCCGGGCATTTTCTACTTTACCATAGTTTCCTTAATGACTTGAAGGAAACACATGTAATGTGCAGACCACATCTAAAGAGACAGCAGACATGTAAGGAGAAAGCTTAATGGATCACTTCTTGGTAATCAAGGCAATTTAGAGGCCTGGTAGATAGATGGTGTCTATTTCAGTAGCTATGTCACAGCCCTGCAACAAAGACATTAATTTTAATACCCTGAAAATTCAGCAGCGATGTCCCAACCATGCCAATAACCAAGCCATGAATCTCCGGCTGTAGTTAGTTAAATATGGTCAGTGTGTTTCACTCTCTATTCTTCAATTCCCTAGTCATCTAGCATTGATTCTCAGGATCACACAATGATTAGAAGGAAAACAGACTGCCCAGAGTCTATGGAGACATGATCATAGCCTCAAGTTCTTTCTAGAAATGGGCAGAGGATAAATTCTAAACCAACACAAAATAGCCAAGGGCACAGCAGAATAAATTCACATTTTCTACAAAGAAAGAACTACGATCTGAAAAGCACACCTTTCTTGGGGCCGGGGGAGTCGGGGGTACGACTGTAAGGCTGCAACAGTTGGGATTCCTTAAAGTGACACCAGAAATTTACAATTCTTAAGTGATCACTTAAAATTCCTTTGTTGCTGTTGTTTTGTTTTTTTAAAGAGACTGGGTCTCAGCCAGGTGCAGTGGCTCATGCCTGTAATCCCAGCAATTTGGGAGGATGAGGCAGTTGGATCATTTGAGGTCAGAAGTTTGAGACCAGCCTGGCCAACGTGGTGAAACCCTGTCTCTACCAAAACTACAAAAAAATTAGCCAGGCATGGTGGCACATGCGTAGAATCCTAGATACTTGGGAGGCTGGGGTGGGAGAATCACTTGAACCCAGGAGGCGGAGGTTGCAGTGTGCCAAGGTCATGGCACTGCACTCCAGCCTGGGTAACAGAGCAAGACTCTGTCTCAAAAAATAAATAAATAAATAAAGAGACTGGGGCTCACTCTGTGACCCAGGCTGGAGTGCAGTGGCACAATCATAGTTCACTCCAGCCTCAAATTCCTGGGCTCAAGCAATCCTCTTGAGTAGCTGGGACTATAGGCGTGCACCACTGTGCCAACCTAATTTTAATATTTTTTTTTTTTTTGTAGATACTGGGGTCTCAGTATGTTGCTCAGACTGGTCTCCAACTCCTGGCCTCAAGCAATCCTCCTGTCTCAGCCTCCCACAATGCTAGGATTACAGGTGTGAGCTATGATGCCTGGCCAGTAAATCTCTATCTACAATTTGCAATTCATCTTGTAGAACACTATTAAAGCCTTTGCTAAAATACTTAGGTATCTGACACAGTTATTTAAATATCACCGGGATCTGAATATTACCAAAATGCCCAGCTAGTAACTTTACATTTGTGGTCATGTGAAGTACATCACCCAGCACAAAAAAACTAAAAACAAAATGATAAAACTGAAATTAGATTTTAAAATACCCAACCTGTCCAATAAATCTATAAACATTTTGTTCAACATTTAGATACTTTTTTTTTTTTTTTTTTTTTGAGAGGAGTCTTGCTCTGTTGCCAGGCTGGAGTGCAGTGGCACGATCTCAGCTCACTGCAACCTCCGCCTCCGGGGTTCAAGCAATTCTCCTGCCTCAGGCTCCTAAGTAGCTGGGATTACAGGCATGTGCCACCACACCCAGCTAATTTTTGTATTTTTAGTAGAGACGGGGTTTCACCATATTGGCCAGGGTGGTCTCGATCTCTTGACCTTGTGATCCACCTGCCTCGGCCTCCCAAAGTGCTGGGATTACAGGAGATACTTTTTACATGACTAAAATGTGATTCAAAATAGCATTTTAGTTTAACTAACTTAATATATTCAAAGTAATGAAGATATTTCCAACTAAAATAACCTGATGAGCTGCTATCTTGGTGTGAAAAAGACTATGCCTTATATTACAGGTTAATGTGAATCTTAGCCAACTAAAGTTGGTCAAAATCTAACTAAATGCTAGTTAGAATCACAAAATATTAGCCCTCTGAGATTTAGTTATAAGACTTGCCCCAGGTTACGTAAGTGAAATGACAGAGTCGACAGAGAGAAATCCAGGTCTCCAGATTGCTGGCCCAGCCCAAGGGCTCCATAAGTCCATGCTGACGCTCTCAAGAGAAACAGCAAAATGCAAATACACAAACAGTCAGAATTAAGAAACAGCTCCAACTGTTCAGCCAATGATACCCCCAGGACAAGCTCTGATACTGAGCAGATACACAGCACAGTGGCTAGCATTGGTTGCTAATATACTGAAATACTTCCACACCAGTTGGAAAATAAACCCTGGTCCATCCACTCCAACCACCCTAGCTGCCCTGGTCCCTCCCTAGGGACCTCCCCATGAGGTCCCTAGTAGTTTTTAAACTACAGGGTTGGTGCCTGGCACAGGAGCAGGCCTCCAGGTCCCCACTCCAGCTCTAGTGCCCGAGTCTTTTCTGAAGGCTGATGCCCATGTTGTACCAGTTGTTAATTATTTTGAGAATCACCCTTCACAAACCTGCAAGTCACAATCAGAGCCATTCATCAGAAAACTAATTTGCATAAGAGTTCTCTATCTTCCAAATGTATGAACTTAATTTAAGCCAGGTTTTTCTTTTAAAAAAAAAAAAAAAAAAAAACCTGGCCTACAGTTAATTCTTTTCCTTTCCCACATCTGGCTGCCTGGTTGCATTATTCATTCATTCACTCAACAAATATTTACACAGCCAGGCAACAGGCTGAACACTGGGATTCGGAACATGTGCCAGTTCCCTACCCCAGAAGTGCCTGCCCATGGTGCTGTACAGGAGCCCAGGTGAGAGGAAGCGGAAAGGTGGATCGTGTAACTCCAACAAACAGAGTAAGTGCCATGATAGAGGGGTGTGTAAAGTGCTGTGAACCAGAGGAAAACGGGGGACCACACTACTAAGCAGGATCAGGAAAGACTCCAGAGAGAAGGTGACACTAAGATGGCACCTGCAGAGATGTTCAGGAGTTAGCATGTAAACAAGGAGGGAAAAATCAGTCCAGGCAGATGGAACTACATACACAAAGGCACAGAGAGGTACAAACATGGTGTTTTCAGGAATCTATAAGAAATTTGCTATTGCTGGCGACGAAAGAAAATGAGATTGGAAACTTGATTTGGGGCCAGATAAGGAAGGGCCTGCTGTGCCATTTTCTGCGTGAATTTAAATAGGAACACTTACGAAACACTTGGGATTACATAGTTCTTAAGAGGTGAGCCCTGATAGAGCAAATGAGGCTTCTGGTTTAACAAGCTATGCTTTCTCAGTTTCGTGTGCAGTGCAAAGACTAATATTCATTGAAGGATATTAATCTGTAACGTGGTAGGCTAAGAACTCCTCCTCCTACCTGTTGTAGGCTCAGTTACCAACAAGAAGGCATTTGAGGATCTCTAGATCAAAGGAGTTATCAAATATGTTTCAAAAAAGTGTATGAATCCATTCGCATGTGAATGTCCAATTTCAGTCAAGCTTACCTTAGAGAAGATGGTTTTGCTGCCTGGTGGCTGTTGAGAAGAGCACTTTTCTGTTATTAAGCCTTCACTCCTGAGCTCAAGATCCTCTGCAGCCATTAAATAGCAGTTCTGCTGTATTACTTCCAAATCTTTTTCATTGAATTTCTAATGAAATAAAACAAATTCTAAGGAAATTGTCATCAAGAAAAAAAATATTAAGAAACTGTCCCAAACTCCTTAAGGAAAAATATTTTATTTTTTCATAATACTCCTATATCCCCTACATAATTTTCATCATTCCAAAATACTAGGCAATTACAAAACTGTCATGCAACTCCATTTCTATGCTATTACAACTTGCAGAATAGCTGAATGCCAGCAAAGCAGAGCCAAGGATGGTCGCAGTCGCTACAAACCGTCCTCGCTCACCACCACTGTGACTACCTTCCAGTGGGTGTGGAGGACAAAGCCAGGCTCTGACCCAACAGACCTGGTTCCAAACCTAGGTTCATCCTGCTCAGGGTGCGATCTGCTTCCAGTCCTGCAGGCTTATGGGGATGATTACAAGACTTGCACATCAAAACCCAACGAAGTCTTAGTCTCTCTTGAAATGTTACAAATTTGATAAAACTTGAACTGTCCATATCCAAAAGGAGATCTGACTTCCAGGAAAAAAAGCCAAGACTGCAAATACTGCTTTAGGGTCTGGTCACATGTGAAAGGCTCCTTCATGATCACACATGATATGATTCCACTGGCTGAACCCTTCAGAAGATCGAACATTCAACAACACAACAGGACCGGAGACCATATCTCTAGTCTTCTGCATGGAATCTATTCCTAACTATTTAAAATCCTAGTAACTCCTGAACTAGGATTCTGTCCACTCTTGTCAAATATTAAGGGTAAGAACCACATCTTATTCCTAAGCACCTAGCAGAATTAATTTATCCTTTCAAATTTTTATAAGAAATTAGGTGAACACAAACAAAAAAATTAAGGCAATTCTTTATAAAAACCCATTGAACTGTAATAGAAAGAACTAGGAATCAAATAACCAATACTGACTTTCTAGAATTGTCACAATACAGTTGTGCTTAAATTACACTATTCATTTTCATTTTTCTAAAGTCCAATTATAGATATACATAGTTTAACAGTCAAATAGTACTACAGGCTTAAATGGAAAATGGTGTCCTCTCCCTCTCCTCTCTTCTCACCTCTCAAATCCCACTCCCAGAGAAAAACAACTTGCAACTCTTTAGCTATTTCTTCTGCTATATACCTCCATGTTTCTATATTACATTCCTATTCTTACATGGCTTGGTTTCTTAAGTTTAGATTCTACCTACTGGCTCCTGCCATAGAAGTTTAAGGATTCAGCTCTTACATCCTCTGTCCCTCAACCCTTTTCCTAATAATATCCCAATTTCAGTTAAATCAATATTCTGCATTTACATTATAGCCACGCAGATACTGCTCATAACTTAGCCATATGGTGTTCCGTGATCACACATCAAAAAATTGACCATCTGCATTTTAGTTTCTTAGAGAAATCCCAACTGAAGTCCTCCTCAAGAGTTCAAATCTGGGCTTTCTACCTAAGCAGCTCAGCTCTCATCCCAGGACTTCCCTTCACCACATGCCATGTGAATTCCCTACTTTGTGGAACCCATGTCTCTCTCTTTCGGTTATTCTCTCCCATTTGGTGATTCCTTTATACATATGGAATCATCCTACGAGAGCTTCCAGCAAGAGTACATAGGAGGCAAATGACTGTAGGCACCAAATGTCTGAAAATGCCTTTATTCTGCCCTCACACTTGCTGACAGCTTGGCTGAGTACAGAACGCTGAATTGGAAATCACTTTTCCTCCAAATCTGAAAGCATTGCTCTTCCATCTTCTGGTTTCCAATGTTGCTGCTGAGAATTCCGATGTCATTCCAAGTGTGGGTTCTTTGTATGTGACCTGTATTCTCCTCTCTGTGGAAGCCTTTCAGGTCCTCTCTTTATCCCTCTGTTCTAAAATTTCAAAATGACACACCATGGGGTATGGGTCTTTTCTCATTCTTTGTGCTAGAAACATAGCAGGCCCTTTCAATGTAGAAATAGTTGTCCTTCCATTCTGGGGAATTTTCTCCTATTACTTTGAAAACTTCCTTTCCTCTGTTTTGCCTGTCTTTCTGGAACTCCTATTAGTCATATTTTGGACCTCTTGTATCAAGCCTCTAGTTTTCTTAATTTTCTCTCCCATTTTCTCATCTTTTTATTTGTTTAGTTCTATTTTCTGAAAGACTTACTCAACTTTATCTTCCAACTTTTCTTACTCTTCTTTTAAACTTTTTTATATTTGCAGTCCTACTTTCAAATTCCAATAGGTCTTCTTTTCCAAATATCTTTTTTGTCAGAGCCTTATCCAAAGGAGTTATAGCCCTGAAATGTTTGGATTTTTAAAAGCTGTCTTGTTTTCTCCTCCTTGCATGTTTCTATTTCCTCTATGTACCTCTGTTCTGTTTGGCCTTTGTCTTTGTCTTTCCTTTTTTTTTTTTTTTGAGAAGGAGTTTCACTCTTGTTGCCCAAGCTGGAGTGCAGTGGCACAATCTCGGCTCACCGCAACCTCTGCCTCCCGGGTTCAAGCGATTCTCCTGCCTCAGCCTCCCGAGTAGCTGGGATTACAGGCATGCACCACCACACCTGGCTAATTCTGTATTTTTAGTAGAGACGGAGTTTCTCCATGTTGGTCAGGCTGGTCTCAAACTCCCGACCTCGGGTTATCCGCCCACCTCAGCCTCCCAAAGTGCTGGAATTTCAGGCGTGAGCCACCACGCCAGGCCATCTTTCCTCCTAAATTCTTTTCTCCTATTTGATAAACTCAGGCCATCCACCTACTTTTAGGGGTTAGAAGTGCTCAGCAGCTCTGAGAGTGTGGAAAGGACCTGTCAAAGGTGGCCTCACAGTGAGGTGCGCAGGTAGAGGCCCAGGTATTTTGCTGGAGGACCCCCAATTGTCAGCATTTTTCAGTTGTTTCTCCTCTCTGAGGCATCTCACTGCTGGGCATGCACACTTCCACTCCCTCCCTGTTTTCACTTAAGTGGTCACTCCTGCTTTCAGTTACATCTGGTGACCCCATGGCCAGAGATTCTCTGGTTTAAGGTCTCCAGAGATCTCCTGCTGGTGAGGAGAGTGTCACCTCTAACTGCTTAGAATTACAGCCAGTCTCCCATTTTTAAAGTTACCAGGTATAGCCAATGCATGCTATGCCTTTCTGGGGTTCTGCAGCATAAACCAGCTTGCTTCTTGTTGGCTTTTTGTCCCAAAGGCATGTAGCTGTGTGGAGAAAGCTGAATCCTATGCCCTTAACACTTGCCCATCCACTTAGCCAAATTTTTTTTTCTTTGTTTTTTTCTTTTTACCTCTTTCGTCTACAAGCCACACTTATCCAAAATTCTGTTGACAACTCACACTTGCTATTATACCTGCTTCTATTCTCCTAGTTAGTCCCTGTGGGTTTATACCTTTTTATTCTTTCATTGTTATTTTAATGAGGTTTCTGTAGGAAGCAGAGTTAAATGCCTATGTTTACTCCATCATGGTTATCTGTAAGTCTGAGGTGAATTTCAAAAACTCACGACATGATCAAACAAGAAGGGTACTCCTAAAGAAAAAGGAACAGTTAGAGAAAAAGTACAGGGGAATGAAAGAGCATGGTATAAATAAGTAACAGGAAGTATTTGCAGTAGAAGAACCTCAGTGAAGTGGCCTGAGCACTAGGGCAAAACAAGCCAGAGTGTGAATCCAGGCTCTGCTATTTAGTCGTCATATGACCCAGGATATGTTTCTTCCCTTCTCTGAGTTTCTGTTTCACCACACTTACCTCCCTGGTGGCTGAAGCCCAAATGACATAATTAAAGCTCTAAAGTATTCTGAAACATAGCAATGATTACTGTAATCATAAATATTTCTGCAAAAGAATTATTTTTTAAAAAAATCAACCCATGCCAAATTAAAAAATTTAAATACAAAAGTTACAGTACCTGAAGCAACACGTCCTTCTGATTGGTACTTTCTGTTAGATGTTTGATCACTTGCTCTTGATTGTGCAATTTTTTATTGCTTTCACTCAGAAGACTCTTGTAACGATTTTCCATTGCTTTCTCTCTTTCATTCACTTCATTGCGTAATTTTTCAACTTCATTTCTAAGATCCTACCAGAAGAAAATGAAAAAATGGAATTTACTTGACAAAAATTTCAATCTCTTATGTGTTTGACTTGCTAAATTACTGCTACAAGAGAGCAAGATAATAGATGTATTTAAGGGAGTATACAAGTGTATATTTAAATCCTTCTCACTTAAAATCTTACAAAAACCACTATAAGAATAATCTGAAATTTGGCAAAAGATTTATGAACAGATATTTATCACAACATTATTTAAAATGCTGGAAAACCAGAAAGAAACTAGACAGTCAACAACAGAGAAATAATTATAAAGAGTACGGTATTTAAAAAACACACACCCACAATTATGAGTCAAAACAAACCAGAGTATCAAACTGTACAGATAATAAGATGCTCATTATTTTCTAAATGTTAATACAAATGTCATAAGGCTGAGGTAACACATCAAAACAACAACAGTATATCTAAGTAGAGGAATTGTGGGTAATTTTCCATTTTTTTTACTTATTTTTCTAAGTTTCCACAATTTCTAAATAATCCTGTATTATCTTCATAATCAGGAAAAAAACTGTCTTAATACCATTTACAAAGAATTTATAATAACATAAAAAAAGTTCATGTTATTCCCATGTTACAGAAAAAGGAAAAAAAAACCGTATACAGAATGATTGTGACTACCTTTAAATATGTACTATTTGCAATACTGAAGCACTATTCATAATAGCAAAAGGCTGTGAACAATCCAAATGTCCACCAACAGAGGAATAAACTATGGTACATTCTCACAATGGAGCACTCTTAAGCTATAAAGGAAAAGGAATGAGGACTCTTTCTCTCTATAAATATACTGCCCTAAAGTAATCTTCAGAATATTTTGTTAAGTGTGTGTGGCAGCAGCAGAGACCCAAGAGAAATAAGTATGGATAGCATACTGCCATTTATTTAACCATAAAACAAATTAAATGACTGCCTATAAGGTATAAGAGAGAACAAGGTAGAAGGGACAAAGATAGAAACTAAAACTCATTTTACAGATGTGACGTTGCAATCATTTAAACGTTTATACAATTATCTTAAAAATAAAATAAAAATCCCATAAAACTGAAAAAAGAGCAAGCAAACAAATGAATCTAACTTTGTAACCAGTTAACTGGTTAACCAAACAGACAGAAATTGTTCCAATAACTTTGAAGCAGAATAATTTGTACATCCCTAGTGGGATATTTCTCTAAGTACAAAAGAGGTTGTAAAAAAATCTTAAACTGTTTTTAGTAATCATGTTATAAGTAATGATATTGGTAATGTTATTCTGAAACTGTGTGAGTATATATAACATATATATTTATTAAACAATTATTGTCATAAAACCCAAAACTTTAAGTAGAAAAGAAATACAAACATAGAAGAAGTTAAAACTTGTCACTCTAAATTTGAATTTGAAATATCAATATGAACTTCTATTTTCTGTCGTTTCCTTTCTTTCACTAAAAAAGCCTAGAATTGGTGTCCTCCCTGGTATCCAGACTATAGTCTCTAAACGCCTTTTCCTATAAAAAAGATCAGGGTTCTTCAAAGCAGTGGTTCTAAAGTATAGTCCCTAGAACAGCATAATCAGTATCACCTGCATATATGCAAATATATCACTGGTTCTGAGGATGGAAAGGGGACTCAGACCAAGAAATCAGGTAGGCTCTAGGAGCTGGAAAAGGCAAGGAACTGACTCTCCTCTAGAGCCTTCAGGAGGAATGCAGCCCTGCCGACACCTTGATTTTAGTCCAGTGGGACCCATTTGAGACTTCTGACTTCTAGAATTGCAAGATAATAGATTTGTATTGTTAAGCCACCAAGTTTGTGGTAATTTGTTGCAGCAGCAATAGAAGCTAATAATACAGCCACCATTGGAGGATTCTAGGGAACTTGTTTTCACTTTCCTGTATGAGCTGCACCTCAGGGTAACTAAATAGGTGATGAAAAACCAAGTTTCTCTTTATAGACGTATTCAGCTATAAAAGAAGGAATAATGAAATCAAATTATCACCATTTGCAAATGATCAATAGCTAGTAACATCACAAAAAGAGGGACTATCAAATATTTGAAAGTACAAATGACCATTTATGATGTAACATTGCCAAAAAATTTAACCTGAATTTGACCATGCATCTTATCTAAACTACCACTTTAGATGGTAGTTAGACTGTTTACCAGAAACAGTCAACAGAGAAATAAGTCAAATGACATTACAGAAACAGTCAGCAAAATCCATAATGTGAAAAACTCTAAAGAACAAACAACCCAACATATTCAACAAACAAATTACATGGGGTAAAAAAAGGAGGGAGAACCTGCTTACTTATTAAACAATAAGTTTAAAAGTTAGCCTGTCATCTCAGCACTTTGGGAGACCGAGGCAGGCAGATCGCTTGAGGTCAGGAGTTTGAGACCAGCTTGGCCAACATGGCGAAACTCTGTCTCCATGAAAAATACAAAAATGAGCAGGGCATGGTGGCACATGCCAATAATCCCAGCTACTAAGGAGGCTGAGGCAGGAGAATCACTTGAATCCGAGAGGCAGAGGTTGCAGTGAGCCAAGATGGCACCACTGCACTCCAGCCTGGGCAGTACAGCAAGACTCAGTTTAAAAAAAAAAAAAAAAAAAGTAAAGGAAGGGGAGAATGAACTCTGCTATCAGTCTGAATTCATGATCACACACACACACAGAGAATTGGAAAGACATAGAAATATAAATATACATGTTTGTATGCATGTGTCAATACACATATTTCAGCTCTGTACACTGACAAATCCTAGAGGCAATAACACTCCAGTAGTAATGAGGATACCTATCATTCACATCTTGGTTTCTAAATATCATTTTCCAATAAAAGAAACCAGTGTTTCTTGGGCAAATACTTGATTCCAGACCTGGAGCAGGGAAAACATAATACGAAATGAGCCTAGGAGATCTTGTGCTCCTAGAAAGCAAGGAATTGCTCAAAAAATGAGGAGTCATGTTGAAAAGGCACAGGAATCAATTTGAAGGAGCTCCCAATGGCCAAGTCTGGGTCAATCTGAACAATAAAATAAATAATGATAGTAATGGCTTATAACTTATAGAGTAAAACAGTATCTGCAAGTCCATACTGATAGAAACAAATAACTAATAAACAAATGCAGGAGGAGGAAGAGGACAGCTCTTCCTCATGGTAGACATAATACAACTAATAAGAATAGAAGGAAAGATAGAAAAAGAAAATAACAACTAGGTAAACACCACAGTAATAACTGTTGCAGGTAAGAATCATCAGGCGGCGCCGGAGGCCCCAGAAGGGTCGAAGGCGCCGCGGGCTGGGGTCGGTGGCTTAGGGAGCCCGTCTGGCCATGGTGGCCGCGGCTGGTGGTTGGCGCGGCTGCGCTGCGGCCCGGGGCAGTGCGGAGCCAGGACAGTCGCGGCGCTGACGCCCGCGGGCCCCAGCTGCAGATATGAAGCGGAGCCGCTGCCGCGACCGACCGCAGCCGCCGCCGCCCGACCGCCGGGAGGATGGAGTTCAGCGGGCAGCGGAGCTGTCTCAGTCTTTGCCGCCGCGCCGGCGAGCGCCGCCCGGGAGGCAGCGGCTGGAGGAGCGGACGGGCCCCGCGGGGCCCGAGGGCAAGGAGCAGCCGCCTGCCTTGGCCTCCCAAAGTGCCGAGATTGCAGCCTCTGCCCGGCTGCCACCCCGTCTGGGAAGTGAGGAGTGTCTCTGCCTGGCCGCCCATCGTCTGGGATGTGAGGAGCCCCTCTGCCTGGCTGCCCAGTCTGGAAAGTGAGGAGCGTCTCCGCCCGGCCGCCATCCCATCTAGGAAGTGAGGAGCGCCTCTTCCCAGCCGCCATCACATCTAGGAAGTGAGGAGCGTCTCTGCCCGGCCGCCCATCGTCTGAGATGTGGGGAGCGCCTCTGCCCCGCCGCCCCATCTGGGATGTGAGGAGCGCCTCTGCCCGGCCGAGACCCCGTCTGGGAGGTGAGGAGCGTCTCTGCCCGGCCGCCCCGTCTGAGAAGTGAGGAGACCCTCTGCCTGGCAACCACCCCGTCTGAGAAGTGAGGAGCCCCTCCGCCCGGCAGCTGCCCCATCTGAGAAGTGAGGAGCCTCTCCGCCCGGCAGCCACCCCATCTGGGAAGTGAGGAGCGTCTCCGCCCGGCAGCCACCCCGTCCGGGAGGGAGGTGGGGGGGGGTCAGCCCCCCGCCCGGCCAGCCGCCCCATCCGGGAGGGAGGTGGGGGGTCAGCCCCCCCGCCCGGCCAGCCGTGCCATCCGGGAGGGAGGTGGGGGGGTCAGCCCCCCGCCTGGCCAGCCGTGCCATCCGGGAGGGAGGTGGGGGGGTCAGCCCCCCGCCCGGCCAGCCGCCCCGTCCGGGAGGTGAGGGGCGCCTCTGCCCGGCCGCCCCTACTGGGAAGTGAGGAGCCCCTCAGCCCGGCCAGCCACCCCGTCCGGGAGGGAGATGGGGGGGTCAGCCCCCCCACCCGGCCAGCCGCCCCGTCCGGTAGGGAGGTAGGGGGGTCAGCCCCCCGCCTGGCCAGCCGCCCCGTCCGGGAGGGAGGTGGGGGGGTCAGCCCTCCGCCCGGCCAGCCGCCCCGTCTGGGAGGTGAGGGGCGCCTCTGCCCAGCCGCCCCTACTGGGAAGTGAGGAGCCCCTCTGCCCGGCCAGCCGCCCCGTCCGGGAGGGAGGTGGGGGGGTCAGCCCCCCGCCCGGCCAGCCGCCCTGTCCGGGAGGGAGGTGGGGGGGTCAGCCCTCCGCCCGGCCAGCCGCCCCGTCTGGGAGGTGAGGGGCGCCTCTGCCCGGCCGCCCCTACTGGGAAGTGAGGAGCCCCTCTGCCCGGCCAGCCGCCCCGTCCGGGAGGGAGGTGGGGGGGTCAGCCCCCCGCCCGGCCAGCCGCCCCGTCCGGGAGGGAGGTGGGGGGGGGGTCAGCCCCCCCGCCCAGCCAGCCGCCCTGTCCGGGAGGTGAGGGGCGCCTCTGCCCGGCCGCCCCTACTGGGAAGTGAGGAGCCCCTCTGCCCGGCCAGCCGCCCCGTCCGGGAGGGAGGTGGGGGGGTCGGCCCCCCGCCCGGCCAGCCGCCCCGTCCGGGAGGGAGGTGGGGGGGTCGGCCCCCCGTCCGGCCAGCCGCCCCGTCCGGGAGGTGAGGGGCGCCTCTGCCCGGCCGCCCCTACTGGGAAGTGAGGAGCCCCTCTGCCCGGCCAGCCGCCCCGTCCGGGAGGGAGGTGGGGGGGTCAGCCCCCTGCCCGGCCAGCCGCCCCGTTCGGGAGGGAGGTTGGGGGGTCAGCCCCCCGCCCGGCCAGCCGCCCCGTCCAGGAGGGAGGTGGGGGGGGTCAGCCCCCCTGCCCGGCCAGCCGCCCCGTCCGGGAGGTGAGGGGCGCCTCTGCCCGGCCGCCCCTACTGGGAGGTGGGGAGCCCCTCTGCCCGGCCACCACCCTGTCTGGGAGGTGTGCCCAACAGCTCATTGAGAACGGGCCAGGATGACAATGGCGGCTTTGTGGAATGGAAAGGCGGGAAAGGTGGGGAAAAGATTGAGAAATCGGATGGTTGCCGTGTCTGTGTAGAAAGAAGTAGACATGGGAGACTTTTCATTTTGTTCTGCACTAAGAAAAATTCCTCTGCCTTGGGATCCTGTTGATCTGTGACCTTACCCCCAACCCTGTGCTCTCTGAAACATGTGCTGTGTCCACTCAGGGTTGAATGGATTAAGGGCGGTGCAAGATGTGCTTTGTTAAACAGATGCTTGAAGGCAGCATGCTCGTTAAGAGTCACCACCACTCCCTAATCTCAAGTAATCAGGGACACAAACACTGTGGAAGGCCGCAGGGTCCTCTGCCTAGGAAAACCAGAGACCTTTGTTCACTTGTTTATCTGCTGACCTTCCCTCCACTATTGTCCCATGACCCTGCCAAATCCCCCTCTGTGAGAAACACCCAAGAATTATCAATAAAAAAATAAATTTAAAAAAAAAAAAAAAAAAAAAAAAAAAAAAAAAGAATCATCAATGGATGCTAGAATTCTTCAAAGTATGACGAGAAGCAGGATATTCATATAGTCTCAAAAGATCTCCCCACAAAATTAATTATAAAGGGAATAAAATAGTGACTTTATAGTGAAGAAACCCAGAAGATTCCACTTTAACCAAGTGACTAGCACTAACCTCATCAATAATGACAGACTGACATTACGCACCTCCAAATACAATACACTAAGAAGAGCACATCACTTCCATGCTATTCTTGCCAAAAACACATAACCTCAATCTAATCATGAGAGTGTTGGGAGAAAAGCTGAGTGTTGGGAGAAGCTGAGGCAGGGCTTGATATCTGACATAATGTAAAAGAGTCTTGGAACATGTCCGGGGTTCAGGGTCTAAAACCCCTGTGGCCTTTGGAACACCAAGCTCTGTGCTAAAGGGTGGAAGGCTACCCTGATGCACCATAATCTAAGCCCAGGGCATAAAACCCCTCGTGGCTTGGATAGAATCCAGGGCTCAAGGCATAAAATCCCTTGTAGCTCTAGGATGTGTCTAGTCTTGCTGGCTCCTTGCTCTCCCAGGATGGATTGTATCTTGAGTTAAAAGAACCTGCTCTCCGTTATCTCAAGTAGCAGAACATGTTCCATATGCCGCAAAGGAAATGCTAAACTGTCACAGCTGTGGATCACGTGCTTGCCCTTTCCCATATTCTCACCACCTGTTTCTTTGTTTGATCACCAATAAATAGTCTGGGCTTCCAGAGCTCCAGGCCTTCCCAGCCTCCATACTTAGCGATGGCCCCCTAGTGCCACTTTCTCTCTCAAACTGTCTTTTCTCATTCCTTTGACTCCGACGGACTTCATTGCCCCCACGACCTGGTGTTGGGTCTGATCACCCCAACATAAGAGAAACACCAGACAAGCCCAAATTTAAGAACATTTCACAAAATAACTGACCAGTCCTCTTCAAACCAGTCAAGGTCATAAAAGACAAAAGCTGAGCAACTGTTCCAGATTAGCCAAGACTAAGCAGACATGACAATTCAATGTGGATCCTTCATGAGATCCTGAACCCGAAAAGGGTCACTCATGGGAAAACTGGCAGAATTCAAATAGAGTCTGTAGATTAGTTCATAATGTTGCATCAATGTTAATTTCCTGATACTGGTAAGTATGCCACAGTAATGCAAAATGTTAACACTAGGGGATATATGGGAACTCGCTATATTGTTTTTGCACCTTTCCTGTATGTTTAAAATTATTTCAAAATAAAAAGGCTTTAAATATATATATATATATATATCAACGGGTGTGGTGACTCACGCCTGTAATACCAACACTTTGGAAGCCCAAGGCAGGAGGATCACTTGAGCCCAGGAATTTGACACCAGCCTGGGCAACATGGCAACACCCCATCTCTAAAATAAATAAATAAATAAGTAAATAAAATGCAATGTATATACCTTGTTTGGATCATGATTTATCTTTTTTTAGAGACAAGGTCTTACTAAGTTGTCCAAGTTTATCTCAAATTCCTGGGCTTAAGCAATCCTCCCATCTCAGTCTCCCAAAGTGCTGGGATTACAGGCATGAGCCACCACTCCCATCCTTGGATCATGATTTAAACAAATTATTTCAAACAATTGTTTTTAATGAGACAATCAGGGAAATCTAAACATTTATTGGTTATTTGGTAATTTTAAGAGATTACTACCCTTTTTAATGTGAAAATGGTACTTTTTAAAGCATACTGAAATACTGATAAAGTAGTATGTCTGGGAATTGCTTAAAATAATTCAGTGTTGAAAAGGAGGGAGTGAGGGGGAGGGCAGAGATGACACAAGATTAGCTCTCAGTTTGTGATGGCTAATGCTGGGAGACAAACACATAGGGGTTCAATGTACTATTCTCTCTCCTTTTGTGGGTATTTGAATTTTCCATAATGAGCAGGGGTTTTTTTTTTAAAGGTACTTATTAGAAACCTGCAAGAAGTATCAGAACACATGATTATAGATGATTTTTTTAATTGTGTTATTCTTTTCTTAATTTTAAAATATTTCACACTAAGCAGACACTACATTCATAATTGGTAAAGTAACATTTTTTTAAATGCTTTAAAAATTGTTAATTTTTTTCTTGGGCAAAAAGATGATGATGAGATTGCCCTAAACCTTTACTCCAAACAGCCAGACCAAGAACCTATCATGAATTATAAATGGCAGTAAATAGAAATTCAATTCTGGAGAAGGAAAGAAAGGGTTTTTTATATTATTATACAAATGATACTAAAGCAACATTAACAGAATTCTAAAGCTAAAGAACAAAAACATTCCCCCAAAATACAGTCATGGCAATATATTAAACCATTTTCAAACAGTAGGTGCTCCTTTCAGTTCTTGTCCATCTGCAGCCCTAATTTTTATACAGTTTTTAAGTTTGGTATGGACTTTACCCCATTTCACTTTACTCCATTATACTATATGGCCTACAAAGAGCATAGAGCAATTAATTAATGATAACATAAAAGAACAATTAAACAAAAAGAAAAGTTTAAGAGAATAAAGTCAAGAAAAGTTTTTTGTTTTGTTTCATTTAAAGTACAGAGATGAGAATGGTCTAGAGAGCTGCTATAATACGGAGCTTCCAACTTGGCTCTGCTCATCCTTTTAGTCTAAAGGAAAGGCGGGACAGGTGGCGAGGCAGTGCCTAAAGTGAAAGATACCACATGATCGTTATGCTGACCAATTTTAATGCATATCTCTTAGGTCACTTAACTACTTTCCCACTGTCACCAACTGTTTGCTAGTACAGAAAATACAAAAAGGAAGAGCTGTGAGCATAAAACAAGTTTTTTTTTTCTAACTTCTGATTTGTTTTCTTAGGCTAAATCCCCAAAAGTAGAATTACTAGGCCTAAGGGTAAGCATGTTTTCAGAATTCTTTCTACAATGTGACAAACTTCCTTCCAAAAACACAGTGGCAAAAATGCAATCACCAAGTGGGAGTTTTTTGTTGCACCACATCCTCACCAGCACTGATATTTTCTTAAATGTTTGCTAATTTAATTGGTATAAAAAGGTTCTTCACAAGTGTTTGAATTTGCATTCTTTGATTGCCAATCATGCTTCTATATATTTGACTATTGTTTGAATTTCTCCTTGTGCAAATTGTCCTTGTGGGCCATGAATGAAAATAGTTTCAAGGAGAGTCATAATGAAAAGCTGATCTCTCAAGAATCACCCAAGGTGTACATACACAAACATACACACATAAGCTCATTTTCCCCCTACATTACAAAATCTACCAGGGCAAGGTCTAGCTACCATACTAATGCCATTAGAGAAGAGGCTGATTATGAGGGTTCACCTTTCAAATGGATATCATCATGTTTTTGCCTTCCTGATTGTGTTTTGCTGGCCGGTGACTGCTCAGAAACAGTCAATACAACCAGGGCCAGAAGAGCGGCTGTGGCTAAAGAACGGGTACTGAGTGGAGTAAGGGGGGGCCTGGGAACTCCCATACCTGAAAATTCCTACACCTGGGAGCTCCCACATCCGGGTTCTATTAATAATAGATGCTACTGTGTGTCAAGCACCTACCATTGTTCCAGGCAAGGTGCTAGACACTTTCATAATGAGGCATTTACTCTTCACAACATACGATGGCCCACAAGGCCCCCATCAGCTAGACCCCCCTGACCTCGCTGCCCTCTTCTCCTGTGGCTCTCCGCAGCCAGTTCTGCTCCAGCAACCCTGGCTGTCTTGCCGTTCCTCTTACACACCAGGTCAGAGCCCTTAAGCCTGCTGCTCTACCTGGAAAGTTCTCCAGGTTGCTCCCTTACTTTCTTCAAGTGTGTGCTCAGCCATCATCTTCTCAGACCAGTCTTCCCTGACCATCCACCTTACTCTCCATATTCCTTCCCTTCACCACTTGCCCCATGGAACCTCCTAATATAGTATTTAATTTATATGTGTATTTTGCTTGCAGTTTTCCCACCAGAATGCAAGTTCCATGAGGGCAGGGAATTTTGTGTATTTTGTTTGCTGCTATATCTCCAGCACCTAGAATGGTACCTGGCACATAGCAGACACTGTGGCAGATTAAACATAGCCATAAATTATTTGACTTCCCTTCCATCAAGAGGTGTGGAGTCTATGTCCCCTCCTATTGAATCTGGGCAGCATAGCACCTGCTGTGACCATGAGAATACGGCAGAAGTGACACTATGTCAGTTTCTGTTCTTTCCAGCCATCCCCGACAAGGTACCAGACATATGAGTGAAGAATCATGGACCCTCCAGTCCACCCCATCCACCAGCTGAAGACCATGAGTAACCTGGGCCACATGGAGCAGAATACCCAGCTATGCCCTGCCCAAGTCCTTGGCTCGCAAACTCATTAGGTATAATGAAATGATTGTTGTTTTGGGGTAATTTGTTATGCAGCAATAGATATCAAGGAAAGCACTCAATAAGCATCTGTTGGATGACTGAATAAATTAAGGAATGAGATGGATGGGACTGCTCCCATTTTATGAATGAGGAAACAGGCTGAGACAGGTAATTTGCCTAAGATCACAGTCACCAAGGGACAGCACCTGCCTTATTCCAGGTCTCTCTCATTCCAAATCTTCTCAGTTCGCCTCCACACCATGGTTTAGATCTCTTTTGCATGACTCACTAACACAATGATCCCAGTCCACTTAACGTATATCTAATACTCACTTTTAGAAATCTTCCCCTGAAAAATGCTGTGAAGAATAACTATAAAACCTGTGTTAAGCCAGCCATTTAGGTACACCTTTAAATTCACAATAAATGTGTATGTCATCCTAGAAAGATCGTGCACACCCGTTAATTCTAAAAATGTTCACGTATCATGCTGAGTAAAGAGTGTGCACTTTTCCTGTGCACAGTAATTACAGGTCCACTTACCTCATTTCCGAGATTCAGTTTCCTCCTCTATACAAACGACTATCAGAACCATATTTTGATGTCTGGTTCAAGTTCCAGTGTATGTATGTGTATTCAGCAACCATTTATTCCATGCTCCTTTTAATTTCCTTTTAATTTTTAATTCAGCTACCTAGGTTAAGAACGTCTTACACGGCTTAAGCAATAAGGGCTACTAACGTGCCACATTTCTCCCACAAATCCCCTAACAGAGTTGACAACGTGAAAATGACCTGTTACAGAATTCCACAAAGGACATGTAGTTTTGTCATTCCCCAAGATTTGTAGTTTTGTCATTCCCCAAGATTAGGAGTTCTTAACCTAAGGTCCATTGACTGGGCCAGGGATCCTATGCAAATTTGTATGCGTGTACATTTGCGGTCGGGGGTCAGGTAGAAGGCCCACAGCATCAACAGAACCTTGGGGAAAGTTAGGATACCAAAGAGTATAGACCGCTTCTCTTATTTTACTCATTAGTTATGGAAACCACCATTTACTGAGCACCAGCTATGAACCAAACACAGGCCAAGGCATTTTTACACAAAACATCTCAAACCCTAATGACTGCCTACATGGTAAGTATTATTAGTCCTGTTTTTACAGAAAGAGAACTAAGGCCCACAGAGGTTGAGATATTTTCACAAAGCTTTACAAAAGCTCTAGTAAGTTCTAGTGCTGAAATCCAAACCCCAGTCAGTGTGACCCCAAATTCTGTGCTTTTTCCACCCAAATGTGCTATTGTTAAGGCTAAAGAAAACATAAAACCACTCTGTGACATAGGCTTCCACTAGCCAATAATTTCAATACCTGAAATTAATTTATCATTTCTTAAGGACTTGGATTGATGGACTCTCTAGCCTGAGACTGAGGCCCTCCTTCTAATGAATGGGGCAGAACCAAGCACCTTCAACCTCATATGAAGAGCAGTCAAAGAAAGTTTAAAGCAAAATGACCATAGGGGGAGGGCAGGTTTGTGTGCAGAGATGGCCCTGAAGAAGAGTGCTGCCATGGCAACACAAAGACAGCAGACAGGCTCATGCACTTGCCACCAGTGGGGTTCTAATAAATGTTTTGGGGAGGCATGGAGATGGCATGTCTTGCCTGAGTACAACAATCAGAACTGAAAATTGATCATCTTGGGTGGTTTTTCCAAACCTCCTTCGATATTCCTGGACTGTGAAAACAGACAGCCCTAGTCTTGAATCCTGCCTCTACTGCTAACTGGCAGTGTGACCAGAGATGGATAACTTAAATCTTTCTGAGTGTTTCCTTTCCGGTAAATGAAGACAATAATGCAAACTCCCAGGGTCCTTGGAGGTCTGGAGGAGAGAATGCACAATGGGAGCCCAGCACAGAAGCTAATGCAGAGCAAATGAAGCCGTGTCACCTCTCTCTGTCCCCACATACAACCCCCAGACTGATCCTCACTACCCGGTTTCCTCACATGGCCATGGCATCACCACCACCACCACCACCCCACAACAAGGTTCAGCTCTTGCCCCTCCCTCTCACAGGCATCTTGTCATCCAACAGTTAACCCAGGCCTTAAGGTGTGGCACGCCCTCAACACAGAGCACCTGGGAGATGAAAAGCGAGGATTTGGTGCTTTTCATGGCCAAGAGTGTCCAAATCCTACCCTGTCAATCACTCCTGCTATCCCCAGAGTTCTCAAAGGAGTTATACACAACAATAGCAGAATGGGGAATCAAAGTACAATTCTGTGACAATTTCATATCCAGATAAGTGCTTTCTGATAAAATTAAGGGTTTGGGGTAGTTGATGTTGTTACTGTTTGGGAAAAGGGAGGGTGTGTGCAGCTTAGGGAGCTGCCCAGGTTCTCTTATTCAAGTAGAAGTAGAAGTGCACAAAGATGACTGATGAGGAAATGAGGGAGTTGGCCTGCCCAGCAAAGACTAGGCCTGGCTACATCTGGAGCAGGAAAGCAAAAGAATCTGGAACTTGGGTTCTTATAACTCACCCATTAACAAGAATGGCCCCCAAAATATCCTGAACTCTCATCACTCAGATTAGTAACTCCTCCCTCCTTAATTATAAAGGAAGAAGGGTAGAAGCTGCAGTACTAAGAAAGGTATTCCTCCCGCCAGACAGCTCCCTACCCCGCATCCCACTGCCTCTGCCTTCTTCAGAACTCAGCTCCCAGCCAGTCAGCTGCAACAGCTTCCTAACTGGTCTTGCTGCTTCTGGGTTCACCCCACTAAACCACATGTAGACCTCTGATCATTACGTCTCTGCTCGGCATCCTTCATTGACTCCAAGTTAACTGCAGAATGAAGCTACCCTACGAGGAGTCTACTCAAGGCTCCTACTAGTGGGCTTCAGCTTACGTTTCAGCTTTATCTGCAACCAGTCCCCTTCATCCAACCACTTCATTAACATACTTTCAGGCTCTCTGCCTGTATCTACCAGTCCCCTCCACCTGGAAAAAGTACAAATTCCCTCCAGTTCCACCTAGAGAAAGCATGCTATCCTTCAAGGCCCAATTCAAGTGCCATCTCTTCCACAAGGCCCAATTTGATTACTCAGGCCATCACCAATCATCCTCATAAAATACCACCCAACATTTTCTTCTATAAACTCTATGACATTTAGGAGAGTGCTGGGCACTTTACCCATCACCTCACTCAACTCTCACAACCCTATGAAGCAGGTACAGGCATAGCTCATTTCATTGTGCTCTGCTCTACTGCACTTCACAGAGATTTTGTATTTTACAAATTCAAGGTCTGCAGCAACCCTGCATCAACCAAGTCTGTCAGCATCACTTTTCCAACAGCATGTGTTCATTTCGTGTCTCTGTGTCGCCTTTTGGTAATTCTTGCAATATGTCAAACTTTTTCACTATTAGTATCTGTTATGGTGATCAGTGATCTTTGATATTCCTATTCCAGTTGTTTGGCAGTGCCTCAAATCACACCCATATAAGACGGCAAACTTAACGGATAAAAGTGTATTCCAAGAGCTCCACCAACTGGCCATTCCCTGTCTCCTTCCCTCTCCTCATGCCTCCCTATGCCCTATGATACAACAAAATTGAAATTAGGCCAGTGAATAACCCTATAATGGCTTCTAAGTATTCAAGTGAAAGGAAGAGTCACATGTCTCTCACTTTTTAAATCAAAAGCTAGAAATGATTAAGCTTAGTGAGGAAGGCATGTCAAAAGTCAATAGAGCCAAAAGCTAGGCCTCTTGCACCAGTTAGCCAAACTGTGAATGCAAAGAAAAAATTCTTGAAGGAAATTAAAAGTGCTACTCCAGTGAACACATGAATGGTAAGAAAGCTAAACAGCCTTGCTGATATGGAGAAAGTTGTGGTCTGAATAGATCAAACCAGTCACAATATTCCCTTAAGCCAAAGTCTAATCCAGAGCAAAGCCTTAACTCTCTTCAATTCTATGAAAGCTAAGAGAGGTGAAGAAGCTGCAAAAAGAAAAAACAAAAATTGAAGCTAGCAGAGGTTGGTTCCTGAGGTTTAAGGAAATAAGTCATCTAAGTAACATAAAAGTGTAAGGTAAAGTTACAAGTGCTGATGTAGAAGCTGCAGTAAGTCATCCAAGAGATCTAAGATAACTGATGGAGGTAGCTACACTAAACAGGTTTTCAATGCAGATGAAACAGCCTTACATTGGAAGAAGATGCCATCTAGGAGTTTCATAGCTAAAGAGGAGCAGTCAATGTCTGGCTTCAAAACTTCAAAGGACAGGGTGACTTCCTTATTAGGGGCTAATGCAGCTGGTAACTTTAACTGGAAGCCAGTGCTCACTTATGATTCCAGAACTCCTTAAAAATTATGCAAAATCTACTCTATCTGTGCTCTACAATGGAACAACAAAGCCTAAATGACAGCACATCTGTTTACGGCATGGTTTACTGAATATTTCAAGCCTACTGTTGAGACCTACTGTTCAGAAACAAAGATTCCTTTAAAAATATTACTGCTCATTGACAATGCACCTGGTCATCCAAGAGCTCTGATGGAGATGTACAAGAAGATGAATGTTGTTTTCATGCCTGCTAACACAACATCCATTCCGCAACCCACAGATCAAGGAGTAATTTTAACTTTTCAAGTCTTTAAAAAATACATCTGTAAAGAGTGATTCCTCTGATGGATCTGGGCAAAGTAAATGGAAAACCTTTTGGAAAGGATTCATCATTCTAAATGCCCTTAAGAACATTTGTGATTCATGAGAAGGGTCAAAATACCAACATTACAGGAGTTTGGAAGAATTTGATTCCAACCCTCATGGATGACTTTGAGGGATTCAAGACTTTACTTCACTGCTAATGTGGTGGAAATAGCAAGAGAACTAGAAGTGGGGTCTAAAGATGTGACTGAATTGCTGCAATCTCATGATAAAGCTTGAACAGATACGGAATTACTTCTTATGAATGGGCAAAGAAAGTAGTTTGTTGAGATGGAAACTTCTCCATCTCAAGATGCTGTGAACATTGTTGAAATGACAACAAAAGACTTAGAATATTATGTAAACTTAGTTGATAAAGCAGTAGCAGGGTTTGAGAGGACTGACTCCAGTTTTGAAAGAAGTTCTACTGTGGGTAAAATGCTACAAACAGCATTACATGCCATAGAGAAATATTTTGTGAAAGGAAGAGTTAATCAACGTGGCAAACTTCATTCTTGCAGCAACCACCACCCTGATCAGTCAGCAGCCATTAACATTGAGGCAAGACCTTCCACCAAGAAAGATTACAACTAGCTGAAGGTTCTGATGATCATTAGTATTTCTGGCAGTATTTTTAATTCAGGTATGTATGTTGTTATTTTAGATGTAATGCTGTTGCACACATAATAGGCCACAGTATAGTGTTAACATAACTTTTATATTCACTGGAAAACCAAAAAATTCGTAAGACTCGCTTTATTCCAATCCCTAATATCTCCTGAGGGACGTCTGTACCTTAATTATACCCATTTTACCAATCAGAAAACTGAAGTTCAAAGACTTCAAGCAACTTAACCAAAGCAACATAGGTAAAAAATAGTAGAAGCAGGATTTGAAACCAGGTCTACCTGCATTCTTTTTACTCTACCAGTGGTTTTACAAGCCAAATCCAAGAAGCTCTAGGATTAGGAATACCCAAACCTGGTTGGATATCAGTACCCTCTAACTACATGTTCTTGGGCCTTCCTCTAGAAATTGACTCAGTAGCTTAGGGAAGACCACAGAAAATTATATTTTATTTCAATAAAAAAAGCCACCATCCTAAGGAATCTGCAGAGCCCCCCGGGTGCATCTGTTTTATTTGCTTCTGAACAAAGGGTTTACACAGGAAAAAAAAGAACCCTATCCTACACCAGACTACTGCCTTGATTTAAAGTTAGTGCTGCCACAGCAAGACCTGTATGATGATGTCAACTAATGGCCTCAATTTCTACACTAATGGGCAATTTTCCCTTAAGATTCACAGGTGCACTCTGGACCAGCACTGGGCTGAGAGCTGCCTCTGCATGGCAGGGTTCTCTTAGAGCAGACTGGCTGATTAAAAAAAAAAAAAAAAAAAAAAAAAAAAAAAAATATATATATATATATATATATATATAGTGGATTGTTTGAAAAATAACATGTTCTAAAATCTTAGAATCACATTAGAAATGAAAAGCCAAGCCCTCACACTTCCTCCTCCAGCCAGCTAGTTTTGTTTTATCTCTGGCCAGATGGAGAATGAGAAGGTTCTCATCCATCAAATTTCCACCTTATCAGGTTTCACTGCGAGAAAGCTTGTCAAAGTGCTCAGTGGTTACCTTTAAATATACAAAGGAAATTTCTCCACAATCTTAATGAGGAAGAGATACTCTGTGATGTAAGGAGAATTTCCAGAATTAGTAGGTGAGAGCACTGTTCAAGCCACGTTTTGTGGAGCCTCATTGCTCCTGCAGGCTGTGGCGGAAACAGATGATGTGTGGAGGTGGGTGCCAGGCCTCCTACCTCACTTCACCCTGAGCAGCTCCACTTCTGTGTTTTCTCTCCATAACAGTTCATTCAAACAAATAATTCATATGCTGGGGGAAAAAAACTTAGAGGCCACCAGAATGAAACAGTCCTTGGCATACAGAACTAACAAACATGTGCCTCACCTAACAGTATGGTGCTAGCTGTGATGACTGCACAAGTTCTGAGCAAAGGGCTTGATGTAGCTTTCACCAGTTGCCCCCTTCTCCAGCCCCACTCACTGTTCCCCATGAGCCAGGCTCATTCATGGACCCCAAACCTTGGCACAGGCCTTCCTGCTACCAGGAATGCATTCCCACCTCCCATTCCCCCAGGCAAACAGCTACCTATCCTTCAAGTCTCAGCTCAAATCCACTTCCTCTGTGAAGCCTTCCCTCCCTCCCTCTCTGGTCTATTAGCACAGTTCCATTCTTTGTGCTTCCAAAGCATTCGGTCCATTCCACTATCAGGACTTATCATGCTATATTTTAATTAGCTCTTTGTATTTCTATGCTATTTCTTCACTAGATTCCTTCAGAGACTGTGTATGATTTTATTCGGTCCTGTACTCCTAGTGCCCAGGACAGAGCCTGGCACAGAAATGATAAAATGAGAGGGTGACATAAGGGAAAGTCTCCCTGTTTGTGCCCCATGGAGATTACAGCAATTCCATATAAAAACTGTTGGGGACAGCCTTTTAAAACAGCTTTAACAGCAGCCCCAGGTATGAGCCACTGAGATTCTCCAGAGTTTCTCAATAGCAGAGCGCTCCGACTCCCTTCTTATAGGGATCAATCAGCTGGAAAGGAACAGACAAGCACTTTCTTCAGAGGAGAGGTTACTATTGATCAAGGAAGAAATTTATAGCTTTGGTGACTTGGCTGGTAAAAGGGCAGACAACATTTATTAATCAACACCGTCTGGTAGATTCTAGCAGGTGATGGTTTGTCATTCAAAGTCCTGAGCCAGCACCTGCCACACAATTAAAAGCAGGAAAACAGGAAAGAAAAGAAGGAATCGGATACACTGAGCATCAACTTCTCTGTGCCAGGAACCACGGTAGGCATTTTCTCACACATTACATTTTACTATTCATTTGTTTAATCCTAAAATAGATATCATCAACCCCACTTTAGGGGAGTGAACATAAGTTTAATGAGTTTAAGCTGTTGGCTTAGAAGTTAAGCACTTGTAAGTGAAGCTGAGATTGCAACCCAAGTTGAGAACTATTTTCCACTATTCCAAAGATGGCCACTGAAATTGCTACGTTTCTAGTGCCCGAGGCCAAGGCATCATCATCAAAATAGCTACCAATTATTGCTCATTTATGATGTGTCAAGTATTATGCTAAGTGTCACTCCCTCTCTCAGATAAACCTAACAACTAATCGCTATTATTCTGATAAGAAATGGGCATACTATGGTTCGAAGAGGCAAACTTGCTGGTTCACAGTTCAACAACTAGTAAGTAATGGAGCCAGGACTCCAAACCAGTTTGACTCGTGTTTCTGGCTTCAGGCTTCTTCCAACATAGGTCATTTAAACTGCACATTATTCTATAAAGAGACCAACTCAAAACTTTCACACCTAATACACACACACACACACACATATATATACATTTTTTTTTAGGGCAAGAGGAGCTTTGGCCATTAGTAAAAAATATAGTACCTCAGATCTGTGGTCTTAGCCCTAACCAACCAGCCTGTAGAGACACTGTCTCCAAATGCCATGTTTTGATTCTGATTTACCAAGAGATGTTCTAAATGCTGTCACAATCTCATTTGGAGATATCCATCAATGAGTACATGTGAGAACTGGGAGGTTCAGGCTGAACTACCCTGAAATTAAACCCACTCCTGTCAAAGCACATGGGATTAGCCAGCTGGGTGACCGGTACGACTTTAATTAGATTTTTGGGCTTTAGCCAGCAAATGCATCCCCACAGAGCTAAGGGCCCAGGTACTGAAGCACACACTTGTCAGGGTAGCGGATGACGGGTCTCATAACAGATGAAAGCATTCTGAAATAGTCTGGGGAATATGGCCAAGGCAATGTCTAATATATGTTGCTTATAAAGGAGAACAAAAAAACCTTAGCTTGCTTCTCTCCCACACCCACCCTGAGTAGAATACCAAGCGCCTGAACCAGAGAGAGTGCACCTAAAATAAAGATTTCCCTCACCCTTCACCAAACACACACATTCATGCACATGTGCACACTCACACACACTAAAAGGAGAGCCCAGGTTTCTGGGCTCTGACAATGTATCAAACTCAGATGTATGAAGGCAGAGATGTGAGGATCCAAGCAGCATCCCTGTTACCAACCTCAAGAGTAGGACACTTTAAACATCCCAGTTAGGGCATAGACTTGGGAACACTGGGTTTTTTGTTTGTTTTTGCAAAGGTCTCCTGAGTTTCCTTCAAGGGATATGGGCCCCTTTGGCAGCAGGGAGGTATACTACAATACAGGGGACCTATCTGTGATCCTCACTTTTTCACCTTCTTCACTGTAAATAAGACTACCAAAGTAAAAACCAAAGCTTGTATTCATCAGAGCCTAACAATATCATTACAAGTACTCAATAAATGTGTTGAATAAATAAAAAACTGCAAATTACAACACATGCTGAGTCAACCGGCACTAGGTCACTGCAATCACAGGCAATTAAAACAAACAAACATGGAGAACTGACTCTCGGGGCTCAACTTCTCAGTGTTCGTGCACAATGAGACACAGTGAATTCATAAGCCTCTGATCCAAGCTCAATTTTCAGCAGAAGAATTGCCTCCCTACAAAATGCTAAAGAAGAGGCACAATGAGACTGGCAATAAATGTTGTTGGCATGAGCAAAGGATGGTTTGATCATATCCAAGAGTAATGGTTGGCTTACCATCAAAATTCAAGAACGCTACAAAAACCAGGACTGCTTGATCTGGATCCTGTACATAGGATTTAGGTCAGGGCTCATCTGTAAAACAGGGCTGCAGCATTTCTAACTGATTTTGTAGTTCTTGTCCAAGAAAAGAGAATAATGGGAAACAGCTAGATATAGTCCCAGGGACTGAAAAGCTTCTACTTTCAAGCTTACTGACTTGGATAACATTGATCTGGCCCCATGCAGAATTGCTTTTGTTGAATGGGGTATTGTTGAAGATGCTATAAACTGCTCAAAGTACTCTTTATAAAAGCTCACCAGAGGCAATTCTTTCCTTGGGCCTCAGTGCCAGCAAAAGCTGTCCTTTTACTTGACATGTTCATCTTACAGACACTGCAGACCTTGTAACTGATTTTCTCTTTTTGCTTTCCCTGCCAGGAGCTACCAGTTGAATTGTAAGTCCCCCTCTTTAGCACTGTGAAGGATATCACAACATGCTTTTTTTTTTTTTTTTTTTTTTGAGACAGTCTCGCTCTGTCGCCCAGGCTGGAGTGTAGTGGCACGATCTCAGCTCACTGAAACCTCTGCCTCCCAGGTTCACGTGATTCTCCTGCCTCAGCCTCCCAAGTAGCTGGGACTACAGGTGTCTGCCACCACACCCAGCTAATTTTTGTATTTTTAGTCGATACAGGATTTCACCATGTCGACCAGGCTGGTCTTCAACTCCTCACCTCAGGTGATCCACCCACCTCGGCCTCCCAAAGTGCTGGGATTACAGGCGTGAGCCACCGCGCCCGGCCACAATGTGCATTTTTATATACTCACTCTGGGCCACGGGCAGTGGCTCACACCTATAATCCTAACACTTTGGGAGGCCAAGGTAGAAGGATTGCCTGAGGCCAGGAATTCAAGACCAGTCTGGGCAACATAGCAAAACCCTTTCTCTACAAAAATTTAACAAATTAGCCAGGTGTGGTAGTGCATGTCTATAGTCCCAGCTACTCAGGAGGCTGAGTCAGGAGGATTACTTGAGCCTGAAGGTTTAAGGCTGCAGTGAGCTAGGATCGTGCCACTACACAACAGCCTGAGTGACAGAGTGAGACCCTGTCTCAAATGAATTAATTAATTAAAATACTCACTCTACTTCCATTTTGCTAGTCACTTTTATTTTTCCTGAACCCTAAAGCCTTTATTTTTAATTTCATTTAATCTTATGACTTTCTATAAACCTCTGCAAGTATTTCTGAAACACAAAAAGGAACAAATTACAATGTTTACAGCTTCAATTAGCCAGAATACTTCAAGTTGGGTGTTCTTGAGAATGTATTATTCTGGTCTGTTGAAAAGCTGAAAATATACCAATCTTCCTTTCTGCCAAAAGCACAGTATTCTCAACATAATTACTGACGGTTTGGCATAGCAACAGCGTAGTATCTTAGCAAAGTCCTGAAATTAGATAGAGTCCATAGACCTGAATCCATGTCACATATATATCACCTTCTATGTAACGACGGCTGAGCAGTGTAAATTCTGAGGCACAGATTAATCTGTAAAATGGGAAAAACATTTTCTATGCCCAAACCCAGGGCTGGGAGCATCACGCGGGCACACAGGCAATCTTTGTAAACTGTAAAGTACAATCTACACCTGAGGATCATACCTGCTTTATTTCTACCACTCTGAATAGCAGTTTTCATTACCAAAGAGGACAATGAGGATTGAGCTGAATGTGAATTGAGAACAAGACCTGTATTTTGGACATTGTTCTTACCAACGTTTTCTTTATCCTACCTGTGGGATGCAGCAAAATTTGAGTAAACATGAGAGGGACCCAAAGCTGAACATCCTAGAGTCCTCGTGGATGAAGCATTGAATACGCACCAAGTCAAGCCCCAGAAGCTACACCTGAGCATCCCCATTACAGAGAAACAGGTTCCTTTTCTTTTTCCCCTATAACCCTGACCTCTCAGAGCCTGACTTACATGTTAAGGAAAAGCCTTTTCCCATCTTGTTTCCTGGCTTTCCCTCAGCAATCCATCCTCTAGACATCCATCAGACTAGTCTTTCTAAACTGCAAATCTGATCCTGTCAATCCTCTGACTGGCATAGCCAACCCTACCCCACCAGGGGCCCCCTGCCTACACCTCAAGTCCAGGCTCCCAAACTGCATCCAAGGCTCTCCACAAGCCAACTTCTCTCGGGTTAATCTCCTGACACATCCCTAGAGGAACCACCCTTTACTGCAGCCCCAAACTCTTCTTCCCCAAAATCACCATACCCTCTCCCACCTCTAAACCTTAGCCTTCTATACAAAACCTTCCTCTCCCTTGCCTATCTATTAACCTCTAGCTCAAACTTCAGAACCAGTTCAAAAGTTACTTTCCCCAGGAGCCTGCTCTGGTCCTGCAAGCCACTTCCTTTCTCTGTGCTCCTGTGGTTGTTTCTTCATGTCTCTATTATGGAATTTTCTCCTTGTCTAGTAGAGGGCTTGCACAAAGTGTTCAATGTTGCTGAATGTATGAATGGATTCCTTTCTTTTGCCAGGACAGAAACAGAGACCACTAAAAGGTCTAGGTTTTTCTGTCTGTTTCAATCCAAAAGCAACACCTGTAGCAGCTGGTGAGTAGGAGGCACTCCAGTTAAATAAGGAGCCTAGTTACCAGAAACAAGCTGGTAAGCTATGCAAGGCTAGTGTGTTATGCTCCACCTGTACATTTATCCTAGCACCATAATGCAAAGACACCACCCCACCATGTTTCCTCAGGCTCTGAGTAAGCCAGTACTTCCAAGACCTGGTATAAAACAGTCATGTGAGATGGACACATCAAATTCATAGACTATAAGCAAAAGTTAACTAGAGATACAACTGTGATGCAACATCTGTGCAAAAAAAGGAAACCACGGCCAAATCATCTTGTTGGAAACATGTATGTAACTTGATGTGTAAAGGTAGTCACGATGAGATGCCAGGAAGCCTGAGTCACTGGCATGTTCACCTGAGGACAGCACTTAGAGTATACAGCTGCTTTTGGTCTGCCCAGTGCCCTGAAACAAAATACCACTTTTTCTGGGTACCCGCTCATCCCCTTCCAAACATGTGGTTCTAGGGAGGCTGCCAATGATGTTATACACACGCACACACACACACACCCTTCTGCCAAGGCACAATAAGCATGTGACCCAAATTGGGATTCTCAGTACATCACCCGTCTGGCCATCCTGACAAGAAACCAGCCAGGGCAGCAAAGTGTGGGAGTTCTTCTTCCTCTTCTGCAGTAAATCGGGAAGATGTGATCCCAGCGTGGCTGGCAATGAGTCCAGCCACTTGGAACTGTAGTATGGATGCAAGAAAAAGAAGCCAGCTCTCAGAGAGAGAGTCTGCTCCTGGTAGTGTTCCAGTGCCCCGTCCTTCCAGCAGTTTAGTTACACAAGGCAATCAAGTTCCCTTTCTGCCAAACTTAGTTCAAGCTAGGTTTCTACCACTCACAAGAAAGTCCTACCCATAGTATACTCACCCCAATCCCTGCCCTATTGCCATCATAGTCCCCTTCCACTCCTTCCCAAATACCTCCATATGAAGACGTATACATGTTATGTAGCAATACATCTTTTTATCCACAGCAGCCCAAAATTCTTCTAGAAGCACCAGAGTTTACATGAATAAGTAAATTATGAAACCAACAAATAATGTCTAACAACAGAGGTATACCTAAGAAAATTACAGTATATACGCTTGATGTAATGTTATACAGCAATTTCAAATGATTACAAAGACTAAGTTATGATATAAAAAAACTACATATTATATATTATCGAGAGAGACAGAGAGAGAGAGAGAGAGACAGAGTGTGTGTGTGTATCACCCCCTCATCCTCGGCCATCCAAATTTTACCAAACAAACATTATAATGGCAGTAAGGGATGAGGGATAATTGTTTTAAACTAAAAAAAAAGGTCATCTAATAGTGAAAGATACAAGAATTGACTATGAAACATGCAGCTCTATAAATGGACCCTCTGGCCAGCCTTTTCTTTACCTCATCTATATAAAGTCACACTACTCAAATCTCACCCCTTTCATTCTCAAGTGTCAGCCCCTCTTAGAAGATTTCCCTGACTACCACATCACACAGGATCTTTTGCATTGAGTACAGGTTATATTAATTAACTGTGGATTTTAAATTGTTTTGCATTTTGTCTTGTATAACATTTTCATCTCCCTTAGAAAAATAAAACTTTCAGGAGTTACGTATTGTAATTCCATCAGTATCTAAACCAGATACATTTTGTGTTCAATAACACTGAATAAAGATGAGAAACAGGTCTTTTAATAACATGCAATAAACTAGTGCACTCTAACATTGCTGGTGGCAGCATAAAATGGGCCAGCCTTTTGGACAAACAATTTGGCAACATAATTAACCAGTATAAAATATTGGCCAGGTGCCAACCCCATCAAAAAGTGGGCGAAGGATATGAACAGACACTTCTCAAAAGAAGACATTTATGCAGCCAAAAAACACATGAAAAAATGCTCATCATCACTGGCCATCAGATAAATGCAAATCAAAACCACAATGAGATACCACCTCACACCAGTTAGAATGGCGATCATTAAAAAGTCAGGAAACAACAGGTGCTGGAGAGGATGTGGAGAAATAGGAACACTTTTACACTGTTGGGACTGTAAACTAGTTCAACCATTGTGGCAGTCAGTGTGGCGATTCCTCAGGGATCTAGAACTAGAAATACCATTTGACCCAGCAATCCCATTACTGGGTATATACCCAAAGGACTATAAATCATGCTGCTATAAAGACACATGCACACGTATGTTTATTTCGGCACTATTCACAACAGCAAAGACTTGGAACCAACCCAAATGTCCAACAATGATAGACTGGATTAAGAAAATGTGGCACATATACACCATGGAATACTATGCAGCCATAAAAAAGGATGAGTTCATGTGCTTTGTAGATACATGGATGAAACTGGAAATCATCATTCTCAGCAAACTATTGCAAGGACAAAAAACCAAACACCAGATGTTCTCACTGATAGGTGGGAATTGAATAGCGAGAACACATGGACACAGGAAGGGGAACATCACACTCCGGGGACTGTTGTGGGGTGGGGGGAGGGGGGAGGGACAGCATTAGGAGATATACCTAATGCTAAATGACAAGTTAATGGGTACAGTACACCAACATGGCACATGTATACATATGTAACAAACCTGCACATTGTGCACATGTACCCTAAAACTTAAAGTATAATAATAAAAAATAAAAAATAAAAAATTTTGGCTAGGTGCAGTGTCTCACACCTGTAATCCCAGCACTTTCAGAGGCCAAGATGTGAAGATCACTGGAGACCAGGAATTTGAGACCAGCCTGGGCAACACAGCCAGACCCTGTCTCCACAAAAAATAAAAATTAAATTAGCTGGGCATGTTGGCATCCACCCAAAGTCCCAGCTACACAGGAGGGTGAGGCAGTAGGATCCCTTGAGCCCAGGAATTTGAGGCTGCAGTGAGTTATGAGCATGCCACCGCACTCCAGTCTAGGCAACACTGTGAAACTCTGTCCCAAAAAATATGTATGTACATATATACATAGGCACTATCTGACCCAGTAATCTCACTCCTCAGGATCTATCCTAGGGATTTCAAGAGAAAATATCCTTATGTCAAAAGATGTTCATTGTGTCATTATTTAAATAGCCAAAATGTCCAACAAAGGAGATTATTAAGTAAATCATGTGAAATCTATTCAGTGAAAGGGTATGCATCATAATTCAACATGATCGTTCTGGAGCCTACACCATGAGATGGTGCCTATGACAGACTAAGTGATCAAAGACAGAACAGTATTTAGCCTCTGATTAGACCAGGAGCCCAGGGGCATCAGGACTGAACGATAGTACAGAAAATCAGTAAGAGTTACTTTGCTAGGGTAGTGGAATTATAGCTACCATTTTCTAGTTTTTCTAGGTTTTCTTTATTGATCCATTAATGTTTGTTAAAATTTTATTAAAATATACAAACATTTGCATTTCAATTCTTTCTTCAGTGTTAACACTGGGATTTCACCTTCCGGATCCTGGTGTCCCTATCAGCAGCAGCCACCAGAGAACTAACCACTGGTACTCTTTTGAGTCCTCTACTCTAATGACTGCCTGGCCCAGGATCTCAGGCAGACAATTCAATTAACCTTCATGGCAATGATCACTCAGACCCAGACCCCAATCCTACCTGATTGCAACAAGGCTACGTATCTGGATGTGACTCTCAGGAGGGATTAAATTAAAAGACACTGAATATTTAAGTATAATTGAAATTTAATAAGTCTACCAAATTCAGAGAGGATTTTTAAATGCTAATACCCAATGCTAAATAGAGTACAGTCATAAAAAAGATCACCTAGAGAAACCTGATATAATCTTTCTGCAGAACAATTTGAATATATCTATACAACAGTCCTTAAAATATTCATACTCTTTGGCCCAGTTATTATACCTCTATCAGGAACAATCAGTGAGGTGGGCATGGTGGCATGTGCCTATAATCCCAGCTACTCAAGAAACTGAGGTGGGAGGATCACTTGAGCCCAGGAGTTCAGGAACAGCCCAGGAAACAGAGTGAGACCCTGTCTCAAAAAAAACAACAAAGAATCAGTGGATAAATATTTATGTACAAGGATGTTTGCTGCAGAAGTCATAAGGCAAAAAAAAAGTAAAATAATCTAAATGCCGTTCAAAAAAGAACTAGTTAAATAAACTGTAATACATCCAAGTGATGAAATATTATGCTGGCACAAAAAAAATTGTTTTTGAAGAACATTCATGACATGGCAACAAACCAGAGAGAGAACATTAAACTTAAAAAAGCACGATACAAAACTGTATTTTCAACTCGATAACAACTCTGTGTGTGTGTGTGTGTGTGTGTGTGTGTGTGTGTGTGTGTGTGTGAGAGAGAGAGAGAGAGAGAGAGAGAGAGAGAGCGAGGAGAATAAAAGGACTGAAATACCAAATAGATCAAATGAAGCTGGTCATTTCTAGGTACTGAGATAATAAGTGAAATATTTTCTTAAGTCTTCTGTACTGAATATCACCCTACAACCAGACACAGCCACATAGCCCCAAAAGCACTGTCCACTGTGTCAGAAGGGCAGGGCGGTACTCACACGGATGGTGCAGTCTCCTTTGCTCTTCTCTCGATGGGCTTCCTCCAGGTCCTTCTCCAGTCTCTCCCTCTCCTGCTGCAAGTCACTCAGCTCCTGGGTGATCTTCTTAATGCTTCTACGCAGTCTGTGGTTCTCTGTACTCTTGGTGAGGTTTTGTGAGCGCAGCGCAGCCGAAAGGGCTTCCTTTCCTGATAGAGCAGTCTCATAGTCTTCAGACCCCTAGAAGAGAAGGCAGAGAAGCAAGATGAGCTAATTTTCATACCTCATGAAACAAACCAAGAAACCTGGGCTCTTTTTCGCCGTGGGGGAAAAAAAGAAAAGAAAAAGATTAACATAGACAACATTCAGAAACCAAAGCAAAAATAATAGGAAGATTTTGGAATAACATAAGATAATGTTTCTTATGATGTGGATGGTTGTATGAAAGAAGTATTTTCTTAAAGGACCAGAAAAAAAGCACAAATTCTCAGCTGGGCACAGTGGCTCACACCTGTAATCCCAGCACTTTGGGAGGCTGAGGCAGATGGATCATGAGGTCAGGAGTTCAAGACTAGCCTGGCCAACACGGTGAAACCCCGTCTCTACTAAAAATACAAAAATTAGCCAGGCGTGGAGGTGGGTGCCTGTAGTCCCAGCTACTCGGGAAGGCTGAGGCAGAGAACTGCATGAACCCGGAGGCGGAGGTTGCAGTGAGCCGAGATCGTACCACTGCACTCCAGCCTGGGTGACAGAGCGAGACTCCGTCTCAAAAAAAAAAAAAGAAAAAAAGAAAAAAGAAAGAAAAGCACAAATTTTCACAGTAACTGTCTTTAGTTGGGTGGGACTATAGTTACTTTTTTTTGTCATAACTCTGTATTTTCAAATGTTCTAAGGTAAGTGAGCATGTTACTTTAATAATGGTTTAAAAAACAATTTAAGTCATTTTTGAATGGTAGAAAATGAAGACCTTCATTTGAAAATGTGAAAGTTGTCAGAATCAGAATGGACTCATTTGTCTTTAAAAAAATAAAAATAAAACCAAAACAAAACAACCTTGACAAATAGATTCGGGTATATGAAGACAGATTACTCAGGCATAAATGCCTCAGAACAAAAACTATCACAAAAGACTCTGTAAAAACCACAACCTTGCACAAAGGCCACCGCAATCCTACACAAAAAATACTTCCACAAGGACATCTGCCCAGCAACTGCCCATCCAACCTACGACTGGTGTCATCCTTGTTATTGATACTTGCAGCCAAGGACAAGTATCTCAATACTGTTATGTAATTCTCATTTTTCTTTAAAAATCTTTGTCTTCCTTAACCTCCCTGAATATGCACATAGCTATGGCACATGTATTCCCACTGCCATGTCCTAGTCCTGAATAAGTATCATTTTCTTTTTGAGAGATTCTCTCTGTTATTTAGGTTGACAAAAAGTAGAGATATATCTAAGCACTTACAATGTTCATCCACATCAGAATGGCTCAAACCCAGATTCATTTGGAGAAAAAAAAAAAAGGTGGTCAGCATGCTAGTTCAATGGCCAGCCTGAGAGACTGTAATTTCAGCAAAGTCCATGGGCAAAATAAGTCAAGAATATGTGGTATTTCGTTAATACACAGTTAACTAAAGAAAATACATATGATTATCAAATATATACACATCTGTGAAATGGGAAGTAATGGCCTCTATTTTTTAAATTATTATTTTTTCCTTCTTTTTTTCTGAAAGCTGGTTTACCAGCATTCTACTAAAAATAGCATATATACAGAAAGGTACACAAATCATCAGTGTATAGCTCAACAAATGTTCACAAACTGAATACACTCATATCAAGAAACACATCCTTCGTCAGGCACAGTGGCTCGCTGCCTGTAATCCCAACACTTTGGGAGGAATGGTCTCTATTTTCATATGGTCATTGTGAAGATTAAATATGATACTCAGGCTGGGCGTGATGGCTCACTCCTGTAATCCCAGCACTTTGGGAGGCTGAAGTGGGTGGATCACCTGAAGTCAGGAGTTCAAGACCAGGCTGACCAATATGGTGAAACCCCCATCTCTACCAAAAATACAAAAATTATCCGGGCATGGTGGCATGTGCCTGTAGTCCCAGCTACCCAGGAGCCTGAGACAGGAGAATTGCTTGAACCCAGGAGGCAGAGGTTGCAGTAAGCCAAGATTGCGCCACTGCACTCCAGTCTGGACGACAGAGCAAGACTCTGTCTCAAAAAATATATATATATCTCTCTCTCATATATCACATATCATATGAGATATATCACACGATACATCTCATATATCATGATATATCATATATGTATCATGTGATATCTCATATCTCATGAGATATATCTCAGATATCTCATGAGATATATCTCATATATCTCATGAGATATATCTCATATATATCTCATATGAGCTGTATCTCATATATATCTCATATGAGCTATATCTCATATATATCTCATATGAACTGTATCTCATATATCATATATCTCATATGAGCTGTATCTCATATATCATATATCTCATATGAGCTGTATCTCATGTATCATATGAGATATATCATGAGATGTATCTCATATATATCATATGATACATAAAGTGCCATTTCAGTGGGTACAACATAAATAAATCTAGCTCTACTTTTCCTTTACCTACTCCATTATCTTTCATTCCCAATCAAAAAATAACAGAGGTTCCACAAACCAAAAGCTATATACAATAACACTATTAACCAAGAATTTGAAAAACAGACCAAAGTACTCTGTTTTTGTCCAAATACCACCTAATTTAAGGGTGAGCTAACAACACTTACTGTGCCCAGGTACACTTTCTTATTTAAACCTTGGGTGATTATCTAGATTTTGCAACGCACAAACAGGCTGGAAGAGCTCAAATATCTTGCCCAAGGTTACAGTTAGTGATATGGTTTGGCTGTGTCCCCACCCCAATCTCATCCTGAATTGTAGCTCCCAAAATCCCCACATGTCATGGGAGGGACCGGGTGGGAGGTAACTGAATCATGGGGGCAGGTTTTTCCCATGCTGTTCTCATGACAGTGAATAAGTCTCACAAGTTCTGATGGTCTTATAAAGGGCAGTTCCCCTGCACATGCTCTCTTGCCTGTGTCATGTAACATGCGTCTTTGCTCCTCCTTTGCCTTCCGCCATGATTGTGAGGCCTCCCCAGCCATAAAGAATTGTGAGTCCATTAAACCTCTTTTTCTTTTTTTTTTTTTTTTTTTTTGAGACAGTCTCGCTCTGTTGCCCAGGCTGGAGTGCAGTGGCGCGATCTCGGCTCACTGCAAGCTCCGCCTCCCGGGTTCACACCATTCTCCTGCCTCAGCCTCCCGAGTAGCTGGGACTACAGGCGCCCACCACCACACCTGGCTAATTTTTTGTATTTTTAGTAGATACTGGGTTTCGCCATGTTAGCCAGAATGGTCTCGATCTCCTGACCTCGTGATCCACCTGCCTCGGCCTCCCAAAGTGCTGGGATTACAGGCACGAGCCACCGCACCTGGCCTAAACCTTTTTCTTTGTAAATTCCCAGTCTCGGGTATGTCTTTATTAGCAGCATGAGAATGTACTAATACAGTTAACAAGAGCAGAGTCAAGATTCAAATCCATGTCCCACTCCATGTTCTTCCCAGTAAAAATAATATGTTACCTCCATATAATGGACTATACTCAGTTGTTTAAAAAGATTGAGCAGCACAGAGCTAAATATGCACACACCCCCATACATAAACAAATAAATGCATGTCAACTGCTAAAAATCTGAATAAGGTCAAAGGACTGCACTGATGTCAATGACCTGGCAGTGATATTACATCACAATTATGCAAGATGTTACCTTTGGGACAACTGGGTAAAGAATATAAAGGATGTATATGTAAATCCACAATTATCTCAAAATAAAAATTAAAATATAAAAGACTTGGTAGGTCTACATATACTGCCATGGCAAGAATGTTAAATCTTAAAAAATGGTCATGGAACAAAATACATATTATGATCCTATTTAATTTTTTAAAGTATATATGTATATATGCATAAATATGCATTACAGTCAAGGTACAGAGTCAAGGCAAGAGGTGAGTTTACTGATGATTTCTATCAACCTCTCACTACTACTTTAAGTACTTTATAAATTTCCTACAATGTGCATTTTTACTTTAATAGCTGGGAGGATGCCATTTCCAATTTGAAAGTTTTTTTTAAAATGAGTATGGAGGTAGCAGCAGCCAGCCCACACTATCACCTTCACAGTGAAACCAGTGATTAGAATTCACACCTCTGTGCTTCTGAACTTTGGCAATCACTTCAAGAGTTTAAATATCACCTGCTGTTGCTTCAGTGTCAGGCTTGATGCCAACCCTGTGAACACTGGCTATTTAACTCATGCTGCAATTGGCAAAAAGACCCCAATACATGGGGAAAAAATGCATTTACAAGTATCTGTGCACCATTCAAACTATGTATACCTCACAGTGAGATAGCCGATATAGGTGTATTGTGTGCATTTACTCACACACAATCAGAGGAGTGGAAAGAGCATAGGCTTTGAAGACAGACTTGAGTTCAAGTCCTGCAAAAACTCGCTGGTTTGTAAATCTGCTACCTCCTCGGGCAAGGATTAAATGAGGGTCCTCTGAAAAGCCAACCTGACATGTATAACCTGAAGAGTTACAACAGTTCCTGATCTCTGTGTGCTGCAAGATAAGAAACTTGACCAACACTGTACATTGTAAGACCTCAAAACTCATTCTTAAAGTCTTTTGACTAAGACTGGGGTTATTAAGTTAAATGTATATAATACATCTGGGTAACATTTAAATGTATAAGATTCCTTTCTTTCCTTTAAGACCCGTCATAACAAGTAAAATATCACAATGTTTATGCCGGTCTCTCTGGCTATCAGCAGCCAACAGATTTTTACCCAAGCAATGGAAAACATAATTTTCCTAAGAATTCAGCTTCTGAAGCTTGTTATTTTCTAGGCAAGGAAAAAGAGAAACAGTCTAAAGTGTAATCTTAGCTCCATTTCATCAACCACTGTCAAAACAGTAAGAGAAGGCAAGTCTGAGATTCCAAAAGCAAAGATTTGTCTATGTTCCTAGCGTACCATGATTTAAACCAAATTACTTCAATTATTCTTATTGTTAACTAAAGGCTCTGCAAAAGATAAGTCATGGGATATGAATCTTGGGAATCAAACAGTCTTAAATCAGATTTAACTTCTAACTTCTACGTTACAACCAAAAGCAACATCAGTGCAAGAGGTGGGAGGAGGAAGCTTTAGGCAGTATGGACTTACTTTGATGATAAAACTGTATTGATTTATTAAGTTATTTAGTGATAGGTATAAGCTGTATAAGAAAACTAGAAACATGATAAGAAACATGTTAAAATAATTTAAAACACGAAATTAAAATGAGGAAGAAAGAGGGGCTGACCATCAGGAGTCCTTGTAGTACAACATTGGGGGACGGAGGGAGGAGAAGGCAGGTCAAAAACATCAAGGTCTGGAAAAGAAACCTGGAGAGGAGCAGCTGGGACCAAAGCAGCCAGGTAAGGGAGATACGGGATGACAGTAAAAGCACAGTCTTTGGAGTCAGATTGGCTCTGGAGTCAAATCTTAGCTCTATTACTTACCAGTTTTGGGAACCTGTGCAAGCTACTAGAAACTTAACTTGGATTTCCTCAGCAGTTTAAAAAAAAGGATATTAATAGTACTTACTTCATAGAGCTGCTGTTCAGTTAACTGAGATAATCTATGGGGAGCACTTAGCAGGCCTTGGCACATAGTATGTGTTCAATAAATGTCTCTTGCTATTATTAGCAATTACCACACTAAAATTTTGGCTCTGCCACTTGCTAACTGTGTGACAGTGAATAAGCTACACATGCTCCTGAGCCTCAAAACCTCACAAATACGGCCGGGCGCAGTGGTTAACTCCTGTAATTCCAGCACTTTGGAAGGCCAAGGTGGGTGAATCACTTGAGGTTAGGAGTTCGAGACCAGCCTGGCCAACATGGTGAAACCCCGGCTCAAGTAAAAATACAAAAATTAGCCAGGCGTGGTGGTGGGCTGTAATGCCAGCTACTCAGGATGCTGATGCAGGAAAATTGCCTGAACCCAGGAGGCGGAGGTTGCAGTGAGCAGAGATTGCATCACTGCACTCAAGCCTCAGCGACAGAGGGGGACTCTGTCTTAAAAAAAAAAAAAAATTTAAAAACACAAGAGGGATGATGACTACCTTTCCCACAGGCTGGTGAAGATTAAATGAGATAATCCACATATCTTGCATTATTACTTAGCACAGAGCACACTCAGCACTCCTAACTGTGGAGGTATTTATCATTATCATATTGAGGAGGGGGCTGGAAAAGCTCCCAAATCTGGTAGAGAATTTCCCTTTAATTAGACTAGCAAATTCTATCACTGAAGACCACCCACAGTTTTCCTTATTAAAATCACCCAAGTTCTTTCAGCTGCAAAGTCCTCACCTCACCAGGGGTCAGGATCAAAGAGACAGCCACTTAAGCCAAGTGTACACTTACCTGAAATTCCTGGGTCTGTGCTTTCTGTAGGGCCTCTCTGGCTTTAGCAAAGGCAGCACTGAGCTTTTCAATTTCAGAGTTAAGTTCTTCAACCTGGGGAAAAATAATGAATACCAGCCAAGTATGTAACTGGGCTCTCCTCTCTGCACAGCCCACATGCTTTTCCTGCTCAATTGTGTCGTGCTTATAATCAAGGGCTTTGTAGTCAGAAGAGATTCGAGTGGGATTTCCAGTTTAGCCGTTTACTAGCTGGATGACTTCAGGCAAGGTACTTAACATCTTTGAGACTCCATTTCCTCAACTGTAAAATGAGGATACCACCGCTCACCCAGCTATTGTGTTGTTAAGGTTAAATGAGGTAATGTGCATCAGTGCTAAAATAATGCCTTGGTCATACTGTTACAATTATTACTGTCCATATAGATGACCTACCCAACACCTAGCCTGGGTATTCCCCAAATTCCTCAGCCTCCAGTGACTTTCTCCTATACCCCGGAGTTGGCCATGAACAACCATGGCCACACCCTGGACTTTGCCAGCACCCAGAGCAGCTCTGACACCAGTGTCCTGACACACTGAAGGGCTCCGATCTCGGTTGGACCTAGAACTCCCCCACATGTGATACAATGTTGACTTTTTTTTTTTCCTTTGAGACGGGGTCTTGCTCTGTCACCCAGGCTAGAGTGCAGTGGCTGATAACAGCTCACTGCAGCCTCAACTCCCCACGCTCAAGCAAGCCTCCCACCTCAGCCTCCCAAGTAGCTGGGACCACAGGCGCACGCCACCATATCCAGCTACTTTTTTGTATTTTTATTAGAGACACACTCTCACCTTGTTGCCCAGGCTGGTCTCAAATTCCTGGCCTCAAGCGATCCTCCGACCTCAGCCTCCCAAAGTGTTGGGATAAAAGGCGTAAGCCACCATGCCCAAAGTGACTACTATCACTAGGAGGCAAATCTCTGCTGCATCTGACAGTGGTGATCATTCAAACTCCTTAGCAACACCCCCAGTTTCCTCGTTAGTGTCCTACTTCTGCAACTATTCCTTCTGTCCCCTTTGTGCATTCCTCTCCTTATCCCTGAAATTCTGATGTCCTCTGCAGTCCCATCATCAACCTTCTTCTTTCCCATTCTATACTCTCCTTAGATAAGTAGGTCAACTCTCAGACTCTTAACTCACACCTATAAACAGGGAGTCCTAGATTGACCTCTTCAGGACTGAGCTCTCTCCAAACTTTAGGCATGCATGTCATCTGCCTCCTGGACATCTCATCTGGATGGTCCACGGGCTCCTCAAAGTCACCACTTTTTAAACAGATTCATCACATCTACCACTGTCCCAGATCTTGCCATCAACCTCCACTATCCACGCTTTGAACTGAGTCAGTGGCACCACCATACCTCTAGTCATGCAAGCCAGACACCTAGAAGTCTTCCTTCACTATGCTTCTCTGAAGTCCTACATCTAATCCTCAAATTTTCCCAACCTTATTTCTAATTACTTTGAACCTTATTTCTTAAATAAGCCCCTCCCCCTCCATTCCTACTTGCTGTGCCCACTGCTCTAATTCACCCTTTCTTGGCTCTCACTGAGGCTACTGGTCTCCCAGCCTCCATTCTCTCCCTCCTGCAATTCACTCTCCAGATAGAGCCAGAGACCTCTCCAAAATGAAAATATGCTTAAGAGTTTTCAGTGTCCTTAAGTGCCACTTAAGCAGCTCAATATGATTAGTTTCCCCAACCCCCACCGGCTGGCCACTTGAAGAAGCTTCACCTTCTTCTCTCGCCTCCTTTAAGTTTTACACTTTGTGCTCTGACAACTCCAAACTGTCTGTGGTGCATATGGGGTCTCTCCTAACTAAACACCTTGACCAATGTTCTCCCTTTGTCCATAATGGCATCCCCGTCCCTGCCTTCCTTCCCAACTAACTCCTACTTATCCTTTCAGATGCAGCTCAGGCACCTTCTCCTCTAAGCACTGCACCCCACATGCAATATCCACACCTAATCTGGATCAGGTCCCCTTCCCTCTGCCTCCCCAGCTCCCTACACTTCCCTCAATCACAACCCTCAACACTCTTTCTTCCCCAATAGACTTGCAAGCAGAGCTGGGTTTTCTTCTCTGTCTGTTCCTTGCATAGCTACTAGGACACAATAGGTTGCCATAGTAAGGACAAGAAAACAGCACAGAACCATCAGCTACCACCTTGGATCACAAAGGCAACCATCAGCTACCACCTTGGATTACAAACGCAACACTCAGGCAGCTCTTTAACTGGCTCACAGTCATGGCCTTGCTTCCCAAAACTCCTTTATCTCAATTTTCTGTTATCCTTCAAAAGATTAGACCTGCATTGTCCAATGCGGCAGTCACTACCCACATGTGGCTCTTGGCATGTGAAATGTGGTTAGCCTGAATTGAGGTGTGCTGTAAACACATCTGAACTTCAAATGCTTAGTTCTGAAAAAAAAAAGTGTTGACTATCTCAATATTTTTACTGATTATATGATGAAATGATTATGTTTTGGGGGGGGATATATATATAATTAAAATTAATTTCACTTGTTTCTTTTTACTTCTTTTAATGTGGCCACTAGAAAGTTTTAAATCACATAGGTAACCCATATGATATTTCTATTGGACAGCACTGGATTAGACACTCCAAAAGAATTTCCGGTTGACTAGAGGATCATTTCCCCACTTTCTATACTACCTCAGCTCTCTTATAAACTTTTTATCTGAAGCTAAAAATTCAGGGTAGGACAGGCCAGTCATAGAAGCTAATAAAGAAAAATCTTACTTCAAGTGTATCAGACATACCTTTTTTTCCTTTGATTTTAATGCCATGGTTAAACCCTGAATGGCTTTATCCCTCTTTAGACTATTTTTCTTCTCTGTAGCAATTTCTCTTTCCTTCTCTCTCAGGTCCTCTTCAAGTGCCTAAATTAGATTAGAAAAAGATTCACTAAGTTGATGCGTTCCAACCAAAATGCACCATAAATATATCTTTAAGAGCACACTCAAATGCAGTTATTCTATCTTATTCCTGTCAACCTGTGATTAATGTTTCCAAGTGGAGCTGAACATAGTGCCATCAGCTCCAAGTTACTGTGTTACCGCTCCCGGCAACAGGGCTGGGTGAAGGGGAAGGGGATCAAATCAGTTGAGACGATGACAGCTATTCCTATGGGAAGGATTCCAATGCCTTATGGAATTTGAATACAGTCAGTCAGAGTCTTTGAAACCATACCAGGTTATTTGGGAGAAATAACAGATCATTAATTTCATTCCTTCTCATGGAGACTGAACTATACATTTATAGTCTGAGTTCATTCTAAAGATAATCATCACCACCTCTCTTCCGGGCTGTTGTGAGGATCAAACAGGATAATGGATGTGAAAGCACTTTCTAAGCTGGCAGGCACCACACAAATGCCTCCTGCTGTGACAGAGGAACCATGGCACATGGGCAGGTCCAAATCTTTGCTCTATCTCTTCCTAGCTATGTGCTCTTAGGCAAGTGACCTCACCTCTCTGGGCCTCAGGTACCACATCTGTAAAATGGGAATGCCTACTTCACAGAGTTATTGCAAAGATTAAGAAACCCTTTCTAGAGTACCTTATGCTTGACTGGCATACAGTAGCATTCAATGAGTGACAGCTACTGTGACACAGAATTATCTGCTGCACTCAGAATAAAACAAGAGGCAAGAATAGGCTAAATCTTCAATACATTTTTTAAAATTGTATCAACATACCTGGATCCTCTCTTCAAAGCTGTTTCTCTCCTTCTGATGCTCCATTTGTGCAGCCTAAGAAAAGGCATTAATTGGTGTGAAGAAGGGACGTGCAATCCAACAGCTTCTCCAGAACAATTAGAATGAGCACGTCCTTGTCGCTTACTCACCTTCCCCCACTACTGTGGAACTCGTTAAAACAAGTGTCCCCTCCCTCTCTCCACCCCACCCAAAGCCCTGCCTGATTTGAATGAAGAAAAATGTGAAGACAACAACCTACCCTGGTTGATCACCAGCCCCACAGAGAGTAAACCACAGTGCTGCTTAACAAGACAAAGGCCTACTAGAGGGCCGTGTGGCGGAAGTGGGCAAGAGAGTTAAGAGGAGGGACAGGAGACAACTGTGGATTACAGATGAAAACGAACTGGCAAGGCCACAGCATCCACTGCTGTGGTAGGAGCACAGGCCCTGCTCCATGAAGAAACCAAGACTTTCTGTGAACAACCAGAACATCCCCAATGTGAACATACGACATGCAGCAGCTACTCCAACAAGAATGGAAGGCCTGGACTAAGACCTACCTGCACTTCCCTGGCCTGCCCAACCTCTTCAAAAGAGCTTGCTGGGGAGGCCGCCTAGGGCGGGGGCAGGAGTCCAGGGAGGCTTTGGGGTCAGCTACTAGCAACCCATCTCTTGGAACCTGGAAAAATGTAACAATTCCTCTGAGCCTGAGCCCGTTTCTAAACGTGACAAGGAGACCATGAGCTCTACCTTGCCAGGTGGCTGGGAGGATTGAACGAGATGGTATACTGAACCCCTCCCATACTGCTAAGCCCGATACGAGTTAGTCCTCTTCCCACCCTACCTCTCAAGTTGCAGACCAAAGTTGGCCTCACACCTACTTCTAACCAAAAAGGCAAGATGGAAAACAATGCACCACAACTGTATCCTAAGAAAACCCAAAGGATGAAAATAAAGTCCCCAGGTAACAACAAATCAACACATGGTAAAACAGAGGTAAGCAGGTAGGGACTGGTTTTCTTTAAGCAACTCTTTATAGGAACAGGAGACTAAGAAGGAAAAAGAATGCCAGGGCCCCTGACAAAGGCAGTTTCTGCTCACTCCTCAGCTGACAGGGGACTCATATTTAGAAGCAGGCTGTGTGTGAACCATGAGGACCGAATGCGCATTCCATCTCCCACAGAGGAGTCTGGTTGGCTAATTAAAGCCCCCTCTTCATGTCCTGTCACCTCACCTCAGTTTCTCTCTCCTTTTCTTCCCTTGGAGCAGCACAAAGTCCTCGGAGCTCTCCAGATGACACATTCTCATCAGGACATGCCATCTGAGATTTCTCCTCTTTAAGGCACTGAATTAAAGCTTCTTTGCTCTTCAAAGACAGCTTCAACTCCTCAATCAGTCTAAAAGAGAACAAAATTTAAATATTAATTCTAAGCTGTTCTCTTAGCTCAGTGGAGCTGGAGGAGGAAGGAAATGGGGCCAGATATCTTCAAAGTAGACATATACAATGGCTGAACACAAACAGAATCACATTTTGCAGGTAGGAGATTAAGCGTCAGAATTCGTGTGACATTAACTGGTCCCCTGCCTGCCTCCAGCCTGGCTCCAGTCAATTCAACTCTGAGCTTCTGGACTCTAGCCAAGCTGTGCTCCTGTTCAAATACCTTCAACGGTCCCCACCAACAGCAGTGGACTACTAATTTCTTTGGCCAAGAAATCCTCTCTCCAAAAGATATGTCACTGAAACCTAAGCAAACAAAACCAATGAAGCAGAGCTGTTCCGATAAGTGTGGAAAAAACGGAATGTCTTGCCAAGACTTCTCAGGGCAAAGTTTAAAAACACTGACTTTCAAGATAAAACCAACCCAAATATCCAACAATGACACACTGGATTAAGAAAATGTGGCACATATACACCATGGAATACTATGCAGCCATAAAAAAGGATGAATTCATGTCCTTTGTAGGGACATGGATGAAGCTGGAAACCATCATTCTCAGCAAACTATCACAAGGACAGAAAACCAAACACTGCGTGTTCTCACTCATAGGTGGGAATTGAACAATGAGAACACTTGGACACAGGAAGGGGAACATCACACACCAGGGCCTGTTGTGGGGTGGGGGGAGGGGGGAGGGATAGCATTAGGAGATATACCTAATGTAAATGACAAGTTAATGGGTGCAGCACACCAACATGGCACATGTATACATATGTAACAAACCTGCATGTTGTGCACATGTACCCTAAAACAAAGTATAATTTTTAAAAAAAAGGAAAAAATAAAAAAATAAAAAACGGTGAAACTCCTTCCCAGGCATTCCAGGTCCTAGGTCTTAGGGCCTACCAGATCAGAGGGCCCTGCCGACAGCTTCAGTCTCATCTCTCACGGGAAACCATCACCCTCTCCATCTCCACTCAGTAGCCTCACTTTCAGTTCTCTCCCGAAGCCAGACTGTTTCATGCCTCTACACCTTTGCTCGTGCTATTCCTTCTACCTAAAATGCCCTTCCCCACCCTACCCCCGCCTCACCCCCACCTCTACCTGACAAACACCCATTCATCCTGCCAAAGCTAATTAAGCTCCCCTCCAGGAAGCTTTGCTACCTGCACCCCTAGTGCCCCACTCAGGAACAGCTGAACACATCCCTCTCTGGGCTGTGTTATCAAATAACACAATATAATTACCAAATTATCCCATATCAACTGCCCCTTGGCCATGGCAAGTAATTCCATCTCTCTGAGCCTGTGCCTCCTCAGCTACAAAATAGGGGTGACTTGTGATTGTGGACCAGAGACAAGCTATTTAAAACAATCTTGCACTGCTCCTGGAATATGGTGGAACTCAACAAATGACAGTTGTTATAATTATTACTTTTTTTTTTTAACATGTAACAATTAGCATTTTGTCAGAAGACCCTCAGAATAGCCTTTCTGCAGCTAAACCAAGAAAGCAACTTAGTTTGGGAGAAAGAAGAAAGATTTTGCAGTCAGACAGAGCTGCCCTAGTGAAGCACAGCTTCCTGGGATGAAGGTAAAGAGGGAGACAAAGGTAACTAAAGCACCTAGCAATGCACTAGGAGACAAGGTGCCAGGCAGCACCAGTGCAATGCCCCAGAAAACCTGGAAAGAGGTGTAAGATTGCCCTCTAGGGGCTCAACTTTGAAATCGTCACATAATCAATGGGAGAGGTAGTCACCGAACTATATACACTTAAAATTGAAGCACTGTGTTGTATGTAATTTATACACCAATAAAACTGAATTTTTTTTTTTTTTTAGTTACCTTAAAGCAAGTTCTACATAGAGAAAAGAAAAAGTAGGCAGGCCTGGTGGGGACTCCTGTGGCCAAGCTGGAGCACCAAGCCCATCTAAGGGGAGGGGTAGCCTCAATCCAGCAAGATGATACCCAGGGCTGCCAATCTCCTAGGTTTTAAACAGAAGGTGGAAATCCAGACTTCTGCATGAAATTCAATTTTTTACATACTGGCAACTAATTCACACTTTAAAAAATACTGTAAGCCAAACAGATCATATCTGTTGGCATATTTGATCTGCAGGACTTCCCAGTATTAACTGCCTTAAAGACACAGAGCAGCTCAAAGGCCAGATTGAAGACAATAAAGTAGCTAAAGCATGCACCTTTAAAAAGGGTGGTGGGAGCCCAGAAAGATATTGGCAGAGTCCATCCACGTGAGGGGTCCCTGGGCCCTAAAGATTCAATACCTTGCCCTGCCCAACAGTGAGTCAATCTGTGTCGCAGATCTGGATCCGTCTCACCAGGGCAAAACCAAGGACTCTGGCTCCAGTTTTCTGCTAACCATCTGACCTTGACTTAGCTTCCTAGGCAGGCCTGCCTTCAGGGAGGGAACACGCTGATCCTACACACCCAGGAAGGTTTCACCACAAAGAGGGCCACACCCTGAGCAAAAATCCAGAGCTGGCATCTGACTGCTGCACTGATCTCTGGGAGTGCGCCTGGGACACAGCTATCCCTGAGAGACAGCTGCATTCATAGGACTGACATGTTGGGTTTTGGTGCCTCTCCAGTCAGACCTATGGGAAATCCCAGGAAGATGCCGCCTTTAGCAAAGCTCTGATCCGACATCCATGGAGACTCTACCACCTAGAACACAGTAAGTACTTGATACACGTTAACCCTTCCCAAAGTCCCCCTTCCAAAAAAAGATGAGCAATTAAGCTTCTGTGGCACATGCTAACAGGACCACTCTCCTCTAGGATCACCTTAAAATGTGCCAGGCTCTGTACCTTTACGTGCTGTTCTCTCTGCTAGGCAAAGCGTCCTCACCCAACTCGCAGGACTCCTTGTCTGACAAGCCCTCCCCATTCCACGCCCAGGCAGAGCTGATCACACCTTGCTTTTGTCACAGCACGGAACCCTGGGCTCACCTCTATCACGGCATCAATCACGACATATATTTTTTTTAACATCTATCCCCTCCCACACTGAGAGCACCATAGAAGCAGGACAACGTTCAGCCCTGCATTCCCAGCACGCATTCCCAAGGCCACACTCAGTAGTTGGTTAAGGAATGAATCTATACTTCCTCTAATTCAAGCTTTAATTCATACACCCAACCACATCCTAGACTCTACTCACTGAAGCTCACAGGCCCTCAAACCCAACATGTGCCAACTGAAGGTATCATCTTCCCTCTCCCTCCACCCAAAAACATTTCCTCTTTTTCCTTTTCCCCCAACAAAATTCAATAAATTGCACCACCCCACAGCTGCTCATGTTCAAAACCTGGGCAAGGGCCAGGCACAGTGGCTCATGTCTGTAATCCCAGCACTTTGAGAGGCCGGCAAATCACCTGAGGTCAGGTGTTCAAGACCAGCCTGGCCAACATGGTGAAACGCTGTCTCCACTAAAAATACAAAAATTAGCCAGGCTTTTTTGGTGGCGGGCAACTGTAATCCCAGCTGCTCAGGAGGCTGAGGTAAGAGAATCACCTGAACCTGGGAAGCTGAGGTTGCAGTAAGCCAAGATCACGCCACTGCACTCTAGCCTGGAGGACAGAGTTAAGACTCCATCTAAAAAAAAAAAAAAAAAAAAAAAAAATGCCTGGGCAAGGGTGTGTCACTGTAGCTTTTCCCCTTATCCCCCAGATCCAGTCAGTCACCAAGCCCTTCAAGCCCATCACATCCACTCTACCTTCTAGCCTGTTCTCCTCCATTCCCAGCTCTGTCACCTCCACTTTGGTCACCATCAGCTCTTTCCTGGATTTCTGCATCAGCCTGAGAACCAGTCTTCTACCCAGCCCCAGTGTCAATCCATTCCCCAAGGGCAGGCAGAAAGACCTTTCTAAATTTAAATCTGATCTTGTCATTCCCTGAAGCCCCACCTTTAACTCTTCAGTGGCTTCTTGTATGCCTTTAGGATAAAACTCAAATTCTTCAATAAGGTCCATGTCACCTCCCCAGCTTCCCTCTCCTCACCTCTTCCCCACTCCTTTCCAGAACACAGCACTCAGGCCAGGCTATGCACCCTCCTGTACCTGCATCCTGCCATGTTCCTTCTTGCCTCTGGACTTCCACTCGCACTGTTCCTTTACTTTCCTTTCTCTGTCCAAGTAATTCTTCCTCTTCCTAGTACTTCTCCCGGGAAGCTTTTCCTAATCCCTCTAAACTGAATTAGATATATGTTAACCCAGCATTGATCCTACTTAGCCCTTATCATCCTGCTCCTCCCTCCACCCCTCCCACCCTGCTGGATGATAAGCTTCAACTCAAACAATGAGATTCCTGGGGAGAGGAACCCAGGCTGTATCACTCCTTCTTACATTCTCATCACCACTGTGCTGAGTAGAAGATGCTCAGGTGATATTTTTTGAATAAAAGGCATAAAGATCCAATAGAACCAATTAACTGACTGCTCAGCATCTGTCAGGACCCTCAGAGGGCCTTTTCTATTCATTCTGTCCCAGGACCTCTTTTCAAACCTATCCCAAACCCTCTCCTTCCCCTTCACAGGCGCCAGGAATTCTGCCAGTCTTTTCTTCTTTGGTGGCTGCTCACATACTCTATTCCCTGGGTCCCCTACTCCCAGTTTAACTGCTCCAGACCTGTAGCTCCCCCAGGAAGACAAGCCCATAAGCCTTCTAAGGGCTTCACTGCTGATGGGTTGGGAGAGATACAAGGGAACACGGAAATGATTCTGTGGAATTCTCACAGTCTAGTGGCTCCATGGGTGATGCCTGGAAAGGCCAGTACTCTGGGGGGAGGCTCAGTAGGAGGGCACTTCCCAGGGAAGTTTCTCTTCCTAGCCATGAAGTCAAGAAAAACACAAGGTGTCAAATGGGTAAACTGAGATGATATATATTCATTCCACTGAGGTCCATGGGGAACCCAGTTTCCTCACTCACCTTGAAATTATTAATCATAAAACTTTCATTTTCCAGATCAAAGCTAAGAAAAGATTGCAGAGCACCAAATAAATGCTCGCACCTCCAAATGCTGAAGCTAGGGCACTTACATGGAGGCATGGGCTCTCCCTCTGGGTCTATTTACTTTTCTTTTACAGATAATCCTATCCCAAAGATTAGGATTTGCTCATCTGATTTTCCAAGCAGCAGACTCCAATCTCCACAGGTGGTACCAAGGCAGAAGTAAAAGCAGACAAGAGTTGAGGAACCCGGCAGTTAGGCCAAGCACCTAAACAACACAGTAGTGCTAGTCAGTGCAGAGGGCAGGCACCAAATGACCAAGAAAAAGGAGCCAGTCAGTATCCTCCGAAACAGATCATTTGCTTTAGAACAATTTCTATCAAATTCCAAACAAGCTCGGCTCTTCAACAGATAGGTCACAGGTTAGCCAGCAGTTGGACTTATATTTAGTTAACCTTCCATTTAGTGACTGCCAAATAAGGCAAGAGTATCATAATGTAAGGTTTATGGTAAGGAATAAACTCAACTTTCTCCTGACAAGTTTTTACCAAAAATTTCGTTGCAAAATATGATGGGCACTAAAGACTGCCTAAAGGACATATCAACTACCCAATAAACTAGAAGGCACCCATTTTATCGTGGATCATCAAAGAGCTCTGTATTTGGTCTACACTGTTTTATTTTTGACACCTTGCCCTGTACTCATTTGGGCCTTGGGCTGCATTAAAAGATATAATGGAATATAAGTCACACGAAATTCACTGTTATTTCTTGTGGGGGCAGTCACTCACTGTTCACTTTGGGAAGAACCACAAGAGAAATTTCCTCTGATAGTGCCAAGTAAAACTGGGCTTCTCCTGAGTTACTAGCTTGTTTTACCTCATTTGCAATGTAAATCTTGTCTCTACCCTTTTTCCTTTGGCTCCCAGGAAGCTCATGGGCAAAATCAAATGCTAACTTTAGTATCTGAGTGGAACTTTTTAGCATGAATGTCTATCAGTAGACAATCTCTGACCTCATATGACTATGCTATTCCTTTTCTCTTCCTCCTGATTTTATCCCTAGTTTTCTATCTAACTGTGTTGGACTTGTTCCCATTAGTCACTCAAGTCCTATGGGAAACATGGGGAGAAGGGAGGGATAAAAGAGAATAAAAGGAAACAATTCTTTCCCCACGCTGCCAGATAATGTGATGTCAGGGTATGACAGGGACAAGAGCCAGACCTGTCTTTCTCATCCAGGACCAGAGCCATCGCCAAGTCCCCCTCGTGCATCTTCTTCATCTCTGAAAGCTTGCTTTCCAAACGCAACCGAAGAGCCTTCTCCGTCTCTGTCCCTGCAAAGGCCTTTTCCAGTTCTGCCTGGGCGGCTGTCACATCCTAGAGTCAAATTAAATGCATTTGATGCAATTTTTCAATACAATTGGGAACATTTTGAAAGGAAATTGGATTAAAATATAAATATTTATGACTTCTTCTCCAGCACATTTCCCCTCCCTGAATTGTACTATACATGGAGAGAATCAGTAATAAATACATTTGCCAGCCATTTTTCCCTCTTGTATCCTGAAGCATAACAGGCATTTCCAATGGAAAAGACTCAACTCTGTAAGAACTGTATTTTTGGTTTTGAAAAATCAGATCAATATTTACAGCTTCAAGAAGAACAAGAAGAAATGCTCCTCTCAATAATAAACATACATAAATTCCAAAGAGTCACCATAATTTCCATACAAATTCATCCTACACACCCCCACCGCCCTATTTTTTTAAGATAATGACTGAACAATTCTAAAGTACATTTTCTGTATCTCCAAGGTGATTCAGTTGGGAAAAAAAAAAAAAAAACAACTGTATGTTCTTCCCAAGAGGTCAGAGAAGCCAACGAGGAAATTATCTAAATCATGCAGGCAGTGTCTGTGTTAGGGAAAAAGGCCCTTGTGGTCATGAAAGTGACCTGGGAGTAGATATGAATCTCCAACTACTCACACCAACTGCCTCCAATTACATCACAAAGATAAACATCAAACAGAATTGGGTTCAAAACCCAGCTCTCCCACATACTTGCTGTGTGACCTCAGGCAGTTGCTAAACCTCTCTGAGCCTGAACTTCCCAATCTATAAAATAGGGATAACCACCGTCCCATCAAAGAGCTACCATGAGTCTCTATCAAATGCTTGTTCCATCACAGGAAGCTCAGAAAAAAATGTTGGCTCCCTCCTCCCTGCCCTTGCCCTCCACAGTGCCGCCCCCACCACTATCTCCCCAAGGGGCTTCCTGTCACTCTCAATGAAAGCCGAAAAAAATCATTTATCATACTCTTAGACAACAACAAAGCCTGTTATTTACTAAATGCCAGGCTCTGAGCAAGGAGCTTCATTCGTATTATCTCCCATCTGCATCCAACCCTAAAAAGTTATATCCTAAGACAGTAGAGTATAGCAGTTTAGAATGCAGGTCTGAAGCCAGACTACCTGATATTTACTGTCTGTGTGACCCTGAGCAAGTGACTTAGCCACACTGTGCCTGTTTCATCATCTGTTTAAAAAAAAAAAAAAAGAAAGAATGAAAAAGGATGACAGAAGTATTCACCTCACAGAGGTTTACTGAAAAGATTACCTTCCTGTCTATAAAGAGCTTAGAAGGATGTCTCACACAATGAAATGGTAAGCCCACAATAAATTGTTAATACCACAGTTATTATTACAATTACCACTGCAAACCAGGTATCACTGTCATTTTACAGATGACAAAGCAGAAGCTCAGGGTAGGCAAATACCTTATCCTAGGTGATAAAGCTAGTAAGTGACAGAGCAGAGACCTGTCACTCCAACACATGGGAAAGCACTTACAGGGAAAAACAAATGAACCAGTAAGTTAGATCTCATAATTACATTTTCGCTAAAATTCAGAATTTGTGATCAGGAGAACCTTCATGTGGTTCTAGTTCTACCACTTCTGACCTATACTATGTTTCTAACCCCTCCAAGCCTGTTTAAAACACAGGTATTTTGGGCCTAATAGCTACATAACCCCAAGACGACAATTTAAGGGCTGATATGAACATCATAAATGGAAAATTGTAAACTGCAAAATACAGTGCCTGCTCTTTGTATCCAGAAGTGCTTTTGGTGCCATTTCTCTCCATATCTAAAAAGAACCAGAGTTTCAGGTAGAGAAACTGTGATAAAACAAAAGATTTCAAAGACCAAGAATTAAATAGTATTACTTAATACTAGCTTAAAATAGATAAGGAGACAGGATTTTTTAGCCAGGAAACATCCTGACTCCCATCACAGTGACAGGAAATACCTAACTGAGAGTAAATAGAAGAAGTGACATGCAGTGCCTAATAGAGAAAAGACATTCCATGAGCACCAGCAGGATGGTTGGAGGGAAGCCAGATACCAGGGACCAGAGCTGGAAGGACACGTGGTAGCCTAAAGGTCAGAGTCTGGTTCCAGGCTTGACTAATGTTAGGTAAGTCATTTCCCTTCTCTGGCCGTCAGCTTCCACATCTTTAAAATAATGGGGCTAAACTAGACAAGCAGAGTGGTGCTGTAGGAAGAGCATGGGCTTTAAAATCCGCATAGTTAAACCCAGGATTAAACCTACTAGTATTAGGTTAAGCCTATTAAACGAGTTAGTACTTCTCTCTGTATCTCAGGGATCTTACACAGAAATGAGGACCACAATGGCCAGTTTGTGGGTAAAGGGGTTATAAATTATACATATAAAATGCCTGAAATGGGGCTACAATCCAGGAGATGCTCAATAAGGGTAGCTGTTGTTTCTGCTGAAACTGACGGTTTATAAAAAAAGAAACAAAACTGTGCCAGCCTATTATTAACCCACTATAAGAAATACACTGCCCTCAGGATTTCCAGACTTGCCTTTTCCAAAAGGAGTATTCTTTTAGTTAGGAGATCTTCCACCTGCTGCACCTTCTTTCGAGCATCTTCTTTCACCCGCTGGATTTCAGAGCCACCTGCTTCAGCTAAGCTCTCAACTGCTTTGCTGCAAAAAGAGGCACAGGGGTAAAACATGCAAGGGTGATGGTCTGATGGTTATTTCACAGCCCCAAAGAGACAAGGAGTATTTGCTAGTCATTTCTCCCACAGACCTGTGCTGAGCTTCTTTTTCTTTAGCTTAATATTTATCATTTAAAAACACAGATAAGAAAAAAATTAGAATCATCCATAATCTTGTCACTCAGGATAACTAAGTCAACATTTTAGCATATAGCCTTTCAGACATTTTCTACAAAAAAGAATCATTTAGTACACATCAGTGAAGTGATCTTATTACTTAATATACTACGAACATTCTTTTGTGTCAATAAATAAAAGTCTATATCATCATTTTTAAAGGCTGCATATTAATTCAATGTATGAAATGTACTATAGTTTACTAAATCAATTCTCTATTTTTACAACATTTAAATTGTTTCTCATTTAACACATTGTATCTGACGATACTCAAAGTTCTGACAACAGTGCCTGGTACAAAGTAAGTATTCAATAAATGTTGGCGATACTGTTTACTGTAATAAGTAATGTTACGATAAAAGCATCCTTGTATGTCTACTATCCAGTGACTTCCTGAGAATTGATTTGTAGAAAGGGAATAGCTGGGTCACATGGTAAGCCCACTGCTAAGATTCTGGATAGCTATTGCCAAATTTCTCAGCAAGGGGCTTCCAACAAAGTACACTTCCACCAGTGGTGCAAGGAGGGCAGAGAGCTGGTCTGACAAACCAACGTGCAAAGGAGCAGTATGCAACGAAGTCTATATACTTCATCTTCTGCCAGCTGAAGAGAAAAGCATTTTAAATGCATCAGGATCAATCTGTTTGCGCACTAGCTACCACTTAGGGCATAAAAAGGGGAGGTTACACAAGCAGCCCATACTCCGTGTTACTCTAACATAAAACACAGAGTACACACTGCTAGAGCACCATGGAATATTCTCTCCACATGACCGGCAGTGGTGGGAACGGCACGCCCAAATCAGACGCAGGACTACAACCACCGATGCCAGAAGATAAACAGTGTCGGACATGACTCTGTAAGACTGTATGAGCAGTCCTCGTCAGATTTCTAAAATGACTGCAGGTTTCCAGAAGGCAAAATAATAAAGGAAATGCTTCCACCTAAGGCTGGTTTCTCAGAAAAACTGCAACAGAACAAATCTATTCACCACCAGCTTCCCATGCCCTACTTTAAAGATACATAAAATTTTTCCAACTGAGAGCCATGTGATCTCTCATATGTACAAGCCATGTGAATTTTTTACTGAGAACAATGGAAAGTCAAGAGGGCCATACTTGTTGTCCAAATCTCAAACATGAGTCGCCTGAAAATAAAGACTTTATTAATATCTTTTTTCTTTTCACCAATAAAGCTTCAGAAGGCCCCAGTGTCATATCATTTTAATGGAATTCAATGTGAACAACTGGAAAGAAAGAACATGGGCTCTGAAGCTGGACAGATCTGCTTCTAAATTTTTACTCTATTATGTCCTCAGTGGGACTCTGGGTGAATTACCTAGCCTCAGTAAATTACCTCTCACACCTCAGTTTCCTCATGTGAAAAATGAGATGATTACCTCTCAGAATTAATGTGCTCACACACGTCGGCCTGTTCCTCTCTGATCAGAGTGCTCTGCACACTAGCCCTTGGCCTCTGAGGCCCACACAGCACTGGCTCCTGCTGAGCAGCATGCTGTGAGAGGCCTCATGCTACCCTCTGCTGGGGTCTCCGCTGGCCAAAGCCAAGGCGCCTATTTCCATTTCCTGATTAATACCATTGAATGCCATCACCCCCCACTCCCGGGGCTCATTTTTGGATCACTGTCTTGAATTCACAGTGATTCACAATCATTTCTATCACTCCTTGAGGAGCATTATACACGGCCGAAAGAATTCTGGACGAGAAGCCCTTCCTTCCCGAGCCTTGGCTACAGGATTTCTCCAGGAATGAATTTCTGCTACCCACTCACCAAGGTTTGAGGCCTGGGGCTTCACAGAGCCTCCTCTATAAAATGGCTCATCTCTGCTACCCTTTCCCTTACCCCTCCACCCTGCCCACCAGAGTGCAAATAGGCCGTCTCCCTCCTATCAGCCCAGATCTAACCTTTCTGTTTTGCTGTCTAAATCACATACATTGTCAAGAGGCTGATTACAATTTTTAACAAGTACTATTATTATTCAGTTTGTTTGAGTTTTAGTTATACCAGTAAAATATACTCCCAATAATAAATGTTCCAACTTTTCATTTATCATCTTTGTGCTTTACAGTTTCTGTGGCAATAAAATTTATACTCAGTAGTATGGTACAATTTTCCTCTACTAATGGAATTATTATTTTTGTTTGTGTTTTAAAGCTACAGAGATAAAATTTACTTGCAACAATATGACTGCTTTCGTTTTTTATGTCCCCTTATTGTAACTGATAAATATAACAATGGAAAACCAGCCAACAAATATGTTTATCTCACAGCAAGGCACAGCACACTCTGGAGGCAGAGCGGCCGCTACACGTTTCCCCACTCCTCGAACCTTGGTTTTCTCTCCACTCAAATGGGAATACTGACTGCCCACATAACTGATCAAATGCAATAAAGCCTGTCAAGCGCCAGATGCAGGATGTGGAACAAAGAAGGATCTCAGTAAGTGTTAGCTCCCTCCCTCGACCCTTTCTTTCCTTGCAGAATCTGGGCTAACACACAAGGTGGGCAGCAAGACCTGAGGAGAGAAAAGGCTGAGAGAAACTGGTTTCATCTAGCTTTCCACCCAATACAAGAAAGCCAGATTCTATAAATGCCAGCCTCACTACCCTTTTTAATTCTCCACATTTCCCCTGGATTCTTTTCATTCTAATTATGGTTCTTCAGGAAAAAGCAGGGGATTTTCCTGTGGCAGATGTCATATCCTGTCCCCACGCCCCAACAAAAATCCTAAAACTGAAAAGGGGAGTTGAGGGTATCATATTAACATAGATATTTTCCATCAACAAGTATCCACCACAGACATACTGCTGGGTGCTAGGAAGCTAGGGTTAAAGAGAAAAGCACGGCCAGGCATGGTGGCTCATGCTTGTAATCCCAGCACTTTGGGAGGCCAATGCAGGGGGGATCACCTGAGGTCAGGAGTTTGAGACCAGCCTGGCCAACATGGTGAAACCCTGTCTCTACTAAAAATACAAAAATTAGCCAAGGCTTGTGGCGCATGCCTGTAATCCCAGCTACTCGGGAGGCTGAGGCAGAAGAATCACTTGAACCCGGGTTGTACTGAGCCAAGATTGTGCCATTGCACTCCAGCCTGAGCAACAGAGCGAGACTCCATCTCAAAAAAAAAAAAAAAAGAGATGGGTACACCTAGCAGTTCCATGGTAGATACTGTCATTGAACAGATACACAGATACTGTGTATATACAAATATACAATTATCTACATACAAAAATTTAAAAAGAACATGGAACCTAGTGCTGAACTAGAAGTCAGGGACTAAAGTTCTAATACCAGATGTGACCTTCCTGGCTGGGAGTCATGGCCCTTCCCTTTTCCTGGCCTATAGTCTCTCCTCTGTGAAATGAGGGTATTCCTCAAGACTTTCCCAGCTCCCAGAACAATGATGGAATGTAAATGGAAAGTGTTTTATAAACTAAAAAGTGTTAAACATAGAGTATTATCATTCTGTACCAGCGAAGTCCGTTAAGAGACTGATGCGGGCTAGAGGAAGCCATGCGCGGTTCCAGATCTGAAGCTTTACAAAGGGCTGAGCAATGGAAGGCATTTGGGCTGGGAGGAGGTGAGAGGGGAGGAGGTCTGCTGGAGCAGAGTTAGAGCAGCAAAAGCAAGAACATTTTAGCATCCATGAACTGTGTTTGGAATAGAGTTGGTGGAGAGGAAGCTGGAGCAGTTGGGTCACTGCGAACATTCTTAAACAGAGCTCATGACCTTAACCCCAAACAGGAATCATCCATGACATCCCCCTTCCCATCCATCACCAAAGCCTGTTGATTCTGCTTCCCAAATGTCTGATTCACCCAGCTACTCTGTCACTCACCTCTCACCTCAACCACTGGACTAGCTTCCTGACTGGTCGCCCAGCTTTCACTCATGCTGTCTCCACAATCCACTTTCCACCCAGCATCCAGAATGACCTTTTCAAATACAGAACTCTGATTGTGTCACTTGCTTAAAACCCACAACTGCTTTCCATGTGATTTTAAGATAAAGATCAAAATCTCTAGTGTCTAGACTTCTCATATTCCCTCAGACCTATACATTCTCTTCTCCTTGAACAGTTTCTCTACCCATTCAACTGGTTAATTCCTACTTATCTTTCAGATCTCATCTCAAATGCCATCTCCTCAGGGACACTTTCCCAGCTACATAGCCATATCTATATATTCACTCCCCTACCTGGCTGGGTGCAGCGGCTCACCCCTGTAATCCCAGTACTTTGGGAGGCTGAGGTGGGCGGATCACATGAGGCCAGGGGTTCGAGACCAGCCTGGCCAACATGGTGAAACCCCATCTCTACAAAAATACAAAAGTTAGCTGAGCATGGCGGCACATGCCTGTAATCCCAGCTACTCAGGAGGCTGAGGCAGGAGAATCGCCTGGACCCAGGAGGCGGAGGTTGCAGTGAGCCGAGATCATGCCACTGCACTCCAGCCTGGCAGAGCAAAACTCTGTCTCAAAAAATAATAATAATATATATTTACTCCCCTACCTATAAATTCTCATAGCTCACTTTATTTTTCCTCATAGCTCTTTCCCCAACTTGTGTTTATATATTACTCCAAGTATTTTATCACCATCACTCCCACTAGAATGTGAGCCTCATACATCTGTTTGCATCACCACTATATCCCCAGGAACCTAGTCCACTGCAGCACACAAGAGCCACTTAATAAATATTTTCTGAATAAACGAATAAAGCTGGTCAGACCACACAACCCTGAGCAGTTTGGGAAATATACACATATAAACATGTGCACAAGCCTCCAAAATACTCAATCCCATGTGTTGCTATTGAGGAGTGTATGCAAGCCTTTGTGAGCTGAGGTTTCCATGTGTACGAGCTTAACTAAAAACTAGTCCAAGCCAAGACCTGTAGCAGGCAGGGCACTGAGTATGAAATAGACCAAATTCCATTACTGATCTTCAAGCTTGAAAAAGCAGATTTGCCTCCCTGCCCAGAAAATAATCTACTTCAAAAAACAACAACAACAATAACAACTTGTTAATCTGGTGATATTTATTACTTCATTCACTCATTCATTCAGAAAATACCAAGTGTGCAAGTTCAGCATAACCTGGAGAAGAAGCCTGGGCCTGGCATCCTCTAGTCTGCTGAAAGCCAACAGCAGGCCAGCTTCCAGCTGCTGGACCCTGTGGCAATGAAGGGAATTATACTGGCCTGGCCCAGAGCAGTGCAGCCATGCCCTAAACCAAGAACTCCATGGTCCTGGCCTACCACACCCAGCAGGAACTCTATTGCCAGGACAAATGAAGCATTTCCACATAAGCTTCTGGCTAGGATCCTCGGTGAGGCAACCCTGGAAAGTCTTATTCCACTGTCACAGAACAAAACTTAGCACACTTTGGTGTTGCCACTTTACCCACAACACCCTCCATCACTGTACCTTCCTGGCATGTTATTTTTCACAGGTGTGATGGGCAGCTCACCAGTCTCTGATGAGCTCTTGGAGTAGAAGGGTGGAGGGCTGTCTCTTTTCAGATCTTCGGGCAGATGTTAGACTCGAAATACTTGTGTATTTCACAAGTTACTATGTAATAAATGTTTACGAATGAGTGAAAAATCAATTGATTCACTGACTGTATTTGCTGAACTGTGCTTGTTGTTCAATATTTTAATAAATGAAAATACTACTTTTCAAATGTTTTTTAAGGAGGAGAACCTCTCTCAAGCAAAATATTACGAGGGTCCCTAGGACACTTAACAGATCTTAAAGAAAAAAAAAAGACATTTACTGTGGCTGAAGCCCCATCCTCTGTCTCCCTGCCTCACCCATCAGGACCCCTTCAAGTCACCCCAGGCTTTTACAACAGTAAGAATTGAACTACTGATATAATTAACAACATAGATCAATCTCACAAATATATTGTTGAGGAAAGAAGCCAGACACAAAAGAGAATCTACTATATAATTCCTTTTATATAAAGTTTAAAAACAGGCAGAACTAACAGTGGTCAGAATGGTAGTTATCTTTAGGGGAGAAAGGTGAGCTCTGAGAACACAAAGAGGGCTTCTGGGGGGCTGGCATGTTCTGTTTCCTGATCTGGATGGTAGCTCCACAGGTGTGTTTGCTTGTGAACATTCACGCTGTACACTTAAGATCTGTTCATTTTTCTATAAGCATGGTATATCTTAAAAGCTTGTTGAAAAGTAAATAATTAAGTAAAAACAAAAACCTCCTTGCAGTCCTCAGAGTCCAGATGGAAACCAACTGTCTTAGAAAAGTGTACGGCTCTATTTCACTGACCAACCCAGTGTGGGCGACTTGCAAGCTTTCAACGGATGATGGTACTCACGAGGCTTTGATGAGCAGCTGCTCTCTCTCCTGGAGTTCCCGCTTCAGACTTTCTACTTCCACCTTGAGCTCAATGTTCTACAAAACAAGATTAAGAAAGAAAAGAAACAATGTAAAATAGAGGACCTATGAATGTCAACAATGGGGAAACTGCTTCCAGCACAGACTGACTACAGGATGCTTGTAATAGGCAGATGTTAGATTCCAAAAACCCTCATTAGCCTCAGGGCACAGGGAAAAGGGAATTATTAAACACTGGTGGTCTCAAAAGAAAGACCTAGATTTTGTGAGACTTGGAACAATTATGTAAATGCTCCAAGCTTCTAACAGCCAGAGCATTCAAATATCAAGGCATAAATGTCATACAAGGAAGGCTGATTTAAAAATTGTATGCCCTCCACCAAGCAAATTTACAAGCAATTCTGCGGTGTGTTTTTCCCATTCCAAAGCAATTACTGGTGGTTGTTTACAATCATGCATGTGGTGGATGCAGCAGTGGGAACGTGTTACAGCTTAAAAAAAAATAAAACATGTGGATGGAAAACAGGAGACCACATCATGGCATGTGTCATTTCAATATAAGATTTCAGGGTTCTCACTTAAAGCTACAACCACATGGGGCAAGCTGTCTATAAGGAGCACCGCAATGTTCTCCAACCAAATGTCTTCCTCTTAACTGACTGGAACAAAGGGAGTTGCACACAGCCTTGGGCTTATAACTCACGTGAGAATCCAGGGCAAATGGAATTCAATATGAGACAGCTGAACAGTGGCAGACTTCTCAAACTTATCTACAAATGTATCCCAGACAGAATATTAGATGAACTCAAGTAGTAGATGGGGGTTTGGGTGCATCGTTTGTGGAAGACTGCTGTAAATCTACAATTTATTGGAAATCTCCCTTTTGTTTTTTTGTTTTTTTGTTTTTTTATTTAGAGGCAGAGTCTTGCTCTGCTGTTGCCCAGCCTGGAGTGCAGTGGTACTATCATAGCTCACTGCAGGCCTCAAACTCCTGGGCTCAAGGGATCCTCCCACCTCAACCTCCTGAGTATCTGGGACTATAGGCGTGCACTGCCACACCCGTCTTTTCGTTTGTTTGTTTGTTTTACAGATTGGGTCTTGCTATATCGCACAGGCTGGTCTTAAACTTCTGGCTTCAAATGATACTCCTGCTTCAGCCTCCCAAAGCACTGGGCTTACAGCTCCTCTTTTATTTTAATAATCCATGCCAATTTTATATTCTACTCCATAATACATGTGTTTTTTGTTTTTTCGTTTTTTTTGTTTTTTTGAGATGAAATCTTGCTCTTGTCACCCAGTCTGGAGTGCAGTGGTGCGATCTCAGCTCACTGCAACCTCCACCTCCCAGGTTCAAGCAATCCTCCTGCCTCAGCCTCCGAGTAGCTGGGATTATAGTAGGCACCTGCAACCACGCCCAGCTAATTTTTTGTATTTTTAGTTGAGACGGGGTTTCGCCACGTTGGCCAGGCTGGTCTTGAACTCCTGACCTCAAGTGATCCGCCTGCCTTGGCCTCTCAAAGTGCTGGGATTACAGGCGTGAGCCACCGCATCCGGCCATATGTGTATTATTTAAACAAAAATATTTCCAGGCCGGGCGCAGTGGTTCACACCTATAACCCTAGCAGTTTGGGAGGCTGAGGTGGGCGGATCACTTGAGGTCAGGAGTTCGAGACCAGCCTGGCCAACATGGCAAAACACTGTCTCAGCTAAAAATACAAAAATTAGCCAGGAGTGGTGGCACATGCCTGTAGTCCCAGGTATTTGGAAGGCTGAGGCAGAAGAATCGCTCGAACCCAGGAGGCAGAGGTCGCAGTGAGCCAAGATTGCACCACTGCACTCCAGCCTAGGCGACAGAGCGAGACTCCATCTCAAAAAAAAAAAATCATTTCCAGTAAGATTTACCGTCTCACAGGATATGCCTCCCTCCTTTCTGGCAAGCAGCCCTAGAGAAGCAAGTACTTCACGTTGAGAAGTACAGCCATGACAGTAAGGTCATGGGTGTGTGAACAAAAGGACATAGGTTTAAATTCTGTCTCTACTCCCTACCAGGAGGAGACCACAAAGTCAGTGGCTCCTCACTTACTCACTCCTTCACGTCACAGAAACTTACCAAGCACCTGTGATGGACCAACCACAGAAGACACTGAAGTGAACAAGACATGCTAACGTGGAATACAAAACTAGAAGCACAATACTTTAACTGTCCTTAGACATATAAGTCCACAGGGTGAGAAAGCAATGCTTCTCCTTTCTAATCCTCAAGTGTCAAAAACAAAACATAAAAGCTCCCATGACATGGGGGCCTTAAGGACTATAATGAGCTAGCAAATGAGAAAAGCCTCGGAGACAGGGCTCAAAATAGGTTATCTTCTTCACTGTCAAACAACAAGAATTAAAGAAGTCATCTATGAGGCAGAACTTTTTCTTGAAGAAAGTGATCTTTGCAAAAAGGACACTGGGTGACAGTGTATAATATCTTCAAGTGTAATTTTGTGAAAAATGCAGAAACATCCTTCAAACAGAGGATTCTTTTTCCAGCTCTCAGAAGGGTGGAGAGCTTCTATTTATGAACTGATATAATATACTCTACGTGCTTCACTTTCTGATGAACCAACAGGCACTCCAATTTAATACATTTAAAAGAATGAATGCTAACATGTCCATTCGGTTATTTTTCTCAAGCCCAATATCTCAAGTTATAAACTTATATACATAATTGTAATTTCCAAACCAAAAGTCAGGGCACCTTCAAAGAGTAAAATGGAATATTATGAAACTATTAAAAAAGGCATCTTAGTGCAATGGCTCACACCTGTAAGTCCCAACACTTTGGGAAGCCAAGGCAGGAGGATGGTTTGAGGCTAGAAGTTCAAGACCAGCCTTGGGCAACATAGCAAGACCCCATCTCTACAAAAAGCAAAAATTTAAAAATGCCAGGTGTGGTGGTGCATGCCTGTAGTCCCAACTACTCAGGAGACTGAGGTGGGAGGATACCTTCAGCCCAAGAGTTCAAGGTTGCAGTGAGCTATGATCACACCACTACACTCCAGCTCGGTGACAGAGTGAGATACTGTCTCAAAAACAAAAAGAATAAAGAAATTCATTCTTAAACTACTATTAAAGAAAGATATCATTAAGTAAGGCGAGGCGCAGTGCCTCACGCCTATAATCCAAGCACTTTGGGAGGCCAAGGCAGGTGGATCACTTGAGGCCAGGAGTTTGAGACCAGCCTGGAGAACATGGGGAAACCCCATCTCTACCAAAAGTACAAAAATTAGCCAGGCGTGCTGGCGTGCACATGTAATCCCAGCTAATCAGGAGGCTGAGGACAGGAATTGCTTGAACCTGGGAGGCAGAGGTTGCAGTAAGCCAAGATTGTGCCACTGCACTCCAGCCTGGGCAACAGACGGAGACTCTGTCTCAAAAAAAAAAAAAAAAAGAGACAGAAAGATATCATTAAGCGAAAAATATAAGGTGCAGAACAGAACATGCTTGCACTTATGTAAAAAGAGGGTTTATACACATACACACACACAAACACACGCTTGCTTATACTATATATACATAAAATTCCTCTGCATAAGCAATCAATATTTATTAGATCTAGAGGACCAGGACACAAGGGTGGAAGAGTGTTTTCAGTGTATATCTCTTAGGCTTTTTGAATTCTAAACCATGTGCACCTATCCAAAAACTTACACTGAAGAAAGGGGCAATGAAATCAAGTCATCTAGTCAGACAATTGAAGTGGTATAGTACAATGAGATTGGAAGACCTGGGCTCAAAATCCACCTCACGTAGTAGCTATATGACATCAGGTGGGTTACTCATCTATAAGCCTCAGTTTCTTCCCCTGTAAGATGAAGATAAACTCCACGGCACAGGACTGTCATGAGAATTACAATAAGATGCAAATGTACAGATACCCAAGACAGTGCCTGATAGAGTTGGCAACAGACACGTTTTGTATTCCTATCACCCAAGAGGTTCTAGACGCATGACCACCATACTCACGTATAAACTGCTTTAGGCTATTGGTTTTCCTTTAAAATTGTGATTGCATCACTACTCCCTTCCAGAAAAGGGGACATCCTCACTGTCTTTCCACTCCCAGAGTGAAGAAAAAAACTTTCATAAGGGACAAAGAAGCTTTCCAATTCTTGAAAAGGCTCAGAAGTACAGCACAATCCCTCTTCAAGACAAGTCAATTTAAGTTCATCTGCTGAAACTCAAGGAGAGTTCTTTTTCCTCCTTCAAAAGTTTCCACTGGTGCAAACTTCAGAGGAGAAAAGTCAGAATAATTCCCAGGCCAAGGGCTAATCTACTAGAAAAAGCCAAGAAACAGGCACTGAAATATTGTTTGTACTCCTGTCTTTTCAAGAAAGCCAAGTTCTTTTTTCAGTTTTCAGAACCAAGGTTTGTTTTCAGACAAAGACCTGCAGGTCAAGACTTCAAATGAGGATAGGCTTTTCTTCTGACAGTTACAGGCAAGCACACAGGAATACCGAAGAGTCCTATCACAGAAAAACTGACAATCCTAACTTTGGGCTGCCAAAGGAAGCCTCAAGAAGACGGTAATTGTCAAGCACTGACTGTGTGCTGGAGCTTTTCATCTGTCTTCTCATTTTAATTCATACAAATAACCCTATGACAAAGGGATTATCACTTAATTCTGGAAGCAAGCCCCAAAAGCTAAACTGACTTGCCTAAGTTACACAAGTTACCTGGTAACAGTAGAATTCAACTCCAAAACCATTCCACCATTCCACTGCCTGTTTCTAAAGAACACGTAATTATAAAAACTTAACTGAGGTAAAAAGTAGTGAATCTGAATTCTGATTTTTAAAAGACAGTGAAAGACTTTCTTAAAATTAATCATGTACCCCTTTGCTTAATATTAAAGTCATCCTAATATCTTTATGCTCCCCATAATCAATTCAGATTAAATGAAAGCATCTCTATTCATACTAACTCTAAGAACAAATATTAATCAAATTTCTGCTTGAAATGACAATGAGAAAGGACACAAGGGACAGTAATGAGAAATGGGCCACTCACAGTTTTGTAGATATGTTCAGTGGGGCCATGAAATTCCTGTTGCATTCTTTCCTCAAGGAAATAGATGCGGAGCTTTAGGTTAAAGTTTTCTTTCTTCAATTCAGTGATTTGCTGAAAAATATCACAGAAGGGTCATCAAAAGCAAACAAAAGACAGAGGGTCCAACAGATAGTACATACATTAGTCGCTATGGATTACGAGGCTACAAAACTGATTCAAATGTTAAATACTAGAGAAAGCTTATTTTTGCTACCATTCTACTAACCCAGAAGAATTAAGTGGTTCCCACTAGCCAAAGTTAGTACAATTTGAGCATTAAAATGAATAATGACAGGAATGAATAATGACTGAATAAAGAAAGAATTCAAAACTCCACACTGATAATAAGAAGAAAAGGAAAAGAAGAATTTCTTCTTTTCAAAAGAAATCCAGTTAATAAATGTAGAATACAAGGAACAGAAAATCACTATTTTAAAACCTCTACAGTAATGATTGATTAAGGTAAGAATCAGCAGCACTAAAAGCATTAGATGAAAGATCACTACAGAACATAATATTCAGACAGTCATAACATATCACCCACAAATGGCTTATTAATTACAAAAGGAAAAGGTAACCTTACAATTTAGGAAACTTGCGAACACCATCTTGACCAAAAAAATTCATCTCTTATCACCATTGAAGGGATAAACTAACATTATTTTCCTCCTGAAATAAATCAATGAGAGCAAATAATTCCATCCAAAGTGCTTCTGTCTATAACCTTTAACCTGTATCTAATCAAGAGGAGTCTACCAGATAAATCTAAGTTGAAGAACATTCTGCAAAACAACAGAACTGAACTCTTCAAAAATCTTAATGGCAATCCTAAGGCAAAAATGTTTGGTGAACTCTTCTAAATAAAAGGAGGTTGAAGAGGCATGACTACTAAGTACAATAGAATCTTGAATTTTTTACAGAAACAACCATATGATGATACCCGGGGAAACTTGAATAACAATTTTATATTAGGTAATAATATGATTTTACAGGAAAATGTCCTAAGAAAGAGACACATGCTAATGTACTTAAGAGTGCTGTGTGCAAAATAAACTACCATCAGAGTGAACAGGCAACCTACAGAATGGAAGAAAATGTTTGCAATCTACTCATCTGACAAAGGGCTAATATCCAGAATCTACAATGAACTCAAACAAATTTACAAGAAAAAAACAAACAACCCCATCAAAAAGTGGGCAAAGGATATGAACAGACACTTCTCAAAAGAAGACATTTATGCAGCCAAAAGACACATGAAAAAATGCTCATCATCACTGGCCATCAGAGAAATGCAAATCAAAACCACAATGAGATACCATCTCACACCAGTTACAATGGCAATCATTAAAAAGTCAGGAAACAACAGGTGCTGGAGAGGATGTGGAGAAATAGGAACACTTTTACACTGTTGGTGGGACTGTAAACTAGTTCAACCATTGTGGAAGTCAGTGTGGCGATTCCTCAGGGATCTAGAACTAGAAATACCATTTGACCCAGCAATCCCATTACTGGGTATATACCCAAAGGATTATAAATCATGCTGCTATAAAGACACACGCACACGTATGTTCACTGCAGCACTATTCACAATAGCAAAGGCTTGGAACCAAGCCAAATGTCCAACAACGATAGACTGGATTAAGAAAATGTGGCACATATACACCATGGAATACTATGCAGCCATAAAAAAGGATGAATTCATGTCCTTTGTAGGGACGTGGATGAAGCTGGAAACCAACATTCTCAGCAAACTATCGCAAGGATAAAAAACCAAACACCACACGTTCTCACTCATAGGTGGGAATTGAACAATGAGAACACATGGACACAGGAAGGGGAACATCACACACCAGGGCCTGTTGTGGGGTGGGGGGAGGGGGGAGGGATAGCATTAGGAGATATACCTAATGTTAAATGATGAGTTAATGGGTGCAGCACAGCAACATGGCACATGTATACGTATGTAACGAACCTGCACATTGTGCACATGTACCCTAAAACTTAAAGTTTAATTTAAAAAAAAAAAAGAGTGCTGTGTCATGACATCTGCAATTAACTCAAATGAGTAGAGACAGGAAAAAAAGAGATAAAGCAAATACAGAAAACATTAACTGGTGAATCTAGATGAATATACATGGTTGTTCACTGTGCTATTTTGCAACTTTTCATACGCTTGAAATCTGTCACAATAAAAAGTTGGGGGAAAAAATAGTATATTAAGAAAAAGTATATTTACTGAGAACCTACCATGTAAACAAGCACCAAGCTAGATAATTTATATACAATATCTCAATTCTTAAAGTAACACTGCAAAAGTACTGCCTCCACTATATACATGATCAAAGATCACGCCAGTAGGGGAAGAGCTGGGATTCCTATACTTCTGTCTGACTCCAGTAACTATGATCTGTCAATTCAGCCTCACTGCCTATAGAGAAAATTCCTGATTTTTTTTTGGTTTGGTTCATCCAGTAAACTTTTCTGTGCAGTCTAACTTAACTTCAAGAACAGATATTAGCCTACACAGTAAAGCAATTCCTAGTATGCTTCTATCACCATGTTTAAATAGCTAAATGTTCTCCAAAATCCTACCAACATCCCCAGTTTCTCCCTCTCTGTTTCATACATTTTTAAGTCTCTGCCTTTGTGGGAAAAAAAATTCCTCTCGTTACCCTGTTATAAAGAGAGTGACAGAAACACAAGCTAGGAAGGGACTTTAAATTAGTCCAGGATGATGGTTACCTTTGGGGAGGAAAAGTGCATAGTGCTTGGAATGAGCCACAAAGCAAACTTCTAGGGCACTGATAATGTACCATGTCTTGGCTTTGGTGATGGTTATAGGGTATGCTCCTTTTTTGATAATTCATTAAACTGTTCACATATGATTTGTGGGTATGCCTGCATGTATGTTACATTTCTTTTAAAGTTTATTTATTTTTTTATTTTTTAAAGATGATGTCTTGCTCTATCACCCAGGTTGGAATGAAGTGGTATAATCGCAGCTCACTGCAGCCTCAAACTCCTAGGCTCAAGGATTCCTCTCACCTAAGCCTCCCAAAGTGCTGGGATTATAGGTGCAAGCCATCACACTTGGCCTCATTTTTTAAAGTTTTTAAAGTCAAATAGTCTACTAGTCTATAGTTAATATGAATTATTAAAAGTCAATTCATCCATGGTTAAGTAAATTATAGTATGTTAACTCAATAGAATATGATAGAACCATAAAGAAGAATGAGAGACCACATTGTGCACTCATAGGAAATTAAGTCCAAGATACATTGTTAAATAAAAACACTACAGTATGGGACATTATATAGATAGGTTACTATTTTTTAAAAGGGCAGGGGATATGAATACATAATTATTTACTTGATATGACAGTAGGCATAAAGAAGTACACTGTATATTTGTACCATATAAATTTCCCATAAATGAAATAAATTTAAATAATAGATAAATGCAATCTTTTTTTGAGACTCTGAATTGTGAAGCGAGTGCTGATGATATTTACTAAATGCAGTGTGTCTGTCCACATTATAGTTCATGCATCTGTTGTTCTCTTTCCATTCTCAAAGTCACTGTTCAAGCTCAGTTTTCAATGGTAAGGCAGAAAGATTAGTGGCTTTGGAGACAATATTAAGTTCAATCTTAACTCTCTTTCATGATGCAACCTAGACATGCTACTTCTTTGAGCCTCAGTTTCCTCAACTTTAAAACAGGGATAATAAAATCAATCTCATAGGTTTTTGAGAGAAGAAAATAAATGAATTTGACGATTTCAAAATGTGAAACTTTTTGTTTTTTTTGTTGTTGTTGTTGTTGAGACAGAGTCTCACTCTGTCACCCAGGCTGGAGTGCAATGGCGTAATCTTGGCACACTGCAACCTCCACCTCCCGGGTTCAAGCCATTCTCCTGCCTCAGCCTCCCGAGTAGCTGGGACTACAGGCATGTGCCACCATGCCCGGCTAATTTTTGTACTTTTAGTAGAGACAGGGTTCACCATGTTGGCCAGGCTGGTCTCAAACTCCTGACCTCGGGTGATTCTCCCACCTCAGCCTCCCAGAGTGCTGGGATTACAGGCATGAGTCACCACGCTCAGCCTCAAAATGTGAAACGTTTAAAGTCAAGTGACTAAAATGTTTGCAACATGCAAAATCATGTACTAAGACATAAGACAACAATCTTGAAATGAATGGAAAGATAGAAAGTCTCAGTGGAGAAACAGATATAAAAAAAGAATCAAGACCCTGTCCCTACAAAAAATGAGATACCGTACACACCTATTAGAATGGCTAAATTTTTTTGGGGGGGGGTGGGGGGCGGTGGGTAGACGGAGTCTCGCTTTATTGCCCAGGCTTGGCACAATCTTGGCTCACTGCAACTTCTGTCTCCCCGGTTCAAGTGATTCTCTTGCTTCAGCCTCCTGAGCAGCTGGGATTACAGGCACGCACTACCACGCTCGGCTAAGTTTTTGTATTTTTTTTTAAATAGAGACGAGGTTTCACCATGTTGGCCAGGCTGGTCTCGAACTCCTGACCTCAAGTGATCCGCCCGCCTTGGCCTCCCAAAGTGCTGGGATTACAGGCGTGAGCCACCCTGCCTGGCCCGGCAGATCACTTCTCTGTGGACCTCAGCTTCCATATCTGTTAAATGAGAGGACTGGGCCTCCCAAAGTGCTGGAATATGTGAGCCACCGTGCCTGGTAAAATAAAATTTTTTAATCGATAATACCAAGTGCTGATGTAGAATAAATGGTGTTCTCATACTCTGCTGATGCGAATGCAAAATGGCACAGACACTCTAGATATAGTTTGGCAATTTCTTGCAAAAAAAACTAGACTTAACATGTGACTCAACAATTCCACTCCTAGGTATTTATCCTAGAGACATGAAAACCTATGTTCACACAAAAAACCTGTACATAAATGTTTACTGCAGCTTTATTAATAATCACCAAAAGCTGGGAGAAACTCTTACGTCCCTCAGAGGGTGAATGGATAAACAGTAGACATCCATATGACAGAATAGTGCTCAGCAACTATGAAACACACAACGTAAATAAAATTCAAAGACATTATGCTGAGGCAAAGAAGACAGTCTGAAAAGATTACATACTGTATGATTCCATTTATACGACATTCTGGGAAAAGCAAAATTACAAGGACAGAGAACAGGGCATTAGTTGCCACAGGCTTGGGGTGAAGAGAGGATTTGACCACAAAGAAGCAAAAAAAAGGGAAGTTGTTGATATTACGGAACTGTTCTATATTCTGATTGTGGTGATCATTACACGTGCCAAGAACTGCACACACATATAAAAAACTATAACCACACATACATACATATAGATTACAATAGTGATTACAAGGGAATATACATCTGTCAGAGTTCATCCAACACCTAAAATTGGTGCATTTTATTTTATGTAAATTATATCTCAATAAAGCTGATTTTTAAAATAACTAAAATGAAATAGGGCAAAATGTGAAAAGCTACACTTGGACGCTAGTACATCTTCACACATAAACACTCATCACGTATTTTTTTCAGCGTTTTAAAAAATAATTTTTAATAGCATATCATATTCTTTTTAGTAAATACTTTTTTTTTTTTTTGAGACAGAGTCTCGCTCTGTCACCCAGGCTGGAGTGCAGTGGTGCAATCTCAGCTCACTGCAACCTCCGCCTCCCGGGTTCAAGCGATTCTCCTGCCTCAGTCTCCCAAGTAGCTGGGATTACAGGTGGGTGTCACCACGCCCATCTAATTTTTTTATTTTTAGTAGAGATGGGGTTTCACCATGTTGGCCAGGCTGGTCTTGAACTCCTGACCTCAGGCGATCCACTCGCCTCAGCCTCCCAACGTGCTGGGATTACAGGTGTGACCCACCACACCCGGCCCATAAATACAATTTTATGACTGAATAAAAGAAAACGATAAGCATATTTCACATTAAGTATATTTTGAAACTGTCTACCCTTGGCCCTCTTGTTAACACTTAAGGTTTCAATTTTGTGGTTAATAAGAACAGCACAAGAAACAACTGGTAGGTTCATTAGCACCTCCTTTTAAGGAAACAGCACATAAAACATTCATTCAAACAAAAAACGACTACCCCGCCAGATGCTTCCTATAAAGAGAAACCTTATTCTGTTACTCAGCTACCAATAAAATATTTATGTAGGTTGCTTAGAATGCCCCCATTGTACACAATGCTAAAATTCTTAACAACACTTGAAAGAATATTTGTCCTATTTATAGGTAAAGAAATTTTTGTATATGGCAAAGCAAAATACGCCTTTAGAAGGTCACAGCAAACAACAGACAGTCCCAAATGAATAAAATGAAATACAAGCACCATCTTTTCCACCATGGCCAGTTCAGTTCTCTGCTTAGTACCACTTTCCTCACAGTTTTCTCTGAATACCACTACCAGGCTGGACTGGGGATCCTTCTTCATGTTTCCACACACTCTCTACTTTATCAGAGCAATGCCCATACTGCATTGTCCTAGCTGGATACTCGGCTTTCTACCCACCCCCATCCCATAACCTCCCTGTGCACTCTAGACTGTAACCCAACAGATGGTTACTAAATAGCCAATGGTTGGCAGAATAGATGGACAGACACATTTAAGAATTTCTTGGCCAGGCAGTGTGGCTCACACCTGTAATCCCAACACTTTGGTAGGCAGAGCCAGAAGGCTCACTTGAGCCCAGGAGTTTAGGACCAATCTGGACAACATGGCGAAACCACTTCTCTACAAAAAATTTTTTAAAAATTAGCTGGGTATAGTGGCACACACCTGTAGTCCCAGCTACTCGAGTGGCTGAGGCTGGAGGATCACTTGAGGCCAGGAGGTCGAAGCTACAGTAAGCCATGATCATGCTACTGCACTCCAGCCTGGGTGACAGAGTGAGACCCTCTGTCAAAAAAAAACTTTTTTTTTTTTTTTTGAGACAGTCTCGCTCTGTCACCCAGGCTGGAGTGCAGTGGTGCAATCTCGGCTCACTGCAACCTCCGCCTTCCGGGTTCAAGCGATTCTCCCTGCTTCAGCCTCCCGAGCAGCTGGGATTACAGGTGCCCGCCACCACACCTGGCTAATTTTTGTAGTTTTAATAGAGACGAGTTTTCACCATGTTGGCCAGGCTGATCTCGAACTCCTGACCTCAGGTGATTTGCCCACCTCGGCCTCCCAAAGTGCTGGGATTACAGGCGTGAGCCACCGTGCCCAGCCAAGAAATTCTTTTTTAAAAAATTTTTAGGCTGGGCACGGTGACTCACGCCTGTAATCCCAGCACTTTGGGAGGCCGAGGCAGGCAGATCATGAGGTCAAGAGATCGAGACCATCCTGGCCAACATGGTGAAACCCTGTCTCCATTAAAAATACAAAACTTAGCTGGGTGTACTGGTGTGCACCTGTAGTCCCAGCTACTCCGGAGGCTGAGGCAGGAGAATGGCTTGAACCCAGGAGGCGGAGCTTGCAGTGAGCCGAGATCACACCACTGCACTCCAGCCTGGCGACAGAGTGAGACTCCGTCTCAAAAAAAAAAAAAAAAAAAAAAAAAAAAAGAATTTCTTTAAGGCAGTGTGATGTAACAAGAGCCCCCTTAGACTTCAGACCGATCTGGTATACATCACTCCCTGGTTAAACCCTCTATTAGCTCTTTTTTCCATCATTCTTAGAATAAAACTCCCTGCCACAGCCACAAAGTGCTGTATCATCTGGCCCCTGTCCACCTCTCCAACCACATCAGGTATCATCTTCTCCCCTGTTCACAATATTCCAGCCTCACTGGCCTCCTTTCCAGTCCTGAAATAAGCCAAGCCCTTGTCTGCCTACAAAGCTCTTTCTGACGCGTCTGCCAGGGTGGCTCGATCTCATCCCTTCCACCTCAGCTCCAATGTCACTGCCTTGGGGAGGGCCTCTCCAACTACACCATCTAAAGTGGGCCCCATCTCTATGAACCCAACCAGCTCACTCTCTAATACATAGCTCTTACTTTCTTGCTAGAATTTTTCACAATCTGTATATGTTTCATCTCTTTGCATGTTTATTATTATCATGTTTATTACATGAATATAATCCACTTAATCTTTCATGGCTGTTTCCTCCAAGGTTTTAACAAGTATCTAGAACACAGTAGACGTTCAACAAATTGTTAAATGAGTGAACAAATTAATGAATAAATACAATCCAGACCACTTTACTAGCTGTATGGCCTTAATGAAGTTCACTTTTCCTACATGCCTCAGTTCCTCCATCTATAAAAAAGGGATTATTATAACCATCTCAAAAAGCTAGTCTAAGAATTAAAAGAAATTAATTAGAATGTTTAATATAGTTGCTAGTAAAACATAAGAATTTAAAACATTGAGGCCGGGCACGGTGGCTCACGCCTGTAATCCTAGCACTTTGGGAGGCCGAGGCGGGTGGATCACGAGGTCAGGAGATCGAGACCATCTGGCTAACACGATGAAACCCCGTCTCTACTAAAAATACAAAAAATCAGCCAAGCATGGTGGCGGGTGCCTGTAGTCCTAGCCAAGCGGGAGGCTGAGGCAGGAGAAGGGCATGAACCTGGGAAGCAGAGCTTGCAGTGAGCCGAGATCAGGCCACTGCACTCCAGCCTGGGCAACACAGAGCAAGACTCTGTCTCAAAAAAAAAAAAAAAAAAAAGAAAACAAAGAATTTAAAACATTGTTTTTCTCATGTGTACTTTTCCCCTTAAGAGAAACAAGAAAAAAAAAAAAAAAAAAACTTGAGGTGGAAAAACTGAAAACAGCTTACAATACAGTAGGAATAATTACCCAAAATATAAAACCCACAAAATATGACTTGGAAACCTAATGCTCAAAAGAAAGCTAATGCAAGGCTGTATTTGCCACATTCCAGCCCTTGGAAGCCATGTGTTACTGTGGAAGTGCAGCCATCTGAAATGGGAAACATCTCAACATGACTACAGGGTGGTGCTTTCTGAAACTGGAAAAGGGCCCCAGCTTAGCGGCAGGAAAAATTTTGCAGGAGCTACTAGTCAGTCATTCTGGGTTCCTCCTACTCCCATTCTCTGTCAAAAGCCTTGCCTAGCCTGAAGTTCCATCTAAAAGGGAAGAAAAACCAACAACATAAAAAGGAATCAGGGCAACTCCAACCCGCCCCACCTCAACTGAAATCTAAGCAAAGTACACCTAACTCTGGCTATCCGCTTCAATGGCTCACAAGAACCTGGGCCTCCAAAGCTGAGGCTCACCCTACCAAATCATCTTTCCACCCAAGACAGCAAGAGCTAAGAGCAAGAGCTCTCGGGCCAGCAGAAACAGACTAAACTACCAGAGCTGCTACTTTTGCAGTGTGTGACCTTGGGAAAATTATTTAACATCTTTGTCCAGTGTTGGCTCATCTATAAAATGAGGATAAAGTCAATTCCCTCACAGGGGTGTTGTGACAACTAAATGAGCTAAAGCACCTGGCAGAGCCTTGCACTTAGCAAGCAGGAAACACAGGATAGCGTTAAAAATCACGTAGAGTGAAGGCAACACCAAGGCACTAAAGGGAAGAGATCTTCTCCAACCCACCCATACTGCTGTCTCAAGGCCTGTGTTCTCCACTCACTATTGACCAGGAATGGTCTGTGCTGATCCTGGCTGTTGCTGACCCTGTGATTATGCTCCACTTGCCAGCCCATTCACAGTCTCAAGACAGTATGGCATCTTTCCTCCATGAAGTCATCAATTTTTAAATTTTTACATCTAGGGAAGTATTCTGGTCTGCATACATAGATGGTGGTATTGTCTCTTTTTTTTTGAGACAAGAGTCTCTCTCTGTCACCTAGGTTGGAGTGCAGTGGCGCGATCTCGGCTCACTGCAACCTCCGCCTTCCGGGCTCAAGCGATTCTCCTGCCTTAGCCTCCCAAGTAGCTGGGATTACAGGCACATGCCACCATGCCCAGCTAATTTTTTTATTTTTAGTAGAGACGGGGTTTCACCATGTTGGCCAGGCTGGTCTCAAACTCCTGACCCCAGGTGATATGCCCGCCTTGACTTCCCAAAGTGCTGGGATTACAGATGTGAGCCACCGCACCCAGCCGATATTGTCTATCTTAAATAATGGTATGTGTATACACACACACACAGTAAAGCCTTTTTTAAAAAGGAAAAAAAAAAATTGGCTTCTCAGGCCCTCAATAAGCAGATCTTTGGGCCACAATGAATTTTTTAACCTTTTTGAAAGTACAAACACTGTTAGACTTCACCTAGCATAACAAAAACCATGAACTTGGCTACCCAAAGTTCATCTCTAGTAAACAATACTGCATGTAAGATAATACTGCCTACAGCAGCTAAGTGAGGTAGTAAAGAGGGGAGGATACTTTGGAATCAATTTCTGATGCTGATACTCTCCTTGGTGTTTTCAAATCATCAAGAAAACTGTTACTAGGTAAGTATCTTATAAATAATACTGGAGAAATAACAGAATTTTTTTTTTAAACAGGGTCTCTCTCTGTCGCTCAGGCTAGAGTGCAGTGGCGCATTCATGGCTCACTGCAGCCTCAACCTCCCAGGCTCAAGCAATCCTTCCACCTTAGCCTCCCAAGTAGCTGGGACCACAAGCACACATCACCATGCCCAGCTAACTTTTTAATTTTTTTTTGTAGAAATGGGGTCTCACTTTGTGACCCAAGCTGGGTCACAACTCCTGGGTTCAAGCGATCCCCCTGCCTTGGTCTCCCAAAGTGCTGGGATTACAGGTGTGAGCCACCACACCCAGCCTCAATAACAGAAATTTAAAACTGAATCTCAAACACCAGTTGGAATTTAACTACCTTATGAAATCAACTATTTTCATATTCTTTTCAACCTTTGCTCATGAATACACATTTTTGCAGAATTATAACATAAGTGAATTTGCATATTCCATTGCTTTCATTTAATATTTCTTAAGTATTTTTCATATTGTGGCAGAATTACACAAAACTATCAGTTGAAATAACTGCACTACCTTGTGCTGAAGTGATTCACAGTCAACTGTTTAACCATTTCTCTGCTGTGCACTGATAGACTCAGTGTGCTCTCATGGAAAGTGACCAGCTTTACAATCAGAAAGACCAGGCTTGAATTTTGCCTTCTTTTTGCTTCTCAATCACAATAAGCTCATGGGCAAGTTGTTTAATCTCTCCAACCTCAGCTTCCTCATCTGTGAAATATCCTCAACACACGCTTGTCAAAAGCAAAGAGATAACAAATATAAAATATAATTTCCCTTCCTTCCAGTTTTTCACAATTATACACAATGTGGCAACAAACACCTTCATCAACAGAGCTTTATTCCTTCTACTGGGCTGTTTCCCTAGTATCAATTTCCCCAAAATGGATTATTGGGCTCAAGAGTAATTTTATATTTATGGCTATCAAAATCTCTTTCCAAATGGCCTTCAAAAAGATTGTAAAAATTTACACTACTCAGCCCTCCATCTGGCCAGGTTTTTGGAGGGCATGGCCAGGACATGCGAGGTACGGGAACTCAGAGCGTTCAATCCAGCAGGCCATCCCACTACACAAATGAACCCCTGTACTTAACACTTTTACCCCAACAGCCATGAGCCCTACTTGATTCCAAGTACTCAACTCAGCAAAAACCCCTAGCACCGTCAGGCTATATGTTGTGCACAGAGCTCCGTGGAAAGTGGCTATGACACTCGCTCTGCCAGCTACAGACCTGGTCTTCAGCCACTTCCACTGAGCGGCATCCCACACAATTCTTACACTCCTGCCATGTTCTAAGTTCACCCTCATTCTCCCACTCTTAGCCTCACCTTGCCCTCATTACTGCTTGCTTTCCTGACTCTGGCCCCGCATGCCCCCATCCTCATTATAAGCTGTCTGCCTCTAGATATGTCTCTAGGTATATCTCCTCTCCAGCCACTTTAGTAACAATAACCACAGTAGCCGCCCTGTTTGCTAAAGATCTGGTATAGCAGGCACTATCCTAGCATGTTATTTACTCCTCACCACAAGCCTCAGATAAACATTTTTCCCAGTTTTACAGATAAAGCAACCAAAATTTGGAGCTTTAGTATTCCATACAAGGTTACACATTCATTCAATCAACAAATATTAGATGCCTACGATTTTGTTAGGTTCAGCGTTGAGTACCAGACATTGAATAGAGACACATGTTAAGCAAGTACACTAATAAAGAAATAACCACAAACTGTCACAAGAGTCATGGTGGGAGAGACAGGGCGCTGAGTACTTGCTAGAAGACAGAATCATGAGTTGAGAAGGGAGTTGGGGTAGCCTCTCTAACAAGGCCACATTCAAGTTGAGGCAAGAAGGTCCAGGGGCCTGCCATTCAAGGAAAGGGAGAAAGGGTGTCCAGGCAGAGGGTGGAGCATGCACGTAGGCCCTGGCACAGGGACAAGCTGGGTGTGGCTGAGGAACAGCAGCCTGTGTGGCTAGAGCAGTGTACGACGGGGAGAGGAATATGCTGAGTTCAGAAAGACAGGAAGCTGTCGATCACACAGGACGGGTTCTCATGGGCCAAGATTAGGGATTTTATTCCAAGGTCAAAGAAACATCACAGAAGGATGTACAGAAACTGAACACTGATGGGGCAGAACCCAGGGCAGTGGTTGTAGTCAACGGAATCTTTGGATTAGAGCAGACAGACATCAGCATTCATTGAGTACCCTCTATGCACCAAGCATCATGCTAGGTGCTTTCCATACCTTACCTAATTAATAACTGAAGGAAAGATAGTAGTAGCCCCACTTTACACATGAGGTTTTAGAAGCAACCCATTTAAGGCCACAGATCAGTAAGTGGCAGGGCCAAGCCTGAAACCCAGTCCTCATCATTCTCAAATCCATGTCGTATCTACACACCATGGTGCTTCTGAAAGCTTCGGGGCCATACAAGTGGGGCAGGGGTGGAAGGTGAGGGAGCTATGATCTGGCAGTAAGTAACTCACAAACATATTATTGCAAATTTAAAGATGCAAACCTCCTAGTGAAACCACAAACAAAACACTCAAATTTGACCAACTGCCTCGGCTGAGGCCAAGAATTTTCAACAACAGGAATAAGGGCCTCAATGCAAGAATGCCAACATCTCAGGGCAGGTGGGCATAAGATAAGAACAACAAAAGATAAGGAGACCAGGTGTGGACAGGATACAGGCAATTGTTTCAGCCACACCTGGCTAAGAGTTCTTTCAATTCCTTGGAAAGGAAGCTGCTAGACATAACAAATCCTATTCCATAGTATCTACTGTTTATTGCATGTAAGTTATGCTTAATATCTCCGACATCCAGAAATCTCATTTCTAGGAATCTACCCTTAAAAAAAAGAAACACTCGGCGAGGCGTGGTGGCTCACGCCTGTAGTTCCAGCACTTTGGGAGGCCAAGGCAGGCGGATCACAAGGTCAGGAGATCAAGACCATCCTGGCTAACATGGTGAGACCATCCTGGCTAATAAAGTGAAACCCCACCTGTACTAAAAATACAAAAAATTAGCCAGGCATGGTGGCATACGCCTGTAATCCCAGCTACTAGGGAGGCTGAAGCAGGAGAATCGCTTGAACCCGGGAGGCTGCGGCTGCAGTGAGCCGAGATCGTGCCACTCCACTCCAGCCTGGGCAACAGAGTGAGACTCTGTCTCAAAAAAATAAAAAAATAAAAAATCATACAACTATAAAAAGATATATGCACAAGGAGATTCATCACAGCTTTGTTTATAAAAGTGAGAAATTAGAAACAACCTGAAATGTCCCACAGTAAGGTTATATAAATTATGGCTCAATCTATCCCTTTTATTAAGCCTTGATTTAATATTACACAGCCAGTAATAATGCCATCCATGAGTATTGAGAATGGAAAGTTATCCATGTCATTCCCTGTCAAAAGCCAAGATTAAACTCTTCCATATGTTCACAAAGATAGCTACTTGGACAGCATATGTTGTACCAGATTCTGGGTCTTCCCTACTCACCCAAAAAACATGTTTTTTAAAGGGAGAGAGAGATAGCAGTGTCCAGAACAACTCACAACAGGTACAGGCCTTCACAAAATGCTGCCTCCGCAAGGCCTCCTCTGGTCTAGGGAGGGAAGACCAATACGACAGGCTCCCATAGAAGAGCAACTGATTTACCGACTTCCTACCATAAGGCCTGCCATACAGGTGATTATACCCTCAGCTAATGAGGATATTAGACAATGGATTACCAGTTTAAAGACCAAAAAGAAGACATGTGGTTTTCACATGCCAGAGTGAGTACTCCCACAGAACAGTCAAATGAAATAGAAAGGAATTGCTTTGATAGAAGACCTGGGTTCAAAGCTGAATAAGTCCCTACCCCTGTCTGGGCTTCAGAGTCCCCACATGTCAAATGAAAGCACTGGAAGAGATGATTCTTAGAGCTCCTCCAGCTCTGAAATTAACTCCATTCTAAATATCCCTTCATTCCATGCCCTTAGCTCCACATTCCTCCCTTTGGGCCCACAACACCACAGCAGCCTTTTAACTCATCACCTTACCACCAGCCTTGCTCCCCTCCAAACTCTTCTCCTCATAGTCACCAGCCTGGTAAGCTTTTGAAAGCACAATTCTGGTCATTTCCCTCCCCAGATTAAAATCCATTGCTGGTTCCCTTTCATCTTCAGGACAAAAACCAAACAAAGCAGTGTAACATTCAAGAACCTGCAGGAGCTGGCCCCTGCCTGCTTCAATGGCCTCACTTCTCTCCACTCCCCTCACACAGCCTCCTTCCAGCCAGTAAGTTCAGGGAACTTACAGCTCTCTGAACTCATCAAACCCTGTCATGCCTCTCTCTACATTTGCACATGTGAGTCCCTGTGCCTGGGATGCTCCCTAGCTCTCCCCACTTGACCAAACCGTACCTGTCCCTGATGACCCAACTCAGGCAACATCTCCTCCAGAGGCTTCTCTGAACCCCGAGTCATAGCCCCTCCTCTGTGGCCCCACAGCACCCTAGACTTACCTCTGTCCCTGCACTATTTTCCTATCCATCTTCCCAATCAGACTGTGAGCCTCTGGACAGGGGGACTTACCTGGTCTTAATCCACTGCAGATTCCCCCTGGCAGAGAGCCTGGCACAGTGGCATATATTAAAAAATGTTTATTAAATGGATGAACTCTGAGGAAAACCAGAAGGTGACCTATGTGTTGCCAGCTCCCAACTAAATGCAACTCCTGATGGTTAGGTATCAATCATCTGAGACTAGAATAGGACGAATCATGAGTTTCCACTTTAAACCCAAAGTATCTCAGCCCCCTCCTTAATATGCATGCTCTTAAAATTAGCTTTAGGTGCCAAGAGCATTTCCTATAAGCATCCCACAGAAAGTTCAGACTACCACTACATACAGATCATGCATTTTGTAACTCAGGCCAAATGAAAAATTTCAGTGATTCATAAAGACCTGAAAGGGAGACATCAAGAACAGTGTGGCCATTTCAATTCCGGCTGCAGAATTTGCTCTTGAAAATGCTACAATAAAAAATATTAATGCCATAAAAACCTAACAGCAACCAAAGGACTACAGTCATAAAGAAAAAAACATAAATCCTAAAACATGTTGGCATAGAAGGCTCTCCCTCACCTTCAAGTAAAACAGGATTTAGGTCATCAAGAACACATCTGAACAAGGGGAACTTGAATCACATGGCAGAGTGGAAAAAAATAACAGTAATTATAACAATAACAGTAAGAAAAGGAAGAAGCAGTCATGGCAAACACATAGAATGTACTCTGTGCTTTGCAAATATTCACTCATTCAATCCTCCTAACAACCCTATGAAGTAGGTACTGTTATCATGCCCATTGTTAAAATGAGGGAAGTACAGAGAGGTTAAGTGACCGGCCACAGGGCACCCAGGAGAAGTGGACAAACAAGCAGCCTGGCTCCAGAAGCCAATGGGCCTTAGGCAGCACAGACTGCCTCTGAGAACAATTTTGTCACATCACATCCCTGGGCCTCAGTTTCTCCTATATATAATAAAGAGGGTTGTGTTCAATTCTAGGATTCCTTTCAGTTCAATAAGCAGATAAAAGATGTGAAACCAAAATTCTAATATTCTGTGAAATTTTCCAATTTAGAAATAAAATGTAAAACAGTGCCCTTCAAAAATGAAATAACTATCTTGCAGAGCCGCTTTAATATTAAAGTAACATATACAAAGAGCTTAGCACTTAAAGTACCCAGCTCAGAGCAAGAGCTCAATAAACAGTAGCTGTTATTACTCTTATGATAAAACAGGAACAACCATTTAATAGTAGAGCATATTTTAATTATACACGATGTAGAATAATCAAATCTCATTCGTTTGAGGCCCCAGACCCCACAGCATAGATCGAGTTGTACAGCTGAAATTATAACAACCCAAAGCTCAGAAATTACTTGTTTCCATTAGAGATCTGACAAGTCATTTCTTCAATTGGTCACTGGTGGTTTGCAGATAACTATTAGCAGTAATGAGCATTCTAAATTAAATCCAGAGACAGCACTGCTCTGTTCTGTAAAGACAACTGGGGAGAAAGAAACATAATTGTGGAATGTCCTTCTCTCTGTGTCCTCCATCTTCTCTCTGTTAAGTATCTCTTGTGTCTTGCATAGTATGGATTTCATTTGCTTACAAATGAAGAAGGGTCTAATTCTTCCCATGATAAATGAGAGCACTGAACAGGTAACTTGTTAAAGAGAACTGGAATTGGGAAAATAACCTTATTTTCCTGTTACTTGACAACAAACCCCCTCTGCTAATAAATGAAAGACACAATGCTGGAAGACATCAAGCATTGAAGCCAAATCCATCACCAAGTAATCCATTCTCAGAAAGAAACTACACAGTACTAGGTACAGGCTACTCACATTTCATTCAACAGCAAAGATAAAGTCTTCAAAATGCAAGGGGAGGCACAATGCAGTGGAAAGAATAATGGCTTTGGAATTAATAAAAACCTGGATTCAAATCCCAACTCTGACACTTATGTATTATATGACCATAAACAACTCTCTCCTAGTCTTAAGATTCCTAACCTGCAAAATGGGAATGATACAAAATATCTCAAAGGTTGCAGTGAGCATCAAATAGGGGACCATAAATAACATGCCTTATAGTAACAGTAAGGCCTTTGACAAATGTTAGCTCCCCTCAACTGTGCAACATGCGAACATCCTCACCTTTAGGACACCAGAAAGACACCAAACCTGAAAACCAAAGTTGAAAACCAAAAGTTTCACCCAAAGTTGAAAACTGCTGATCCCGTCAGAACCTATATTTGGCCCTTGTATAAAGGGCTGACTGCATTTGTACGTAAAAGTCTCACAGAAGATGTCCATGAGACATGGCACCCCCCTGCCTCTGGCATCACCGAACTTAGATCTCAAGAAACACAGCTTTCCTGGGTCTGGCTGGACAGTGGCAGCAGACACAATTTGTTGGGGGCAGTAATTTGGTATTTCCACTTACATTTTCAAAGTCCTTCATGTTCCGTGCTCTGGTGGGAGACACTGTTTCTTCTGACACATTTGGGAGCACTGTAAAAAGGTAAAATAGAGGAAAACGTCACAGCATGCAAACTGCCCAGTGTTCCTATTGGGGAATAGAGCACAGAGAGGAAAACAACACGAACTGCTTCCACAGTACACGCGGCTGGTACTTGCTGTCTTTTGTGATTTACTGATTTTGCTCCAGGGAAAGCTCTAAACCATTAATTTACAAATTACTTAAACTAACCCCAAAGTAACAATGTGCACATCAGAGGATGAACCCAGCAAACACATCAGGCATTTTGCAAAGCAGACTGTCCTGATATGTACTTCCTTATTTCATGAAATTACCTTACTGAACAGAGTGTCATCTTCTCACGTCAGTAATTACAACAAAGCACATCTAACTGACTTGACAGCAGGGGTTGGCAAACTTTTTCTTAAAACGCCAGACAATATTTTAGGCTTTGTGGGCCATACACAAAGCCTAAAATCTGTCACAACTACTCAAATCCTCTGTTGTCACACAAAAACAGCCACAAACAATCCATAAACAAAGTGGTTGTGTTCCAATAAAAGTTTATTTTCAAAAGCAAGCAGTGGACCGGAAACTGCTGACCTGTTTTAAAGACTATGGCAATACCCAAATCTCTCCGCAGCATCTTTAACTGAACAAACATGTATTACACACCTACTCGGTGCCAAGCCCCATCCTGCATGCTGAGGAAACAATGGTGAAGGAGACACTAATCCTGCATCCAAGAGGTTCCCTATCGAGTGAGCAGGATGGAGATCTAAACTAACTGTTATCAGGCTGAATAAAGCCCGTGGCACTTTGTAGGTGTTCAGTAAATGTGTGCTGAGTGAATAAGTTCATTCTTTCAAAATATATGCACTGAGAATCCACTTTCTGCTAGGCCCCTTTCTAGATGTGGAAACATCAGGAAACAAACAAATGCAGCCGATAGTCTAGAGGGAGGAAACACAATAAACAAAACAAAAGGACAACTGCATAATATGTTAAAAGGTGATAAATGCTATGGAGAAAAATAAAGTAGATAAGGATAGGAAATAGGAGGCATGGGGTGAGGACTGCCATTTTAGGTAAGGTGGTTAAGGAAGGTCTCAATGAGAAGGTGACATCTGGGCAGACTTGAAGAGAAAGGACCAGTTACCTGGGGGAGAATTCTCCACATTCAGGGAGAAGCCTGAGGTGGAAGCACGGTCCCCTGTGGGTCTGGGGAACAGTCAAGAGGCCAATAGGCTGGAGCTCAATAAACAAAGGGGGATAGCAGGACTGGAGGTGAGAGAGGTAAACAGGGACAGACTGTATACGGTTTTTAGGCTCTTCTAAGGACTCTGAGGAGCTGCTGGAAGGTTTGCAGCTAAGGAGTAAGATGATTCGACTTAGGTTTCTACAGGCTCCCTCTGGCTGCCTTTCTGAGAACAGACTGTAAGGGGCTTAGGAGAGAAACAGGGAAACCAGTTAGGAGAATATTGGGATAATCTAGGCCGCAGATCATGGTGGGTTGGAGTAGGATGGAAGGAGTATAGGTGGGTGAGAACTAGTCTGATTCCGATACTTTAAAAGTAGCCAACAGGAATAAATGAAATGAGATGAGATGAAGTGAAATACACAATGTTGAGAGAGGAAAGTACACCTTAGTCAGCCTGGGGAGAGCCAAAAAGGGTGGTGAGCTTTGAGCTGAGTCTTAAAGAGGGAGCAAGGAGGCACCGGGCAGATGAGAAACAAAAGGAAGGAGAGACAGCCCAGGCAAAAGCACAGAGGTGGGAGTGGGCATGGTGTTCGGAAACCACTTAGCAGAAAAGAGGCTAAGGAGTGGGCAGGGCAGACTGTGAAGGGCACGCTAGTTTGTTTTCCTGTTCCTCAAACGGGCCATGCCCTCACCTGTGTCTGGGATGCTCATCCCCTCCTTTTTCCTTACCTACATCTGACTTATTCAGGTCTCCGCTCCAATATCAATTTCTTGGGAAACTCTAGCCTGACCCACCTCCACACCAGAGGAAATCTCCCTTTAATCCCCTCTCACAGCACTTGATACATCTTTGCTCCTGACACTGACCATACAAATTCTCATAAGGGTTTGTCTGTCTTCTCAGCTTAACAGTAACCACATTTGAGGTTGAATTTTAGCACTGAGCCCAGAGTCTGGCATGAAGCAAATGTATACTATCGGCTAAATTAAGAAATAGGCTGGCCAGGCACAGTGGCTCATGCCTGTAAACCCAGCACTTTGGGAGGCTGCGGCGGGTGGATCACCTGAGGTCAGAAGTTCGAGACCAGCCTGGCCAACATGGTGAACTCTGTCTCTACTAAAAATACAAAAATTAGCTGGGTGTGGTGGCACGTGCCTGTAATCCCAGCTACTCGGGAGGCTGAGGCAGAAGAATTGCTTGAACCCACGAGGCGGAGGTTGCAGTGAGCCGAGATCACACCACTGCACTCCAGCCTGGGCAACAGAGCGAGACTCCATCTCAAATCAGACTTGTTGGATTTTGCATTTAAAGTAAAAGTTGCCAATGAGTGCAGTGGCTCATGCCTGTAATCCCAGCACTTCGGGAAGCTGAGGCAGGTGGATCACTTGAGTCCAGGAATTCGAGACCAGACTGGGCAACATGGCAAAACCGTCCTGCAAAAAATACAAAAATTAGCCAGGTGTCGTGGCACACGCCTGTAGTCCCAGATACTAGGGAGACTGAGATGGAGAATTGCTTGAGTCCAAGAGGTCAAGGCTGCAGTGTGCGTGATCGCACCTCTGCACTCCCAGCCTGGGTGACAGGACAAGACCATGTCTCAAAAAAATAAAAAGTAAAAATAAAGTAAAAGTTAATAGGTTCCTCAGGAAAACATGAAGGTGCCCTGTAAGTTAAGGGATTTTCCAGAAATAAACCGTGGGACTCTTTTCCTGTCTGCTCCAAAATCTCCCTCCTCTTGCACATATCTCAGCACTGTGGAGAAGAGAAAAAAAAGAACAAGTCAAAATATCTTAGAGATATTTTGCAAAAACTAGCACTACCCACAGAGACGCTTAAGCATTCACTTTTTTCAGAAATAAAAATTATGAAGAATGCTTAGCTAGACCCAAACTGCAAAGTCTCCTCATAATCCAGCTTAAACACAGTACGCTACTTATTTACTCAGAGCCGTCTCCTGTGGTCTAACCAGCTATTTGTCTCCAAAGGGCAGGCCCGTGTAGGAATGCGGGGCCTCAGCCGGCAAACAGGATCCAGCAGCCTGCCAGGAAGGCCTTGGCACGCTACAGTCCAGATGGCAGCTCTCCTGGGCCTCCAGCCACTGGCCTAGCTGCCAATTCAATGTCCAGCCTCCGTGCAGTTGTTCAGTTCAGCAAACGCTCACTGAATCCCTATAGCTTTAGTAGCAACAAATGAAACTCATGAAGTATGGCCAAAAGGACAACAATTCCTCTAGTCCAGTGTTTATGAAAGGAGGTGGAAAGCAAATCAATACATACAAAAAATACTGAGCACCTACGGTGTGCCAGTTCAGGGAAGCCTCTGGGCCCCAGAGATATGAAAGCTCAAGATGCTCACAGTCCAATGTCTACTTTCCTTGTTCTTTACTCAAGAGAATGCCTGGTTTTGTGTACTTACGACCATTTCCCAACCCAGCATTGGGGTTGATGCCATCCAGGTCATCTGGTACACTGGGAACAAGGCCACTAGGAGAGAACACATGAGATAAGAGATGAGCTAATGTTTGAACAACAGAGACTGTTAAGACGGTCTGGACTGCACATGACAATCATCCCATGGCCAGGAGGGATGCACACAGCTGGGCTACCTATGTGGCATGAAGCACAGAGGTTAAGAACTCAGGCTTTGGGGCTGAGTTCCAGCTCCAACACTTGATAGCTGAGTGACCTTCAGTAACATCATTCATTCAGTCATACATCAAATGTTCTGTGTGCCAAATATGTGCTAGTGGCAGAGGCACTGTGACAAGTACAAGATACTTATGTTTCTGAGTCTCACCCTCTTAATCTGGTACATGAGGATACCATGCCCTCCCTGTAAAAATTAAATTCGTTCATGTATATAAACACAAAGCACATAGTAAGTATTCAGTAAACGGCAACTATTGTTGTTGTTACTATTATCATTATGACTACTAATATGCCTATCACCACCTCTGGGAATCAGACACCAATTTAGATGTTTTAAGAATGTCAAACAATGCAAAATTCACTGATCCAAGAAGTTGTCTTGGTTGAATTACATAAATAAATTCAGTGAGGATCTGGAGACACTGACAGAAAACTAACCCATAATAGGAGGTGTGGTGTGACACAAAAGACACTACCCTGATCTATTCTAAGCTCTGCCATGTATCTCTCTGAGCCTCACTTTCTTTAGCTGTAAAATGAGTACAGCAGCTACCTCACAGAGTAACTGGCAATTAAACAAGATATTGCAAGGTACCTTGTGGGTACTCCACAAATGGGAGCAAAATATCATGTCGCCTTGAAACCTACAGTGCTTTACAATTTATAAAAGATTTACCATCATTAGAATTGCCTAATTCCCTGAGGGTGCACACATTTTTCAAAGGAAGGCCCCAAGGCCCAGACAATTTTACTGTCCTAGCCAGGGTCACATGGCGGTTCTGTGGAGAGCCAGGTCCAGAAGCCAGGTCTTTTATGTCCAACTCCCACGAATACTTCCCTATCCCACACTGTAAAGTAGGAGTTGATGGAAACAGCTTGACTTCTTGGCAATTTGCTCTTTCCATGCCTCTAAATCCAAATTCATTGTGCTCCTAGGATAATTTTGCCTGACCACCAAACTTTGGAGTTGGAATGTACCTTCAAGATCAAAAACAGGCAAAAAATTGGAAATATCATAAAATTCCAACATTAAGAAAATGATCACAAAAAAATGTGTCCGGGCTGGGTGCAGTGACTCATGCCTATAATCCCAGTATTTTGGGAGGCCAAGGCTGGTGCATCACTTGAGATCAGGAGTTCGAGACCAGCCTGGCCAACATGGTAAAACCCCATCTCTAATAAAAATACAAAAATTAGCCGGGCATTGTGGCAGGTGCCTGTAGTCCTAGCTACTTGAGAGGCTGAGGCAGGAGAATCACTTGAACCCAGGAGGCAGAGGTTGAAGTGAGCTGAGATCATGCCACTGCACTCAAGCCTGGGTGATAGAGTGAGACTCCATCTCAAAAAAAAAAAAAATTTAAAAAAAAAAGTGTCCCCTGTAAAGGTAAATGAAAAAACGTAAACAGAATATGTCCTCAATTATGAAAACAAATATATACAGTACATAAATACTGAAGTCACCTCAAGTCCATTTTGGAAATAGGTGGGCTACAGATATATAACAAGACAAAGGAAATATACTGAAATATTAAAAATCATCATTAGTAGGGAAATGAGAGGTTTTCTTCCTTTTTAATGTTATATAATTCTCAATTTCCTCCAATAAACATCACTAAAAGGACAAAGTCAATTTTCTAAACTGAATTTTAAAAACTAAAATCAAGTTCAACCATCACCTTTTGCAGATGGTGGTCCAGAAGCCCAAGGTCACATACACCAGGTTATTGGCCAAGCTCAGCCTAAGGTCTGGTCCTGCATTCTCAATCTGGGGTTCTCTCCGGGTACCAGAGCCATTACATTAACTCCCACTGGCTAAAACTGCCCATGAATAACTCAAGCCAAGATCAATCACAGCTGAAAAGTACCTAGCAAACAAAGCCAAAGATTCTGGTCTTAGACAAGCTTCCTACAGGCAAACACTGAAGTTTGAAAAATGACATCTGACATCCCAACTCTTAGACAAAACCACTATGTAATGCAGAAATTTTTGCTTGGATCCTGCCAAATTTCCACTCGGGCTTTACCTACCCACTTTTAAAATGCTATGAATCTGTCATCTGCACCCTCCAGTCAGTTCCAACTACACCTCCAGCCACAAGCAGCTCCCTCTTTCCATTCTAATCATTCACTTGTAGCCTTATAATTAAGGCTGGGGCCTCAGGGATACTCACGAGAAATGACAATGTAAGCAAAACAAAAGGGCTCAGATATGATCTTATTCCACAGATGAGAAGACTGAAACCCAGAAATGGGTTAGGAACTTATTTACTCAAAATCACAAAAGTTAGTGGCAAAGCCAAGCCCAAAATCCAGGATCCCAGTGTCTTTTCCACTTGCTAGCCTGTGTGTGGACTGCCCAAAGCTCCTATATAAATGTGACACATGGTGGAGTACCAGTTTCCTCACGTGCAAAATAAAGCACAATCTAAGAAACCTGCCCTTGTATGGGGCACCCATGCTGCACAAGCACCACACTCAGCACAGGACAGGCAGCCTTCCCTTTCATCCTCACCACAGGATTAAAGTCCATTTTCTAAACTGAATGTTTGAAACTAAAATCAGGTTTAATCCTCACTATAGTCTTTCTGCGGCTGGTGGTACTTTTTAATGTTGCCTTTTTTTTTTTTTTTTTTAATGAGGAAACAAAGACCAAAAAGTTAATAGGCTGGAAACTCCAAGCCAGCCTGACTTTAAACCCCCTGCTGTGAACCTACACCACCCTGGTACCCCTGACGCCTTCCCGGAGGTTGGGGGTGGCAGGGGTGTGGTGGTGGTTAAGGGCCGAATGGACTGAGGCATAAAATTTCCATCACTCAGCACAGGGCACAGCCATCATAACGACTGTTTTGTTTTGTTTTGGTTTTTTGGAGACTCTCACTCTATCGCCCAGGCTGGAGTGCAGTGGCGTGATCTCAGCTCATTGCAACCTCCACCTTCCATATTCAAGCGATTCTCGTGCCTCAGCCTCCCAAGTAGCTAGGATTACAGGCATGCACCACCACGCCCGGCTAATTTTTTGTACTTTTAGTAGAGATGGAGATTCACCACGTTGGCCAGGCTGGTCTTGAACTCCTGAGCTCAGGTGACCTGACCGCCTCAGCCTCCCAAAGTGCTAGGATTACAGGCGTGAGCCACCGCGCCCAGCTGTAGCAACTGTTTGTGGATAATTTTTGAGTGACTGAATGGACCTTCACCTGAGCTCCACCACCTCATCCTCCTATCTTGCTCTATTGCTACCGAAAAGGACTGACCTCTTTCTATGCCTACATATGCCAGCAACAATTGTCCACTCAAACCATAAGACCCAAGGGGTCTTATGTCTCCTTGACAAATTGTTTCATGAGAGTCATGGATGAGACCAGATATCACATTCTGACAACGATTACACAAACAAACTCACTTTTGTCTTTTAACAACCCCTTTTTCATTCTATTTTATTCTTAATTAGAGAAAAATACATAAATTTAAAAAAATACAGATAAGCCTAAAGTTCTCCTTGGCTCCTCCTCGCTCCCATCTAGAACCCGCCTAGGAGGTAATCACTGTTTTCAAAAAGACCTATAACTTCCAGAACTTTTTATGTGTTTTTACATAGATAGTTTCAATTTTGCTGCTTAAAAACACATGCAATCAAACAGTATACATCATGCTACAACATCCTTCTTCTACTTAATATGCCCTCATGATGTTTTCATGACAGTACAAATAGATATGCCTCAAAGTTTTCAACTCCTACAAAGCTTTCTACAGCAGTGTTCTTCAAACCTTACTGACCATGAGCCACAGAAGAAATATTATTACCCTTCATCCTTGAAATGTTTTCTATTCTGTTCTATTTTTCTAAATCCTGGTTGCAACCTACTAAATTGAATTTCATGAGCTACCAACGGGCCACAGTCTGAAAGATACTTTTGAAAGGATGTGTATTTACCCAATCCCCTACTGATGATAATTCAATTTGTTTCCAAGTTTTTCTTTTACATGCAATGTCATATGAATGTCCTTATAAGGTCCCATATGCACAAGTATGAGGATTTCTCTAGAATAGATGACAAGAAGTGGAATTGCTGGGTCAAAATATATTCACGTTTTTTAAATGGACGATGGATTTGAATACACATTTCTCCAAAGAAAGTGAACAAATGGCTAAAAGGCACATGGAAAGATGCTCAACACATCAGTAGCCATTAACATGTAATCAATACCACAATGAGGGCCAGGCGGGGTGGCTCACTCCTGTAACCCAGCACTTTGGGAGGCCAAGGCGGGCAGATCACCTGAGGTCAAGAGTTCGACACCAGCCTGGCCAACATGGTGAAACCCCGTCTCTACTAAAAATATAAAAATTAGCCGAGCATGGTGGCACGTGCCTGTAGTCCCAGCTACTTGGGAGGCTGAGGCACCAGAACCGCTTGAACCCACGAGGCAGAGGTTGCGGTGAGCCGAAATTGCGCCACTGCACTCCAGCCTGGGCAAGGGAGTGAGACTCTGTCTCAACGACAAAAAAAAAAAGACCACAATGAGATACCTACCATGTCACACCCAAAGGATGGCTATAATCAAAAGGACAATAAAAATATCAGTGAAGGGCAGGCACAGTGGCTTGTGTCTGTAATCCCAGCTCTTAGCAAGGCAGAAGCAGGAGGATCACTTGAGCCCAGGAATTTAAGACCAGCATGGGTAACAGAGCAAGACTGTCTCTAAAAAAAATTAAAAACAAAAGCCTTAAAAAGGAAAGAAATTCTGACACATACTACAACACGCATGAACCTTGAGGACATAATGCTAAGTTAAATAAACCAGTCACAGAAGGACAAATAGTGTATGATTCTACTTATACGCGACACTTAGAGTAGTCAAAATCATAGAGACAGGCTGGGCGCAATGGCACATACCTATAATCCCAGCACTCTGGGAGGCCGAGGCAGGCACAACACTTGAGGCCAGGAGTTCAAGACCAGCCTGGTCAACCTGGTGAAACCCCGTCTCTACCAAAAATACAAAAATTAGCCAGGCGTAGTGGGGCATGCCTGTAGTCCCGGCCACTAAGTGGCTGAACCATGAGAATTGCTTGAACTCTGGAGGCGGAGGTTGCAGTGAGCCAAGATCACTCCACTGCACTCCAGCCTGGGCAACAAAGCGAGACCCTGTCTCAAAAAAAAAAAAAAAAAATCATAGAGACAGAAAGTAGAATGGTGATTGTCAGAGGCTGGGAGAAGGGGGGAATAGGGAGTTACTGTTTTAACAGGGACACAGTTTCTGTTTTGCAAGATGGAGAGTTACGAAGATAGATAGTGGTGACCGTTGAGCAATAATACAAATATATTTAATACAACTGAACCATGCTTTAAAATGGTTAAGATGGAATGTATGCAGTATCTACGTCCTGCAAAGGCAGGGAGATGAGGGAAAGGAGAATATTTGCTGATCTGTTGAGTAGTTACTCTGGGTCAGACACTGAGCTAAACTTTTTAAGATTCATTTTAATCCTTATGCCAACCCTAGGCTTTATACCAACCCCTTTTACAGATGATAAACACTGAGGCTCACAGATGATGAGTGACTTGCCCCAGATCAAGGGGTTGTTAAGTAGCAGAACTGGGATTAAAACCCAGCTAGGCCTGGGACCCCAAAACCCAAGTGTCTGGCCAAAAAGCACTGAAATAAGAATGGCTATCTGAGAGAATAATAATGGAAGTTATGATAACAGCAATAAGCAGCATTAAAAGTATAAAGCAGCAGACTGTGAAGAGCAGATTTATATTTAAAAAATAGTTCTCACGCCGGGCGCGGTGGCTCACGCCTGTAATCCCAGAACTTTGGGAGGCCAAGGAGAGCAGATCATGAGATCAGGAGATGGAGACCATCCTGGCCAACATGGTGAAATCCCGTCTCTACTAAAATACAAAAATTAGCCACGCACGGTGGTGCACTCCTGTAATCCCAGCTACTCCGGAGGCTCAGGCAGGAGAATTGCTTGAACCCGGGAGGCGGAGGTTGAAGTGAGCCGAGATCGCGCCACTGCACTCCAGCCTGGTCACAAAGCAAGACTCCGTCTCAAAAAAATAAATAAATAAAAAATAGTTTTCAAATTGTAGTATAAAAAACTATTAGAGGTGCAAAGGACAATACAAGAGAGAAGCCATACTCCCAATATATTGGGGCAGTGGATGTAAAATAGATAGAAAAGGGCATGATGAAATATCACAGGACCCAATTAGACAGGAACTGCAAAGCATCTTAGTCTGTGCCTCATACATGAAGGTTCTCAATAAACAGAAAAACCATTTGTCCAGGTTTACCCAAGATAGGCCCTCTTTATGTCTGCTGCCCGGGCATAAATATTAATTATTTTCACTTTCCTTTTTTTTTTTTTTAAAGATAGAGTCTCACTTTGTCACCCAGGCTACAGTGCAGTGGCATGAACACAGCTCACTGCAGCATCAACCTTCCGGGCTCATGCAATCCTCCTGCCTCAGCCTCCCGAGCGGCTGGGACTACAAGTGCATGCCACCACGCCTGGCTAATCTTTGTAGTTTTTGTAGAGATAGGATTTCACCATGTTGCCCAGGCTGATCTCACACTCCTGAGCTCAAGAAATCGGCCCACCTCGGCCTCCCCAAGGGCTAGGATTACACAGGTGAGCCACCGCACCTGGCTCTTTTCACTCTTAAGTGTCCCAGTTAGCACAATAAATAACATGGTCACCCTTTCAATTAGGATCTGTTGACTAAAAGCAGCAGCTTGTCCATAGTAGAGCTGGATAAACAGTGCAGGTTCTCCGTCAGGGCTCTCCTCCTCTTCCCTCTACTCACTCTCCAACCAGGAGTCTAGGACAACCACAGGGGCCAGCCGTGGAGCAGAGTTGCGCTCTGTTAGGCCTTCCTACCAGACCCCAGCTCCACCAGCAATGGGGACTCCCACAGTCTCTTGGGGCAGGTCCATGGGAGGCCACTCTTGGCCATTATTCCCTGATTCATATCACCTTTGATGACAGTAGTAATAATGACACTAATGGCAACACAAGATCATTTTTTAAGCACTGATTATGTGGCAGGCACTACACCTGCCAAGCAAATGGCTCGACAGGCATCACCTCTTTTAATCCTCACCCCAACTCTGTTGGGTGGATATTACTAGCCCATTTTACAGATGGGAAAGCCGGTGAAATCACTTTACCAAGGTCACACAGCTAGTCAGTTTACAGGGCTGGATTTGAATCCAGTTTTGTCCAACTCTAGCCAAGGTTCTTAATCATTGCACTCCATTGCCTCCTGGGTGGCCACTATGTGACCCAAAAAGCAAAGTCTGGGCATACCGGCTACACTCTCTCCATAATGAAAACAAACTCTCAAACCAGAAGGAACCATCAGGTGCCCTCAAGGTCCCTGTTCTCCACCAATCCCCACTAACGGGATACTCCAAGTGGCCCCACCCTCGTCCTACTCTTTCAGAAAACTCCTTACCTGTTCTTCACACGCTCTACAAAGTACATGGCGCAATGCTACTGGCAATTGTGGTGCAGGTCGCGGCTCCCAGCCCTCCAGAGTGTCAGGTGGTGGGCCCCCCAGAGACCCTCTCCGAAGGAACCCACCCCACACACTGCCCCTGGCCAGACACCCTCAAGAGCAAACCCCAAGGCCGCGTTAGAACGAAATCCCACCAGCTGGAACCCCGGCCCGGTTACCACGACCACCAATGCCCCGGCCGCACCTGCAGCCGCTGAGCGTCCCAGGGACGGTGACGTCCTCTTCCAACACCAAGTCCATCATGGCTACAGAGGTGGCGACAGCGTTGGTGTCTGTGGCGGCGGCGCCACTAGTACCCCCCGCGATAGCGACCCGCCGGGCTCCCCAGGTCCCCGCCCCCTCCACCCCAGCTCTTGTTCAGACTCTGGCGGCGCCGCTGGAATTCAAACCACAGACGCCGCCATCTTTCCCGGCGCTTCTTCCTACGGAAACGAGGCGGGGTCACGGAGGCGCACGCAGTGAAGCCGACCGGCTGGCGCCAGAGGACGGGCAGGGAAGCGGGGATAGGTGCCATCTTAACTAAGGGCAAAGCATCCGTGCTTAAGCCAAGCAAAAATAAGAGACAAAAAAAGGCCGGCTGCCATTTTTTGTGAGGGCACTTAGGGAGAGGCGAGGGCGGGTGCCATCTTTGTTGAGGGCCAAAGCGGGCCCTAGTCCGTTAATTTACGCGGGAGATGGAAATGAATACAGCCACTCAGGAATCCTCAAAGTTCCTAACCTCGTGTTTGCTTTTCTAGAATAATGACCCCAAAACTTTGGGATTTGACCTTAAGTTGAAACTCAGATAACTGAGTGCTGCCTTGCTTTGGAAAAATACTACGTGCGGAATCTCAAGGCAAACAGTAATTTGCAGACTTAGTTTGAAGCAAATAACTCATTCCCATGAGCCAGTGGTCAACAGCACTCCCACTCCAGTCTCTCACCTATTGGTCTTTTATTACCATTAGGACTCAAAGGCACCTGTGGTCAGAAAACTGAGGGCCAGCAAGAGGAAAGGACTCTCCCAAAGTAATTAAGTATTGACAATGTCTTTCAACTGGAGTGGGGGTCTGCAGCTCCTGCCAACTAGATGAGGGCTCTCTGCATAACCCTGGCTGCCTTTCTTTTTTTTTTTTTTTGAAATGGTGCCTCTGTCGCCAGGCTGGAGTGCAGTGGCCCGATCTCAGCTCACTGCAACCTTCACCTTCTGGGTTTAAGCGATTCTTCTGCCTCGGCCTTGCGCCACCACACCCGGGTAATTTTTGTATGTTTAGTAGAGACGGGGTTTCACCATGTTGGCCAGGATGGTCTCAATCTCCTGACCTCGTGATCTGCCCACCCCGGCCTTCCAAACTGCTGGGATTACAGGCGTGAGCCACAGCACCGGCCCCTTGGCTGCCTTTCTTAAAGCACATAGCAATCACCAAACACTTAGATAATCTTGGCAGAGCTTAAGCAATGAAATTAACCTTCCCCTCCTCAACTCAGTGTTGCTCCTTCCTCTGCAGGCCCTTGTGAGAGAGCCCGATGAAAATAACTTGAAATGGTTGGTGAGTGGATAGATAGTGACTTTCCCAGTAATCTTGAACAATTCCCCTTTCACCCTGTTTCCTCATTCTTTTTTTTTTTTTTTTAAATAGAGACAGGGTCTCACTATGTTGCCCAGGCTGGTCTTGAACTCCTGGCCTCAAGCAATCCTCCCACCTTGGCCTCCCAAAGTGCTGGGGTTATAGGCCTGAGCCACTGCACCAGGCCCTCATTCTTCAGTTAAGTAATTAACCAATTATTGATACTTTTCAAAAGAAGCCTTCCCTAGTCATTTAATCTAAATCAAGCCACTTCTTGTATTCCTAGCAATGCAAATTATTCCTTTGTGGCACTTACCATATTTTGCAATTTGTGTGTGTGTGTGTGTGTGTAAAATCATTTTTTAAATGTCTTTCCTTGCACTAGACTGGAAGCTGCATGGGGCAGGGACTATATTCTGAATTGTTCACTGCTATATCCTCAACACCTAGCACTATGTCTGCCACTCAGCAGCTATTTGAAAATGTATGTTAAATGAATGAGTGATTCAATCAATCAGTCTGGAAATAAGGCCAATACCTATCCTGCAAGGTTTTTGTGAGAATAATCAGAGATACTTTTAGGACCTCTGTCAATAGTAATTCTGTGTATCCCAGATTCATATTCATTCTCTCTCTTTCTCTCTCTCTCTCTGTCTCTCTCTCAGCTTTAGTTAGGCTTCCAAAGCCCGCGATTATTTGCCTGTCCCCCTTCTTTCTCTAGATCTTCAACCACACCCACAATTAGCAATGATAAAAGCATGAAAAAGAGGGAAAGCTTAGCACACCTGGTGCACTGCCTCAGGAACGGGGCAGTCCTTGAAGCCCAGGAACCAATACTCCTTGCCAGTAAGTTCAACCCATGAGATAGGTGTGTCCAAAAGCAGGGAAGTTGGGGTGTCAGGATTCCCACCCTGGCTCTGCCACCAACTCTGTGATCTTTGGCAGATCACCTTTTTTTTTTTTTTTGAGATGGAGTTTTGCTCTTGTTGCCCAGGCTGGAGTGCAATGGCACGATCTCGGTTCACCACAACCTCTGCCTCCCGGGTTCAAGCGATTCTCCTGCCTCAGCCTCCCAAGTGGCTGGAATTATAGGCATGCACTGCCACGTCCGGCTAGTTTTGTATTTTTAGTAGAGGCAGGGTTTGTCCATCTTGGTCAGGTTGGTCTCGAACTCCTGACCTCAGGTGATCCACCCACCTCAGCCTCCCAAAGTGCTGGGATTACAGGCATGAGCCACCCCACCCGGCCTGGCCAATCACTTCTCTGTGGACCTCAGCTTCTACATCTGTTAAATGAGAGGGCTGAACCTCTCAGGGTCTCTCAGGATGTTACAGCTCTGGAGGTGATTTCTACATTTCTTTTTTTTTTTTTTTTTAAGATGGAGTCTTGCTCTGTTGCCCAGGCTGGAATACAGTGACGCGATCTCAGCTCACTGCAACCTCCTGGATTCAAGCGATTCTCCCACCTCAGCCTCCCAAGTAGCTGGGATTACAGGCACCTGCCACCACGCCCAGCTAATTTTCGTATTTTTAGTAGAGACGGGGTTTCACCATGTTGGCCAGGCTGGCCTCGAACTCCTGACCTCAGGTGATCCACCCACCTCGGCCTCCCAAAGTGCTGGGATTACAGGTGTGAGCCACTGTGCCTGGCTTCTGTGTTTATTTCAAAGCTACTAACATACAACCAACTCTCTCCTGGGGAGGGAGGCTAACACTTCCCACATGAAAGAACTAACTTTGCATCTCCAGCCAATGAAAACTCTTGAGAATATAAACAAGGAAGAGAACTTATACATTTTGAGCATGTCTTATACGTCACTTGTTCCAGGCATATTACATGCACCACCTCATTTAACCCTCCCAACAACCTTCTGCAGGAGGCGCTACTATCTGACTTACAATTGAGAAGACTGAGGCTGCAAAAGGTAAAAACTACTTACTGAAGGTCCTACAGCTGGTAAGTGCCAGAGCTGGAATTGAGACCAGGGCCCTTTGAATTCCAACACCTTGATTGTTTCAGGCAACCTGTCATCCCCATTTGGGTTTCTCTTTTGCTTTAGAATTTAGTACTAAGAGGCAAGGTCTACATCCAGACGACAGTATTTAAGGGTTGTGTTCACCAGACTCTACTCCTTGGGAAACTGCTTCAAAGTGGCTAAGAGGTGAATCTTAGTGTGGGCAGTTTACAGAACTGGAAGTCTGGACACCTGGATTCTGACTCTGGAAACTCCTCCCATTTATCCTGTGACCTGGGGTTCCTTCCCCTTGCTACACTTCGATTTTCATGTGTAAAATGGGGAGGACAATGCTGAGTTCACATGGTTGCCTCATCTAATTGAATACCTTAGACATTATTGAAGATGAAAGAACCTGTGAGGAGTTGGGTTGTTTTTTTAACTTATTTAATTTTTTTTTTGGACACAGGGTCTTGCTTTGTCAACCAGGCTGGAGTACAATAAGAGTGATCATAGCTCACTGCAGCCTCCACCTTCCAGGCTCAGGTGATCCTCCCACCTCAGCCTCCCGAGTAGCTGGGACCACAAGCAGGTGCCACCATGCCGGACTAATTTGTTTATTTTTAGTAGAGATGGGGTCTTGGTATGTTGCCCAGGCTGGTCTCGAACTCTTGGGCTCAAATGATCCTCCCACCTCAGCGTCAGAAAGTACTGGGGTTATAGACATGAGCCATCACGCCCAGCCTAGGATCTCTCATTATGATTAGTCCATTGCCTTGTTCAGCATGACCATGTCCCTGGGTTGCGTGCTAAACCCTTTAGTGAACCTAGAAACTGAAAATAGAATCAATTGCACAAAGGAAAGGCTATTTGGAAGTTGGTTTTCCTGCTACTGTAGTGGTTTCATGTTCAGAGACAGAGGCCTTTGTCCTGTCTCTGTCTCACCATGATCTTTCTGCCAAACCTAGAGGTGACGTCACTACCACCAGCTGTTTGGGCTATCTGGGGCTATCTCCTTGACAACAGCCACCCAACCACAAAGCTGGCATTATTATTTCCTCAGACAAGGTCATATCAAATGGCTGGGAGGAAGTAGCTTGCAGTCAGATGTTTTTCATTTGGGTAGAACCCTCCTGAAGCTTTAACAGATCAAGACATTTGCACTGCCATTACTAACAGCAAAAATAACTTTTTATAGGATCAATATATACGCAATGCTACTACTTTGCACTCTTCCGTTTTATCCTCATGATGCTGTGAAGTGAATTGGGTTGATCGCCCTACTCTACAGAAGAAGAAACTAAAGGCTCAGAGAGGGGAAGAGATTTCCCAAAGGTCACACTTTTTTTTCTTTCCTTCTTTCTTAGTTTTTTATTTAGAAATAATTTCAAACTTAGAAAAAAGTTGCAAAAATAGTACAAAGAATTTCTAAAATATTAACATCTTCCACAACCATAGCACAATTGTCAAAAATAAGAAATTACATTGATACAATATGACTTATTACAGATCTTATTTAAATTTAATCTTTTCCCATTAATTCCCTTTTGCTGGTCCAGGATCCAATCCAATATTCCACACTGCATTTACTTGTTACATCTCCTTACTCTCCTCCAGTCTCTGACAGTTCTGTCTTTCATGGCAATGACACGCTTTGTTTTTGTTTTTGTTTTTGTTTTTGAGACACAGTCTCACTCTGTCACCCAGGCTGGGGTCCAGTGGCACTGCAACCTCCGCCTCCCGGGTTCAAGCAATTCTCCTGCCTCAGCCTCCCAAGTAGCTGGGACTACAGGCGCACACAACCACACCCAGCTAATTTTTGTAATTTTAGTAGAGACAGGGTTTCACCATGTTGGCCAGGATGGTCTCAATCTCTTGACCTCGTGATCTGCCCACCTCGGCCTCCCAAAGTGCTGGGATTACAGGCATGAGCCACTGCGCCTGGCCCAAGCTGCCCTTCTAAACCATGGCCGTGCTGAGATTCAAACCCATGCCTGTCTGGTCCCACAGTTGGCAGTATTTCTGGCAGACACATCTGCCCCCTTGCTCCCAAGACCTCTTACCAACCAACCCTCAACACCAGCAGTCCTTATTAGGACCAGTTCTCAATTAGTACCCACTGCCTTCTCTGAAGAGCAGGGTGATCAAGTCAGTGATGCCTTCTGGGCCCAACATGTAGCCCCAGGCTGTGCACATAGTAGATGCTCAATGCCAGTTTGTCAAATTAACTCCAAGTCCTGACTTTTTCTCAAGATGGAAAGTGGAATGAGAAATACCAAATATCAAAGGAATAGAATATAGATTATTGGACTAGGGATGGTAACACACATCAACATAATATAAGGTTAATACCAATCTCCCAGTTCAACTCTCTGGGCCTATTTTCTTATCTGTATGCTGAGTGCATTACACTACAACATTGAGGCCCCTTCAGCTGTGATGTTCCATGAATAACTAAAATTAGCTACCATATATTAAGCTCTTTCTATGTGCCAGGTACTGTGTTATATACTTTGCATTCAATCCTCACAATAACCTTATGAAACAAGAACTGATTATGCTCCAACTTTATGGTTGACAAAACTGAAGTACAAAGAGAAGAAAGAGTTGCCTGGCCATTGAAGGGGATCAAAATATGCCATCCCAACATATGCCCCTTTTGCATAAGGATTATTTTGAGCTGAAGACAATTGAGAATCAACAGATGCAGAAAGAATTTTCTGCCTTCTCCTTTTCTACCCTGAAGCAGGACATAAATTCCCCTTTGTGAACATGTGCCTCCTCCCTGTCTACCATTAGTTTCCCCCATATATTCCCTAATCACTTCCCCATGATTTATCAGCCTTGAAGCTCAACACTCCCTTCTTTTGCTATAATGGGATAAAAGCCCTTGAGCCTAACCACTTATTTGAGTTTCACTTCTTTTCTATGAACTCTTGTGCACATAACTATTAATAAAAATTAATATGCCTTTTCTCCTGTTAATCTGTCTTTTGTCCATTTAATACACAGAACCCTCAGGTACTGAACCAGACAGGTTAAAGGAAAGTTTTGCCCCGACACCATCCAAGTAGCTCAGTTGTGAAGACAGGATTTGAACCCAGAATTCATCCAAAAGCCCATGTTCTTAACCACTAGGCCGTAGTGCCTTTCACTGAATACCTGTCCTCAAGAAGCTGGTGAAAATGCACATACATAATTATGAAACAAAGCAAAACATTTTAAATACTTTGTTGGTATAAGAAAGATAACAGGGCTGGGCACGGTGGCTCACGCCTGTAATCCCAGCACTTTGGGAGGCCGAGGCAGGTGGATCACAAGGTCAGGAGATCGAGACCATCCTGGCCAACGTGGAGAAACCCCGTCTCTACTAAAATACAAAAAAAATTAGCCGGGTGTGGTGACACGCACCTGTAGTCCCAGCTACTCAGGAGGCTGAGGTAGGGGAATCGCTTGAACCTGGGAGGTGGAGGTTGCAGTGAGCAGAGATCGTGCCACTGCACTCCAGCCTCGTGACAGAGCAGGACTCCATCTCAAAAAAAAAAAAAAAAAGAAAAGAAAAAGAAAAAGAACAGTGAGATTCTAGGATCACAGAAGGGATTGAGTCATTCTGATTGAGCAGTTGGGGAAGGCTGTTTTACAAGTAAGACCTATGCCCTGCAAAAGCAGGATAAAAACCTGTACATACTATTATGTGCACTAGCTCCTCATGTTTGAAGGCCAACAGAGATCAAATAAAATCCCTACTTGATGCAACTATTTAAAAAGCCCATGTCACATTCTTCATCCCTTGATTCTACCTCACAACAGCTCTAAGACAAGTTTGTTATCATTCTTCTACTGATAAGGAAATTGAGACTCAGAGACATGAACCGATTTTCCCAAAGTCACACAGCAAGCTAGTGACAGAGAGGAGCTTGGACCTCCATTTCCTGATTCACAAAAGGTGGTTCCTGAGCTTTTTGAAACTTGCAGGAGCCAGAGATATGTCCCACGGCAAGATCTCCTACCTAAATTGATCATCCTCAGTACGATGGCCACATCCCCACCCACTTAAATCCAGGGTCTGGCTAACAGAGATCTAAAAGCTGCTGGAAAAATTATCCTAGGATGCCAGAGAGTGCTTTCAAGCACCCTCTCCAGCTGCACATTGAATATGTAAAGCAGCAATAGCTCTAAGCAGAGAAGGGTAATTGAATTAATCAACTGTCTGGACATTTTGCAGATTAAAAGAAGTACTTAATGTCTTGTGACTTGCAGGAGGGGACGGTAAACTTTGCATCTCCCTTAAATGCAGTGAATTCACATTGAGAGCACAGAGCAGGAACTAGAGAAGGATGAACACAACACTTGTGGCAGCTGCAGTGCCTCCTTCCTTAAAGGGATAAATGACAGTCCCCTTTTCCTTGCATGTGTCCTCCTGTGTGTGTGACATGCCACCAAGTACACTGCACAGGCTGTGCCCTACACAAGCACATCCACCCAAAGGAGGAGTGGAGGCTGAAATTGAGTCCGTGCTGTGCTGGACAAGCTGTGAGTTTATCCCAAAGCAGGGATGCCTTTTTTCTAATTCACACAAAAGAACTATACATGCCAGTGACTCTTAGAGTCTAAAATATGCTTCCTTCCCCTTCTCTGTGAGTCCTAGGGTCCTCTGAACAACAGTTTAAGAGAAAGTTTTGGGACCCAGTTTGGGTAGATGTCCCACCTCTGGACTCCCAGCATACCCTGAGCTTATCATCATTGTGACATTTAGCTCTGTAATTGTTAACTTGGCTGCCACAGTGTGAACTCCTTGAGGCCAGGAGAGGCAATGTCAATATTTTATTTTCATTTCATTTTATTTTTTGAGACAGAATTTCACTCTTGCAGCCCAGGCTGGAGTGCAGTGGCACAATCTCGGCTCACTGCAACCTCCGCCTCCCAGGTTCAAGCCATTCTCCTGCTTCAGTCTCCCAAGTAGCTGGGACTACAGGTGTGCGCCACCATGCCCAGCTAATTTTTGTATTTTTAGTAGAAACAGCGTTTCACTGTAGTGGCCAGACTGGTCCTGAACTCCCAACCCAGGTGTTCTGCCCACCTCGGCCTCCCAAAGTGCTGGAATTACAGGCATGAGCCACCACACCTGGCCAATGTTAATATTTTAAATCAACTTTATTGAGATAGAATTTACACAAAATAGGTGTACCCACTTCAAGTATACATTCTGGTGAGTTTTGGCAAACTTACATACTCATGTAGCCATCATCAGAATCAAGAGATACAGAATAGCAGACTGGACGCGGTGGCTCATGCCTATAACCCTAGCACTTTGGGAGGCTGAGGCGGGCAGATCACTTGAGGCCAGAAGTTCAAGACCAGCCTGGCCAAAGTGGTGTTACCCCATCTCTACTAAAAATACAAAAATTAGCTGGGCATGGTGTTGTGTGCCTGTAATCCCAGCTACTCCAGAGGCTGAGATAGGAGAATCACTTCTTGAACCCAGGAGGTGGAGGTTGCAGTGAGCTGAGATCACACCACTGCACTCCAGCCTGGGCAACAGAGCAAGATCCAGTCTCAAAAAAAAAAAAAAAAGAGAGAGAGAGAGGTAGAACACGACTCTCCAACAGAACTTTCTTGGATGATGGAAATACAGTATTCTAAATCTGCACTGTCCAATACAATAGCCACTAGCCACTTGTGGCTATTGAACCCTGGAAATGTAGCTATGTGACTGAGGAATTGAATTTTTAAAATGTTTATCTTAATTAAAATTTAAATAGCCACATGGGGCTAGTGGTTACTGTATTAGCATAGATGTGAAACATTTCCATCACCCCACAAGGTTCCTTGGTGTTACAGTCCAAGTCAATCTCCCTTCCCCCTCAGGAAATCACTGTTCTTTTATTTTTTATTTTTTGAGACGGAGTCTCACTCTATCGCCCAGGCTGGAGTGCAGTGGCGCGATCTCCCCTCACTGCAAGCTCCGCCTCCTGGGTTCACGCCATTCTCCTGCCTCAGCCTCCCAAGTAGCTGGGACTACAGGCGCTGCCACCACACCCGGCTAATATTTTGTATTTTTTAGTAGAGATGGGGTTTCACTGTTTTAGACAGGATGGTCTCGATCTCCTGACCTCGTGATCTGCCCGCCTCGGCCTCCCAAAGTGCTGGGATTACAGGCGTGAGCCACTGTGCCCGGCTTTTTTTTTTTTTTTTTTTTTTTTTTTTTTTTTTTTTTTTTTTTTGAGACAGAGTTTCGTTCTTGTCACACAAGGTGGAGCGCAATGGTGAGATCTGGACTCACTGCAACCTCCGCCTTCCGGGTTCAATAATTCTGCCTCAGCTTCCTGAGTAGCTGAAATTACAAGTGTGCACCACCACGCCCAGCTGATTTTTGTATTTTTTAGTAGAGACAGGGTTTCACCACGTTGGCCAAGCTCGTCTCAAACTCCTGACCTCAGGTGATCCACCTACCTCAGCCTCCCAAAGTGCTTGGATTACAGGCATGAGCCACCACACCCGGCCTCACTGTTCTATTTTTCCTCATTAAAGATTTGTCTTTTTGGGCTGGTCATGGTGGCTCTGACCTATAATACCAAAACTTTGGGAGGCCAAAGCAGGAGGATTGCTGAAGCCCAGGAGTTCGAGACCAGCCTACTCAATATAGGGAGTCCTCATCTCCACAAAGAAAAAATTAAAAATTAGTGGGGCATGAGGTGGCCGCGATGGCTCATGCCTGTAATCCCAGCACTTTCGGAGGCCAAGGCGGGTAGATCACGTGAGGTCAGGAATTCAAGACCAGCCCGGGTGACATGGCGAAACCCCATCTCTACTAAAAATACAAAAATCAGCTGGGCATAATGGCACATACCTGTAGTCCTAGCTACTGGGGAAGCTGAGGCAGGAGGATCCTTTGAACCTGGGAGGCAGAGGTTGCAGTGAGCTGAGATCACGCCACTGCACTCCATCCAGCCTGGGCAACAGAGTGAGATGCTGTATCAAAACAACAAAAAAAATTGTTTTTTCTTTCTTTCCTTTGTTTTTTGTTTTTTTGTTTTTGTTTTGAGACGGGGTCTCCCTCTGTCGCCCAGGCTAGAGTGCAGTGGTGCAATCACAGCTCACTGCAGCCTCGACCTCCTGGGCTCCAGCGATCTTCCCGCCTCAGCCTCCCGAGTGGCTGGTACTACAGGCACATGCCACCACACCCAGCCAATTTTAGTATTTTTTGTACGGATAGTATTTCGCCATGTCACCCAGGCTGGTCTCAAACTCCTGGACTCAAGCTACTCTCCAGTCTCAGCCTCCCAAAGTACTAGGATTACGAGCATGAGCCACCATGCCCAGCCAAGATTTGTCTTTCAACAGTTTCTTAGGACTGGAATCATACAGTGCATACTCTTGTGTCTGGCTACTCTGGAGAGCAAGAACTTTTAACTCTATACCCTCTGGTCTCTTATAGTGCCTGGCAGATAATAGGTGTTTAATAAATATTGAGGAAAGAATGAATTAATAAATCTTAACCAGAATTAATTATCTTACTCTGAACACCCTTATCTTCCCACTGAATAGAATACAAGAATTAAAAAGGTCCTCACAGAGAACATTTAACGAAACTTCTTGGATTTACCAGTGGAAAAACTGAGATCCAGATGGATTCAGCGGCCTGCCCAAGTTCACTCTACAAGTGCATAACAGAGCAAGAATAGACCCAAAATGGGCAGACTTCCAGGCCTGTGCTCTCCTCGCTTCACAATACCAGTTTCCCACCCATTTCCCATAGGCAAATATGGCGTTTCTTCATGGATCCCTGTGGAACCATAGAATGCCAACAACATGTCACTTTGCTTCTTTCAGCCTCCTGTGGATGCCGTCCTGGCCACAGACCACTCACTGAAAACACAGAAACAGCAGCAATTCAACTTAGGGAGGTGTCTCATTTCATTTAAGTATACCCAAAACCCAAGAGTAGCCTTACTCAAATACTGGGCTGTAGATTGGTTTTCTAGTCAGGAAGCAAACTAGCTGGTACCTGATCCAATTATCCACTCACTAGAGATAGAAAAACATTGCATTTTTTGTAAAGTTTTTATTTAAAACCTCTTTTTTTTTTTTTAGACGGAGTTTCTCTCTTGTCACTCAGGCTGGAGTGCAATGGCACGATCTCGGCTCACTGCAACCTCTGCCTCCCGGGTTCAAGCGATTCTCCTGCCTCAGCCTCCCGGGTAGCTGGGATTACAGGCGCATTATCAGCACACCCGGCTCATTTTTGTATTTTCAGTAGAGACAGGGTTTCACCATCTTGGCCAGGCTGGTCTTGAACTCCTGACCTTGTGATCCACCTGCCTCGGCCTCCCAAAATGCTGGGATTACAGGCATGAGCCACCGCACCCAGCCTAAAGACCTCTTAAATAATAGGGAGAGAGGAAGCGAACTATTCATTATAGACCTTGCATGTGCTGCGATGCTCCACATAAGGTTTTCACTTAACCTTGCTGCAACCCTAAGAGGTCAGCATCAAGACCAGCCTGAGCGACATGGCGAAACCCCATGTTTAGTGATAACTAAAAAGTTATTACTTTTATAGGTAATGGCGACAAGACGAAGAGCCATCTGTTAAGTTGCCCCAGATCCTACAGTTGTGAGGCCTGCACTAGAACCCATATCTCTCTGCTTTTGAAATGGGAGGGTTCCCCAATCCCTCTCACAGGACGTGTGAAGGCAAGTGTGGCTTGCCTGTCACTGCCACTGCTCAAACCCCCGAGGGAAGGGGGAACACACAGACAGGCAGTTGCAGGAACCCAAGTGGGCATGTGTTACAGTGTGCCCTTTTAGCCCTCCTATCTGTAGACGGCTTGAGTGTTAAACCGCTCAATGGACCCTCTGCCTTTTCATAAGGGCAGAGGGCCAGTGTGATAGCTTTCTGTATTGTGAGCTCTTGCCTAGCATCCTGGAAGAATCGGGTCACACATGGGCTTGAAGGATGAATGTGGGGTTTTATTGAGTGGTGGAGGTGGTTTTTAGAGGGATGGATGGGGAGCTGGAAGGGGGAATGGAATAGGAAGATGATATTCCCCTGGAGCCTGCCCATCCAGTGGCCGAACTCCTCTCTGACCACCCCCAGCCAAACTCCTCTGGGCATTCAGATGTTCCTCTTCGTCTCTCTTTCTCTGTTGCATCATTCCGCAGTTCCTCTGCCTATCTCATCTCCTCCCCTGCTTGTCTGCTTCCGGAGCCTGGAGTTCGGGGTTTATATGGGTACAAGATAGGGGGTGTGGTGGGCAAAAAGGCAACTTTTTGGGCACGAAAACAGAAATGCCTGTTCCCACTTAGGGCTGCAGGTCTCCAGGCTTGAGGGTGGGGCCTTTGCCGGGGACCGCTCTCTTCTACTCAGTATTTCCCTGTCTCCTGTCCATATCACTTTCAAAGCTGATGCTTTTTGTACCATAAGCTATTATCTTTTAGAACCAAGAAAAATAGATTTTATGTTGATGTTCCAGTATGCACCTTTTAATTAGACAGTAATACAGGTAAATAATCTATGTTGCTGTTTGTTGGGCAGCTCATAGCTCAACTGGGTGCCATTTGCTAACTTAGCCTTTAGCCTAGGTTTTCTGGTATGTTTCTGCTTCCTCCTTAGTATACTTAACTGATACTTTAACTCTTAATTCAAAGGTTTAATGATCTCTACCTTTTAATACAAAAAGTTGAGATACAGATTGTAACTAAATAAAATTCTTTACCCAGGACAGTACCTGTTAACATTGAAACCTTTTCATTTTAACTGAAGGAAATTCAAAATGTAACTGTTGCCAAATTCCTTGTTTCCAAATTTAAAGGCCTCTCCATTTCAGACAATTCCACTGGGGATTAATGGCCCATTGGCGTCTATACAATTTCCTTAATTTACCCTAAAATTATTATCTTGAGTAAAGCAGAATCTTAATAGACAACATTAATGTCTTTATCCTTGTCTGGAAGGATCTCATCTCTTTGCAAAAAATAGCTTCTTCAAACGAGGCTGGATAATCCCCCCTAGCCATGGTGATTAAAGATAACAATGGCTCATTTAGAAAATGTTTTGGGGAAATTAAAAAGCTGAGATGAAGCCTGTTGGTTCTGGAGTAAAAGTAAAGGCAGGAAGGGGAGGACACCAAAAGCATCCATATATTGGACTATGTTTGCTTCCTACTCAGTCAGCACAGGCCGCAGTGTTTGAGGACATGCAGTCAGGTCTGTGGGCGTGATCTCTCTCTACACCGAAGGAATGAGCTTCATCAGCACCATTCCATCGAAGGGAATTTTGTGCTGTATGTTCCCAGGGTCACTCACAAACATCCCTACTTACAAGTGACTTGATGCTTTCCAAAATAACAGTTTATTGGGATTTTGGTTTAAGTTTGCACTAATTCAAAGCCTGCAGACTGCAGTATACTTACACACCTTTATTGTACTTATGAGTGTAGAAACTGTGATACGGCTGATTCACTTATTCATTTACTAACATATAGTGAGGGGTGTGTGTGTGTGTCTGTGTGTGTATGTGTGTGTGAGAGAGAGAGAGACAGGGCCTCACTCTGTTGCCCAGGCTGGAATGCAGTGACAAGATAATGACTTACTGCAGCCTGGACCTTCTGGCCTTAGCTGGGCACAGTGGCTCATGCCTATAATCCCAGCAGTTTGGGAGGCCAAGGCAGGAGGATTGCTTGAGCTCAGGAGTTCAAGACCAGCCCTAGCAGCATAGCAAGACTCTGTCTCTAAAAAAAAATAAAAATTATTTGGGTGTACTGGTGTCCACTTATAGTCCATCCACTTGTAATCCCAGCTACTCAGGAAGCTGAGGCGGGAGGAACACTTGTGCCTGGGAGGTCAAGGCTGCAGTGAGCCAAGGTCACACCATTGCACTCCTGCCTGGGCAACAGAGTGAGAACCTCTCTATAAACAAACAAAAGAAAAAACCTCCTGGGCTAAACGTTTCAATCTTCCAAACATACAGTTGATTCCTCTGGCAACCAGCACCCTCATCTTGAGGGGCTTTTCCAAAGTCACTTCAATAACTCAGGTGTGGTCAACAGGGACTTATGATAAGTAACAAAAGTTGTTCCTTTCACCTTTATCACCCTGGACCTATTACAAGAGCCAGGGGCAAAAACCAAATATAACTTAAGATGCTACTACAGCTCTTATCATTTAGAAACTTGCACAAAAGCTGGGAGCTAGACAAAGACCCAAATATATATTTCTTTTTTTTTTTTTTTTGAGACAGGGTTTCGCTCTGTTGCCCAGGCTAGAGTGCAGTGGCGCAATCTCAGCTCACTGCAGCCTCCATCTCCTGGGTTCAAATGATTCTCCTGCCTCAGCCTCCCAAGTAGCTGGGATCACAGGCATTCACCACCATGCCAGGCCATTTTTTTTGTATTTTTAGTGGAGACAGGGTTTCGCCATGTTGGGCCATGCTGGTCTCAAACTCCTGACCGCAAGTGATCCACCCACCTCGGCCTCCCAAAGTGCTGGGATTACAGGCGTGAGCCACTGTGCCCAGCCTATATTTCTTATTATATCACAATACACAAGAGAGTATCATCATCATCATCATTTTTATCATGAATGAATATTGGATTTTGCCAAATGCCTTTTGTACAGCTATTGAAGTAATCATCATATTATTTTTCTTTCTCAGCCTTTGTGAATTACACTGATTGATTTTTAAATGTTATACCAAACTTACATTTATGTGATAAACCCCAGTTGGTAATGAAGTACTATTTGTGCGTGTGTGTGTGTGTGTGAGTCAGAGTCTTGCTCTGTCACCCAGGCTGGAGTGCAGTGGTGCAACCTCCACCCCCTGGGTTCAAGCAATTCTCCTGCCTCAGCCTCCCACATAGCTGGGATTACAGGCATGCGCCACCACGCCTGGCTAATTTTTGTATTTTTTGTAGTAGAGACGGGGTTTTGCCATGTTGGCCAGGCTGGTCTCGAAGTCCTGACCTCGGGTGATCCGCCCGCCTTGGCCTCCCAAAGTGCTAAGATTACAGGCAGAAGCCACCACGCCCAGCCTTGAAGTACTGTTTTTTAAAGTGTATTGTTGTACTTAAATTTGCTTGAATTTTCTTAGAAATGTTTCTCTCTATATTCATGAGAGACATTGGTCTGTTGTTTTCTTGTTATGTCTTCTTTTTTTATTTGGGTAATGCTGGTTTCATAGAATGAGTTGACAAATATTGCTTCTTTAGTTTTTCTGGAAGGGTTTGTGTAGAATTGGTAATATTTCTTTAAATATTTCTAGAGTTCACCAGTGAAGCTATCTGGACCTGGAGTTTTCTTTGTGAAAGGTTTGTTTTTTGTTTATTCGGAGACAGGGTCTCACTGTGTTGCCCAGGATAGAGTGCAGTGGTGCAGCCTCGGCTCACTGCAGCCTCAAAATGCTGGGCTCAAGTGATCCTCCCACCTCAACTTCCCAAATAGCTGGGACTACAGGCATATACCAGCACACATGGCTAATTTTTCTTTTTTTCTTTCTTTCTTTTTTTTTTTGTACAGACGGGGTCTCACTTTGTTGCCCAGGCTGGCCTCAAACTCCTGGGCTCAAGCAGTCCTCTTGCCTTGGCCTCTCAGTGTGCTGGTATTACAGTGTGAGCCACTACACATAGCCTGTGAAAGGTTTTTAACTACAGGCCAGGTACGGTGTGGCTCATGACTGTAATCCCAACACTTTGGTAGGCCAAGGCGGGCAGATTACGAGGTCAGGAGTTCGAGACTAGCCTGGCAAGCGTGGTGAAACCCCGTCTCTACTACAAAAAATACAAAAATTAGCCAGGCACTGTGGCGCGCACCTGTAATCCTACTACTTGGGAGGCTGAGGCAGGAGAATTGCTTGAACCCAGGAGGCAGAGGTTGCAGGGAGCTGAGATCGCACCATTGCACTCCAGCCTGGGCGACAGAGCAAGACTCCATCTCAAAAATAAATAAATAAACAAACAAATAGTTTTTAACTACAAATTAAATTAAATAAAGGTAACATGACTACTTAGGTTATCTATTTCTTTTTGAGTGAGCATGGTTTGTGTCTTTGAAGGAATATGTACATTTCACGTAAGTCATCAAATTTGTTGGCATAAACTTCCTTTATTATCCTTTTTTTTAGACGGGGTCTTGCTCTGTTCTGTCACCCAGACTGGAGTGAAGTGGAGCAATCTCGGCTCACTGCAACCTCGGCCACCCAGGTTCAAGCGAATTCTCATTCCTCAGCCTCTCGTTTAGCTGGAACTACAGGTGCTATGCCTAGCTAATTTTTGTATTTTTTTAGGAGAGTCGGAGTTTCACCATGTTGGCCAGGCTGGTCTCTCAAACTGCTGACCTCAAGTGATCCCCCCACCTCGGTCACCCAACGTGCTGGGATTACAGGCATGAGCCACCATGCCTGGCCCCTTTATTATCCTTTTAATGTTTATGGGATGTATAGTGATTTCCCCTCTCTCATTCCTGGTACTGTTTTTGTGTGTGTGTGTGTGTGTGTGTGTGTGTTTTCTTAATTTTTCTGATTATCTATCTGTCTGGAAGTCTATAAATTTTATTGAATTTCTCAAAGATCTAGCTTTTAGCTCTGTTTTTCATTTTATGTTTTCTATTTTATTTTTGCTCTTGTCTTTGTTATTTCCTAACTGCATACTTTGGGTTTATTTTGCTCTTCGTTTTCTAGCTTTTTAAGATAGAAGCTTACGTCATTAATTTGAAGTCTTTTTTGTAATATAGACATTCTGAGCTTTTCTCTAAATACTGCTTTAGCTGCATTCCACAATTTTGAAATGTTGTTTCATTTTCATTCAGTTCAAAGTGCTAATTTTTCTTTTTTTTTTGAGACAGAGTCTCACTCTGTCACCCAGGCTGGAGTGCAGTGGCATGATCTCGGCTCACTGCAACCTCTGCCTTCCAGGTTCAAGCGATTCTCCTGCCTCAGCCTCCCGAGTAGCCGGGATTGCAGGTGCCTGCCACCACGCCTGGCTAATTTTGGTATTTTTAGTAGAGATGGGGTTTCACCATGTTGGCCAGGCTGGTCTCGAACTCCTTACCTCAAGTGATCTGCCCACCTCGGCCTCCCAAAGTGCTGGGATTACATACTTGGCCTCTATGACTTACTTTTTTTTGCTCAACATTGTTTTTGTGATTCATCCACATTGATGTATATAGCTGTAATTCATTCATTTTCCACGGCTGCATAAAATTCTGTTCAAAGTATATGGATAGACCACAGTTCTTCTACTGACAGACATTTGGACTGTTTCCAATTATTTTGCTATAATAAATAATGCTGCAGTGAAGAATTTGAAATGCAGCTTCTGGTGCACATATATGAGTTTCTCTAAACTATATACCAGGAGTGAAATTACATGCACATCTTCAAAACAAACCATTTTTCTTCATTTAACTTTGATTCAGTTTTTAATAATTCTCCCTAATCCCTCTTAGTGACTGTATGTTATCTCATGAAGTATATGCACTAAACTACATCTCTATTCTTTTTTTTTTTTTTTTTTGAGAAGGCGTCTCACTCTGTCTCCCAGGCTGGAGTGCAATGGCATGATCTCGGCTCACTGCAACCTCCACCTCCCAGGTTCAAGCCATTCTGCCTCAGCCTCCCAAGTAGCTGGGATTACAAGCATGCGCCACCAGACCTGGCTAATTTTTGTATTTTTAGTAGAGACGGGGTTTCGCCATGTTGGTCAGGCTAGTCTCGAACTCCTGACCTCAAGTGATCCACCTGCCTCAGCCTCCCAAAGTACTGGGATTACAGGTGTGAGCCACCGTGCCAGGCTACATCTCTGTTCTTGAACATCTAGAATTTATTCCCAAGTTTTGAAACTTTATACACCAGTCTGAAAAAAAATTTTGTGGAGCCTCTGCTTTTTAGGTCATTTCCTTATGAAGATTTCCTAGAAGTGGACTTCCTGAAATAAAGACCAATTTACCAATTGTGCCAATTTGCATTCAGTGGGAGGATTTTGATTGCTGAAAAATGAAGTAATAATCCTTCAATTAGTTGTTTATCCTTTGGGGATCATGTATCTTTTTTTTTTTTTTTTTTTTTTTTTTGGAGACAGAGTCTTGCTCTGTCACCCAGGCTGGAGTGCACTGGCACAAACTCGGCTCACTGCAAACTCCGCCTCCCAGGTTCAAGCAATTTTCCTGCCTCAGCCCCCTGAGTAAGTGAGATCACAGGCACCCGCCACCATGCCTGGCTTAATTTTGTATTTTAGTAGAGATGGGGTTTCACCATGTTGGCCAGGCTGGTCTCGAACTCCTGACCTCAGGTGATCCACCCATCTCGGTCTCCCAAAATGCTGGGATTACAGGCATGAGCCACTGTGCCGGGCCGATCATGGATCCTTTTGAGACAATGATTAAAGTATGGGTCTTCTCTCCAGAAAAAAAGAAACACAATTGCATCAATAAACAAAACGGCATGAAATTTCAAGGGTTTCTCAGAACCTCTGAAGCCTATGTAAAATTGACACCTCTCTTGAATAAGAAATATTATCGTATCCACTGAATAGAAGTTTTGTTGCCATACTTCAACAAATAAGTTCACATACCAACTCTTGTATTGTCAACTACCTTTTGTACATAAACCATCACTTACTGAGCACCCACAATGTACCAGCAACATGCCAGATGCCAGAGGCAGAAGAATAAACGCTCCTAATTTCAAGGAATACAGAGTTCACTGGGGAAGGCACAAACTAACAAGTATTTATAATAAAATATATGCAGTAGTAGAAGTATTCATTAGGCAAAATGGAGGTACAAATTTAAGAATTGATCAACTTTCCTTTATCAAAGGTTTGCAAAGAATGAATGAGCATTCTCAAGGATATTATAGGTAGGGGAAACAGTACCAGCAAAGGAGGAAGACATCATATAACCTGGCATATGTAGGAAATTGTATGAGTTTAACATGGTTGAATTGGAATAGTAATTAACGTGGCAAGAGCTGAGACTTTTCCTTCTTTGGGTCAAAGATTGAAAGAACCAATACTGACATATACAATTTCAGCAGTTTGTCTAACAACACAAAGGAAACCACAAAAGAAGATTTCCTCCCAAATACTTCTTTTATTACCCAAACCTACTCTTATTACATACAAAGAAAACATTTTGCCTGTTTTCTTTTGCAACTGTTTGAAGTGCAGTGTTCCATTCAACAGACAAGGTTTAAAATCTACTTATTATTAATACAAACAAGCAGCACATTGTAAATTTAACATTGTCTGATGGCTTTCATTTTGTACACGGAAGTACTAGAAAGCCTGTACAATTACTACAATAATTCCTCATAAAATTGCCTTGAAAGACTAACTTATAGGTAAAACTGCAATTTTAACATTGATTTAGATAGAATGTTGATTTTCAGCCTGTCAACACTCCTAATGCTATCATCTCATGAAAAACGTTTTTAATTCAGCTTAACTTTTTTTTTTTTTTTTGAGACGAAGTCTCGCTCTGTGGCCGAGGCGGGAGTGCAGTGGCGCAATCTCGGCTCACTGCAAGCTCTGCCTCCCGGGTTCACGCCATTCTCCTGCCTCAGCCTCCCGAGTAGCTGGGACTACAGGCGCCCACCACCACGCCCGGCTAATTTTTTTGTATTTTTAGTAGAGACGGGGTTTCACCGTGTTAGCCAGGATGGTCTCGATCTCCTGACCTCGTGATCCACCCGCATCGGCCTCCCAAAGTGCTGGGATTACAAGCGTGAGCCACCGCGCCCGGCCAATTCAGCTTAACTTTTAAAATATAAGTAAGCACACTGTTACTTTGAAGTTACTGACTTAATTATAATGGAGCATGTGGAATTTTTTTAAAACATAGATGTTTTATACTCCTATGGAAAATGAATACAACCAGTTTTGATAATGCAACCTCGCAAATGTCCTTACTTGTTTGTATATATATACTTTCTCTTGAAACTGTAATTTGTTTAGATTTCTGCCATGCTTATTCTTTTCCCTTAATACCCAATTCATATACATCACAGAACCACATGTATAAACATAAGGTGTTATTATAAAGTGATAAAACCTGTTTTCTTGTGTGGCTAGAAAAGAAAAAATAGAGTTTAAAAATTTAAATGTTAACCAACTGAAGTTGAATAAAACAGTTTAAGTTTATAAAGCTCTCAGCACAAAGAAATGCCTGACTTTTTCTTTTTTTTCAAATAAAGGAATCTCTCAGATGGCATCCCATTAAACACCATCTAGCTTTGTCAAAATACAGGTTCTTCAAGAGTAGCTTAAAATATTAAAAAGATGTACTCTCATTACAAGTTACTTAATAAACAGGTAGAATATGGTTTCTCTTCAGATTTCTACCAAAGAAAGGAAATTCTTTATATGTGTGACAAAGAAATCCAAAGCGAGCAAGTTTTCTCTATAAAATCCGACGGATGTCAGAGGGAATAGGCAAAAGCACAAACAAAAATATATGTTAATATATTTTCTTCTCAGGTTTTGTTTTCCTCTAAGAGAGGGAATCTTCTTCATGGATTTTTTTCCCCCCAAGTAGAAAACATTCTTTAAATGAACTTAAACAAAATACATGGCCAATAAATGAAGAGTTCAAAGATTTTTATGAAGTGGGCTGAAAGTAAATGATCCTTGGCATGTATTTGAAGACATGAAACAACTCTGACCACACAAAAAAGTAAACAACAAATCTACAATAGGTACAAATTATATACATTTATTTTTAATAATTTTAAATAACACTCTTGTATAAATTCTTTCATATATTCAAATCATACACAAATTTAGAAATGCATGATGAAGCCTAGTACAGCATATGTATGAGACACATTTTTTAAGTTTGTGTTAGAATTTTAGTGACATAAATACAAGTTTAATGTTTCAGAAACATTCCCTAATTGCTCGGCCTATAATTTAATGTATTATAGAGTGCTTATGCCTAGCATTACAACTTGACTTTAAATCATTTAGCTTTTGGACTAACTTAGATCTGAAGCCCTGGGCTTACTTTCTAGGGCTGCTGCTGCAGTAACAAGTAACAATTCCTACCCACATAGCCCAAAATATAGGAACCAGGGATGTTCATTATAAGTGGTGTTATGTTCACCAAGCATCCTAAAAAGTGTAGGACCAAGGTGAATGATCTAATAACCCCATTCCAATCAAAGCTGTCAAGAGGAAGTATTGTTGCTTTAGTTTTCTACTCCCAAAACAGCACTTAAAGGGTTAAATATCCTGATGGTACTCAGCTGACCAAAATAAACTAGTAGGTCAGTGAGTATTGCTTTAATGGTCAATTTACCTGGGAATATTGGCGCTAGAGAACAGTGATATAATTTGAGGTGTCTACAAATGTTGTCTAAAAAACCTCTCTCCTCTCATCCCATGTTTCCTCTGTTCTCTACTCTTAAAATCTAGGTATCACTGGGAAGAGTAACGCACTAGGCCCACAGGACCTTAGTATTAATATAAATGAGCTTTAGTTTTCAAATGTCATTTTTTTCTCTATAACTGGAGAAATTCCATTAATAAAAGAACCCTAGGGGATAGAGGGTAGAGGGAGCGAGAGGGGAGTAAGGGAGGACACGGACATACTTAACACTACCTAGGGCACCTAACCATCAGAAATGCATAGGCGCTTACCAAAATGAATTAATGAAGATAAAAGCATCGCTTAATGGCAGTATCTGTAATTTCCAAATAAGATTCACATCAGTGCTATCTTATTTAAAAATAAACAGATTTCCAATCCTTACACAAACATTCTCCCAATATTAGGCTTTCTTTTTCTTCCTTTTTTTTGAGACAGAGTCTTGCTCTGTCGCCCAGGCTGGAGTGAAATGGCGCCATCTCGGCTCACTGTAACCTCTGCCTCCCAGGTTCAAGTGATTCTCCTGCCTCAGCCTCCCAAGTAGCTGAGACTACAGGCACGTACACCCGGCTAATTTTTGTGTTTTTAGTAGAGACGGGATTTCGCCATGTTGACCAGGCTGGTCTCGAACTCCTGACCTTGTGATCCACCCGCCTCGGCCTCCCAAAGTGCTGGGATTACAGGCGTGAGCCACCGCACCCGGCCCAAAATTAGGCTTTCTAAAGGACTGATGGCATCCTGCTGCCAGATGCCACAGTTTATGGGGCCCATGCCTTTAGAGGAAAGAACATTGTGCAGTGCATCCCATGCTAGTTTCCTAGAATGATTTCAGTGGTAGATCACTTTCTGATTGATTTATATTTTAAAGCAAATTATTTCCAGAATCAAAAAGCTCGAGACATTAGAGGATCTTATTTAAAACAAATTTTAAGACTTTTTTTCCCATTGAGAAAAATTATAACCATGATCTAGGAGCCATTAACAAGTATTTAAAGGTAAACTTTCTTTGTGATTCAATTTTTCAATACCTTTTAAGGTCTGTTTCAAGGAATTTCTACATGGTCAAAATCCTCTTAGACTCCAACAAACCTCCTTTCTCTCTATTGGTTTAACTTCTGTTTAATAAATGTTCACTTCTCACCACCTTTAATCCTGACCTTTTTTGGGGGGGGCAGGGGGCGGTGTATCTGGGAGAAAGACAGGTATGCCATTTTGCACAATTTCTTAGAATTGTGCAGTCTGTACACACATATGCAGCAACTGCTAGGGAAAGCAAATTTTCCCTTCCTGCTTGGAGAGATGAGTTCACCTTAATGAAGCACAAACTGGCAGTTTTGTTTTCTAATCACTAATACTAACTTCAGTTAGTAAATCTTCTTGTGTTCTTTTCACTAAGTGCTTCATAGCTGTATGGCCCTGGATTGCTCCTGATATTTAAAAAAAATTAAAAACATCCACAAGTAGAACTCTTCCTCCCAGCTTTCTTGTGTCCATGGCTAGGCAATTTCTGCATATAGTTGAAAAAACATGTGCTTTAGAGTTAGAGGCCCTGATTCCAAGCCTAATAATCACACACATTGTATAGCCTTGAACAAGATATTTAGCTCCTCTGTGCCTCAGCCTTTTCATCTATAAAATGGGGACAACAATTACTTCCTCAGGGGGCTATGGTGTGGAAGAGAGGACACACATATGGAAAAGTGCTTTGCAAACTACAAAGGGCTATAGAAAAACTAAATAATTTTCATATAATGTAATATAATGTAACCTCTATTCTTCTGAGCAATGGCCAAATACGCAAAGCACCCTCAGATTACCAGAAGTAGATTATTTGCTTGTACTCCCTCCAGAACATCATCTCCAAACCCTGAGAACAACTTAGGGGTCTCCTATAAAGGGATGACCAAGTTCTAGGTTTTTCTCTAGGGAAGTTAGGCAAAGGGGTCAGCTTGAATTTCCTAGGTCTAATCTAATAAGAAGTTTTTATTTTTTTTCTAACCACTTCACAGTTCACTGTTCCTCCTAATAAGTTATATTTAACATCTGACCACCTTTCCCACCCACCTTGCTTAACCCAAAATGTCAATATCATAATAAACGAGAGCAACAGTAGTTGGCCTCTAGGAAAAAACTCCATCAAAAAGCAAGAACTAACTAGACACACCCATCTACAAAGCTGCTCATTAACCAGACAGGAAGACAATGGGAGAACTATAGCACTGCAGGGAGATGGCACATACCTCATGGCAAATGAGTGACAGGCTATGTTCACATGTAGGAGATTTTTTATTTGGGGTGAGGGAGGATTATAAATATTTCATAGGCATGAAAACTACAGATCCCAAGTAATATGATGGCTTTTCTCTTGGAACTAAAATATTTCTATCCTTTGGAAGACTATCTTTTACATTCAAGAAAAACATTTTTTAATGAGGATATGTTTTATATTAATCTATGTAAAATATATAGGGTGGCTAATGTCTAATTAGATTAATGTTTTTGGAGAATGCATCCTATGTCCCAGCTTAACGATTACTGACTTCAAAATCTATTGCTTGAATCATAGTAAGTCAAAGAGCATATAACTCTACTTTTAGACTGAGAAAGGAAAGAAAGAAACATTCGACCTCTTATAAATTTCAGCAATGTCCTCAAGAAGGACTAAAAATGACGGATGCTCACCAGAGTCCCAGCTCTAGCAATATTGCCATCTATTTTACAGTATTTTAAGCAATCCCCATATTTTTCTTTTTACAACACCATTAACTGCTGTACAAATAAATTCCAGATGATAAAATATGACATGATTTTTTTTTTACAAATAGATACAAATACAACGTCGACCAGATATGCTACATTAACTATGTACACCTTATTTCTCTAGAGGCAGGAATATTCCTTATTTTTAGACAATTTATCATTTACACTGAGACCCTGAGGAGGACCATCAGCCTCCTGCTCCCCAATGCTGCCTTCCTCCCTTAGAAGCTTATCCTGTGCTTTCAACTCATCACTGAGCAAGAATCCTGGGAGGAAAAAACCAAGCCCTTCTGAAGATCTTGGGACTTTTCTACCCCTGTTCTAGAAACAATCAAGATTATTTACTGTGATACAGCCTAGAAACAAGCTTTTCCTCAATGATGTCCTTTTGTATAGTAAAACGAATATAATCCCTGACACTGTTTTAAAAAAAATGTTTCAGGAATGGAGATGAAGTCTTCCAGCAGTCTTTTCCCCCTCCACATTCATCATCTTGTTACCACTGGCTTGGTGAATGCTTCCCCAGGAGTCTATCTGGAGGTCAAAGTGGTTTTGGGCTGCACTATGGGGTTCAGCCTTTCCATACTCCCATGTGGTTTGGTACAAAAATATACTTTACTTCAAGTCCTAATGACAGTGAACGCTTCAGATCTTCATGGGAAAACTAAGAGCAATAGATAGGCTAAGCGCATTACAAATTTGTACCTGAAAATTTCAGATGCACTATTTGCCTTTGCTTTCTCAGCAAACTCTAGCCAGGCTTTGTCTGGCCCAGGGGCTGACTCTGTCTTAGCAAGCACTGTGGTTTAACAATTCAGAACAGTTCTAGCTCCTTAGGCTTTGTAGTTATGTATGGGCGTCGTCAGGGTCAGCTGCCCATTGGGAGCCACTTCATTGCCATCATCTTCCAACAATCCCGAAACATCTGCATTGGGAATGCTGTCATGGTAGCTGCTGAAACTGATATTGTCTTCTTTCAGCTCGATGGTCCAAAAGGGGGCATTGAGTTTCCGGTTTTGGTACTCGCGGTACATATATACAGCCCCCACAAATCCCATTAGCAGCACCACAACAATGATGATGACTGTCAAAATGATGATGTTAAATTGGGTCCATGATACATCAGCTAAAGCTGAAGTGCTGTTTTCAGAAGTGCTTACTGAAAAGATAGTCTGCAGGGTTGTAGGGGTAAAAGTACTATTTATAACAGGGGTGGGCACTGATGTGGTCAAAGAGGCATTGGAAACCAAAATGGTAGAACCTTCAGGTGTTGGAAGAATAACTTCTGAAAATAAAAACAGAGAATGAAATGTAAAAGACAAAATTATCTAGTTTTGAGAAACAATAAAAGAAATACGCATGGGAGTGAATGTTGATGTAGGATGTTAACATGATATTCTGCTTTAAGGTAATGCAAGTTAAAAATAATGTTTAAAGAAATATAGTGATAAGGGTAAGAATCAGGGTCTAGAAAGCTAGATTATTACATCTATGGCTGTTTTCCAATATGTATAATATCTACATTAAAATCTTTGGGCCGGGCGTGGTGGCTCACACCTGTAATCCCAGCACTTTGGGCGGCCGAGGGTGGTGGATCACGAGGTCAGGAGTTCAAGACCAGCCTGGCCAAGATGGTGAAACCTGTCTCTACTGAAAATACAAAAAATTAGCTGGGCGTGGTGGCGGGTGCCTGTAATCCCAGCTACTCGAGAGGCTGAGGCAGAGAACTGTTTGAAGCTGGGAGGCAGAGGTTGCAGTGAGCTGAGATCATGCCACTGCACTCCAGCCTCGGTGACAGAGCGAGACTCTGTCTCAAAAAAAAAAAAAAAAAAAATCTTTGGGAAAATACCAGTGTTGGAGTTTTCCATTCTTATTTACTCTTAGATAAAATCATATAAATTCCTGCAAAGGCAGTAAATTTGTCACTACTGAGCTCTAAATCACATAGTTAAAAGTAACAGGGATATATGGCAATCATTTGAACAAAAATAAGTCTAACAAGTCTGATGGCATTTCATAAAGGTAAAATAATTATCTGCAAAGGAGGTGTAGGGAAAACTATACCTCTAGTTATGTCTGAAAAACAAATTTTAAATGTCTGAGGCTGACATCAGCCAAGAGAGAAAACAGCTTTCCTTAATTCCATGTGTAGGAATTCTTCCTTTGTGTAGATTACAGCTACTTTATAATTTAGGTATTATACTTTGTATTTCTAATGGCAGCATAGTTTGGTGGAAGGACTAAAGGCTTTGGAATCAAATAGAAGTGTGTGGCTACAGATAAGTAAATTTTTTTAAAGCTCGGTTTCCTTATCTGTAAAATGTGAATAATAACATCAACTTTGCTGAGTTCTTGGGAAGGATTAAATGAAATAATATACTACACAGCATTATCACATTTAATGCTTACGGTGCTTGGCATATAGTAGGTACTCAATAAAAGTATTACTATTATTATTATAATTCTTCACCATGAAAGCCATATCAATTTATTCTAAAAAGAGGCAAAGTTTATATATATTACCTATTAGCTAATAAGAAAAATCATCAGTTCTGTCAGCTAACTATGGACAAAGTGTGCCTCCCAAATAGGTAAGAGAACTGAGTAGCAGGATCTCTAGCTAGTAATAGGGTTCAATCTGAATCTTTTTGCCTTGATCACTACAGTATAAAGATATCAAGAAAATGGCAGAAAGATGACAGTTGCCATAGACCAACTGTTCATCAGCCTCGTGTTCAGCATGTTAAGAATATCAAAGAGTGGTTTGTAGAACAGCATGGTCCAATCTCTCTGTGACCTAATAAACCCTCAATATCCTAACTCATCCTGAATTCATAATCATTAATTTTAATTACTGAGCTTTCCTATAAGAAATATTTTGCCATGTGGATAACTTTTGCTTTTAAAATTCAAAAGGAATATTATTATTTCCTCCATTGTACATGGGGAAACTTAGGCCCAAAGTTAGGACAGATGCTAGAATGAACTCCAGCTTCTCAGCTGGAACTTCTAACCAGATTAGATGTCCCTACTTCAAAAGACCTTTGATGATCCCTCAAAGTGATGAGAATAAAGGAAGCAAAGAATAAAAGAAATGATAGGATTCTTAAATTATTAACATAAAAATAAAAATAGATGAAGAGAAAAATGTGAGAACATTTTGTCTCACTGTCGCAATGACTTTGTCTTGGTCCTCAAATTTCTGGAGTTGACTGTGGAGTGTCAGAAGAGCAGCAGGAATGGAAGGAAACCTCTTTAGGCAAATATCTATCAAAATCTATTTCCAGAAACTCCTCTGGTAGGGTTAGAAGGTTTTACAAAGCCTTCCATTTTTCACTGCTAGTTTTAGATATTAAATTTACAATCACTTAGGTGAAGTTTTACCTTTCTTGATGCAATTTCCCTCGAGGTCGTGAACATAACCTTCTAGGCAGTTCTCACACCAAAACCCAGTGGTGTTATGGAGGCAGTTGATGCACTCACCACTCTCGGGCTTACAAATCTTTGGAGTTTTAACTGGGTCCACATGGCCGTGACATTGGCACTTTCTACAGATGCTGTCAAAATTGTAATAGCCATTTTCACATTTATTGCAGTTCGGGCCTATGTAACCATCTTTACACTGGTCACATTCAGGTTCCAATTCACTCGATTCTAAAAGAGAGAATGCCAAAATAGTTTAGTACAGTCTGAAGCTACAATTAAAAATGCAAAACAACTACTAGTCCTTAAAAAGATTTATAATCCCAGAACTTTGGAGGCCAAGGTGGAAGGATCGCTTGAGCCCAGGAGTTTGAGACCAGCCTGGGCAACATGATGAGACCCTGTTTCTAATTTGTTTTTTATAAACCTTCCCTACTGTCTCCTCTCTAGAGACATATAATAATCTCTATTAATTAATTAAACTAATAATCTATAATCTATTTACTAATTTTCCAGCTTATTGTAGGAATGATGGGGCCATCCAGAGAACCTATTCATGTAGAGAGCAAAATAAATAGGCTTACATAAGGAGTCTGAATGATTATGATGGGTTGGCACTCTCATAATTGTGTTATTCCCTTCTTTTTATAGATGACAGATTGGATAAAATATTGTTTTAACAAAAACTTCCTCCATCCCTCCCAAACTTAAATGTGGGTACTCTGCAGACTTCTATTCTTGGTTTCTTTCTCTTCTCTGCTCATTTTCCATGGGTGGCCTCATCCACTGACATCATCAACAATTCCAATATGTGTATGTGTATCTCTAGTCTACATCTCTGTCCTAAATTCCAAACTATATACTAACTTCCTGTACACCTGGATCCACAAACATCTCAAACTTAACATGTACAACACTGTCCTCAGTATCTTCCCTTCCTGAGTCCTGTCTTCCTCCAATGTTCCCTAGATCTCAGTGAATGGTACCAACATCTACCCACTTGCATAAGCCAAAACACTGAGAATCATCTCTCAATCCTCTTCCTCCATATGTCCCTTCTAAGCAGTTATCAATTCATATTAATTGTACCTGATTAAAGTCTTTCCAATCCACGGATGTCTCTTTCCATTCCCACTGGAGTGATCTTAGATTAAGCCTTCATCATTTCTCACCTAGATTATTGTAGCTACTTCCTCATGGTTCTTTTTATCACAATGCACCCCTACATTCACTTTGAACTTCAAAGTAAATAAGAATATGTTACTTCTCTAGAGAAATCTCTTCAATGGTTCCCTAACTCCTTCAGGATTAAGTGAAAACGTAATAGAATTTTTAGTACTTTTCATAATCTGACCTCTGCCTACTTCTCTCAACTTTTCTCTCTTCACTTCACACTCCACCACCCCCTAAGGTTCAGGCACATTAAATGGCTTAAAAGAACTCCCAAATACCCAAATACTGCCTGCTTTCTTCTGTCTGAGGTTTTGTACATACTACTTTCTCTGCATGGGACATCCTCTTGTCTCTCTTTCTAGTTCAGTTAGCAAATTCAATCTGTAGGAATTAACTCAGGTATTACTTCTTCTCAGAAGCACAGAAGTTTTCCTTGATTCCCTCAGTTTAGGATAGGGTTAGTCTATGCTTAACTGTAACACATGTCATTTGAAATTGTAATTACCTAGTTACTTGTGTGTTTCTCCCATTAAACTATGAGCTATTTGACATTTTTCTGTCTTTATCGCCAATGTTTAGCACAGTGCCTAAAACATAGCACGTGTTCAATATGTATCTACTGAGTAATTTCACTTTAGGCAGTAGGAACATAACAACTCATACCTATCTGTTTCCTTTTTTATTCTTCATAGGATTTCAATTCTGGATTCTTAATTATATTTAATAAATAATTTTTAATAATCAACAAGTCATCTTTTAAATCTGCTAGATAGATTAGTTCTTTCCTTAGAATTTACTATTATAATTACACTAACAGGATCACCCTGTTATCTAAACACAGACTAATGTTATTATAGCAGGAATACTTTACAGTGGTCATGGAACTTGTGGCAATGAATCATATTTCTGATGCTCTTTAAGAAAAACGAATTCCTTTCATCTTTCACTTTTACTTTTTAAAATGGCTTTGAGATATAATTTATATACCGTAACATTCAACCATTAAAAGTATACAATTCAATGGTTTTAGTATATTCCCAGAGTGTGCAACTGATAAAGAATTCTAACTTACCACTTACAATCCTAGTGGGTAGTGTGATCTCAAGTAAGTTACTAAACTCTGGGCCTCAGCTTTCCATATTTCAAATAAAGGAATTAAACCAGAAATACTTAGGTTACTTTCAGCAATAAAAGGTGGCAGCTGAATTATTCATAACCCATGCAAACAATAATATGCAGGAAAAAAATTCTTAGTGAAAAGGCATATATTCCTTGTTCTCAATGAAGTTACAGCTTACAACAGTACCATATTTTACAGCATTTTTGTACTTCAACAACTATAGCAACAATAATCTAAAGAATTCCTGATGAAATAGACTGAAGGACTGAAATTAAGGTTTGTGAAAGCCTTTCATGCCTGTCATGGGCAGACCAACTGGACCTCAAATATGACATTCAATGTGCTGCCTGATGTTTCACTCCTTCTGCCTTATACTTTGTTTCTGCCATTCTTAAGTAGTTTCTTGATCAAATAAGCTGTTTTAAGATTTCTGTACCATTGTTCCTACTGATATTTTTATCTGAAATGTCCTTCCTTCTCCTGTCTACCTGCTAAATGCAGACTCCCATCACGAGACTCAGCTTTTATGTCACATCCTCTCTGAAGCCATTGCTGATATTCCCCCACTCCAGGCAAAGTAATTATTCCCTCTTGGTGCATCCACTATACATAAATACATGATATTGCACTGTAGTACGAGAGCTTGAGGGACAGGATAATTTCCTACTGGGAGGTATAGAAAAGTCTTCATGAAGCAGGTAACATTTGAATTGGGCCTTGCTAAGAAGGTCACCATCAAGAAAGCAAAAAATTAAACCACAAAATAGAAAAAATATTTATAAATCATATATCTGTTAAGGGACTTGTATCTAGAATATATAAAGAATTATTTCAACTCAATGATAACAAGATAAATAATCCAAATTTTAAATGTGCAAAGGATCTGAACAGACATTTCTCTAAATATATGAATGAACAATAAGCACATAACTAGCCATCAGGAACATGCAACTTAAAACCACAGTGGAATACCACTTCATATCTACTAGGATGGCTATAATTATACAAAGGCAGATAGTAAGTGTTGGTGAAGCTGTGGAAAATTTGGAACCTACATACAGGGTTGGTGAGAATGAGAATGCAAAATGGTGTACTCATTTTGGAAAACAGTCTGACAGCTCCTCAAGAGGATAAACATAGTTACTACAGGACCCAGGAATTCCACTCCTAGGTATACACTGAAGATAAATGAAAATATATGTACATACAAAAACATGTATACAAATGTTCACAGCAGCATTATTTGTAATAGCTAAAAAGTGGAAACAACACAAATGTCTATCAATTGATGAAGAGAGCAATGAAATGGGGTATAACACAATAATATATTATTTAGTAACAAAAAGGAATGAAGTACTGAGACATGTTATAACATGAATGAACTGAAAATACTATGCTAAGTGAAAAAAGCCAGACACACAAGGCCATGTATTGAATGACTTCATTTGTATGAAATGTTCAGAATGGGCAAATCCATAGAGCAGAAAAAGTAGGTTAGTGGTTGCCTAAGGCCAGAGGAAAAGGGAGTAATTGCTAATGATTATAGGATTGTTTTTTAGGTCCTTTTGTTGGGGGAGGTGATGAAAACTTCTAAAATTGATTGTGGTCATGGTTGCAAAACTTTGAGACTATGTACTAAAAAAACTGAATTTTGCATCTTAAATTGTATGAAATGTGAATTACAGCTCAACAAAGCTATTATTTAAACAGACAGGGAGAAAAGAAAGGAAAGAAAGAAAGAAAAGAAAAGAAAAGAAAGAAAGGAAGGAAGGAAGGAAGGAAGGAAGGAAGAAAGAGAGAGAGAGAGAGAGAGAAAGAAAGAAAGAAAGAAAGGAAAAAATTCAAACCAGCACCACCCAGCTAAGCTGCTTCGAAAGTCCTAGTAGAAAATATGTGAAATAATGAATGCTTACTGTTTTAAGCCACTAAATTTTAGGGTAATAGGTTATTTAGCAATAGATAACTAATATATATATCAGGATTAAATGAGTCAACTATATTTATTAGATTGCAATTAGTCAACATTATTCGGTATCTAGGAGGAACTAATTAGTAAATGTTACCTTGAAATAGGTGAGCAAAAGTTGCTCAGTCTTGAAGTTCCTGCATTAACTCATTATGCAGGTTTTTAGACACTTTAAGTCTCATTCACATATATATATATTTGGATTAGATTATAAATTCCTGGAAAGGAAAACTTTTGCTGTTTTTATAACTCCCTTTCACCTATAGCATCCAGAACTTTATTCATCAATGCAACTTATACCTATTGATAACTGATTTTTTTTTCCCTCTAAAATGAAAAGTTAGAGAAAGGCCTTACTTATAGAGCAGCTGCCTGTAGATGTCACTGCTGAACAAGGGCAGCGAAGACATTCTTTAGTGGCATCAGGACTCTGATAAAATCCTTCTTTACATTCTTCACAGTGATTTCCTTTGCTATTTTCCTGGCAGTTTAAACAAGCACCTAAAAGAAGCAAATTATTTTTAAAAGTTAAAGATTTACCTTGAAAGCCAAGTAACTTTCAAAAATCATGCCTGCAACAAAAAGATCATAAGAAAAAGAAAAACTAATAGGGATTGGATAGAGTTAATTTCTACCCCACCTGATTTCTATACTGCCATGTCTATGAATTGTGTCCCCTACTAGATTGTAAGCTCCTTAGGGAAAGGTGGGATACAAGATTAGTGGCTCAATAAATCCTTGCTGGTTAATCTGATTACATACCAAAAGTAGCAACTATACGCCAAGGAGAAAACAAAAACAATCCAAATACATATTAATAGAAGAATAGATAAATTGTGGCATTTTCATAAATGAACTAATCATACATGCATGAACATGCACAAATCTTTTTTTTTTTTTTTTTTTTAGAGATGGGGCCTCCCAAGTGGCTGGGACTACAGGAGCATGCCATTACACCCGGCTAATTTTTAAATTATTTTATGAGACAGGATTTCACTGTGTTGCCCAGGCTGATACTGAACTCTCAGCCTCCAGTGATTCTCCTGCGTTGGCCTCCCAAAGTTTTGGGATTACAGGCATGAGCCATTAGATTAGCCACCCAGCCTAAATCTTAAAAAGAATGTTGGTTGAAAAGCAAATTGGGGAATAACACATACAGAAAGAGAATACTTATTAAAATTTAAAAACCACACTAAGCGCACTAAGCAAATGGATACAGAGTACACTAACCAGATGGATATAAACATGAGGTAAAAATTAAAATGTGGATTGCGAGGGTATAGGGGAATTTTACACTCTGCTTGTCTCTGTGGAGGGAGGGGGGTAAAACAGGACTACGGAGGAAAAGAGGACCTCAACTTTATTGAAATTTTCTATTTCAAAGATGTAACTATATACATATATATATAAATATGAAGCAAAATGTCAAAATGTTAATCTTTATTATTAATAATTCTGGGTGTGAGTGCATGGATATTTGTTATATTATTCTCCATAGCTTTATATATTTAAAAATTTAAAGTAAAAATAAAAACAATTAATAAAGAAAAGAAAAAAACAAAACAAAGTTAGGTTTTGTAATAATACTCCCTTGGCACTCTATTAGTAAGGATGTTCTACAGACATGGAAGCAGCATAACATTTGAAAATACAAAATGAGAAAGTGTAACATAATTTACATTCCTTCCTTATGGGGCCAGGAAGATTCAAAGGGACACTCAGAACTACTATTATGGAAATTAGTGAGTAAATTCTACATAGAAATCTAGGAAGATAATGACATTTTACAAAGTAAGCTAACTACAGTCCAATGCTAAAACTATTCGTAAAAGTCTTGATTTCTTTTCCTTACTAGCAGAAATATTTTTAAAAGGGGAGAGAGAATAAGGCTGTGAAATAAAATGGTCTCACAACTGAAGCAAAACTTGAAAAAAACAAAAGAATGAAAATGTCATCAACCTACATGTTAAAAAGCTCAATTTTTTTTTTTTTTCTTTTGAGACGGAGATCACTCTGTGGCTCAGGCTAGAGTGCAGTGGCATGATCTCTGCTCACCACTCACTGCAACCTCCATCTTCAGGTTCAAGTGATCCTCCTGCCTCAGCTTCCCAAGTACCTGGGATTACAGGCGCATGTCACCACGCCTGGCTAATTTTTGTATTTTAGTAGAGATAGGGTTTCACTACGTTGGCCAGGCCGGTCTCGAACTTCTGACCTCAAGTGATGCGCCCATGTAGGCCTCCCTAAGTGTAAATCTCAATTCTTAACTGACTACAGCAAAATTCCCCCAAACTTCATAAATTTATTGTGAAAGATACCTTCAAAAGTTTATGTGAACACTTAACATTAAATCAAACTTGTATGTAAATATCATCATTTTCAATCATGTAATTGTAAAGGCCTGATAGTGTTAATGACATTTTTCCCACATAACAAAGTAGTATATATTCATGCTGTGGTAGACACTTTAGGTACTGGCTTCTTTCAGATCTTCTTGTATCATGATCTCTCTTTAGCTATGTATCTTTGTGACAATAAAAAACAGCTGAAAAATACATACTAGGAAACTGGAGTTTTGCTCTAAAAATAAAACAATTTTAAAAGTTAAACTGTTCCTCAGGTTGGACACGTCAAAACCTGCATTATGTGTGAAATCTGTCTACCTACTCTCCCCCTATTAAAAATGTTCAATACAAAGAATTTTTAAGAGAAAAAGTTCTGATAAAGTGCTAAGCTTTAATATAAAAAATACCTGAAAAAAAAAAAGCTAACAGTTCCATAGTAAAATTTGGATGTTCAGGGTAAGATGCAGTCCAATAATAAGTCCTTTGTGCATAGCTGATGTGACAAGAAAAGGTCATGTTGCTACCCTTTATATACATATATACATACATACATATATATATGTATATATGTATATGCCAGGCATGGTGGCTCACGCCTGTAATCCCAGCACTTTGGGAGGCCAAGGCAGGTGGATCACCTGAGGTCAGGAGTTCGAGACCAGCCTGACCAACATGGTGAAACCCTATCTCTATTAAAAATACAAAATTAGTCAGGTGTGGTAGTGCATGCCTGTAATCCCAGCTACTCAGAAGGATGAGACAGGAGAATCACTTGAATCCGGAAAGCAGAGGTTGTGGTGAGCCGAGATCACACAATTGCAATCCAGCCTGGGCAACAAGAGTGAAACTCCTTTTCAAAAATAATAATAATAAATAAATACATATATGTAAGCGTGTGTGTGTGCATGTGTGTGTACACACACACACACATGCACACACACACACTTGTAATCCTTTACTCCTACAGGGCTACTGGGCTTATATGTTTACTATTTTGGGGCTTTTTACTATTCTAAATAAGACTCCACATGTTTGTGACTACCACAATATAATTCTACTCTCTTAAGCCATTTATACCAGAATATTTTTTCCAGAAGAATTTTTTATTTGTGTTTGTTTTTTGGCCATACCCTGCAATGAGAAATCAATGAGTAAAAAAAAAATAACCTTACGTGGTAAACAATGTTATCTCAAAAGTAAAAATGAAAGCAAGTATAAGTATAAAATTTAGCCCAACACAGTGGCTCAAACCTGTAATCCCAGCACTTTGGGAGGTCAATGCAGGTGGATTGCTTGAGCCCCAGAGTTTGAGACCAGCCTGGGCAACAGGGCAAAATACTGTCTCTACAAAAAATACAAAAATTAGCTGGGTGCGGTGGTGCATGCCTGAGTCCCAGCTACTCAGGAGGCTGAGGTGGGAGGATCGCTTGAGTCTGGAAGGTTGAGGCTGTAGTGAGCTATGATCATGCCACTGCACTCCAGCCCGGGAAATAGAGCGAGACCCTGTCTCAGAAGAAAAATAAATAAATTAAAAAAAGAATAAAATTCATTGATTCTTAAATATTAATCACTGTTTACATTGCTTTAAGGTGCATGTACCTAAAGTACAACTATAGAGAAAGAAAACAAATAAATTAAAGATAGGCCAGACATAAATAACCAAAGTGTTAACAACAGTCGTGAGAGGCAATAGCCCTTTCAGAGTTTTTCTCCCTCTAGTCTAGAAATTATCTCTAGTATACATGCATCACTTTTATTTTTTATTACCTTGATTTTTCTTATTGTAAAATAACACACTGTAAAATATATCACATACACATTGTAAAATATTTCAAGAACTCAAGCAATTTGAAACACTTCATATATATATTTAATAATTATTTATTTTTACAATAAAAATAAAGACCATAACGTTTAAAACCTATATACGGTAGAAACTAATGATGTGAATTTGCTTCTTTAATAGCTTACAACTCCTCTGTGAGAGGCAACATAGCATTAAAAAATGGTATGGGGCTGGGTGCGGTGGCTCACACCTGTAATCCCAGCACTCTGGGAGGCCGAGGCGGTCGGATCACGAGGTCAGGAGATCAAGACCATCCCGGCTAACACGGTGAAACCCCGTCTCTACTAAAAATATAAAAAATTAGCCGGGAATGGTGGTGGGTGCCTGTAGTCCCAGCTACTCGGGAGGCTGAGGCAGGAGAATGGCGTGAATCCGGGAGGCGGAGCTTGCAGTGAGCCCAGATCAGCCACTGCACTCCAGCCTGGGTGACAGAGCAAGACTCTGTCTCAAAAAAAAAAAAAAAAAAAAAAAGTGGTATGGGAATTAATGTCAAATTTGTGTTCCATTTCCAGCTGAAATTCTCACAAACTAAGTTACCTTAAGCAAACAGCTTCTCTGATTTTCACTTTTCTAATCTGTAAAATGGGATAATAATTCTTTGGCTAACGATTTAATATAATGTGAGCATTTCAAAGGGTGAAAGACTATTCCATAGGACATAATGTTTTCTCTTTATGTCTTAATTTCTTCATCTGTAAATTTTAAAAGCTGAACTAGATGAAATCTAAGGTTTCCTTTAAATCTAAAATCTAAGAATCTTTCTTTTATGATAAATGATACATAAAAATAAGCTGAAGTTTAACATTGTTCATTATGCTCTGCCTGGAACCCCCCAAAATATAACAATACTGCCCTAAAACTCACATTCTCACATTCTCATTGCTGAAAGATGGCCAAAGGGTGGATCAAAAGAAAAAGGAATGTTTCCTGAAGATGATTTTTTCATGCTCCTTGACTAAGCATCTCAAAAATCTTTGTAGAGATAACCAAGAAAATAAATAGTCAAAGAAAGGAATGTAGGGCTCCTTTCCAGCCAAATTCAGGGACAAAACATTGAAAACATACATTGTTACCTGCAAAAAGACCTTTCCTTATTCCTTTATTTATTTTACCATTTCATCATTTATATATAAACCTATCTGAAATACAGTAATGTGCTTTGTTGTAGGAAGAAATGCCTTACCCTCTTTATAGAACAAAAGGCAAGCTTTAACCTGTCAAACTGAAAGAAGGCCAGTATGGAGCCCAGGTTAACAAGGGAGAGAGTAACAGGGCATAAGGTCAGAGAGAAAGGCAGGGCCCAGAAAATGTAAAACCAGATAGGCCATAGAGAGATGTTTGAATTTTATTTATTCCAAAAGGGATGAGAAGCCATTGGAGGGCTTAAGCATGAAAATGACATGATCTGGTTTTACATTTTAAAAAGATTGCTCTGGTTGTTATGTGGAGACTAACTGTGGTGGGGTGGGGATCAGAGAATAGGGAGAGAAGAGAGGAGGCTGAAAGGCCAGATGAGACTGTGCCAAAGTAGTTCAAAGAGATGACAGTGGCTTGGGCAAGGATGATGCAATAAAAGTCATGAACAGTGGTCAGATTCAGGGTATGTTTTGAAGATAGGGCTGATGGAATATACTGATGAGCTGGATATTTGCAGTAATAAAAAGGAGCAAAATCAAAAATGACTACTAGGCTTTGGGACTGAGTAACTTGGTGAAATGAATAGAGCAGGCTTAACTTATAAGTTGAAAAAAAAGTTGTTTTGGATGTGTTAGGTATATAATGCCAATTAAAACAAGTGGATATTTGACAGTTGGATATTTGAGTGTGGAGATCAACGGAGAAATGCAAATCTGATAATAAGCACATATATAGATGGCATTTAAATTAAATCCAGGGTTAAGGGGGAAAATGAGCTAAAACAAACAAACAAATACAAATTAAATCCAGGGGACTGAATGAGACCACTTAGGGAGAAAGTTTAAATGGCAAAGACAAACTTGACAAGCTCTGAGCCCTGAGGCACTCCAGTGCTTGGAGCTGAACTGAGGAAGATGTAGTAGAACAAATAAGAAGGAAAAGCTGGTTAGGTAGCACAAAAACTAGGAAAGCATGATACTCTGAAGTAAGTATCATTGGGGAGTAGAGGATTGGTCAACTCAGTCAAGCTGCTCAGGTCAAGTTACTCATCATGGGACACTATGAATACATAAAGGTACACTGGATTTTCAAAGGAAGTATATTATATGAACATGAAGTTCCAGTTTTAAAAATAATATCCCCCCACTTCCATTTTAAGGGAAACGTGCTTAATAAAGAAAATCTAGAAAAATACAGGAGTAGAAAGGGGTAAAAAATCATCCTAGGAAATCTCTCATTAAGATTTTTAGGCTGGGCTCCGTGGCTCAAGTCTGTAATCCCAGGACTTTGGGAGGCCGAGATGGGTGGATCACCTAATGTCAGGAGTTCAAGATCAGCCTGGCCACCATGGTGAAACCCCGTGTCTACTAAAAATACAAAAATTAGCTGGGCGTGTGATGGTGGGCGCCTGTAATCCCAGCTACTTGGGAGGCTGAAGCAGAAGAATCGCTTGAACCCGGGAGCCAGAGGTTGCAGTGAGCCGAGATCGTGCCATGTACTCCAGCCTGGTGACAGAGCAAGACTCGGTCTCAAAAAAAAAAAAAAGATTTTTAGTACTTCTCTTTGTAATCTTTCCTCATTTACAGGGGTTTGGCTTTTGTTTTTTAACTAGTCTAATTATATGGCATAAGTTATTTTATACCTTGCTTCTTTCACTTTCTCATATTGCTATATATCATTCTTTAAAACATTTTATCAGCCAGGCACAGTGGCTCACATCTGTAATCCCACCACTTTAGGAGGCCGAGGCAGGCGGATCACCTGAGGTCAGGAGTTCGAGACCAGCCTGCCCAACATGGCAAAACCCCGTCTCTACTAAAAATACAAAAAATTAGCCGGGCGTGGTGGTGGGCGCCTGTAATCCCAGCTACTTGGGAGGCTGAGGCAGGAGAATCGCTTGAACCCAGGAGGTGGAGGTTGCAGTGAGCCGAGATCGCGCCACCATACTCCAGCCTGGGCAACAAGGGTGAAACTCTGTTTCAGAAAAAACAAAACAAAACAAAACATTTTATCGAGAACATAGTAACAGTTACCATTTACTGATTACTTGTGATGGACCAGGCACTATATAAAGGCTGTACAAGTGTATTGCATTTAATCTTCACGACAACCCACTAGGCAGTTACTGCTATTATATCAAATTTATAGATGAAGAAACAGATTAAGCAACTTGCTCAAGGTAAGGTCAACATTTGGTTTTCTGTGTTTTTAATAATATACTGCCTAGATAACAGTATTTACTTAATACCCTATTGTGAGAAATTGGGTTGCCTAACTTTTTAAAATTGTAACTACCATTTTGGTGAGCATCTCTGAATATAACCTTCTTAAGAATTTAGAATTCTTTCCTTAGAATAGATTCCTGGAAATAGAACTACCAGATCAAAGAACAATTTTTAAGATTTCTAATACTTACTGTCAAATTGCTTTCCAAAATGTTTATCCAAATATATCTTACCACAAAAAAAGAGTACTTTGAAAATCTACTTCAATCTAAAACACAAGGTATAGCAAAACAGTAGAGGGGGTGAAAATAGGACTGTGAAAACACAGTAAGTGGCCACCAGAGGGCAACCTTATCACAGCACTGTTGAAAATAAAGTCACTTGACGAGAGTGGTTTTATATAAAGCTTGTAATTTTAAATACAGTATTTGCACTCCTTCACGTTGGATTCCACTTTTATTATAATTCCAAACAAAGAACCCATTTATTTCTCTCACTACTAGCTGCTTTTAGAAACCATAACCATGAAAAGAATTATTTTGCCTTAAATTATCTCCAGAGAAAGGACAGGTCAGCACTTACATGACAGTAAAGACAGTGGCCTCGTTGCCTTAAGAAAAATTAAAACTGAGAATCAGCAATGTAGACTGCTTTTCGGTACTGTAAAAGATCTAGGGAGTAATTTTAATCGACTCAGTATAATGAAGTATTCCTGTTGTTACTCAGTATTGAAAATAATCTTTCCTCTGTACGCCTTTCCATTCATTTGTTCATTTATTTGATAAAAATTTAGTGAGTAGTTACTATATGCTAAAGCTCCATGCTAGAGATTGTGTATACAATGGTGAAAAAAAAAAGTTCTTGCCCTCATGAGTGAGCCATATGTGACTCAGAATCACAAATAAATATACAATTACAAACTGTGAAAAGTGCTATGAAAAAATACAAGTATATGTGAGAGCATATAATAAGGAAATTACCATTAAGCCTAGAGCATCAGGAAATGCTTTCTAATGAAGTGGCCTTTAATTGACGACTCGAGGGAAGAATGTGATTTAATAAGGCAGAGGGGTCAAGGATGGAGGTAGAGGTGGATTAGAAAAACCATTCTTGGCAGAGGAAAGATCATATATGAGAACCCTGGGACCAGGGAACATGCCTTGTTTTAGAAATAAAAGCCAGTCTGACTGGATCACAGATGTAAAGAAAAAGAACGCCACAAGATAAAACTGGCAAATAGGCAGAGACAAGATCGCATAAAAGAAAAAAAAAACAATTTCTTCTAAATCAATTTGTTTTACTATAGAGTATTTGAATGAAGAATAAAACTTTCAACCGATTTTTCCAGGGTACTTTTGACTTCAAGTATTTTGCCACCCTGTTCTCATAAAAACACTTGTACTTGTCAGACTAGTGTGTCCTGATTTTTTTTGCTTGTTTGTTTGGGAAAAAAAATGTTTCCAAGGAAGGATACTTAATTCTTACATTTAGGAAAACTAAGATCAGAAGTTAATTGGCTTTAGTTTTTAATGGTTTGACTAAGTTTGCCTAAATGTGGTTTTCTTTGTTTTATATTGCTTAGGGTTTGCTGAACTTTCTGAATCTGTCGGTTGACACCTTTAATCCATTTGGAAAATTCATGGCCATTTTCTCTTCAGATATTACTGGGATCCAGTATCACTTTCCTCTCTTTTTAGATCTCCAATTACATTTATGCTAAACCTTTTGGCTGTGTCCCACATCTTCCCTGCTCTGTTCTTTCCATTATATTTTCTCGAAATGCTTCAGTTTGGATATTTTTAATTGTACTGTATTCAAGTCTTCTAACTTTGTCTTCACTGTGTACAATCTACTGTTAGATTAATGCAATGAGTTATTAATTCACATGTTGTATTTTTCAGTTCCAGTTTGTTCATTTGATATTTTAGAGATTCCAATTTCTATTGACATTTTGCCTCTCTTCACCTATTTTGTCTGATTTTCCCTTTATTGTATGAAAATACTAACTTTAGTCAAGTCTTTCTAAGTTGACTCTAACACCTAGATCACCTAAAGGTCTGCTTCCATTGCTCATTTTTTTTCTCTTTGGTATTGGTCACATTTTTCTGTCTTTGCATTGTCCAGTATTTTTTATTGTATGCCGGACACAGTATATAAAAGAACCAGAGAGGGCTCCCCTTTCATCTGTTAGGCAGATATAATGAGAGAATTACTTCAATCCAATCAGAAGGTGAGGCGGCTTGAGGGTGGACTGTAATTTTAGTATGAGTTAATCAACTTCTGGTTCCTTACTATTTCTTGGTCAGAGCCTAGCAAGCCTGTGTCTCCTTAGCCCTAAAAGACTGTGAGAGATTTGTATTGGCCTTTGGTAATTTGAGCTTAGGTCCCACTGCATGCACCCTCAGAGTCTGAAGACATCTTGAGGGGGAGATAATTGAATGTCATAGCAGGCCCTCTCTTTCTAAAGGGATTTTGTCTCCTCAGCACAAGACTGAAAGAGAAAGAGATTTTTTTCTACCTTTCTGGCCCAGCCTTCCATCTTTTGCATAGTCGGCTAATATCCTGTGGGAAAGCTGGCCTTGTGTTTGGGGATCCTCTTGTTTCCAACCATCATGCAAGCCTCAAATGACTGCCAAAAACATTTCTTGTATCTCTTTCCTAAAGAATTCCTTTGCTTGGGTCTAGCTCATTCTTTGCCTATGCTCAGAATCAGCAAATGTCCCCTGGAAAGACAATGGCTGGTGATCATCAGTTTACCTAGGAAGAGTTCCAACCTTTCTGGAATTTTAGTTCCTATAGTTCTCCTTGCCTCCATAGGTATATGACTTTTTTTTTTTTTTTTTAATTTACGTACTTTTTCAAGTTTGTTGTAGCAGGAGTTTGGCTTGCTGTGATCTAGTACATCCTACTTAGAAGATAAAGGCCCTTCCAAACTATTTCAGAAGAATCAACCTATAGCTGAAAGATTTCCAAATTAAAAGAACAGTGGAATAATTACATGACAAAGTTAAGGAAAGTACGTACCTGTGAGGGCATCGCAACTGGCAGACCGATTATTGCATTGGCAGGGCAAGCAGCCATTCTTACTAAAGCCATAATATCCATCTTGGCATCGGTCACATATAGAGCCAATGACACCCACTTTGCACTGGCATTTCCCAGAACTGCAAATAAAAGCAAAGACAATGAATAAAAGTAAATCAATTTAAAAGTTGTATTGAGTAACACCCCAGAAGGGAAAGAAAGCCCAGCTCATGTAAATCATATATACTTACCATATCTCAAAGCCTTGTGTCCAAATAAATCACCTATCAAATTCTGTATTGCTATTAAAAGCTGTCTAGTGTATTGCATAATGCAATTTCTTAGCTAACAAATAATTTTACAGAAAATTTAAAATGGAGGCATTTGAAAGCAGGAGTAATAATGATGATGCAATGAGCTATCATTTATTGAGGGCTTATGTCAATAAATATATTTTTTCTCTAATCCTCAAGGTAGTTCTACCTGGTGAGGGTCATAATACTTATTTTACTACTGAGAAAATTCAGATAAAGTTACTGTCCTCAGCTAGTAAGTCAAGTCTATTCATACAAAGCCAGACTTTTCCCCACCATACTATCTACTCCTAAGATTGACTCTAAATTGGTACAAGAAATTTGTCTGCCAAATAACTTGATATCCACTTAGGTATCAAGCTTCATTCTGTAGATCCAAAGCATTACAATTCACCATCTATATAGGTCCTGACTCCAGTGATGGTGTTTATGCCCTGTCCACAATAAATCTTGCTCTCTTTTCTCACTGCAAGTAAATTTCAGGTCTTTAACAAAGGCTGAGAAATCTTATTGCTTGAAGAGAAGCTGCAGCCTAACAAAGTCAAAGGTTCTCAGAGATAGAAGCCCAAATATTTTGATGTTTAAAGCTTAAATAAAATTTGTACTGATCATAGTATAGGAGATGTTTTTAAAAATGCAACAAAAATTTACATTATCTAATTTATACTATCAAGCATGAATCTATGAATCTTAAGTAATTTAGTAAAGAAAAAAGAAAAGAAGCCACACACATATACGGTCTTACACAAGAATATCCCAAGGTACTTAAAGATCTAGCAAAGAAAACCTGTATTCATAAAAAATAAAATTCAGGAATATTTTATGACTCAATAAGAAGGAACCAGTCAATCGAAGCCACTCTATACTATCAGAAAATTATAAAGAACATAATGTACCTTTCAAAGAATGGCTTACAACACTTCATCAGCTTATTTCCAAGGCTTTTAAAATGTTAATCAAAATATGCTTACTCCTCATTCCTCTAAATATGTTATTCAATATACAAAAGGATAAACAGTTACTTTCAATGATGGTGTTTGCCTAACCCACAACCTACAAGAAGAAGGTATTAGTTTCGAACACAAAATCACTTAATAATATTGTGTAACCATAATATAGCCAATGTTCCCAAAGTAGTTGCTATTCCTGAAGTGGGTTTTCCCTTAATAATTCTTGGGGCACTAAAAGACTTTCTATCTGGAGGATCTGCTCCTTAATTGCTGATTTAAAGTGACTTAATGAATCTTGATAAAGTAGTTGTCTGAGTGTACATACCATGCTTTATTTTTTCCTGGGTGATTTTTGTTCGTTTTTGTTTTTTGAGAAAGGGTCTCATTTAGTCCCCTAGGCTGCAGTGGCGTGATTTCGGCTCACTGCAGCCTCAACTTCCTGGGTTCAGGTGGTCCTTCTGCCTCAGCCCCTCAAGTAGCTGGGACTACAGGTATGCGCCACCACATCCGGCTAATTTTTGTATTTTTTGTGGAGACAGGGTTTTCCCCTGTTGCCCAGGCTGGTCTCAAACTCCTGAGCTCAAGCAATCCGTCTGCCTTGGCCTCCGAAAGTGCTAGCATTACAGGTATGAGACACCATGCATGGCCAGATTTTAAAACAACAAGAAAAAAAAAGGTGCTTTTCTCTCTTTTAAAAGAAAATATAGGCCGGGCGTGGTGGCTCACACCTTTATCCCAGCACTTTGGGAGGCTGAGGTGGGTGGGTCACTTGAGGTCACAAGTTCAAGACCAGTGATCAGCCTGGCCAACATGGTGAAACCCCGTCTCTACCAAAAATACAAAAATTAGTCAGAGTGGTGGTGTGTGCCTGTAGTTCCAGCTACCTGGGAGGCTGAAGCAGGAGAACTGCTTGAACCCAGAAGACGGAGGGTGCAGTGAGCCAAGATCATATCACTGCATTCCAGCTTGGGTGACAGAGTGAGACTCCGTCTCAAAAAAAAAAAAAAAAAAAATGAAGTGAGGAATTTTGGTTGTGAGGCTGCACTACTAGTGCTTTTGCATCATGTTATTCATGGCCCAAGGCCAATTTCTGCATGTATAAGAATTAAATTTATCAGGCATGGTGGCACATGCCTATAGTCCCAGCTACTCAGGAGGCTGAGGCAGGAAGATCACTTGAGCCCAGGAGTTCTAGGCTGCCTGAACTACTCCAACTGCAGTTAAACAGGAATAAACAGCTGGGTCCACTTATCTCAAATTAAACCTGTCTCTCATAAAGCCCCACAGACCAAGAAACACAGGAGACTAATCCTGCAACCACCCAATGGGTTCACCTTGCCCACTGCCTAGGCAGAGCTGATTTATCAAGATGGGGGAATTGCAATACAGAAAGAGTAATTCATGCAGAGCCAGCTGTGCAGGAGACCAGAGCTTTATTATTACTCAAATCAGTTTCCCTAAGTATTCAGGGATTAGGGTTTTTAAGGACAACTTGGTGGGTGGGGTGAAACCAGGGAGCCAGAAGTGCTGACTGGTTAGGCAGGAAATGACATCACAGGGAATTGAAGCCATCCTCTTGAGCTGAGTGTGCCATGATCGGGCCTGTGAATAGCCACTGTACTCCAGCCTGGGCGACACAGGGAGACTCTGTCTCTTAAAAAAAAGATTTAAATCGGCCAGGTGCAGTGGCTCATGCCTGTAATCCTAGCACTTTCGGAGGCTGAGGCGAGTGGATCACGAGGGCAGGAGTTCGAGACCAGCCTGGCCAACATAGTGAAACCTCGTCTCTACTAAAAATACAAAAATTAGCAGGGCATGGTGGCACACACCTGTAGTCCCAGCTACTCGGGAGGCTGAGGCAGGAGAATCGCTTGAACCTGTGAGGTGGAGGTTGTGGTGAGCCAAGATTGCGCCACTGCACTCCAGCCTGGGTGACAGCAAGACTCTGTCTCACAAAAAAAAAAAAAAAAAAAAAAAGAAAGAAAAGAAATCACTCAGCAAATATAAAGCTTTGCCTGTGTGACTTCCTTCGTAGAATAAAGACTTTACAACACTCCCTTTCATGGTCTCTCTCTGTTAAAGACTTGAATGCTTTCTGAAGCAAAGGTCAATGATATAAATGCAATGAAACCAAAAAAGAAAAAAAAAAGGCTGTGAACAGACCACTTATGCTTATCCATAGATTTGAAATGAAAGAACCAAAACCCACAGCTTCATAACTGGAGAATAAATGTGTAGAACTGGATTTTAAATAGAAATCAGACATCTGTACTATGAGATCAGCTAACAATTTAAGATAAAATTTGCTTATCTGGTCTTAATGACATGTTGCTAGTAAAGTACCAAGATAGCACAAAAATTATATCAGAAAAAAAAGAATATAGAATTATTCATAAACGAAGCATAAGCATTGTGGAGCTACGCTGCATTAAGTGTAACTATGCATATACTACACATTTCTTAAATTATCCCAAAAGGGATTCTCAGATTTTCTTGTGGTAGTAATGCTCAGTTATAGAACTTACATACTCATGGGTGTGAACAACTCCTGCAAGGTTTTAACACTTTAGAAAAAAGCATTTTTTAAGTGTATATAAATAAAAACATATTTTACAACACTAATAGTCATTACTTTTTCAAAAGAAAATTCACTGGTGTATCATCTCAAGATATGGTACATATCTATGTCACATGAATACAAGCCAAATTACCTTTTTAAAGACTCTGTTTAAGATGAGTGGGTGGAGAAGCTTCAGAATTTCCATTATTTTACAGTCACATTGATTAGGTGGGATGGGTATAATACAGGAAAGGAGTATCAGAGTTTATGGAAAAAACCAGCCCGAGGAAACAGAGTTTGGTTCATATTCCAGCTCTACTAGTGACTAGCTGGCACAAAGTATTCATTCTATCTTGGCCTCTGTATTCTCATTTGTTAAGTGAAGACAATTATACCAACCTTTGTAGTATATTAAAAATTGCATACACAATGCATTTAGCACAGTGTCTGGCACATACTCAGTACTCAAAAATGAAAGCAACTATGGACATGATGACAGTGATCCTAGATCTTAAATATTTTCTGAGAATTCTAAGGAAAGTAGGTTAGAATTCCCAGTTGGCAAAGACAGGGAAGACTAAGTTACTTACTTTTAAAATTTAAAATTTGTAAGTAATTTAAAATTTTAGAATTCTGTTAATAAAACTAAAAAAAAGCAAAACATTAAAGGATAATTACTAGTTTGTAGCAAAAATATGGCTAGAAAAAGAGAGCACATTATAAACACATGGTAGAAACAGTTTTGGGGGAAAAAATTTTAATCGAGAAGAGAAAGGATCTGCAAAATCCTACATTAGGTGGGATCAAAGCCAGCTGGACCTGACTTGCTTTTCTACCAACTAGTTAATGATTTATTTCTAAATTGTTAAATGTCTTGGCATGTTTTTTGTTATCAAGAAAGTCTATTTTCTTCCTAAGATTTACAAGATATAAAGTACGTGTGTATGTATATTTTTAGGTATCACATTATCAATTTTAACTCAAGCAGTTACAGAATAATTAAAAATTATACATAGTTCTTTCCTTTTTCTTTTTTTTGAGATGGAGTCTTGCTCTGTCACCCAGGTTGGAGTGGTGCAGTGGCACAATCTCGGCTTACTGCAACCTCCGCCTCCTGGGTTCAAGCGATTCTCCTGCCTCAGCCTCCCAAGTAGCTGGGACTACAGGCATGCACTATCACGCCCGGCTAATTTTTGTATTTTTAGCAGAAACAGAGTTTCGTCATGTTGGCCAGGCTGGTCTCGAACTCCTGACCTCAAGTGATCCACCCGCCTGGGCTTCCCCAAGTGCTGGGATTACAGGTGTGAGCCACTGCGCCCAGCCCATAGTTCTAATTAGAGAAAATTAATTCATTTGTGGTCATTTGGGAACTTTTGCTTTTCCCCTTTCCTTCTTCCTCAGACATTACACATGTTGACACTCTGACATGAAGACAATAAGAAACACAATTAAGAGATAATGAAATGTATCAATTTTCTTCTTCCTCCACTTTTAAAAATGAACTTAAAAATAACATTTTAAGCTATTTTTAAATAACTAAAAAACAATTTACTTTGGGAAGAGACTGAAACTAGTAATTAAAAGTCTGAAATCAGTAATACCAAACTGCTGATTATAAACTCGCTCAATATATTAAAATCGAACTTTAAAAGGTAGCTAGAAAAAGTTTTTCCAACTACAAAAAGGTTTTATATGGAAAAATAAAATAAAACGTTATTAAAAATTCTTAATTTCATGTCTGGGTCATGATTTTGTAGAGGTAAGAAAATAATAGTTTCTCCTCTTGTTAAAAGAAACTTAATAATTGGACTTTCTGGCAAAAGATTATCTGAATTTAGTGTTCCTCTGTCTTTCCACAGTTATGGAAAAGATCATTATGCAATAAGCGAGGCTTCTGGAGGAAAAAAAGGATAGCTTTATTGTTGAAAACATTGGGCTATTATGCTAAACATTCCTTGTATTTTTGAGGGCAAATAGTCTAAAATATGTTTAGAGGAAATCCATATTCAGACAGAAATTCTTGTCGTTGTTTTTTTTTTTTTTTTTTTTTTTTTTTCAGAGACAGAGGACAGTTTATTCCTCCAAACAAAAGCAGTAGCTAGAGTAGAGTATCAGCATTTACACCATGTCCCCAAACCTCAATTCCCAACGGTCATGCAACGAGGGCCAGTGATGCCTGCATATGAGGTGGGTTGTTACAGAAGAAGAACCCCAAACTCAGAGAATCCAAATCTTTTATAATGGACAGTGAGCTTACCTGATCTTTGCCCAGGAGGGAGACTTTATTTTTATTATATTGGACAGTGGCAAATCTGTTCTTTACTCCAGAGGAAGATATTAGCTCTATTTTCCAAGGCAGTTTGCTATGCAAATATCCTTGAATAAATAGTCCAGAACAAGGCAGTGCCTCTGCTTGCAAAAGCACAAGAGATCTTTAGAGAATTGTCTTGAAACAATAACCACCTCTCAATGATACAATCTCATAGCCTCTGAAAACTTTTCTCATGAGTACAACACTCCAGTCATGATGACTTTGTTTTGTTTTTTGTTTTTTGATACAGGGTCTCACTGTGTTGCCCAGGCTGGAGTGCAGTGGTGCGATCACAGCTCACTGCAGCCTCAACCTCCCTGGCTCAAGATATCCTCCCACCTCAATCTCTTGAGTGTGGAACTACAGGCATGTGCCACCATGCCTGGATAACTTTTTGAAATTTATTTTTTGTAGAGACAGGTTCACATTATATTGTCCAGGCTGGTCTCAAACTCCTGGGCTCAAGCAATCCTTCAGCCTTGTTCTCCCAAAGTGCTGGGATTACAGGTGTGAGTCACTGTGCCTGGCCCAGTCATGATGATTAATCTGAACAACAGAGCCAAATCCTGCCTGAGACACATTTTAAATAAACTTTTATTGGAACACAGGCTAGGTGCAGTGGCTCATGCCTGTAATCCCAGCACTTTGACAGGCCAAGGAAGGCAGATCACTTGAAGCCAGGAGTTCGAGACCAGCCTGGCTAACATGGCAAAACATCGTCTCTACTAAAAATACAAAAATTAATGGCATGGTGGCACACGGCTGTAATTCCAGCTACTCGGGAGGCTGAGGCATGAGACTTGCTTGAATCTGGGAGGCGGAGGTTGTTGCAGTGAGGCAAGATTGTGCCACTGCACTCCAGCCTGGGTGACAGAGTGAGACAGTCCCCAAAAAAATTTTTGGCTGGGTGCAGTGGCTCACATCTGTAATCCCAGCACTTTGGGAGGCCAAGGAGGATGGACCACCTGAGGTCAGGAGTTCAAGACCATCCTGGACAATATGGTGAAACCCGTCTCTACTAAAAATACAAAAATTAGCTAGGCGTGGTGGCACGCACCTGTAGTCCCAGCTACTCGGGAGGCTGAGGCAGGCGAATTGCTTGAACCTGGCAGGTGGAGGTTGCAGTGAGCTGAGATCGCATCACTGCACTCCAGCCTGGGCAACAGAGTGAGACTCCGTCTCAAAAAAAAAAAAAAGAAAAGTTTTATTGGAACACAGTCATTAATTTACGTATTGTCTATGGCTATTTTCACTCTTTAATGGTACAGTTCAGTATACCTTGACCATCCGCCCATTGCTGAGTAGCCTTTTTTGCTATTATTTTTAACTGACAAATAACAATTGTACATATTTATGGGGTACAGTGTGGTATGTCAATACAAAGCCTATATGTATACTTTCATATCTGTTAACCAACCTTTGGCTATCTTCCCCTCCCACCTTTTCTACCTTTAATAACCACTATTCTACTTTCTACTTCTATGAGATCAACATTTTTAGTTCCCACATAAGTAGGAACATGCAGTATTTCTGCATCTGTCTGACTTCACTTAAGATAATGTTCTTCAAGTTCATCCATTGTGCCATGAATGATAGAATTTCATTCTTTTTTATGGCTAACTAGTGTTCCATTGCACACATTTTCTTTAGCCACTCTTCTGGTGATGGACACAGAGGTTGATTCTGTATCTTGGCTATTGTGAAGTGCTGCAATAAACATGGGCATGCAAATATCTCTTTGGCATACTAACTTCCTTTCCTATAGATATACACCCAGTAGAGGGATTGTTGGATCATATGATAGTTCTATTTTTAGTTTTCTGAGGAACTTCCATACTGTTTTTCATAATGGCTGTGCTAATTTACATTTCCACTAGAACAGTGTATAAGAGTCCCCTTTTCTCTGCATCTTTGCCAGCATGTATTCTTTGCCTTTTTGATAACAGACATTCTAATGGGGGTGAGATGACATCTCATTGTAGTTTTGATTTGTACTTCTCTGATGATTAGTGATGTTGAGTACTTTTCATTTGTATGTTTTTGTTTGAGAAATGTTAATTCAGCTCCTTTGCCCATTTTTAAAATTATTTGTTTACTGGTTGTTGAGGTGTTTGAAGATATCTGGATATTAGTCTCTTTCAGATGAATAGTTTGCAAATATCTTCTCCCATTCTGCATATTGTCTTTTCACTCTGTTGATTGCTGCCTTTGCTGTGCAAACGTTTTTTAACTGGATCCGATCCCATTTGTCTATTTTTGCTTTTATTGTCTGTGCTGATGAGGTCTTCACAAAATCTCTGCCCAGAGCACTGCCCTGAAACATTTCTTCTATGTTTTCTGCCAGTAGTTTCATAGTTTTCAGTCTTGCATTTAGTTCTTTAGTCAATTTGGAAACGATTTTTGTATATGGTGAGAGATAAAGGTCTAGTTTCATTTTTCTGCATATGGATATCCAGTTTCCCCAGCACCACTTATTGAAGAGACTGTCCCATTCTCAATGAATGTTTTTGGCACCTCTGAGAATCAAGTGGCTGTAAGTATGTGGATTCATTTCTAAATTCTTTATTCCATTCCATTAGTCTATGTGTCTGTTTTTATGCCAGTACCATGTTGTTTTGGTTACTAAAGTTTTGTAGTATATTTTGAAGTCCAGCAGTGTGTTGCCTCCAGCTTTGTTCTTTTTGCTCAGAATTTGAGTATTTGAGGTCCCCTGTGGTTCCATATGAATTTGATTGCATTTTTTTTTTTTTCTGAGATGGAGTCTTGCCCTGTCACCCGGGCTGGAGTGCAGTGGTGCAATCTCAACTCACTGCAACCTCCACCTCCCAGGTTCAAGCAATTCTCCTGCCTCAGCCTCCTGAGTAGCTGGGATTACAGGTGTGCACCACCATGCCTGGGTAATTTTTGTAATTTTAGTAGAAATGGGGTTTTGCCATGTTGGCCAGGCTGGTCTTGAACTCCTGACCTTAAGTGATCTGCCAGTCTCAGCCTCCCAAAGTGCTGGCATTACAGGTATAAGCCACTGTGCCCGGCCCTGTATTTTCTATTTCTGTGAAGAATGCCATAGATATTTTGATAGGGATAGCATTAAATCTGTAGATCACTTTTGGTAGTATGGTTATTTTCACAATATTAATTCTTCTTCTCCTTCTCCTTCCTCACCTTCTCCTTCTCCTTCTCCTCCTCCTCTTTTTTTGAGATGGAGTCTCACTCTGTCGCCAGGCTGGAGTGCAGTGATGCGATCTCAGCTCACTGCAACCTCCACCTCCCAGGTTCAAGTGATTTGCCTGCCTCAGCCTCCTGAATAGCTGGGACTATAGGTGCATGCTACCACGCCCAGCTAATTTTTGTATTTTTAGTAGAGACAGGTTTCACCATATTGGCCAAGATGGTCTTGATCTCTTTACCTGGTGATCCACCCACCTCGGCCTCCCAAGAACCCAGACCACAATATGAATTCTTTCAACCCATAAACATAGAATATCTTTTAATTTTTTAAATGTCCTAATCAATTTCCTTTCATCAGTGTTTTATAGTTTTCCTTGTAGAAATCTTTCATATTCTTGGATAAATTTATTCCTAAGTGTTTTTTTTTTTTTTTGGAGCTATTTTAAATAGGATTGGTTTTTTAAATTTCTTTTTCCACTATTTCACTGTTGCTGTGTAAAAACAGCACTGATTTTTTATGTTGATTTTGTGTCCTCCAACTTTACTGAATTCATTTATCAGTTCTAAGAGCTTTTTGGTGGAGCTTTTAGGGTTTTCTATATAAAAGATCATGTCATCTGCAAACAGACAATTTGATTTCCTCCTTTCCAATTTGGATGCCCTTTATTTCTTTCTCTTGCCTAATTGCTCTGGCTAGCACTTCTGGTATTATGTTGAATAGGAGTGGTGAAAGTGGGCATCCTTGTCTTTTTCCAGTTCTTAGGGGAAAGGCATTCACCTTTTCCCCACTCTGTATGATGCTGGCTGTTGGTTTGTCATATTGGCCTTTATTATTCTGAGGTACGTTTCTTCTGTCTATTTTTTGAGTGTTTTTATCACGAAGGAATGTTGAATTTTATCAAATGCTTTTTCTGCATCCACTGAGATGATCATGTGGTTACTGTCCTTCATTCTGTTGATTGATGTATCACGTTTATTGATTTGCATGTGTTGAACCACCCTTGCATCCCTAGTATAAATCCCACTTGATCATGGTGTATTTTCTTTTTAATGTGTTGTTGGATTTGGTTTGCAAGTATTCTGTTGGGGATTTATGAGCCTATGTTATTCAGGGATATGGGCCTGTAGTTTTCTTTTTTGTGTTGTGTCCTTGTCTGGTTTTGGTATCAGGGTGATGCTAGCCTTACAGAATGAGTTAGGGAGAATTCCCTTCTCTTTGATTTTTTGGAATAGTTTCAGGAGGATTAGTATTAGTTCTTCTTCATATGTTTGGTAGAATTTGGCTATGAATGCAACCAGTGGGCTTTTCTTTATTGGGAGGCTTTTTATTGCTGATTCAATCTCATTACCTGTTACTGGGCTGTCCAGGTTTTCCATTTCTTCCTGATTCAGTCTTGGTAGCTTGCATGTTTCCATACAAGCAGAATTTATCCATTTTCACTAGGTTTTCAGATTTCTTGGCATACAGTTGTTTGTAATAGCCTCTAATGATCCTTTGTATTTCTGTGGCATCAGTTGTAATGTCCTCTTTTTCATTTCTGATTTTATTTCTTTAGGTTTTTTCTCTTTTTTTCTTGGTTAGTCTAGCTGATGGTTTCTCAATTTTGTTTATCTTTTCAAAGCCAACTTTTTATTTAGCTGATTTCTTGTATTGCTTTTTAGTCTCAATTTTAAAATTTTTGCCCTAATCTTTATTATGTCTTTCCTTCTGCTAATTTTGAGTTTTGTTTTTTCTGGCTTTTCTAGTTCCTTAAGCTGGATCATTAGGTTGTTTATTTGAAATTTTGCTAGTTTTTTAATACAAGTGTTTATTGCTATAAAGTTTCCTTTTGATACTGTGTTTGCTCTATCCCATAGCATGGTATGGGATGTTGCGTTTCTATTTTCATTTGCTCCAAGAAATTTTAAAATTTCCTCATTGATCCAGTGGTCATTCAGGAGTATATTAATTTTTGTGTATTTGTATAGCTTTCCAAAGTTCCTCTAATTGTTGATTTCTAGTTTGATTCCATTACAGTCAGAAAAGATACCTGATATAATATTAATTCTTTTAAATTTGTTAAGACTTGTGTTGTAGTCTAACATGTGGTCTATCCTGGAGAATGTTCTATGTGCTATTGAAAAGAAAGGATGTACATTTTGTAGCTTTTGGATTAAATGTTCTGTCAACGTCTGTTAGGTCCATTTGGTCTCAAGTGCAGTTTAAATCAAATGTTTCCTTGTTGATTTTCTGTCTAGATGATATGTCCAATGTTGAGACGTTAGATATTGGGTGTTGAAATCTGCAACTATTATTGTATTGGAGTCTAACTCTCACTTTAGATCTAATAATATGTGCATATGTGGGTGCTCCAGTGTTGGGTGCATATATATTTACAATTATTATATCCTTTTGCTAAATTAATTCCTTTATCACTATATAATGACCTTTTTTGTCTCTTTTTACAGTTTTTGACTTAAAGTTTGTTTTATCTGACTTAGGCATAGCTATTTCTGCTCACTTTTGGTTTCCATATGTGTGGAATATCTTTTTTTTTTTTTTTTTTTTTTTTTTTTGAGACGGAGTCTCGCTGTCGCCCAGGCTGGAGTGCAGTGGCGCAATCTTGGCTCACTGCAGGCTCCGCCCCCTGGGGTTCACGCCATTCTCCTGCCTCAGGAATATCTTTTTCCATAACTTTACTTTCAGTCTGTGTATGTCTTTACAAGTGAAGACAATTTCTTGTAGGCAGCATATAGTTAGGCCATATCTTTTTATCCATTCAGCCAGTCCATATCTTTTAAGTGGGGGATTTAATCTGTTTATACTCAAGGTTATTACTGATAGGTAAGGACTTACTGCTGACATTTTGTTAATTGTTTTCTGGTTGCTTTGTATATCCTTATTTCCTTTGTTCTGCCTTTATTGTTTATCATTGATGTTTGGTGGTTTTTTTGAAGTGATAAGGTTTGATTCTCTTCTCTTTCTCCTTTGTCCATCTTTTCTAACAGTGAATGTTACACTTTTGTGTTTTTTCATAATAGTGATTATTGTCCTTTCACTTACAGATGTAGGACTCCCTTGAGCATTTCATGTAAGGCTGTTCTAGTGGTGATGAATTCCCTCAGTTTTTGCTTATCTGGGAAAGACTTTATTCCTCCCTTATTTCTGAAGGATAGCTTTTCTGGGTATAGTATTCTTGGTTCACTTTTTTTTTCCTTTTAGCAACTTGAATATATCAACCCATTCTTTCCTGGCCTGTAAGATTTCTGCAGAGAAATCTGCTGTTAGGTTAATGAAGACTCCCTTATACATGACTTGACACTTTTCTCTTGTTGTGTTTAGAATTCTCTCTTTGTATATGACTTTGAATAATCTGACTATTAAGTACCTTGGATGGGATCTTTTTGTGTGAAATCTATTTGGGGACCACTGAGCTTCCTGAAACTGGATTTCCAAATTTCTCCACACGCTTGGGAATTTTTTAGCTATTATTTCATTAAATAGGTTTTCTATGCCTTTTCCCTTCCCTAGAACTCTCACAATACAAATACTTGTTCACTTAATGGTGTCCCATAAGTCTTGTAAGCTTTCTTTACTCTTTTTCATTCATATTTCTCTCTCTTTTTTTTTTCCTCTGACTAGGTAATTTCGAATGACCTATCTTCAAGTTCAGGGATTCTTTTGCTGGATTCTTTCTTTTGTTGAATCTCTCTGTTGTATTTTTTAATTTAATTCACTGAATTCTTCAGTTGCAGGATTTCTGGTTGGTTCTTTTTTTTATGATTTCTATCTCTGTTGAATTTGTCATTCACATCATAAATCCTTTTCTGATTGACTGAACTATCTGTATTTCCTTGTATATCATTCAATTTCTTAAAAAATCATAATTTTGAATTCCTTTTCTGGCAATTAGTTGATTTCCTTTTCATGCAGGTCTGCCACTAGAAAGTGACGTTCCTTTGGTGGCAACCTATTTCCATGCTCTTTCATATTTCTGGTGTCCCTGTGTTGATGTCTGTGCACCTGGTGGAACAATCATCTCTTCCTTTTTTTTGAGATGAAGTCTCCATCTGTCACCTGTGCTGGAGTACAGTGGCATGATCTTGGCTCACTGCAACCTCTGTCTCCCAAGTTCAAGCGATTCTCTTGCCTCAGCTTCATGAGAAGCTGGAATTAACACGTGTATGTCACCACACCTGGCTAATTTTTTTGGTATTTTTGTAGAGATGGGATTTCGTCATATTGGCCAGGCTGGTCTTGAACTCCTGACCTCAAGTAATCCACCCATCTTGGCCTCCCAAAGTGCTGGGATTACAGGCTTGAGCCACCGCGTCCAGCCTACCTCTTCCTAACTTTCTAGAGTGGCTTCCATAGATAAGGACTTTCATCTGCAGTTGGGTTTTAGTTTGCTGGTTGAAAAGGTGGTGGTGACTCTGTTTCCAATTGGGTGCAGTGGTATAGTCTTCATGAAGATTCTTCATCTTTATTCAATGTCAGCAATAACTGTAAGCATCTCAGTGGCATAGGCTGTACACATTTGTGACAGTGGTGGCCAGAAATTCATAATACTCAAAAAGAGTACTGCTTAAGTGCAAAAATATTTTGTGATAACTGATCTTATCAAAATAAAATTCAAAAATTTAAAAACTCAGAAGTAAAACTTAAAGGCATAAAAATCAAATGTGACACATTTCCAGAGCCACAACTTGCAACAGTTAACTTAATTCAACTAGGACAGTGATTTTTCACTTCCTTCACTGTTTTTTTTAAAACAGAAAAAATACAAGCATAAAAATGGTGCTCCACACCTCTGCCCAGCCGCGACCCCGTCTGGGAACTGAGGAGCGCCTCCGCCCGGCCGCCCCATCTGAGAAGTGAGGAGCCCGTCCGCCCGGCAGCCGCCCCGTCTGGGAGGTGGGGGGGCGCCCCCGCCCGGCAGCCGCCCCGTCTGGGGGGTGGGGGGGCCCCTCTGCCCGGCCGCCACGTCTGGGAAGTGAGGAGCCCCTCTGCCCGGCCGCCACCCCGTCTGGGAGGTGTACCCAACAGCTCATTGAGAATGGGCCATGATGACCATGGGGGTTTTGTCCAATAGAAAAGGGTGAAATGTGGGGAAAAGAGAGATCAGATTGTTATTGTGTCTGTGTAGAAAGAAGTAGACATAGGAGACTCCATTTCTGTACTAAGAAAAATTCTGCCTTGGGATGCTGTTAATCTATAACCTTACCCCCAACCCCATGCTCTCTGAAACATGTGCTGTGTCAACTCAGGGTTAAATGGATTAAGGGTGGTGCAAGATGTGCTTTGTTAAACAGATGCTTGAAGGCAGCATGCTCGTTAAGAGTCATCACCACTCCCTAATGTCAAGTACCCAGGGACACAAACACTGTGGAAGGCCGCAGGGTCCTCTGCCTAGGAAAACCAGAGACCTTTGTTCACATGTTTATCTGCTGACCTTCTCTCCACTATCGTCCTATGACCCTGCCAAATTCCCCCTCTCGAGAAACACCCAAGAATGATCAATAAATACTAAAAAAAGTTTAAAAAAAAAGAGAGAAGAAATTTTAAAGAATAAAGTATGTATTCTGCTTTAAAAAAAAAAAAAATGGTGCTCCAGGCCGGGCGTGGTGGCTCATGCCTGTAATCTCGGCACTTTGGGAGGCCGAGGTGGGTAGATTATGAGGTCAGGAGTTCAAGACCAGCTTGGCCAAGATGGTGTTACCCCATCTCTACTAAAAATACAAAAATTAGCTGGGCATGGTGGTGGGTGCCTGTAATCCCAGCTACTCAGGAGGCTGAGGCAGAGAATTGCTTGAACCCGGGAGGCAGAAGTTGCAGTGAGCCGAGATCGCACCATTGCACTCCAGCCAGGGCAACAGGGCAAGACTCTGTCTCAAAAAAAAAAAAAAAAAAAAAAAAAAAGTACTACATTATTTGATAGTTTCTGCACTTCATAAGTCATTTTGAAAAAAGAAAATGTAGAGACAAAATATAGGGTCTAGGTATCTTGCCAAGAAGTTGCTTCTCAAATATGTTAATATTTGTATTCTTTTGTAACCATTGTAAAAGAGATGTTTAGTGAAAGGGTAAATTTTTTTTTAACCTTTTTCTTTTTTTGAGACAGGGTCTCACTGTCACCCAGACTGAAGTGCAGTGATGCGATCACAGCTCACTGCAGCCTTGACCTACTGAGCTCAAATAATCATCCTGCCTCAGCCCCTCTGAGTTGCTAGGACTATAGGTGCACGCTGCCACACGTGGCTAATGTTTTGATTTTGTAGAAACAGGGTCTCACTATGTTACCCACGTTGGTCTTTAACTCCCGGCTTCAAGTGATTCTCCCACATTGGCCTCCCAAAGTGCTAGGATCACAGGCATGGGCCACCACACCCAGCTGAAAAAGTAATTATTAATACCTAATTTTTGTATTTGCTGTATTCCAAAAATTAACTTGTAGTGCCTATAATTTAGAACTCATTTTCTCAGAGAAACGATTGCATAAATGGTGGCTTAGTTTCCAGATCAGCAAACAAAAACCTGCTTAAATTGAAACATTACTGACAGGGTTGAAGCCTAAGTCCTTTATACCCAAGTTCTAAGTCTTTGAGGTTTGAACCCTATAGGGGGTAGAGTAGTCAGTAGGCAATATTTGGGCATGATCAATTTTACTGGGCAATGCCTATTTTCCAACAGGGTGGTAACAATTTATACTCCCATCAGCAACGGAATAATGGTCTCACTGTTCTATATTCTCGCCAATACTTGACGCTATCAGCTTTTACATTTTTGCCAATCTGGCACCTTGAAGTAGCATCACAACATGGTTTTAAATTGCATTCTTCTGATTAGTAATGAGATGGAACATCTTTTCACCCTTACTGGCCATTTGAGTTTCCTCTTTTATGAGGAATCTGCCCAAGTATTTTTTGTTTGTTTTTAGAGATGGGGTCTCACTGTGTCTCCCAAGCTGGAATACAGTGGCACAATCATAGCTCTCTGCAGCCTCGAACTCCTGGGCTCGAGCAAGCCTTCTGCCTCAGTATCCTGAGTAGCTTGGGCTTAGGTGTGCACCACCATGCCCAGCTTGTCCAAGTATTTTTGACATTGACTTGTAAAAATTCTTTATATACTTCTGTAAAAGTAATCATCTGTCAGTTTCATATGCTGTAATTATCTTCTCTCAGTTTGTGGCTTGTCTTTTCATTTCATTTATAAAGTCTCTTGACAAACAGAAGTTTTCACTTTTAATCCAGTTGAATGTATAAATATTTCCCATATGTTTTTTATATTTTGGAGAGTATTTTAGTGAAATAGTTAAGAGTAGGAACCCTGGGCAGGGCACGGTGCTCATGCCTGTAATCCCAGCACTCTGGGAGGCCGAGGTGGGTGGATAATTTGAGGTCAGGAGTTTGAGACTAGCTTGGCCAACATGGTGAGACCCTGTCTCCACTAAAAATACCAAAATGAGCCGGGCATGGCGGCATGCGCTTGTAATCCCAGTACTCGGGAGGCTGAGGTAGGAGAATCACTTGAATCCGGGAGGCAGAGGTTGCAATGAGCCGAGATTGTGCCACTGCACTCCAGCCTGGGTGACAGAGTGAGACTCCGTCTTTAAAAAAAAAAAAAAAAAAAAAAAAAGATAGGAACTCTGGAGCTAGAATACCTAGATTAAAATCCTGGCCACTAGTCATATGACCTTAAATAAATTACTTAATCTCTTTATGCCTCAGCTCCTCATTTGTCTAACAGAGGACCTATCTCACAGGTTTGTTAAGATTAACTTAGTTAATATGTGGTAAGCACATATATAGAACAGTGCCTGACTCAGAGTAAAAACTACCTAAGTGTTGCTATTATTTTAGTATTATTGTTGAAGAAATCCCTCTCTACCCCAATATCATTTTACATTTTGTCTTTCACATTTAGGTCTTTGATCTACCTGAAATTTATTTTTGCATAACATATAAGTGAAAGGTTCAAACTCATTTTCTTCCTAATAGATAGCCAAAACTCTAGTACGATTCATTGATAAATCCACCCTTTATGCCCCTAAGCTTTAGTACCTCCTCTGCCATATATCAAATGTCTTTATACATATGATTTACTTCTGGGCTTTCTTTTTTATCTATTTGTTTATCCTGAACCAATACCACCCTGTCTAGATTACTATAGCTTTACCTCTCTCCAATGTTTCTGTATAAAAACTTTGGAAAATATAGATAAATCAAAAGAATGGTATTCTGGATATCTGTGTATATATTTTGCTTTACATACTACCCCCTAACTCCTGTTCCCAATTTATACCACTTCAGCCACAATGACTTTGCTGTTGCTCAAATACATCAGGCATCTTCCTGCATCAGGGACTCTACTTGCTGTTCTCTCTATTGGCAATACTTTTCCACAGGGGATCCGCATGGCATGCTCTATTACTTCTTTTTGTTCCTTATTCTAATGTCATATTCTCAACATATCTTGCCTAGCCACACTATCTGAAATTGTAATATTTCTTACTATTTAATATACCATAAATTTTATTTTCTTGTTTATTATCTCTCTTCCCATCTAGAATGTCAGTTCTGTGGAATCAGGGGGGTTTTATGTGTTTTTTCCTCTGCTATATTCCCAGTGCCTAGCACAGTGCCTGGCATGTGATAGGCATGCAAACTTTGTTTAATGATTGCATAATCTGGCTCCAAAGTCTATGTGTGCTTTCTTCATTAACTCTTGATGACTTCTAAGCGCAATATTTATTTTCATTTCAGTCCATTTAATATTTTCCATGTACTTAATCTTTTTTAAAATTTTATTATTCTTCTTTAGACTTTTATCGACTTTTTTCAGGGGCTACATATGCAGGTTGGTTACATGAGTAAACTGTGTTGCTGAGGTCTGGTGTATGAATGATCCCATCACCCAGGTAGTACCCAATAGGTAGTTTTTCAACCCTTTACCCCCCGCCCACCCTCCCCCTTCTAGTAGTCCCCAGTGTCTACTGTTCCCATCTTTATGTCCATGTGTACTCAATGTTTAGATCCCACTTATAAGTGAGAACATGTGGTATTTGGTTTTCTGTTCCTGCATTAACTTGCCGAGGATAATGGCCTCCATCTGTATCCATGTTGCTGCAACAGATATGATTTTGTTCTTTTTTACAGCTGCATAGTATTCCATGGTGTATATGTACCACATTTTCTTTATCCATTCTACAATTTATGGACATCAGGATTAATTCCATGTCTTTGCTATTGTGAATAGCATGCACTTAATCTTGACACTTTATGTCACACTTAAATAAACCTCTTAGAATCTTGGAAATAGAATATTCATTCTAGGTGAGCAAAATGAGACATTCAATGACTAGCCCATGATAGGCCAATCAACCTTGTAAGACAGTGATCCCTCAGGTTTGTTCATTAAAGTAAGATAAAGAAGAGCAGATAGAAAGAAAAAGTCCTAGCCCTCAAAGAAAAATCCATTTTGCTCAACCCCAATATTCCATCATGACCCTACTGAATAGGGCCTCTTTAGCTTATACAATTCTCATAAAAACAAAGAATAGAGGTTGAAATGCCTCAAAAAAAACCCTTCTTTCTTAGTTCTAGTTTGCATCTGCATAAGTTGACCTTAGGTTTTGAGGACAACACACTCAGAGCCACCAACATAGATCAGTGGTTCTGAAACTTTAGCATGCTGATTCTTGGGCCCTATCCCAGACTTTTTTATTCAATAGGTCTGGTGTTGGGCCTAGGAATTTGCATTTCTAAGCAATTTCCAGGTTAAACTGATATTGCTGGTCTGGGGACCATAATTAGAGAACTACTCTACTAAATTAACTGTACTTATTTCACTCTATTTTTTATATCCCTATCCCTGACTGGTAAAGCTACTTACTTTCCACTTCCAGGCATAGTGATGAACCCTGAATTTGGTATCAATTCTAACCTAAGAAGAGGGTACTTAAGGCAATCAACCTCAGCGGTCTGTCAAGTCCCATTTGCTACTGGTTCCTTTGTCCTCAGTCCCCTATATTCCTAATGATTAATTACAACTATTGTCCCTAGTTTCTCAATGCCTGGCTCCTGGTCTCAGTGGCCCTGCCTCTCCACTTTCCACCACAATGACTAGGTCCATGACACTTGCTTTCAGACTTCTCACATATCAAATGCCTGCCTTTTAACTTAAACCCAAGCAAGTCAGATGTTCTGACACCCAAACCACAGACCTAGCTTTAAATATTTCTAATGCCCTAATTCCTGCCTTTTCCTTTCCAATGATTCTGTATGTATACTCTTAACAATTTTTATTGTTGCCTTCTGTTCAGTATTTATTTTCATTGTAGCCCAGGTCTGATTTCTAGATTTATATTTCCATAGGCCAGTACCTAAACTGATGAGTCATACTCACCCACAGCTAGCCTTGCACTTACATTGAGATGCTCACACTGCCATATCTAATTTTGCCTATTCTATTTCAGGGTACAGTGGGAAGAGACTTGGAGCCGGACAGATCTGGGCTCAAATCTAAGTTCTGCCATTTATTAGTTATGCCATGTCGCTAAGTAATTTAGCTGCTAAGAACAAAATGGATGAGTTGTCTGAGAAGTCAGAGAGGTTTTATGTGTAAAACATCAAGAATGGAGGTTTAAAGTGTTCAATGAATGTTAATTTCCTTCTGTTCCTCCTGCTGCCTCTCCTGGATTATGCAGCTTCTTTCGGTGAACATGTTAGTCAAGAAAGCTAATATATTTCTCTGTAAAAATGTTTCCTTCAAATATCCACAATATCTGTTTTAATGGACATTCTATTCAATTGCAGAACCCTTTGAAAATCAATTCAAGGCCAGCAAAAGTAAAACTTAATTAAAGTAATGGTCATGGTATATGTGTTGGAAACTGGCAAAAGAGAAGGAAGAGATTTTGTTATTGACAATATAAGCCATACTTGCATTACTGCTTTTGGCAATGTGAGAAACATGCCTATGTTCCTTCTGTAGTGTATGTAGAAAACCCCAAACTGAAAAACTAAATTGAAAACCCCAAATTGTTGAAACACACAAAATATATCACACCAGAATATTCATTTAATCTACACAAAGCCATAATAATGGAATTTATAATTTTTAAACTAGTCCTATATACTATGTCAAAATAATCATGGCTGAAGCATTTGTGTCCCTTTTTATGGAAAATCTAAAGAAACTTCAAGTCCAAGTCTCCCTCTAGGATTGACAAATTTAGGTATTTTGAGAAGAAATCACATCCAGGGAGGAAAAAAAGCTGAACAGTCCCATATTTATCTCCATCCTCTAGGAAACATATTTCTTGCTATGAAAAAAAAAAAATCTGAGATGGAAAAAGTCATGCTGATTTAATTTTCTTTCAGGGAATAGAGAGGAAGACAAAGCCTTCTCTGTGGGAACAAGAGGCCTTCTATTTTAGCCTAAGTCTACTAACATGAGTCTTAGAAGCTATTCATTTTAAACTGCAGAGAAAAAAGAACATTAAAATAGGCTATGAATTTGATTGTACATTCTAACCACAATGTCATACATCTAAAATGGCAGGTCAACAAAGTAAGTTTATTTCCTTATCCTAATTTCTCTTCTGTACTTAAGGCTAAGAATTACCATAAGGACCAACTTTGCCCTCAAATAAATAATACTGTCTATACTCCCTTGAATGACTGCTTCAAATAACAATTTTATTAACTTTCTATTTTGAAATAATATTAGATTTAAAGAGGAGTTGCAAAGATAGTACAGGAAGTTCTAATCTACCATTCATCCAGCTTCCACTAATGTTTCTTTTTTTTTTCTTTTTTTTTTTGAGACAGGATCTAGCTCTGTTGCCCAGACTGGTGCCATCATGGCTCACTATAGCCTTGACCTCCTGGGCTCACGCGATCCTCCTACTTCAGCCTCCCAAGTAGCTGGGACTACATGCATGCACCACCAAGTAGCTGGGACTACAAGCATGCTTGACTAATTGTGTAATCTGTTGTAGAGATGGGGTCTCCTTATGTTGCCCAGGCTAGTCTCAAACTCATGGGCTCAAGCGATCCTCCTGCCTTGGCCTCCCAAAGTGCTGGGATAAGAGGTGTGAGGCACCATGAGGCTCGGCCTGTTTAACTTCGTATGTAATCAGGACATATTTATCAAAAAGGAGAAATTAACAATGGCACAATACTATTAACTACTCAGATTTCCCTAATTTTTCTACCAGTATCCATTTTTTCGGTTCCAGAATCCAATCTAGGATATTGTCTCGCATTTACTCGTCATGTCTCCGCAGCCTCTTCCAATCTGACAGTTTCTCAGTCTTTTCTTGTCTCTTATGACCTTGAAGCTTTTAAGGGAACTTGACAAGTATTTTGTGAAATTTCCCTCAATTTGGGTTTGTCTGATCTCTTGTCACAATTAGAATGAGGTTATGAATTTTGAGGAAGACTATCACAAATGTAATGTATCTTTCTCATCTCATCACATTAGGGATACATAATATTCATGACATATTGCTAGTGATGTTACCTTGATCACACAGAGGATAATTTTTAATGCTAGGAATCTGTTTGTATGATAGCTAAACTTAAAGGATGGCTATCAGGCTTACTGAAAATAAGCAGTGGTTCGGCCAACCAATTAACAAACACTAGGACCCACTGAAGGCAGGATAGTCAGACAGATATTAATTTGAGCCAGTTTCTGCCACTTATTAGTTGTCTGTTTTGGGGCAAATTAAGCCTCAGTTTCTTCATCTGTAAAATAGAATATATCACCTTCAATTAACTGTTATTTTATCCTTACAAGACAGTAAATATAAAGCACTTACCCTGGCACATAGTAAACAGTCGGTAAATGTTAGTGCTGTTCATTCTGGAGTTGATAGTGGTAGTAATAATGTCAGAAGCATTTGTCAAGTTGTGTGGTATTTTTGTCTCAGAAGGAAGTCAAACTACAGACAGGAAAACACTACATGTTCGTAAGGTTTTAAAACACATTAAGTATAGTAAAATGCCCTATAAGAGAGATGTTTATAAAGATTAAATTTGTAGTTCCTTTCTTCTTTAGCAAGAGAAGTGTGCAATTGCTTTGCCATTTGGGTAGAGGTAGGAAAATAACCCTGAAGCAGATCCTCCTGACTGTGAAAAATCATTTAAGTTGGGTTTCCTTTAGTTACATAAGTATAGCATGAACAGGCCCTACTGTCCTGAGATAAGGGTTTAACAAGACTCTTTATATTTTGAGTGACTAAAGAAAGGCGCTTAAGCCCTGGGGAGGGAAGAAAGTTTGAGGTTTGTTAGTGAAAAGATTCTACAAAATGTCCTCAAAAAGTACTCTTGGGACCGGCTTACACAATGAGATGTGGCTGCATATATAAACTGAAGGAGCTGATTGTTAAGATCTAGAACCTAGGAGACCTAATTTAGAGCATCCTTGAAAGAATGTGGCATTAAGGGATTGGGTTCATCCTCCCTTAAAGAATCACTGCTGCCTCTGCAAGGATCTGGACCAGTTAAAGCATCATCACAGTTGTGAGCAAGCATCATCCATCCATTAGGTTGTTCAGGGACCAGGCTTCACCCCAACAATTCCAGGTAGCAGTGAGAAACAGTAGGATTAGTGAACTGATCAGAATCACATTCCTTTTATACCTAGCATCACAGGAGGACTGACCCCTAGAGTTATAGGACAATTAGTTACCTGTTGATAATGTGTTGCATCAAGAGGAGAGAGTACTTGACTTTATGCTATTTAGGCATATGAGGGCCAGAGCAATTAATTGGAAAAATAAAAGAAGTAAAGTTTGTCAATTATATAAGCTTTCAACTTTCCAATATCTATTGTTTGCTACCCTCAAAGGCCTCCTTATAAAGATTAACAGTTTTAAAAACTCTTAAAAGGTAAAGGGCCTTTGGATTTCTTTTCAGTAATGCAGAAAGAATGTGGATATGGGGACACTGCTTGACACTCAGCAGCAAGGCTAATGCAGGAATAAAAATCCCATGGGATACAGTGGGTGGTAGCAATTGCTGGAGCATAGGAAAGCAGATTCAATTCCTGCAGCCTGCAACAAAGGAAGAATGGTAAGCACAGGGAGAGGGTGTGGGCCTGAGAAGGAACTTTGTGCCTAAGCATTTCCATAAGTTCAACTTAGAAATACAAACTACCTTTAGATTTGTATGTATTAATGCAAAAATTACAAAATTTCCACAGAATTATGCACAGAAACATGGCTGTCATGGCGTATCACCCTTCTGACTCTTCTGACTACTCTCCATATTTTAAATATTCTCCCCATTCTCACTAATATTACCCTAATTTTGGCCCTTGTTAGTTTTTACTCTGCCTCCAATCTCTCCCTACTTACATCTACTCATTCTCCTACTGCTACAATCCAGTGTTGATCTTTCTCCTGCTTAAAAATTGCTTTGTGAATAAAACCCAAATCATCCGTCTGGCCCTAAAGGCTCCCTGTGACCTGACCCCAACAGGACTTACCAGACTCATCTCCTGTCCCCACTCCTCTTCCACTTGACATCTTCAGTAAGCCCATCTCTGAGATGTTAATCTTGCTGTTTGCTGTCTGTAAAGTCCTTTCTCATCTTTTTTCACTTCTGTATGTCTAAATCCTTTCCTTCCTTCAAAGCTGGGATCAAAAGCTACCTCCTCAATGAATTCAGCTCTGAGTTTTCCAGCTATAAGTGATGTCTCCCAGCTTCTTAATCCTCTTAACATTTTATCTTTATACTGTATTTTGTGATGTGGGTCAATTTTTACTTTGTATTGTAACTATTTACACATATTTAATAGTGTCCTTATTAGACTAGAAGCTCCTTTTGAATGAGACCCATTATCTTATTTATCTTTTATCTCTCACAAGGCTTATTAAATTACCTGCAGATAAATGCGGTATTTAGTATAAGGTATTTATTTTATTCAACAGAAACCATAATACCAAATACTGCATTTATAGAAACTTAATTATTTATACTATTAGCATATATTCAACTACAGATTTAGAGGGGAGCTTCTCACAAAAATGAAATAAATGATCTAATACTATAAATAACAAAATTTTAAGATATTTCTTTAAAAAATTATAAACTGGCCTAAAACTAACTTAATAAAATGAAATAAGTAGAGGAGTCTGCAACATGGTTTAGGGACGGTAACATGTTTAATCAACGGCAATATCAACACACTGTGACATGTTAATGTTCACAAAGGTCACCGAGACCTGGAAAAAAGTTTTTTTTTTTTTCATTCATTTGACTACAGCTGATATCTAGTTAATGATTAGACTAGGAGGGCAGATTATGCCCTGTATTGAATGGAAACTTTAAGACAAAAATCCACTGAAAAAAACATAGAGCTTTCCAGAATGTATTAGATACGCATTATTTACACTTAAATCCCAATGCACTCAGTGCCTTTTTCTGAACAAGCTCCTCTCTGACCATTTATTAACATGCAAACTTTAATTTGTTTTTCCATGAACTTAACATACTTGATATCTTCTAAGAAATAAACCATTTGGTCCTATACAAGCATTTATTGAATCAAATGAATCACAATAAGATAAAGGCTAAAAGCAGTTACCTACTTTTGATCAAGATGGCTACCTTTAAAAAGTCTACTTTCACGGAAAAAAATATTCAAGTGTACCATAAAGGCAATTTAAACTAGAGATTGGTATAATTGCAGGAATAATTGGGGTACAGAGTAAAGTTATCTTAAAATAAAAAAAAGTGAAGTATTGTTCTGCTTTCCTACAAAATAGCATAAGAATATGCTAGATTAGATTTTGAGTTTGACACACAACGAATATACAAATGCTTACTTTCAAGTGTCTGCCAGACATCTCTACCTGAATATCCCATAGTCACTTCAAAATCAACATTTTTGAAACCTAACATCATCATGTCCCTCCAACTTGCTTATCTATCTGTACTCTTTAATTAGTTATTAATAATAGAATAGCTCTTCACTTATGTGCTCAAGCCAGAAACATGGGAGTCATCTCTCTTTCTCTTTCTCTTTCTCTCTCTCTCCATAGACAAGCAACCATTTAGTACTGTATATTTTATCTTCCAAATATCTCTTAAATTCTCTCATTTCCAGCACTATTGTCAATGCCAATATTAATATCTTAAGTCAGGCCTTTAAGTTCTCTTGCTTAGATTGTTACAACAGCTTTCTCAATCTGGTTTCCTTGCCTGAGCCCACTCTTTCTAACCACCAGACTTCTGGCAGACTAATTTTTCCAAAAAACAAGTCTGATGTCACCTCTTGTTAAATATTCTTCAATGGATAAACGTATTTACAAGGCACATCAGGGCCTTCATGGTTTGGCCCCGTTTATTCTTCATTCATTCATTCTGTTCATTCATCAAGTATTTACTGAATATCTAGTATGTGCCAATCACTGTTCTAGGTGTCAGAAATATAACAGTAGACAAATAGACAAAAATGTCATCCTGTCATTGCCTACTTCCTTTCAACCCTTCTTCCCCACTACTACCAAACTTTGTCTTCAAGAAATAGTGAACCACTTGCAATCAGTGAAGACGTCTTTTTCTTTATACAAATTTCTACTCACTCTTCAATATCAATCCAAATGCAACTGCCTCTCTTAAGATCTCCCCGAATGTTTGCAAGTCTATCTTTGCAAGTCCACTAGCCAGTAAGTTCCTTGAGAATAGAGGTAATATCTTTTGACATATGGTTGGCAAATGCAATGTCTTTTTAAAAATAAAACATGAATGAAATGACAAAGTTTTTCTAAATTGTTAATTGTTTCTAGTGATCAAATAACCTTTTTCTCAATCTTCCAGAAGTATAGGCAAAGTAGTAAATAAGAGTTTGCAAAAGCAGCTGTTACTGTCCAGTATTACACAAGAGATGACCTTCAGAGCCCTATATGAATGTAAGCCTCCGAGGTGTTTTGTCATCTTTCCATTTGAAATTTATTTTGGCATCAGTTTACTTCATAAGTTTGCCTTTTAACCTGAGGCACATTCCCACAATTAAAATGCAAAATAGTAAATACAGTTGTCCCTGAGCATGGGATGGGGCTTGGCTCCAGGACCTTCCCACCATACCGAAGTCTTCAGATGCTCAAGTCCTTTCCATAAAATGGCACAGTATTTGCATATGCACGTCCTCCCAGATACTTTAAGGTTACTTATAATACCTAATACAATGTAAATGCTATGTAAATAATTGTTGTTTTATACTGTTTTCTTAAATTTTCATTTTTTATTGTTGTACTGTTATTTTTAATTGGTTTTTAAAAAATATTTTCAACCTGCATTGCTTGAATCTGCAGATGTGGAACTCACAGATAAGGAAAGCTGACTGTAAATTTTAAGATACACCGTAGAGCTAGTCCTCAAATAATGTAGTTTCAGTACAACATTGTTGAAGACAAATGATTCCCAGTGGAAGCTACTATCTGTGTGGAGTTTGCATGTTCTCCCCATGTCGGTCTAGGTTTTCTCTGGGTACTCTGGTTTCCTCTCACATCCAAAAGATGTGCATGTCAGGCTAACTGGCAAGTTGAGATCATCCCAGGATGATTGAGTGTGGCGGGGTGTGTGAATGCACCCTATGATGGAATGGTGTCCTGTCCAGGGTTGGTTCTGCCTTGCACCTTGAGCTGCTGGGACAGGCTCCAACCACCCATGACCCTAAACTGGAATAACTAGGTAAATAATTTTCTTACTTGTTATTAATTTTTCTTACATATATGTATAGTTCACATTTATTTCAATGTTTATTATTAGAAGTGTTTTTGGTCTTTTTTTGATAGTTTGGTGATGTTTCTATGACCAGAAATATGCATATGAACTTGAACTCTTGTTTATATCCATTAGCCTACGGTAAAATTGGTTTTGTTGTACCTTGTTTTGCTTAAAGTCGCAGTTTCCAAGAACCTACGATGATGAGGAGGACTTACTGTGTAGCAGCAACGACAGATTTTATGGAAAAGGATATTATCCAATACAGAATTTCTTTATCTAAGACAGTCTAAAATGATGCACCTTGTACTCTAACCTACCGTGAATACATTAAAAAGTCTCAAATCAGGCCAGGCACGGTGGCTCACACCTGTAATTCCAGCACTTTGGGAGGCTGAGTCGGGTGGATCACAAGGTCAGGAGTTCAAGACCAGCCTGGCCAAGATGGTGAAATCCCGTCTCTACTAAAAATACAAAAAAATATTAGCCGGGCGTGGTGGCGGGTGCCCGTAATCCCAGCTACTTGGGAGGCTGAGGCAGAGAATTGCTTGAACACGGGAGGCGGAGGTTGTAGTGGCAAAAAAGCCTCAAATCAATGTGCAATTGTCTACATATAAAGGCATCCCTGATAACATTTTAAGAACTATACTGAGATTCACGCATTCACTAAGCATACTGCTTTTTGAGATAAAATGCTACCTGATTTCTCTATTCATTTATTAAGCACATGTCAAAATATAAATCAGGAAAAACATTTGAAATGTGTTTCAAAAGCAAAACTGAAAAGTTCAGATACTGTACACCAACTCCTTCCAATTAAACAGGTTGGAACACCAATGGTGATGTGAGGGGGTGGACATCCGTCAGTACATAAAGAACTTTGTGTTTGCACACAAAGACATTGCTCAACCCACATCTGGCTCCTGCAGCCAAAATCTACCCTCACTGGGGTGACTCCCACTGAAATATATGGGCATAAAGAATAGGGAAATGAATTTTTTAAAAGCCAATTGTTAGTTCCATAGACTTTCAATATATGAGGGAATCAGGATAGAATTGAATCCACTTTTCTACTCTCATTTTTTAAAAGAGAACAGAGAGGTCACAACAGAAGAGAATTTGGTGTTAGGATATCAGATTTCTTATGTCATTGTATAATCAGGAAATTCACTGGAATTTTCATGTTTTTTTTTTTCTCCTGATAGGTCTTCTCATCTCTCTGCCACTCTAAATCATAACCTGTAAGACCTCCACCTCCTATGGAAAGCCTTTCCTATTACACTTTAATTTACTTACTCCTGTTCTTTTTCTACTCTGAACTACTATACTTACAAATTAAGCAGATATTCATAAACTATTTTGTATTGTATGTGTTTCATAGTTTTGCACAGATTAGATTATAAATTTCTTGACAAGAGCAAAAGCAATATTCCAAAGTGCCTAATAAAAAGGAAGGGCAATATAACAGATATTGCAATTGGTATTTGTTCATCAAAGGGCTGGTCCTTTCATGCTCTAATTTCTACTACGCCAAAACTAGGATTAGTCCTTACAAAGAAGAGTTATTATTTACATAACATGAGCTACATCACACCAGGGTCAGTGTCTGATTACCAAAAGACAACTAGAAGAAATTTTTAGAAAATATCAAGAAGTCTGCACCACAGCATTGAATTTCTTACAATACTCACTCTCTTTGCTCAATATCTGAGATTTTGAGAAAGGCTGTACCAGCATAGTGGATAGGAGTATATACTCTAGATCCAGACTGCAAATGTTTTAATTCCAACTCTTTTACTTACTGGCAGTTATGCAGCAAATTAGGCAAATTACCTAACTTGCATTTTTTTTCCTGTACAAATGAGAATAATAATAATAGTGTCTACATTATATGGTTGCTATGAAAATTACATAAATTAATAACTGCAAAGGGCTTAGGATAATGCCTAGCAAGTATTCAGTTTAAGCTATTATTATTCTAAAATATATAGCATTCAATTTTAAAAGGTATAATAGGATTTTTTTTTTTTTTTTGAGACAGAGTCTTGCTCTGTGGCCCAGGCTGGAGTGCAATGGCATGATCTCGGCACACTGCAACCTCCGCCTCCCCGGTTCAAGCGATTCTCCTGTCTCAGCCTCCTGTGTAGCTGGGATTACAGGCACCCGCCAGCATGCCCGGCTAATTTTTGTATTTTTAGTAGAGATGGGGTTTCACCATGTTGGTCAGGCTGGTCTCGAACTCCTGACCTCATGATCCACCCACCTCGGCCTCCCAAAGTGCTGGGATTACAGGCATGAGCCATCGCGCCTGGCCTGTATAATAGGTTTTTAAATAAAAATTGAAGACAATAAGAGAATTTCTTCTGTTTATAATGAACAACTTCTTCCCTAGCATACCAACAAAAAACAAATACCCCAAAATCTACTCATACTCAAGGGTGGTTGATTTAATCCTCCTTTTTGGTATAACACTAATTCTATTCCTCAGTTAAAACAAACAAACAAGCACACACACACACACACACACACACACACACACACACACAAAAAAAAAAAAAAAAAAAACAGGTCAGGCATGGTGGCTCCTGCCTGCAATCCCAGAACTTTGGGAGGCCAAGGCAGATGGATCACTTGAGCCCAGGAGTTGAAGACCAACCTGGGCAACATGGTAAAACCCTGTCTCTACAAAAAATAGGCAGGCGTGGTGGTGCATGCCTGTGGTCCCAGCTACTTGGGAGGCTGAGGTGGGAGGATCCATTGAGCCCAGGAGGTTGAGGCTGCAGCGAGCCATGATTGAGCCACATTGCACTCCAGGCTGGGTGACAGAGCGAGATCTTGTCTTAAAAAAAAAAAAAAAAAAAAAAAAACAGAAACAAAACCAAAAAACCAAAAAGAGATTCAACTAGTAGAGAGTTATTGAGCTGAATCTACGTGCCAGTCTAAGTGGACACAGGCACACACACACACACACACACACGTATGTGCACAATTTAGTTTTCTTCTTTTAAACTTTTTTTAATTTTTAATTTTTATGGATATATAATAGTCATATATATTTATAGGGGACATGTGGTTTTTATATAAGCATACAATGGGTAATGACCTTTGTGTTGGAAACATTCCAAATCTACTCTTCTAGCTTTTTGAAATATACAAAATATATTGTTAACTATAGTCACCTTATTGTGTTACCAAGCACTAGATCTTTATTCTTCTATCTAACTGTATTTTTGTACTAATTATCAGAAAAATCCTTCATGTTAGATATATTAATCCTATTTTACAGATAAAAGCAATGAGGTTCAGAGAGGTCAAACAGCTTAATAAAGGTCACATAGTTAGCCAGTGGCTGAACCAAGAACAGAATCCAAGTCTACCAATTTCAAATTCCGCTCCCTTTCTACTACACGTCATCACACTACTTGTCTACAATTTCCTTTCTCCCTTAACCCACTCACATATAATTTCTAGCAGAGCAGAACACAGAGCTGTTTGCTCAGAGTTCATCCACATCTTCTTGCAAAGTACACAGTCCTGCAACTTTCCATTTCTGTTCTAGTTTCATGTCAATTTAACTTCCTACTAAGAAATTCAGTGCTTAGGGCTATGTGGATTTAGAGCTCCTAAGCCTTCCTTATAAAGACTTCCTTTAAGTACAGGCTTTTAAACTACTTCTGTGATACACTACTTGTTCTGACAAATTGCCTGACATTCTGAAATAATATTTTATTTATTTTATTTATTTTTTTTTTTGAGACAGGGTCTCACTCTGTTGCCCAGGCTGGAGTGTAATAGTGCTATGTCAGCTCACTGCAACTTCCACCTCCCAGGTTCAAGCAATTCTCCCACCTCAGCCTCCCAAGCAGCTGGGATTACAGGCGCATGCCACCACATCCAGCTAATTTTTGTATTTTTAGTAGAGACAGGGTTTCACCATGTTGGCTAGGCTGGTCTTGAACTCCTGACCTCAGGTGATCCACCCACCTCAGCTTCCCAAAGTGCTGGGATTACAGGCGTGGGCCACCGCGCCCGGCCTTTATTTTTTAATAATATTTTTTAAAACTAAAAAAATGACTCTGTTGTGACCAATAGAAGTATAAATTTATCTCAGAAGTTTAATATGCCAAAGACAAACAAGAAATACAGCAAGTAAAGAAACAAAGACTGGAAGGAGCATGGAGGAAAACTTACTGGAAGAGAGGTCAAGAAACTGAGAGGCTGAAGTATTGTTAGGCTCATCTATAGATACTGCAATCATCTAAAATTATGGCAAGTGTAGTGCCAGAGATAACAGTGAGCCAAGTGTAAGAAATAAAGGCTGGTGCCCAGGAGTAGAAACAGCAACAAGGAGGTGTGACAGCATAGTCTGCTGCCATGAGCTTCAAAGGAGTTTTTAGGACGGAGGCTGGGAAGAACACTCTGAGAGCAGCAATGAAGAGTAAGAGAGATATCTATTGCAACTCCAGGTCCAGAAGTAAGAGTGTGAGACAGAAAACAACCATTACCTGCATGAGCTGCAGGGGAAGGAAGATCCTTCCAGATTTCACTTAGAAGAAGATGATAAAGGATTTTAGAAATCAACACACTTTGATGCTATGAGGATAATATAAAACCATGTGTTACCTCATTAAAAAAAGGAAAACTACTAAGGATAACAGAAGCTATCAGGTAGGCACACATAGAAAATAGTCCATATAGAACAGGGAAAAATAATACAGTCAGGTGCAACATGATGACATTTCCGTCAATGACGTATGGAATATATCATGATGGTCCCTTAAGATTATAATGAAGCTGAAAAATTCCGATCACCTAGTGAGATCATAGCTGTGGTAACACACTGCAACATATTACTCATGTGTTCATGGTGATGTTGGTGTAAACAAACCTACTGCACTGCCAATCATATAAAAGTATAGCATGTACAATTATACACAGTACATAATACTTAATAATGAAAATAAATGACTTACTGGTTCATGTATTTACTATACTACAGTTTTTATTGTTATGTTAGAGTGTACATCTACGATTTTTAAAAAGTTAACTAGAACAGCCTCAGGCAGTTTCTTCATGAGGTATCCCAAAAGAAAGCACTGTTATCATGGATGACAGCTCCATGCATGTTATTCCCCCGAAGACCTTCTAGTGGGATGAAATGTGGAGGTGGAAGACAGTACTATTGGTCCTGACTTTGTGTAGGCCTAGGCTAATGTGTATATTTACGTCGTAGTTTTTAACACAAAAGTTTAATAAGTAAAAAATAAAATTTTAAAATAGAAAAAAGCTTATAGAATAAGGATATAAAAAAGAAAATATTTTTGTACAACTGTACAATGGACTTATGTTTAAGCTAAGTGTTATCAAAAAGAGTCAAAAAGTTTAAAACATCAGAGATCATAATGTTAAAAAGCTAGAGTAAGCTAAGATTAATTTACTATTGAAGAAAACTTTTTAAAAATAAATTTAGTGTAGCCTAAGTGTGCAGACTTTATAAATTCTACAGTAGTGTACAATAATATCCTAGGCTTTCACTTTCACTCATGACTCAATCACTGACTCACCCAGACCAACCATCAGTCCTGCAAACTCCATTCATAGTAAGTACCCTAGACAGGTGTGCCGTTTTTATCTTTTATACGTTTGCTGTATCTTTTCTATGTTTAGATACAAAAATATTTACCATTGTACTAAAATTGCCTACAGTATTCAGTTCAGAAACATGCTGTACAGGTTTGTAGCCTAGAAGCAACAGGCCATACTATATAGTCTAGGTATACAGCAGGCTATACCATCTAGGTTTGTGTAAGTACATTCTATGATGCTGTGTGACAATGAAATTGCCTAATAACACATTTCTCACAACATATCTCCACCATTAAGTAACGTAGTAATAATATTATAGGTCTCTTCCACCTCTTGCATGAATCGTCCATCACTGAATATCACATATTCCACATGAGATACTAACAAAAAACCTATTTATCAATTTTAAATGAAAAAAATTACAATTCATTTCATGTCAACCCCAAAAAACTAACCAAGTTCCTAAAGTGTAACTAAAACACAGTAAAGCACCTATACAAAAGTAACAAACTCCAATGTTAGGATATAAAATGCTGAAAACATCACTTCCTGAGCAAAAACCATTCCTAAGGTTAACAGTGGCTACAAGTAGTAACATGCTACATATCCTCTTTGTTGATATTTGGTGCACCTTTCAAATTGTTGACATGTGATTCTGACAGTCTACCAATTATATCTGGAATTTAACACAGACTTCTCACACATTATTTTGTTTAAAATGCAGTATTTGGCTGTATTTCTGGGACATAAATGTAAATATGTATTTTATAATGATCTGCCAAAACACACTGAATTGAGAGATAATGAATTCTAGGACATTTGGGTGTTAAATACCAAGAGGCTTTCTACTAGGAAAAACACGAACTGTGAAGTCATTTGGTGGACTCTGCTTACATATTACATTTGTTCAAATGGTTGAATGGCAGCTTTAGTATATAAAATTAGTCAAGTTAACTATACCCTTTAAACATCAAAATTCTCAGTCAAAATGGGAAAATAATAATGTTCTCCTCAAGGGAGTTTTTGTAAAAATTAAATGAGATGGCTGGGCACGGTGGCTCACACCTGTAATCCCAGCACTTTGGGAGGCTAAGGCAGGCAGATCACGAGGTCAGGAGATCCAGACCATCCTGGCTAACACGGTGAAACCCCACCTCTACTAAAAATACAAAAAATTAGCCAGGCGTGGTGGCGGGTGCCTGTAGTCCCAGCTACTTGGGAGCCTCAGGCAGGAGAATGGCGTGAACCCAGGAGGCAGAGCTTGCAGTGAGCCAAGATCGTGCCACTGCACTCCAGCCTGAGAGACAGAGCGAGACTCCGTCTCAAAAAAAAAAAAAAAAAAAAAGATTAAATGAGATAATGCACATCAAGTAGTTAGTAGAGTGCCCTAGCATATAGCATATGCTCAATAATGGTTCCCATAATTATTTGTATTATCTGTCTAGCAATTGCAGCTTAGAAGATTTATGCATGCATTATCCTGCTTCTTAAGACAAAACAACTTTATGCAGGAGAGGGACAGGACATGGATTATTATCTCCACTTCACAAATAAAAAGACAAACACTTAAAAGAATTCAGCCAGGCATGGTGGCTCATGCCTATAATCCCAGCACTTTGGGAGGCCAACGCAGGAGGATCGCTTGAGCCCAGGAGTTCAAGACCAGCCTGGGTATACGGTGCGACTCTGTCTCAAAATAAAATAAAATAATGAATAAAATAAAGGTTAAAGTGAACTGCCTAAAGTTACATGATTACCTAAAAATACCCACCATGATTGGATATAAACCACCATATAAACCAGGCGTGGGTAAACTTTTTCCAAAAAGGCCAAATAGTAAATATTTTATGTTTGCAGCCCATACAGTCTCTATCACAACTAGTCAATGCTGCCACTATAGCACAAAAGCAGCCATAGACAATACATAAATAAATGCATGGAACTATGTTCCAATAAAACTTTACAAAAACAGGCAGTGGGGTGGATTAGGTTCATAGGCCATACTCTGCAGACCCCTGCCCTAGGCCTTTAGATTACTAGTCTAGTGTACTTTTCCATTACTTTATGGTTACCACCTATTTTCAGGATAGGGTTTCAGCATTAAACTTGGTAGCATTAACTGTCAGAGAAAAGATAAATCAGGAATAATTTGCAGTAGAATTATGAATACAGTAAGATAGTACATAAATATCAGTATTACTGTTTTTTCCTCTTTTACAGCTTCTATTATAAAACTCTCTCTTAATCCTTCCTTTATTTCTTTCTCTTCTAATAAAGCACTGGGCCTAGAAGTAAACACTTTTCTATTTCTCCACAAATATGTTTGCAGAATATTATTCCAAAGAAAGTAGTGGACACTCCATGAGACACCAGAATGAACAAACTTAACAATGGCTTATCTTTTAAAACGGTAAGCAATGTGAAACTTCTGAATCTAACTTGTATGAGCATGTTTTAGGGGGAGTGGAGGGAACAGCGTTAAGCTACCACTCTATTCTCAATCTCAAAGAATAGAGTGATTATCAGTTTTCTCATTATAGAATCTACATGCTACGGTATGCTATGGTAGTGAAGACACTGGACTTGGAATTGAAGACCTAATTTGGAATTCTTTCTCTGGCACTTACTATCTTTGTGACCTAGTAACCTATATATAAGGAGTTGCTGTGAAAATTAAGACAAATAACTATTTTAAAATATTAAGCATCAGAAGCATTGATTATTGCTGCATTTGAAATTATAAACTTCTTAATGAAGTTCTCTTCTACTTTTTTTTTTTTTAAGACAGAGTCTCCCTCTCTCACCAGGCTGGAGTGCAGTGGCGCGATCTCAGCTCACTGCAACCTCCACCTCCCGGGTTCAACCGATTCTCCTGCCTCAGCCTCCCGAGTAGCTGGGACTACAGGTGTGTGCCACCACGCCCAGCTAATTTGTTTGTATTTTTAGTAGAGACGGGGTTTCACTGTGCTGGCCAGGCTCATCTAGAACTCCTGGCCTCAAGTGATCCACCCGCCTTGGCCTCCCAAAGTGCTAGGATTACAGGCGTGAGCCACCGCGCCCAGCCTCTTCTACATTTTTAATAAACTACAATATGATACAATATTCCATAACAGTATAATATCATTTATAAAGCATTTAAAATATTTAGTGCTAAAGTATAAAGCACTTCTTTGTCAAGGAGCTAAAAGTTCTTAAAACATGTTCTCTCATTTCAGTCCATAATATTCCTTTGAAATTAAAACAAACCAGAATTTATTGAGTGACATGTGCTAGGCATTTTATATATATCAACTCATTTAATCTTCACAACAACCTTGAGAAGAAACAAGCTCAGTGAAAGGAAATTACTTGCCCAAGGAACACAGCTCCTAAGTGGCAGCAGATCTTGGGTTATACCCAGGTTACACTGAGTATAACCTGTCATTATTTTTTTCATTATTTAATACTGTCTCTTCAGTTTTTTGACTTGGGGTCCACAAAAAGCCAAGTGCCTCACATAAGGTCAAAGAATAATTACTTTCAGTGCAGTACAAGGCAAATGCTTAGATAACAGTACATTATTCCACTAGATTAAATTACCTCCAAATAACATAATAGTTTAAAGATAATTCCTGCTTAATCTACTTTTGGTCTCAAAAATGTACTGGTAAATAGAGTAAAACCAGTCTACTTACCACTAGTTAAATAAATTAGGGTACCCCCAGGTTAAGCTTTAGATGTCCAAAGAAACAAATGTAGAATTTTGATTAGAGAGAAAAATAAACCAAACAACAAATTTCCTCAAACTCCAATGGTATATTAATAAACATAAGAACATTTCTAAACCTCCTAGCAGGTTTCATGCCTGAAAGCCCTTCCAGAAAGCAGATTTATTCTTCAATAATTTTTTCCCATGAAATTTACAGAAATTATCCCAGAGAAAAATTGGCGACTCTAGTGCTTTTGAAGAACTAAATCAGTAAATTAGATGTTTTTAAATCCTGACATTAAATATAACATATAAAGTAAGAGAATAAAAGTATATAAAATATTTTGTAAATCTATGACCCTCATCCCCCTTTGTTTAAACCAGTATGGTCCTTGAGAGTAGCAGCCTTTTTTTTCCCCTTGCTAAAATAAAATAAACTTCAGTTCCACCCTCTGTTGCTTACCTGTTGCACGGTATGCTGAGAGCTCCATGTGGACTACAGTCACATGGCTGACAGAGCCCAGAAGTGTAATTTAGGTAAAAGCCCTCTTTGCAGGTTTCACAGTGAAGCCCCTGATAACCTGGCCGACACTCACACTGCCCTGTGGTCTGGTTGCAGCGATTCACATTCAGGCTTCCAACCACAGAGCAGTTACATACATACTCTGCAAAGGAAAGAAGGAAAGAGACATTACCAACTAAGATTTAATGCCCTCTTAATAAAATGAACTCTATTTTATTTTTCTTAATAAATTTTCATGACAACTTTGTAAGGATAGATAAAATTAACTCTAGTTCAAATTTACTTTCTATCCCGTTTAGTTTACTTAAATCAGGAAACATATAGAGTACATAAATTATGTAGTGTGTGTGTGACAGTGTGTGTGTGTGTGTGTGTGTGTGTGTGTGTATTATTAGTTTTTCTGAATTAGAAGCCACCAAAGGCAGGCTTATCTACATGGCACTAAGGGCACATGTTGGAAATGACAACATGTTAAATAATAAATAATCCCACTGTATAGCAGCAAAAGCCTAAGGCTCAGATGATTAACTTTGGCAACCGATTCAAGGTCATACTAGATTGTGCCATAGCTAGAATCATAAGCTAATGTGTTCTGCCCAGGAAGAAATTAATGAAGAATAGAAACTTTAAAGTAAGGAAATGATGAACAATAAAACCAGAGGAGAAAGTTTACAGGTTCATCCTGATCTGTGAGTTGAATGTCTTTCCCAAATTAAAATATTTGGAAAATAAACATTTCTTTTAAGTATATTTCAAACAGTTCTTTGTTGTTTGTTTGTTGGTTTCACTTTTTTCACTTTTCGAAAGAAATACTTTAATTTTTAATTTTTGTGAGTACATAGGTGTATAAGGTGTATATATTTATGGGGTACCTGAGGTATTCTGACATAGGCATGCAATGTGTAATAATCATATCAGGATAAACGGTGTGTCCATCACCTTAAGCATTTATCCTTTGTGTTACAAACAATCCAATTATACTCCTTTAGTTATTTTAACATGTACAATTAAATTACTGTCCATAAATTACTAAATTATTGACCACAGTCTATCTGCTGTGCTATCAAATACTAGGTCTTATTCATTCTTTCTATTTTTTTTTGTACCCATTAACCATCCCCACTTCCTCCCCACCACACCCCTGTCCACTATTCTTCGCAGTCAGACAGTTCTTTGGATAAAAATATTGAGAAGCCCTTAGTTTTAGCCTTCTAATGCAAAGACTCATTTAAAGGTCAGTTAGGATTCATTTTTTGCTACTGCCTCTATTCATTTTATCAAAAGGAAAGTGTTTTCAACATAGTTTGACACAGCAGTAACAGAGGACTTTGTATTAACATATGTATCCTAGGAATAGGTCCCATTCCAAAATAGCTATGATCCTACCCTTAAAGGGTCCTGAGAAATCTATGGTACAAATTACAGTTCTAAATAGGTAAGGCACTATATAAAATGGCACTGTACCAACACAGTTTAGCTTGGAAAAAATAATCTTTGATACTATTTTTGATGACTTCAAAAAGCTACTAGACAACTACAAATCCAGACTCTTAAAAAGAGAGTTGTAAAGGGGTTTGCTTCTCCATTCTAGAAAAGGAAATTAAGCTTCAAAATTCTTTATGTAATCACAAGCAGCTTATTTATCCACACAAGTCAAAACAAAAGATTCCTCAAAGAAATTCCCACTTGGCCAACTCTATACCTCCCACACTTCTGCAGTTCCTAACCTTTGGTGTCACTTTATTTCCCTGCTCTTCACAGCTCTTCTAGTTTGTAAAGATAACAAATAACAAATAAATAGACCAGGCAGTGGCTCATGCCTGTAATCCTAGCACTTTAGGAGGCCAAGGTGGGCAGATCACTTGAGCTCAGGAGTTTGAGACCAGCCTGGGCAACATAGTGAAACCACGTCTCTACCAAAAAAAATACAAAAATTAGGCGGGCATCCTGGCATGGGCCTGTAGTCCTCGCTACTCGGGAGGCTGAGGTGGGAGGATCGCTTGAGCCTGGGAGGCTGAGGTTACAGTGAGCCAAGATCTTGCCACTGCACCCCCACCTGGGTGACAGAGTGAGACCTGTCTCATAAAAAATAATTAACGTAAAATAAATAAATAAATATTGGCAGCTTATTTGTTTATTTTATGTCTATTTCAAACTTGGGTGGTTCACAAAACCCAAAGGAAAATTCACATTTCTTCAGCCTCAAGCTTAGGAAAGGAACCAGCTTCCCATTACAATCAAGATTCTTATTTTCACTAGGCTACATAAACATGACATTTCTTTGACAGAGTTACATGTTTTCACATGATAGCTACTTTCTGCGTATGTGTGTTGTGGTTTTTGTAAATAACAAAGCCACGTTCAGTGGTCTGTAAACCTGCCAATGACAACTTCATAACAAGACCTTCACTCCACCAGAAATGACCAGAACACTTAACATTTTTCTTCTGAAATCGGGCAGAAATTCAAATTACATCCAACTTCTCCTGCTGGACCTATTTTATCACCAGTTAACTAATCAAAGTATGTTGGTGTCAGTAGAACTAGCTCAAGAAAAAATGAAAATACTAAAAAAAATTTTCTACAATAAAAACTATGAATTTTATTTCATTATTTCCTTACTAATGTATTTCCATCTGAAAACTGAGTCAATGTTCCCAATGAGTAAGATTAGCAGTATCTTCAAAAGAATCCAATTGAATTTAAGAACTCAGATATAAACACTTAATATTTTTTCCAGTGAAGTTCTAATGGATAAACTTTCAATACTAACCAAGTTCACTGGTTATTTATTATTTCTATAGTCAGTCTAATATCTTCATTATTCCCTGAACATACTCCGGTTAGTCCTGTCTCTGAACCTTTGCTTATTCTGTACATCTTGGAATGCTCTTTTTCACATATTCAAACCTATTCTCTATTTTAAGAATCAGCTGAAACTCACTTCTCCATAAACTCTAACTGTACTGCCCCTATTATGAATCCATAACAATATCTACTACCTAAACCTCTCAAATGACAATAATTTGAAGAGACAGTAAAGCAAAGAGTTATGAAGTTATGAGCACAGATTGTAGACGTAGACGGCTAAGATTAAATCCGGCTCTCTCACTAACTTTATAACCTTAGGCAAGTTAATTAAGCTCTGCGTGCCTTTATTTTTTCTCCTGTAAACAGGGCATAATAATAGTAGCTATACCACTCAGTCCCAATACTTAAGCTGGAAGTGCTTTGGAGTATTGCAATAATTAATACAACAGCTGGAAAAAAGTAGAAAGTGGTATCAGATAAAATAATAAATGCAATTCAGATGTTAGATTCACAGGCTATAGCTTCGTTATATCCTGCGGATAAGATCTAAAAGCCTGAAAATGGGTTTAGTACTATAGCAGCTTTGAATAACGTCTGGGAAACAGAATTAGTGGGCTGTTACGCAGAAATCCATGTTGTGGTTCATCTAGGTAGAGAATAAGACGATATTCTACTTATACCAGGCTCCACTCATTAACAATATGTGTGCCTTAAAATACATTGGTAAAAACAGAAGGATTTAGGATGTGGCTTCAGAGAAGATGAAAAATGAGCATTTATTAATTATATATCCTTGGTACTAATCAGTTTATCTGTAGCAGGGTGAATGGCAAATGTTTCAGCAAGAGAGACCACCCCAGGGATAAGAAGGGGGCTGACACATCAAGACAGAAAGGCACTATCATGTTAATACTTCTGCCCCAAAAAACCAAAGGAAAGGAAGAGAATACAAAGTAAACCAAGTGCCAGGGAGCATGGGCATCTTTTCTGTGTGTAACTCAGAACTTAAGGCCCGTCCCAGTGACTGACCTTAAATGAAATGATGCAAGTTAAATGAATAGTATAAGCAACAGTAATAAATGTAAAACACTCTGGGTATTCACTAAATTGTGCCAGGATAATTTGTTAGCTTGTAAGTAAAGTAAAATCTCAGACCCTTCACAGGTCTAGACATTTGTGCGGAACCAGATAGGAGTTAATGCAGAAATAATGCAATCCCCTTAGTAAAAAGGTGGCAATATGAAAAAGAAGGAAGGAAGTTTCAATTGATAGAAGCAATGAGAAGGACCAAAGACAAGAGGAAGTGCTGACTTTTTAATGAGTTAGAATCTTAGACACCAGAGCAGCACAAAGGAGTCTGCAACATGATTAATGGCAAGTCACCAGTGTGGATGTTAATGGGAATGAAACAATATGAAGAGGACACCTAAAGCTAATTGCAGACAAGTATGAATAAGATGCCGAACAGCTCATTCAATTGCCTAAAAGTAAATATGGAATAAACTCTTTATCGTGTGAGTAGCAGGTTTCCTTTCAGCCCTTTAATTCTTTGGAAAACTCTATAGAGAAATAATTAGAGAAGGGTAATGTAAATGTTCTCACAGAGAGCAAAATCTTGGCAACATTATTTCCTTTTATCGCCTGGCTTCTGAAGAACAATAAAATATAGTGATTTTCACCCTGAAGAAGAATAAGAAACTAAAATCTTTGCCAAACTGCTTTAAGTATTTGAAGATAGTCACATAAAGTCCCAGAGAAAATCAAATCCTGCACTTTTTCAAACATTCCAAAAGCCAAGAGATGAAAATTTTTTAGCCCTAAAAAAAAGATTTTGTTTACAAGTCCCATAAGTTCCCCTGCCACCTACCCCCACCTGCCCTCCCTTTGTGCACAAACATTTGCTCTGGTAAGAGATTATTTACTTGAACATACTGAAGACCTTTTCTAGGCCTTTAATATACCTGGTAGGCTCTCTCTTCATTCAATTTTTAACCATCTATCTCATAGAGAATATTTGGTATGTTCTGGTATTCAGCTTGTTTGCATTAATGATGGGAGTTTTTGGAAAATACTAATTGTGATTGTATGTCCTAATGAATGTGTCCTCTCTGTGTCTCTTTTTGAAGTCATTTCTGAGTGCTAAAATTATCTGTAATGCTCAAGCAGTTTGGAACAATTGTGTGTTAACCCTTTGCAGATAAAAAACCATAAAAACAGTAAATGAAAAATTTGCGTAACAAAATAAAATAACTATGTCCTCAGTCATGATGGAAATCTCCTAGAACAAAGAAATGTTACCCTGACAACAATACTGCTGGTAAACTAAAATGATTACAAAATTATTGCATTTAAGCATAGATACTAGAAGACTACTTGTGGCTATAATTAATACAGAGCACTCACAGGAATCTGGTTCAGAAAGACTGCCTGAAATTCTATCTACAAAATTATCGCACTTAAGCATAGATTACTAGAAGACTACTGGTGGCTATAACTAATACAGAGCACTCACCGGAATCTGGTTCAGGAAGACAGCCTGAAATTCAATCTACAGCCTTTTGCAAAACTGCATAAATACCTTTGCAAAACTCAATTTCTGAGTCCTTTTCATTCATTCAACAACAATTTCACTCTTATTGTTAGTTGATGCACAATAATAATACCTATTTATGCAATGCGGAGTGATATTTCAATACATGCATACAATGTGTAATGATCAGATTAAATAGCACATCCATTACCTCAAACATTGATCATTTCATTGTACTATGAACATTCAAAATTCTCTCTTCTAGCTTTTTGAAAATATAGAGTAAATTACAGTTAACTATATTTACCCTATTGTGCTACAGAACATCAGTACTCATTTAGTACTATCCAGCTATAATTTTATATCCATTAACCAATCTCCTCCCATCCTTCCTTCTCACCTACCCTTCATGGCTTCTAATACCTCCAATTCTACTCTTTTTTTTTTTTGAGATGGAGTCTCACTCTGTAGCCTAGGCTGGAGTGTGGTGACACAATCTTGGCTCACTGCAACCTCTGCCTCCCAGGTTCAAGCGATTCTCCTGCCTCAGCCTCCTAAGTAGCTGGGATTACAGGGGCACACCACCACACCTGGCTAATTTTGTATTTTTAGTAGAGATGGTGTTTCACCATGTTGTTAAGGCTAGTCTTGAACTCCTGACCTCGTAATCCGCCTGCCTCAGCCTCCCAAAGTGCTGGGATTACAGGGGTGAGCCACCACGCCCAGCTCCAATTCTACTCCTTACTTTCATGAGCTCGAATTTTTTTTATCTCCCACATATGAGTAAGAACATGCAGTATTTATCTTTCTGTGCCTTATTTTACTTAACATAACCTCCAGCTTCATCCATGTTTCCACAAATAGCAGGATTTCATTATTTTTCATGGCTGTATAGTACCAATATTCTAAAGCAGTTCCCCTGTGTTTTCTTCTAGCAGTTTTATAGTTTCAGATCTCACTTTTAAGTCTTTAATCCATTTTGAGTTAATTTTTTTAAAAGATGAAAGATAGGAAGTCTAGTTTTATTCTTCTGCATATAGATATCCATTTTTCCCAGCATCATTTATTGAAGAATATATCCTTTCCCCCAATGTGTGTTCTGGGCACCTTTATTGAAAATCAATTGGCTGTAAATACATGGATTTATTTCTGGATTCTCTGTTCTGTTCCACTGACTTATGTGTCTGTTTTTATACCTATGCCATGTTGTTTTGGTTACTATAGTTTTGTAGTATATTTTGAAGTCAGGTAGTGTGATGCCTCCAGCTTTGTTCTTTTTGTTCAGGATTGCTTTGTCTGCTGTGATTCCATATGAATTTTAGGGTTTTTTTTAAAATTTCTGTGAAGAATATCATTGATATTTTGATAGGGATTGCATTAAATCTATAAATTGCTTTAGGTAGTACACTTGCTTTTTAATATCTTCAAATACTGTTATCTATTAAGAATACAAAAAACCTGTATTAAGTTATTCCTAAATTTATAATATTTATCAGAGCACTGGCCATTCAAGTTCTAAGTCCAAAAGATATATCATAGTTTTAGACAGTTGGAACTACAGTCTGACTTGCAAAAGTAGATGGAAATAGTTCTATTCTCAGCACACACAATGCAAATATTATAGGAACATCCACTCAGTGGAAGTCAAAAGCAAAACTGTACTTTGAAAGGCAATGAGTATCCCTCTATTTGAATGGCTAAAATACACAAACAAAAAAACTGACAATACTAATTGCTGGCAAGCATGCAGGACTTTCAAAAATTACTGGTGTTAAGTACAAAATAGTAGAGACACTTTGGAAAACAGTTTGACAGTTTCTTATAAAGTTAATTATACCTTTACTATATGACCCAGCAATTCCACTCCTAGGTATTTATCTGAGGGAAATGAAAAGTTATAGTCACACAAAAACTTGTACAGAAATATTTATGATAAGTGATATTAATAATCACCAAAACCTGGAAATCACCCAAATGTCCTTCAACTAGTGAATGGATACACTATGGTACATTCTCATAATGGAACACCATTCATCAATAAAAAGGAATAAACCACTGACATCCAAGAACATGGATGAATCTTAAATGCATTATGCTAAATGAAAGGAGCCAGGGGAAGAGAACAGATCAGGGGTTTGCCAGGAGCTGGGGGCAGGAGGGAAGGGCTGACTACAAAGGAGCAATACAGGGGAATTTTGAGGGGGTAATAAAACCATTTTACATCTTGATTATACATGTATCAACACTGACAGAACTATTGCACATCAAATGAGTAAATTTCATTGGATATAAATTTTAAAATATGCAAAAAAATTTTTTTAAGCAATGAGGTCTTACTAGATTCAATTTTTAAAATTTTGCTGGAAGGATGCCTTGGTGTCCCACAAGCAACTATTTCAACTGAACTTGGCACTAACGTCCACAGGGGACCCAACTAATGATTGAGGCTTTTTCAAAGTGACTGTTACATTTAAGATAGCAGGAAGTTATTAATGCTTCAGCTGATTATTGCATAAGGAGTTGTGGAACATTTTAGTATTTAAAATGCTATTTTACTAAAAGGAGTACAATCTTTTCTTTTCCCTTTGGCTCCAACTTAAGTCTTAGGCTGCAACTGCTCCCATGTACAATGAGGGAGAAGAGGAAAAAAATGAAAGATAAAGATGTATAGGATTACTATCCTTTTTTCATATGCAATTGTTTGTTTCTTTTTCAGATTGATCATTAAAAACCCTACTCTGTTTAAACAAAGACCAGGAAAATGCATGTAAATATAACTTTCAATCTATCTAATCTATCCAACAAAGAACTTCACCCATTTTCACAAGCCTAGGATTGGATCCACAAAAATTACATCATTCCTGATTTCTGAATTGAAAAGGAAAAATATTGTCAAAATCAAGAGTAGGAATACACAATTCAAACCTCTTCATGTACATCGAATGAGTCTTTAAAAAAACCAACAAACTGGCTGGGTGTGGTGGCTCACACCTGTAATCCCAGCACTTTGGGAGGCCAAGGTGGGCAGATCACCGGAGGTCAGGAGTTCAAGACCAGCCTGGCCAATATGGCAAAACCCCGTCTCTACTAAAATACAAAAATTAGTCAGGCATGGTGGCATGTGCCTGTAATCCCATCTACTCCGGAGGCTGAGGCAGGAGAATCGCTTAAACCTGGGAGGCAGAGGTTGCAGTGAGACGAGATCGTGCCACTGCACTCCAGCCTGGGTGACAGAGCAAGACCCTGTCTCAAAATAAACAAACAAACAAAAAAACCAACAAAACTATATTATCTTGACTACAGGCCTGATTTCCTAAGTATATGGTGTATTTCAAAATGTACTTTTTATTGGACCATATTTTATGTTTTAGGTCTGAAGAAAAGGAATCTCAGAAAAGCCTCATTGTAGGGAAAAGGAATTATCAACACAAGAGTTTTTGTTTTGAGAGTCTTACTCTAGAGTAACATTAATACTCAATTTACATTTCACATTTATGTTATGCCAAGGTATTGCCACAAATCTTTGAAAACTTGGGAAACTTAATATTAAAGCTGATGAATTTCTTTAAACTAGACTTTGTAGAGATGTGTAGTATTAAAGCCACTACTTTTAAAGAAAAGCTTTAAGTTTTGTTTGAAAATAAAAATGTATCAATTAAAATTCCCAGTCACAATTTACTAGAGCAAAACATTTCTTCAACTTTAGGGTAGCCATATGAAATAAATGGGGCAACATAACCCAGGTTTTGTAGAAAATTTTCTGTCTCACATTTAAAAATCATGTTGTTAGTGCTTGTCCCTGGCTCACTGCCAGTTTTCCACAATTCAGAGATAATTCATCTAATTAATGAGACAAGATGACAAGTTCTGGAAAAGGTTGTAAAGGCTAGTTTTTACTACTAATAACAATGATGATATTACCAGCTATTAAGCATATACTATACATATATCAGACATCACACAAGAAACTGGACACAAATGGCCTCCTTTAGTGTTCACCATAATCCTGTGATGCAGGTACCTTAAGCAAGGAATCTGAGTATCAGATAGATGAAACAAATCATACAACTAATCAGTACCAAAGAAGAGACTGAAGCCCAAAATGAGTAACTCCAAAGTCCATGTCTTTTCACTTTAAGAAGCCAACAATCAGACAGACCCAGAACACTTTAAAATCAAACTTTGCTGCTAATTAACCAGCTCTAGGACTGTTAGTGAGTCTAACTGCTCTGAGTTTCAGTGTCTCCATGTACAAAATGTGGCTAATTCTTTTCATCTATCATGAAAAATAATTAAAGGTCAAATTATATATGGCCATGTATATTGTTTTTGGTTTACAAAAACTTTTTTTTAATTGACCCACTGGTATATCTAATAATCTGAATAAGTAAATCAGAAGGCAATTTCCTTTGAAAATTTAGAATGTATATACTATGTTTTAAGGGAAAATCACAGGTTTTAAATTGCTCAATGATGGCAAATTTTCTCATATTTCTCCACATTTCTCATAGTGGCTTAGCACAGTACTGATCAGTAAATAGCTATAAATGTCTGTTCAAATCAGATTCCATTTTATAAAATAAAATTAGAGCTGGTCAATTTAAAAGACAAAGATCTTCAAGATTCAATGAAAACCCACAAAATCCAGCTACAAACAGTTTACAAAAGACATAAAACAGAATTATACCTAAAGGTTAAAAGTAACTGAATGGAAAAAAGATGAAGCACGTAAATACTAGCCAAAAGAAAACTAGTACAGCTAGCTACATTAATTAATATGAGACAAAATAGATGTTTAGGCAAAAAAAAAAAGCAATATAAGCAGATAAGAGGTCTGGTCACTACATAAAAAAATGTACAATTCATTAAAAATATGTAGTTCTAAATTAGATATATATCTAATACCATAGTCTCAAAATACATAAGGCAAAATGACAGCAAATATATTTAATATGGTTATTTCTGAGGATGAAATGAGATAAAAATGTGACAGTATCAGAATAGGATATTTACTGTTTTATCTCCCCAGATGTCCTACTTTTCTTAAAATGTAGAAAATGCTCTCAGAAATTGATATCAGAAACGAGATATGACAATAAATGCTCTAAAATAAGGGATTGGGGAAGATTAGGAATTAGAGTTGGTTAAACTACAGCTTTTTACAATTTTCTGGCAGAAGGGACCTTCTTTTAATCCAGAATTGGAATAATTCAACAAGTTTCCTGAAGTCATAAAAAAGGTAGAAGAAAGAGAGAAGTCTAGTCTAGATTATAGAAAAATATTTACTATACAGGATCATGTACTCAAATACTTTACTCATTAGCATTCTAAACACCCTTATTCTCTAAATCTCACTCTGTCACCCAGGCTAGAGTGCCATGGCACACTCCCAGCTCACTGCAACCTCCGCTTCCTGGATTCAAGCGATTCTCCTGTCTCAGCCTCCCGAGTAGCTGGGACTACAGGCATACACCACTATGCCTGGCTAATTTTTGTATTTTTAGTAGAGACCGGGTTTCACCATGTTGGTCAGGCTGGTCTCAAACTCCTGACCTCAAATGATCTGCCCACCTCAGCCTCCTAAAGTGCTGGGATTACAGGCATGAGCCACCGTGCCCGGCCTCTAAAAGTTCTTTGTACCTTCCACTATGTATCCTCTACCGTGTTCCTAGAGCATTGTTAGAGAAAGTTACAATATAAAGACCTAGTGTGTTAAAGGTTTTACTTTCACTAAGTCCCTAGAACTGCTTCTAAATCCTTAGATTTATCTTACTGTTTCAATATCCATTGCCAGCATTGGCTATTCCAAGCTTCTCTTTAAGTCTTCCATCCCACTGTACAACCAGCAAATGGTTGCAACTTCATGGAAACTGAGACCTTCTTTTTCTCTCTTCCTGCTTTTTCCCATCAATTTAACCTTCCCTCCAGTTTCAGGCTAGCCAGCTCCTTCCAAGACCAAACAATCCCTCCAACTGCGCTCTTTATCACATCCTCTCCCAGAGCTCTTTCCAGGACTCTACTCTGCCCACTCCCATTGTCCCCCTACTTGAGCCTTTTCAAGCTTTCACTCTTTACAGAATTTACCTTCAAATATGCATTGGGTCTCTCACAATTCTCTGTTTAGTCTCCTGTTCCATTTAACTAGCATTTATTTTCTAAATAAAATTTCTCAAACAAAAATACAGACTGCCTCCTTTTCTTCACCACGTTTTCTTCTTAATGCTCTGCAATCTTTTCTAAACTCTACTAAAAATGCTCTCTCAAAAGTTACTAACCCAAAACAAAACAATAGCCTTCTCAGGCCATATTCTGCTTAACTATTTTGCAGCATGTGACATACTGATACCCCTTCCTCTTTGAAACTCTTTCTTTGGTCTCCACGTCATTGGATAAATCCATGAGCATTTACTGAGGATTTTACTATGATCAAGTCCTCTCCTTATGCTTCCACTTCCACATGGCAGATCATTTTGGTTCCCAATGAATCCAGGGAGAGACAAGTCTCAGCTACTCCAGTCATCCCCATCAAGGCCCCAAACATATGGGTGAGGCCATTTTTAGATCCTCCAGCTGTAGCCAATCTACCAATACAGCCAGAGTAAGCCCAAGAGAGACCAGGAGAAGAACCATCAGAATGAGAAATAAATCATTGTTATTGTTTTCAGACACTAATATGAAGAATGAAGGAGAAGACATCACTACGGGGAATATTATGCATAACTCTATGCACATAAATTCAACAACTTTGATGAAATGGACCAATCTCTTGGAAACCAAGCTATCAAAACCTAATTCAGATTACCTTAATGGTCCTATACCTATTAAAGAAATAGAATTTATAGTTTAAAACCTTCCAAAAGAGAAATCTCCAGGCCCAGATGGCGTCACTGGAGAATTCTACTAAGCATTTTAATAAGAAATAACATCAATTCTATAAAATGTCTTCCAGATAACAGAAGAGGTACGAATCCTTTCCAATTAATTCTATAAGGACAGCATTATTTTGACATCAAAACCAGATAAAAACATTACAAGAAAACTACAGAACAATATTCCTTGTGAACATCTTGGATCAAAAACCTCTCAACAAAATAACCAGTAATATATAAACAACAAATTGAACCCAGCAATATATAAAAAGATTAAGTGGGATTTATTCCAGAAATACTGGTTTGACACTTGAAAACTAATCAGTGCAATCCATCCTGTTAGCAGACTAAAGAAAAATGCCATCTCATCTCAACTGATGCAAGAAAAGATTTTAAAAAATTAACATCCATTCATGGGAGAAGTGCCCAGAAAACTATGAATAGAAGGAAACTTTCTCAGCCTAATAAAGGGTATCTATGAAGAAACTACATTTAACATTATACTTCATAGTGAGAGACTAATTACTTTCTCCCAAGATCAGGAACAAGGCAAGAATGTCCTCTCTTGCCACTCCTATTCAAAATCATATTAGAAGTCCTAGACAGTGGAATAAGGCAAGGAAAAGAAAGAAATGGTCTTCAGATCAAAAAAGAAACAAAACTGGGCCAGGGGTAGTAGCTCGACACGTATAAAATCCCAGCTCTTTGGAAGGCCAAGGTGGGAGGATTACATGAATCCAGGAGTTCAAGACCAGCCTAGGCAACATAGTGAGACCCCATCTCTACAGAAAAATAAATAAATAAATAAATAAATAAATAAATAAATAAAAAGCCAGGAATGGTGGCACATGCCTGTAGTCTCGGCTATTCCTGGGGCTGAGATGGAAGGATCACTTGAGCCCAGGAGGTCAAGGCAGTAGTGAGCCATGATCACACCACTCTACTCCAGCCTGTGTAACAGAATGAGACCCTGTCTCAATAAATACATAAACAAATAAATACTGTCTCTATTCACAGATAACATGAAAGCTTATGTAGAAAAAAATGTTTATTACAAAAATTCCTAGAACTAATAAATGACATTAATAAGGTTGCAAGGGCTGGGCCCAGTGGCTCATGCCTGTAATCCCAGCACTTTGAGAGGCCGAGGCAGGCGGATCACCTGAGGTCAGGAGTTCAAGACCAGCCTGACCAACATGGAGAAACCTTGTCTCTACTAAAAATACAAAATTAGCCGGGTGTGGTGGTGCATGCCTGTAATCCCAGCTACTCGGGAGACTGAGGCAGGAGAATCGCTTGAATCCAGGAGGCAGAGGTTGCGGTGAACCGAGATTGCGCCATTGCACTCCAGCCTGGGCAACAAGGGCAAAACTCCGTCTCAAAAAAATAAAAAATAAGGTTGCAAGATACAAAATTAACAAACAAAAATCAACTGTATTTCTATGTGTTATGAATGAACAGATGGAATTTTTAAAATTTTAATACCACTTAGAATAGCTCCAAAAATATGAAATACTTACATACAAAATTAACGTGTATGACCTTTATGCTAAAAACTACAAAACATGAAAAAAGAAACAAAAAGATCTAAAAATATGGAAGACATAATGCAAACAATTAGATCTATAGATTTAATAAATCCCAATCAAAATCCCAGAAGGATTTTTTATAGATATTAACAAATTGATTCTAAAATATATGTGAAAAAGCAAAGAAACCTCAATAGCCAAATAACAACAAAGCTGGAGGACTCACAATAATTGATTTCAAGACTTACTATAAAGCTATAGTAATCAAGACATGGTGTTATTGGTAAAAAGAAAAAAGAAAAAACCTACACAAAAGCCAATGGAATAGAGAGCCCAGAAATAAACCCTCAGAAATATCTAACAAATTTAATTTTTGACAAGATGAAAAGGCAATTCAATGGAGAAAGGATGCTTTTTTTTTTTTAAATAAATGGTGTTGGTACAGTTGGACATCCATAAACAAAAGATTAAAACTTGACATAAACCACACCTTGTATAAAAATTAACTCAATAGGCCGGGCACGGTGGCTCACGCCTGCAATCCCAGCACTTTGGGAGGCCGAGGTGGGTGGATCACGAGGTCAGGAGTTCAAGACTAGCCTGGCCAAGATGGTGAAGTCTCGTCTCTACTAAAAAAAATACAAAAAATTAGCTGGGCGCGGTGGCAGGCACCTGGAATCCCAGCTACTGGGGAGGCTGAGACGGGAGAATCACTTGAACTCAGAGGGCGGAGCTTGCAGTGAGCCGAGATCGTGCCACTGCACTCCAGCCTGGGCAACAGAGTGAGACTCCGTCTCAAAAAAAAAAAAAAAAAAAATTAACTCAACATGGATCATAGCCCTAAATGTAAAATGTAAAACTATAACACTTCTAGAAGAAAACACAGAAGAAAATATGATTGACCTTGCATTAGGCAAAGAGCTTACAAATAAAACACCAAAAGTAAAATCCATAAAAGAAAAATGTATAAGTTGGACTTTATTAAAATGAAATACTTTGTTCTTCAAAAGACTGCTAAGAAAATAAAAACACAGCCATAGACTGGGAGAAAATACTTGCAAATCACATTTCTGTCAAAGCACTTGCATCAAGAATATATAAAGAACCCTGAAAACCCAACAATAAGGAAATAATGCAATTTAAAAATGGAGAAAAGATCTAGAAACTTTACCAAAGAAGATATATGTACGACAAATAAGCACTTGAAAAGGTACCCAATATCTTTCATTAGGAAAATACAAATTAAAACCAAAATGACATACTACTACACATCTAAGAGAATGGCAAATTTCAAAAAACTGTCAATACCAAATACCACAATGCTGAGGAAGTAGAACTCTAGTACAATGTTGATGGGAATGCTTGAAAAATAATTTGACAGTTTCTTTCTTTCTTCTCTCTCTCTTTTTTTTTTGAGACAGGATCTCACTTTGTCACCTAGGCTGGAGTGCAGTGGCATGACCATAGCTCACTGTAACCTCAAACACCTGAGTTCAAGGGACTCTCCTGCCTCAGCCTCCTAAGAAGCTAGGGCTACAAGCACACACCATCATGCTTGCCTAATTTTTAAATTTTGTGCAGAGACAGGGGTCTTGCTATGTTGGCCAGGCTGGTCTCAAACTCATGGCCTCAAGTGATCCTCCCTCTTCAGCCTCTCAAAGTGCTAGGATTACAGGTGTGAGCTACCACATCAGGCCAGCAGTTTCTATTTTTTTTTTTTTTTCGAGACGGAGTCTTGCTCTGTCACCCAGGCTGGAGTGCAGTGGCGCGATCTCGGCTCACTGCAAGCTCCGCCTTCTGGATTCACGCCATTTTCCTGCCTCAGCTTCCCGAGTAGCTGGGACCACAGGCACCAGCCATCATGTCTGGCTAATTTTTATAAAGTTAAATATATACCTACCATATGACCCAATAACTGCTCCCAGGTATCTACCCAAGAGAAATGAAAACTGAGTTCACACATAAGTGTAACTGAATGTTTATAGCAGCTTTATTCATAATCACCAAACATTGGAAATAACCCAAATGTCCTTCGACTGGTGAATGGCTAAACCATGGTCCTTTTTATATTACATATGAGAATATTTTTACACGTCAGAATCTATGTCTGATCTATTAAGTGGACCTAGTCTGGCTAGGTGCAGTGGGTCATATCTGTAATCCCGGCACTTGGGTGGCTGAGGCAGGAGGATCCCTTGAGCCCAGGAGTTCAATACTAGCCTGGGCAACATAGTGAAACCCCATCTTTATAATATAAAAAATTTTTAAAAATTACTCCAGCATGGTGGCTCAGACCTGTGGTTCCAGCTATACAGGAGGCTAAAGTGAGAGGATGGCTTAAGCCTGGGAGGTCAAGGTTGCAGTGAGTTGTGATCATGCCACTGTACTCCAGCCTGGGCAACAGAGTGAGACCCTGTCTCAAAAAAAAATTACTGGCCAGGCGCAGTGGCTCATGCCTGTAATCCCAGCACTTTGGGAGGCCGAGGGGGGTGGATCACAAGGTCAGGAGTTCAAGACCAGCCTGGCCAACATAGTAAAACCCTGTCTCTACTAAAAATACAAAAAATTAGCCGGGTGTGGTGGCGGGCGCCTGTAATCCCAGCTACTCTGAAGGCTGAGGCAGGAGAATCGCTTGAACCTGGGAGGCGGAAGCTGCAGTGAGCCGAGATCACGCCATTGCACTCCAGCCTGGCCGACAGAGCGAGACTCCATCTCAAAAAAAAAAAAAAAAAAAAAAACAACCTATTCTTATATCAGCACATAAAAAAGTTTTAATAACTGCAGCTTTATAATGTGCTTCACTAATGTATTATCCTTCTTTACATTTCTTTAGTTGTTCATAGTTACTAATGTTTCCACCTAAACTTTATTGCCACATTCCCTCCAAAAATATTCCCATTGTAATTTCCCCAGTAATTCCATTTATCCTAAAAATTAATGCATCAATAACTGGCAGCTTTACAATATTCAATTTTCAGCCAGGCACAGTGGCTCTGGCCTGCATTCCCAGCACTTTGGGAGGCCAAGGCAGACAGATCACTTGAGTCCACAAGTTCAGCCTGGGCAACATGGCAAAACCGGTTCCATCTCTACAAAAAAAACTTCAATTTTCCCATCTATGAGCACTAACATGTGTCTCCACTTATTCAGTCTTCTTTTATATCAGTGAAATTTTATAACTTAAAAAATATGTATATGAGTTTCATACATATCTTGTTATGATGACTTTTAAACTTTTTATCATTAGTAGTAGTGGTGGCAGTAGTGGTTACAACTGTGATTTTTTTTTCCATTGTATCTTCTAATCAATATTAGTAATAATCATTCAATTAGATTTTTTGAGATATCCATACAGACATTTTGATGAACTCTCTTATTGTTTCTAATGGTATTCCCCTTGATTTTCTTGAGTAAGATTTCTGTTTTTAAGTTACATGATTATGAGATCTTCCATTAAAGGTCATATCTTATCTGGCTAACAACAGATATAATTCTGGGTTTCCTCCACAACAGCTTGTGATAAAATACAGCAAACTGTTTCATACAACTGCTTATCTTAATCCCTAGGTAAACCTTATTACTATTATAATAAAAATAATTGTCATTTACTATGATCTACTAACTATGTCTCGGACTTTGTTGCACATTTTACTTGCATGAATACTTAGCTTTACAACAACCTTGCAACTGTAGAGACTGCAAGTCCCAGTTTATTAAGAGGAAAACTAAAACTTAGAGAAGCTAAGTGCTTGCCCAAGACCAGAGTTAGCGGGTAAGTGGTTGAGACAACATTCACATCCAGGTTTATCTTACGTCAATACCCTTCCTCATTTCACTTCACTTCACCACTTCTTCCTTTAAAAGAAGGGGAGGAGATAAGGAGCAAAAAGAAGAAGAAATTCTACCTAATACTATTAAATGCAGTTGTGTTTTCTTTTCTTTTCGTGTGTGTGAGTGTGTGTGTGTGTGTGTATGTGACCGGATCTCCCTCGGTCGCCCAGGATGGAGTGCAGTGGCACGATCACAGCTCACCGCAGCCTCAACCTCCTTGCCTCAGGTTATCCTCCCACCTCAGCTTCCCAAGTAGTTGGGACTACAGGCGTGCACCACCATGCCAGCCTAATTAAAAAAAAAATTTTTTTTATAGAGATGGGGTATCATCATGTTGCCCAGGCTGGTTTCAAACTCGTGCTCAAGCAATCCGCCCACCTCAGCCCCCAAAGTGCTGGTTCACAGGCCAGAGCCACTGCGTCTGGCATTTTTTTTCCAATCTGTTTTTCTGTAAGCAAGTGAAATCAAATCAAATGATTACCAAATGGTGTGGGGTAGGAGGGAAGCAGTTGCTCAAGCTACAAAATAAATTATCAATTGGCAACACCTTGCATTTGTTTTCAGCTGGTACACCTTAACATACTGTTCAAAGCCAAAGACACAATCATGAGTTAGTATTTGTCATCCATTTATTTTATTCAAATGCACTCTCATAACTAAAACAATACAAGTATCTCTCTAAAAGAAATGTGCTAATTTGGGATCAAGAGTTCTGGATATGGACTATACTAAGCTATCAAACTTCTATTTGAACCTAGGCAAAACACTTATCTTTTTGTGCCACCACTTTTCCATTAGTATACATTTTTCAAAGTTTTGAAAAAACTAATTTTGCCACTTAGTAAGAGTTAATTGTTCATGTTTCGAGAGTATATTTTATTTTTTGTACCCATTAACCATCCCCACCTCCCTTCCATGCAACCCCCGACTACTCTTCCCAGACTCTAGTAAATATCTTTCTATTCTCTATCTCTATGAGTTCAATTGTTTTAACTTTTAGGTCCCACAAATAAGTGAGAACATGCAATATTTAACTTTCTGTGCCTGGCTTATTTCACTTAACATAATTACCTCTAGTTGTTGTTGTTGCAAATCCATGTTGTTGCAAATGACAGGATCTTATTCTGTTTTATGGATGAATAGTACTCCATTGTGTATATGCACCACATTTACTTTATCCATTAGTCTGTTGATGGATACTTGGGTTGCTTCCAAATCTTGGCTATTATGAACAGTTGCTGCAACAAACATGGGAATGCAAATATTCCTCGATATATGGATTTCCTTTGAGTATATATCCAGCAGTGAGATTGATGGATTGTATTGTAGCTCTAATTTTAGTTTACTGAGGAACCTCTAAACAGTTCTCCATAGTGGTTGTACTAATTTACCCTCCCACCAACACTATACAAGATTTCCCTTTCTCCACATCCTCACCAGCATTTATTACTGTCTGACTTGTGGGGGATTTTTTTGTTTGTTTTTCTGAGACAGAGTCTCACTGTGTCGCCCAGGGTGGAATGCAGTAGCATGATCTTGGCTCACTGCAACCTCTGCCTCCCGGGTTCAAGGAATTCTCATGCCTCAGCCTCCTGAACAGCTGGGATAACAGGTGTGCACCACCATACCTGGCTAATTTTTTTGTATTTCAGTAGAGATGGGGTTTTGCCATGTTGGCCATGCTGGTCTCGAACTCCTGGCCTGAAGTGATCCACCTGCCTCGGCCTCCCAAAGTGCTGGGATTACAGGTGTGAGCCACTGCATTCAGCCTGACTTTGTATTTTTAAATAGCCTGTCTTCATGTTCACTAGTTCTTCTGCTTAATCAATTCTACTATTAAGAGACTCTGGCTGAACAGACACATGAAAAAAGGCTCATCATCACTGGCCATCAGAGAAATGCAAATCAAAACCACAATGAGATACCATCTCACACCAGTTACAATGGCGATCATTAAAAAGTCAGGAAACAACAGGTGCTGGAGAGGATGTGGAGAAATAGGAACACTTTTACACTGTTGGTGGGACTGTAAACTAGTTCAACGATTTTAGAAGACAGTGTGGCAATTCCTCAAGGATCTAGAACTAGAAATATCATTTGACCCAGCCATCTCATTACTGGGTATATAACCAAAGGATTATAAATCATGCTGCTATAAAGACACATGCACACATTTATTTTTGCGGCACTATTCACAATAGCAAAGACTTGGAACCAACCTAAATGTCCATCAATGATAGAATGGATTAAGAAAATGTGGCACATATACACCATGGAATACTATGCAGCCATAAAAAATGATGAGTTCATGTCCTTTGTAGGGACACAGATGAAGCTAGAAACCATCATTCTGAGCAAACTATCACAAGGACAGAAAACCAAACACCGCATGTTCTCACTCATATGTGGGAATTGAACAATGAGAACACTTGGACACAGGATGGGGAACATCACACACCGGGGCCTGTTGAGGGGTGGGGGGAGGGGGAAGGGATTGCATTAGGAGACATACTTAATGTAAATGACGAGTTAATGGGTGCACCACACCAACATGGCACATGTATACATATGTGACAAACCTGATCGTTGTGCACATGTACCCTAGAACTTAAAGTATAATTTAAAAAAAAAGAGAGAGAGACAGAGAGACTCTGGCCAGCGCAGTGGCTCATGTCTGTAATCCCAGCACTATGGGAGGCTGATGCAGGCAGATCACCTGAGGCCAGGAGTTTGAGACCAGCCTGGCCAACATAGTGAAACCCCGTCTCTACTAAAAATACAAAAATTAGCCGGGTGTGGTGGCAAGCACTTGTAATCCCAGCTACTCAGGAGGCTGAGGCAGGAGAATCACCTGAACCCAGGAGGCGGAGGTTGCAGTGAGCCAAGATTGTGCCACTGCACTCCAGCCTGGGTGACAGAGTGAGACTCCGTCTCAAAAAAAAAAAAAAAAAGAGAGAGACTCTGATGCATTCTTCAGCATGTCAATTGCACTTCCAACTCTAGAATTTCTGTTATTTTTACTTATTTCAATTTCTGTTAAACGTCTCTAATAGAATTCTGACTTCCTTCTCTGTTTTATCTTGAATTTGAGTTTCCTCAAAACAGCTATTTTGAATTCTCTGTTTGAAAGTTCATATATTTCTGTTTCTCCAGGATTGGTCCCTGGTGCCTTATTTAGTTCATCTGATGAGGTCATGTTTTCCTGGATGGTGTTGATACGTGTAGATATTCACTGGTGTCTAGGCATTGAAGAGTTAGGTATTTATTGTAGTCTCCACAGTCTGGGCTTGTGTGTGCCTCTCCTTCTTGGGAAGGCTTTCCAGGTATTCGAAGGGACTTGGGCCCCAAATGCAGTAACACTGGTTTTTGCAGACTTATACAGGTACCGCCTTGTTGGTCCTGGATAAGATCTGGAATTCTGTGGATTACCAAGCAGAAACTCTTATTCTTTACCCTTACCATCTCCCAAATAAATGAAGTCTCTCTCCCTGTGCTGAGCCACCTGAAACTGGGGGTGTGGTAACGCATGCACCCCTGTGGCCACCACCACTGGGACTGCACTGGGTCAGACCTGAAGCCACCACAGCACTGGATCTCTCCCAAGGCCCTTCCCTTCAGGGCGGCAAGCTCCCCTAGACCCTGGATGTATCCAGAGATGTTGTCTGGGAGCCAGGGATAGAAGTAAAAAGTCTTAGCAGTTTACCTGATGTTCTATTCTACTGTGGCTAAGCTGGCACTCGCGCCACAATACAAAGTCCTTCTCACTCTTCCCCCCTTTCCACAGGCACAGGAGCCTCTTCCTGTGGCCACCACCACCACTGGTTCTGCCAGGCCACTGTCGATGTTCATTTAAGGCCCAAGGGCTCTTCCATCAGCTTGTGGTGAATGCTGCCAGGCCTGGGACTCTGTTTTCCAGGCAGCAGGCTCCCCTGTGGCCAAGGGCAGGTCCAGAAATGCTGCCTAAGAGCCTAGGCCTAGGCTCCCTAGAGTCAGGGACCTCAAGAGCCCATTTATTGCTCTATCCTACCATAGATGAGCTGGTACTTAAGGTGCCAAAGTCCCCTTTACCTTTCCCTCTGCTTTTCTCAAACAGAAGGAGTCTTTCACCATAGCCACCACAGCTGGGAATGTGCTGGGTCGCCTCTGAAGCCAGCACATCTCAGAGCCCACGGCCCCACAGTGTCCTCCCTGGCTACTGCTGCTGGTTATTCAGGGCCCAAGGGCTCTTTAGTCAGTAGGTGATGAATGCCGCCAGGACTGGGTCCTTCCCTTGAAGGCGGCAGATTCCCTTTTGGCACAGGGTGTGTCTAGAAATGTTGTCTGGGAGCTAGGTCCTGGAATGGGGGCCTCACAGCTCTGCTTGATACCCTATACTACTGTGGCTGAGCTTGTATCCAAGATGCAAGACAAAGTCCGCTTTACTCTTTGCATCCTCTCCTTAAACAAAAGGAAGGAGTCACTTTTGTTGCTGCGAGATGCACTGCCTGGGGTTGGGGGAGGGATGGCACAAGACAAGTTTACTTATATGTGCATTTCTTTTTATAATAAAAATGGGTTATGTGCCTAATGAAAAAAAAAAAGAATGCATTTGACTCTATCAGGCCACTATCAAATTTAGTATGTGTAATACTAAAATAATTAACCAAGTACTGCCTAGAAGGCTTAAGAGTATTCTATCCTAATTACCATATACCTATTAATATAGAGTAGCTGTTATGTTGGTAACTATTCTTCAATTTATATGGGCTTTTTGATTTACAGCATTATCACAATATCCCAAGTCCAAGGGGAGGCAGGGACAGGGAGAGCAAACACGGAAACTGAATTTGAATAACTTGAAATCCAGCTCCAGGCCACAGTAGAGGAAGATTAGTTTATGAAGTAAAGGGACTTGGGTGCAAATCTGAATCCGTTGTTTATAGCTCTGCAATCTCAAATGTCATGTCCTCTTTGTAAAGACTTTTCTTAAAATTAGAGTAATGAACCTTACAAGGATGTTTTCAGAATTAGAAGATACAAGGCAAAACAACAACAACAAGCAACAACAACAAAAAACACCTATGACAGTGGCCTTTCTCTACCCTACATTTTTATTATAAGCAATCTGTTTGGCAAAGTAGCATCCTTAGATGTTACTACAGATTGCAAAAATTAAAAACTAAAAGGGATCATCAGAGGCCTATTAATGAATTCAAAATACCCAAAATAATTCATTAATGCCTGATTAAGGCTTAATCTTATAGGTAATATAACAGAAAGCATAAGAAGAAAATAACTTCAATTTCAAGTACTGCCAATTGCTTCTGAGGTTGGGACCAGATTTGCCTTACTGTCCCTGTTTACAGAGAGGCCAGATGAGCAACTTAAAGGTTAGAACTATTTGCTCATTGTAATGCCTGGAAAATTCATTCAGAGAAAAGTAGTACAAAGAGAACAAAAGGAAAGGTCAGTTTAAAAATGCTATCCTAAGGTGTGCAGTGGTATAACCTAGGAACTATTTGCCAATATTCAAAAAAGGGAAGGTTGGTTCCACATTTTGTAGTTTCACATTCATCCCCAACCAATTCTTACACACACACACACACACGCACACACATATATTTGAAACAGGGTCTTCTCTGCCACCCAAGCTGGAGTGTAGTGGCATGATTATGGTCCACTGTAGATCACCCAGGCTCAGGCCATCCTCCTACCTCAGCGTCCCGAGTAGCTGGGACTACAGGAGCAAGCCACCATCCCCAGCTAATGTTTTTATTTTTTGTAGAGACAGGATCTTGCTATGTTAACCAGGCTGGTCTCAAACTCCTGGGCCCAAGTGATGCTCCCACCTCAGCTTCCAAAGTGCTGGGATTACAGCCATGAGCCACCGCACCCAGCCCTTACACATAGTATTAAATGAATATTTTGTAGATTACTAGGAATAAATATATATTTGCTTACAAAGTTATGCCATACTATCTTGGGAAAATACATGGGGCATATGGAGAAGAGTGAGTAGAGAAAATGTACTTGTTATGGTTGCAGCAAAGACTAATAGGGAGGAATAGGAGAATATACATATTAGAAAGGTATATTAGGGCCCTGAACTGCAGTCTAAAGAGTCTGCATTTCATCCAACATGGAATGATTCCCCAAAGAAGGTTCTGGTACCACCAGCCTCAAAATCACCTGGAGAGTACAGTAACACACTGATTCCTGGGTCCCATCCTAGGCCGACTGAATAGAAATCTCTGGTGGGGGTACTAAGGAATATGCATTTTTACATAGTTCAAAATTCATTCTGATTTACCCAAAAAGTTGGCCATAAGCCAAAGGGAACGAAATGGTTTGGCTGTGAACCCACCCAAATCTCATCTCAAATTGTAATCCTCATAATCTCCATGTGTTGAGGGAGGGACCAGATGGGAGGTGATTGGATCACAGGGGCAGTTTCCCTCATGCTCTTCTAGTGATAGTGAGTGAGTTCTCACAAGATCTGATGGTTTTATAAGGCAGTTTTCCCTGCTCTTGCTAGCTCTCTTTCCTGCCGCCATGTGAAGAAGGTCTTTGCTTCTCCTTCGGCTTCTGCCATGATTGTAAGTTTCCTGAGGCCTCCCCAGGCATGTGGAACTGTGAGTCAATTAAACCTCATTTCTTTATAAATTACCCAGTCTCAAGTAGTTCTTTATAGCAGTTTGAAAACTGGCAGTGTGAAGCCTGGGCAACATGGTAAAACTCTGTCTCTACTTAAAATACAAAAAATTAGCCAGGTGTGGGGGCACACACCTGCAGTCCCAGCTACTCAGGAGGCTGAGGCAGAAGGATCATCTAAGCCTGGGAAGTTGAGGCTGCAGTGAGCCATGATCATATCACTGCACTCCAACATGGACAACAGGAGTGAGACCCTGCTTCAAAAAAAAACCCCAAAACAAACAAAAAACTTACAAGGAAAAAAATTTAAAAATAAAATAAAATCCAGGTATAAATACAAATAAAAATGTACAAGGAACCTATAAGATAGTTACAACCTTTACCATAGAGGGTATAAAATAAGAAAATAGAGGCACAGAGAAATTAATTTTCCCAAGGTCAGATGGTCATGACCATCTTTAAGAGCAGTGTGAAGAAAGGACTAGAGAAGGTAGACTAGGGCTACAGGTTTATTGACAAACTGTTGTAGCAATTTGACAGGAGAACCTGAATTTGGGCAGAGTCACTAGTAAAGGCTGCTTCTTCAAACATACAGATGGCACAGTAAGTAGGGTCTATCTGTATATTATACACTGAAATTAAGTCTGCTTGCTTTCTGAATAAACACTCCAAGGTCGAAAATATACCTGTCTGCAGTTGTCTACAGTGCTAGAAGTTTAATAGATTTGCAGTTTTCTAGAAGCAAGTAAAATAGCTGAGCCTTGAGTCATTCCAAAGGACATTTTAAAATAACTACTTTTTTCTTTCAGAAGTCAAAGGGGGTTATCTTACTTTGTGTTCCCTATCTAATCCTCTTAATCCTCAAAACTTGTTGACAAATTCTTCCCACTCTCCTGCCACACTTCACTATTATCAAACACTTATACAGTATAAACACTGCTCCACACTGCAAGCTGTGAAATTCTTTGCTTTATCATCGTGACTAAGCATTTGAGTAACATTTTATATTCAAAAAGAAGGGCACAGTAGAGAAGAAATCCCTCTTCCAACACCACTGATCATTCCTGCTCTTGCACACGCCATTAGTGGAACTCAGCCACCTCCCTGCCAACACATATACGCCATGTATACACTAAGATCCTCAAAAGAAAACTGATGTTGAGAAGTCACAATACTAAAACAGATTGGAGGCTTCATTTTTTTTTCTTTTTTTTTTTTGAGACGGAGTCTCGCTCTCTCTCCCAGTCTGGAGTGCAGTGGCACGATCTCGGCTCACTGCAAGCTCCACCTCCCAGGGTTCACGCCATTCTCCTGCCTCAGCTTCCTGAGTAGTTGGGACTACAGGCGCCCACCACCACGCCCAGCTAATTTTTTGTATTTTTAGTAGAGACAGGATTTCACCGTGTTAGCCAGGATGGTCTCGATCTCCTGACCTTGTGATCCACCCGCCTGGGCCTCCCAAAGTGCTGGGATTACAGGCGTAAGCCACCACACCCGGCCGGGAGGCTTCATTTTTTAAATGCGATTTTGGAAGCATCAAGATGTTGAAGATTTTGTTCAAGGCTGCAAGCAATACAGACATAGGATTGCATTCCATGTTCCTGACATACTCCTAACCTGCTCATCACAATGTTTACATCAACATCATACTCTTGCACACTCCTTCAGAGAAAAATACAAAACACAACCGTCGAACTTCCTCTAATTATTGCCAAGGCACTATTAGATGTTAACAATCTCGGATATTCTCAGAGACCAATGGTCAATAATATATCAAAAAAGAAATAATTTGGCTCCCTCCTCCCCTCCTGAAGTAATAGTCTTGGAGAAACAGGCAATGTTAGATAAAATATCTAAGGGAAACAGACTATGGCTAAATGATATCTATTTCCACACTAGCAGAATTTGCCAATTCTTTCTACTTCACTTCTGATTTCATACATCCCATTCACTACTTTCTGTACCATTAAAAGCTATCACCACAGTCTTGGTGGAAGTGTAAAATGGTACAGCCACTATGAAAAACAGTATCGCAGTTTCCCAAAAAATTAATTTACCATATATGATTCAACAATCTCATTAATGGGTTTATATCCAAAAGAACTAAAAGCAATGCCTCGAAGAGATACTTGCACAATCACATTCATAGCAGCACTATTCACAATACTCAAGAGGTGGAAGCAACCCATATGTCTATTGATGGATAAAGAAAGAAAATGTGGCATCTATATACAATGGAATATTATTCAGCCCTAAAAATGAAGGAAATCCTGTCACATGCTACAACATGGAGAAACCTTGAGGTCACTGTGTTAAGTGAAATAAACTAGTCACAAAACAACAAATACTCCATGATTCCACTTATGAAGTATCTAAAGTAGTCAAATTCACAGAAACAGATTGGAATGATAGTTGCCAAGAGCTTGGGGGAAGGGGAAAAGGGAGTTGAGGGAATTTTTTTTTTTTTTTTTTTTGAGATGGAGTCTTGCTCTGTCGCCTAGGCTGGAGTGCAGCAGCGTGATCTCGGCTCACTGCAAGCTCCGCCTCCCAGGTTCATGCCATTCTCCAGCCTCAGCCTCTCTGAGCAGCTGGGACTACAGGTGCCCGCCACCACGCCTGGATAATTTTTTGTATTTTTAGTAGAGACGGGGTTTCACTGTGGTCTCAATCTCCTAACCTCGTGATCCGCCTGCCTCGGCCTCCCGAAGTGCTGGGATTACAATCGTGAGCCACCAGGCCCGGCCGAGGGAATTCTTATTTAATGGATACAGAGTTTCAAATTTGCAAGATGAAAAAGTTCTGGAAATCTGTTTCACAACAATGTGAATATACTTAACAAACTGTACACTTAAAAATGGTTACAGTGGTCAGCTTTATATGTTTTTTAACCCATAATTTGAAAAGGAGAGAGGGAGCTATCATGATACAGTATGCTGGTAGGCATTCCTTACTTCCCTAACTAGAAGCTAGTGAATCTTAAAGTGCTGGAAGTTAGAGATCTGATTATCTGCTCTACCACTACCTCCTTTTTACAGATAACTGAAGCTAGGAGTAGTACACCAATCTTTAAAGTCAGGTGGACTAGAATCCAAACACTGGCTCTAACACTTTGCTGTGAGCCTCAGCTCCCTCCCCTGTACAAATGTGGATATTAAATGAAACAATATAGCATAGTACTTGGCACACAGTCTTCCTTCCCTTTCAACTCTCTGGGATGGTTCATTTTGTAGTCAAAGCCCTGTCTTGGTTGGCAATGGTAAACAGAGTAACTATTTGAACAAAAAGGAAACAGGTGAATTTTTAATAAAATAGTTTGTGTGTGTGTGTGTGTATGTGTATATATATATATTTAGATCAATTCCTGAGAAATGCTGAAATTAAGCCAACTACCCACTGAAGTGATTCTGCTATATGTTTTAATGCTTTCCCTCCAAAAAAAATATCTAATTTTAAGGAGAGAATGGTTACACATAAAATTTATAGAATCATCTAAAAGAGGCTACTCCTAGAACAGCCAAATCTCTCATACATTCCTGGTTGAAATATAAACTTGTATAACCTCTTCAGAGAAGAATGTGCATATTCTAGAACCTAGCAGTGCCTTGCAACTCCAAATATGGTCTATGGATCTGCATTACCTGGGAACTTGTGAGAAATATAGATTCTCAGGCCCACCTGAGAACAACTGAATCAGGACCTGAATCAGAACCTGCAGTATCATAAGGTACTCAGGTGATTCCTATGCACATTAATTGAGACGTATTGCTCTAGAGAAACTCACCTACAAGTGAAGAAAACATGTGCAATGTTGTTCATTGCAGCATTACTTGAAAAAGCAAAAAATGTAGAATCAGCTCAAATGATTATCAATAAGAAAAATGAGATATTGTGGACTATTCATACAGTAGGAAACTATACAGCAAACTTGATAAAGCAGAATTACATGGAACAATATAGAAAAATCTCAATAAAATGGTGAGTTTAAAAAAAGCATGGTAAGAGTTCATTATACAAAATTTGAAACATGAACACAACACTGTGTGTGTGTGTGTGTGTGTGTGTGTGTGTGTGTGTGTAAACATTTTTAAATGCATGGCACCAAATTCAGGATAGTGGTTACATCTGGGTAGGGAAGAAAGAAAAAGAGATAAAAAAAAAAAAAAAGAACACCAGGAGGCTATGATCATATTTAATATTTTATCTCAAAAATGAAAACAATCCAAAGCAAATACAGGAGAAAATTCAGATATTACAAAGCTGGGAGGCAGGTATACAGGGGATGTTCACTATATTACTTTTTATACTTTTCAGAAAACTTATTTCATATTTTTTAAAATGAAGAATAAGTTTCTCCCCATTGGTTAGCATTTCTCATAAACAAATATCATCGTACTCAAACTTGTACTATAGAAATAATCATCTATTTGTCCTATCTAGGTTTTAAAAGAACAAGTTTTGCATCTGACTTATCTCTGAATGCATCATCTCCTCTCCGCAACACACACACACACACACACACACACACACACACACACACGCACGCACACACAACTTCTCTTAGGGCTTCAGAGATCAAGTTAGGAGATTTGAAGGTCAGATTCAAGTGAAGATATGGTTACCTGGGCCAATCAACATGGAAAAACAGAATCTCTGCCTGGGGTAGCCAAGATTATGGACCCAAATAGGACTAACTGTAAAGTCTGCAAAATAAGGAAGGAAAAGAAACAGTAGTGCTAACAGCAGGGCTGTATCAGGTGCACCAAAATCAAGTGAAAAAGAAAAAGACATACATCCAAGGGCATGAATATATTCATTCATTCAGCAAATATATATTGCCTCATATATACCTGCTAAACATTATTTCAGATGCTAGGGATGTGGCAGTAAACAAAACAGGCCAAAATTAACGCCCTCATGGACCTTACATCTTAGAAATGGACACACAATTAGTTACTTAAATAGGTTAAGTATTTAGTATGTTAGAAGGTAGTTAAATCCTAAGGAGGAAAAACAGCAGGAAAGGGAGACAGGGGAGATGGAGGTGGAGAGTAACTACATGTGTGTTGTGGGAGTGCAATTTTAGATAGGATGGACATAGGAAGCGTATGGTAAGTATATGCAGGAGTTTTTCATTTTACATGTTCTTTACACGTGCTTCTGGGCAAGGTAGAGAGGTTTAAAAGGTTCAAAGCAATGTTCTGTTGATAATTGAATTAGTATGAATAGAAGATAGAAAAATATGCAGAGCACAAAACCAGAGAACTGTAATTCTTCTCTGAGGTTTCTAGAGAAAAGATTCCTGGCAAAGCACATTAATCACTGGTTCAATCATCAACAAACTAGTGTTGTGCCAGAAATACAGACTACAATTTCTAGGTGCTGGAGATACAACAATGAGAAAGACAGACGTGGTCATTGTTCTTATACAGCTTAATGTCTTATAGCAGAGAGAAAAACAAAGAAGCAATATCGTGTGATAAGTATTGAAACAGAAATATGAATAGAACATTATGGTACATGTGTTTGCACATGGAGAACCACCTAATTCAGACTTTCTAGAGGAAGAAATATCTAAGCATGGACGTGAAGAATGAGGAGGTATAGCTAAGCTAAGGGTAGAGGAGAGGAGTATCCCCAAGGCAAGGAGCAGCATGTGTAACAACATCAAGGCAAAAGAGAGCATAGTACTATAGAGAACTGGAAAAAGTGCATTGTGGCTGGGACACAGAATGGGGTAAGAAGTGGTGACAGGTGAAGGACTTTCCTAAGAGCAACTGGATAGCCATGGAAGAATTTTATACAAGAGAGGAAGAATAATCAGATCTACATCTTAGAAACATAATTCTGGCTACAGTGTGAAAATGGACCAGGGAAAGAATGAATGCAAAGAGACTTTTTAGCAGCCTGCTAAAAAAAATCCAATTGAGAGATGAAGATAGCCAGAAAAATAAATGCCAAGAGCATGTGCATGTTATTATGACCACAGGATATTTATCATTACCTGTGCACCAGATGGTAGGCTCATATCCTAAAAACCTAGTTTTTCCCCTATTGTAGTAAAAATGAATCATGTGTGCCAATGAATTATCATTGTCTCTTACTCAGAAGGTAGGAAAATTGTATAAAAATCAAAGACCCTAATAAATTGGGCCCATAAAAATGTTGCCAGAGTTGTGCTTTATAACCACCTAAAGTCATTATGCTCTTCTCTAAGACAGCACCTTTACTTGCACATTATGTCAATACCTGATAACAATTTTCATCCTCTCCCTTCCCATAACAATTTTTCTACCCGTTTTAACAGCTTCTGAGACTCTAAGATTCATGACTGGCTGTGTAAGAGGCAAGTACTTGCTTTTCAGCTGAATAAACAAAGACAGACAATGAGGGTAATGTGGCAAATGGGTCTGCCCACTCAGATATTTTCCAAAGAAGGAGTTCACGCTGGGCTCCCTCAGTTGGAAAGCCCAGGGGAATAAACATTCCAGATATATAACTAAACTAATATCAAAGTCATACTTCATCAAGCACTATTACTTCTGCTGCTGAGGGAATGGCATACAAAACTTTGGGGAAATTACGAGGTCCAAGGACATAAAAATTAAAGAATGGGAATAAAGAAGGTAAGTACACTGGGGTATTTTGTTGACAAAACCAAACCTGACATATTAAAACAACTTTACTCACCCAGAGACCAAGAAAGCAATGAACTTTCATCAATGCCCTGGAGTCAGTGTGTGTGTGTGTATATATTAAAGGATATGTGGCTATAGTCAAAGATGGCAACATTCAAAATGAAAACTATTTGTATTTTAGGGTATACTCTAAAAGACTAATGTTTTGTATCAATGATACATCAGATGTAGAATGTTTGGCAATGCTTGGGGCAGCTTCTCTATCCTTTTTATTTATTTCATTCAAAATGAGCAGTACATTCCTAACCAGGTCTGCTCAGACACCCAGGGTGCTACTGAATGGTAGTACAGACTCTTCAGTGACCAAGCAACCAATATCCTGGAATTTGAAAAGAACTTTTTATAATGAAAAGTTCCACTATCAATAGACCATTTGCCTGAGTTGTTTTCATAGTTGCAACTGACCCTCTGCTGGAGACCAAAATTTCCTCTGTATTATCCCTAAAGTCACTCCACTAGCTAAAAATTAGGATAGGACAGAGGAGGAGGGAAGTACTTTAAATTCTAACATAACAAAAGAAGAAATTAGGTAATCAAAATAAAAATGCCCTTGTTATAAAAATAATGTTGGCCACAGACATTTAAAAAGAAATATAAATATTTTATTGAACTCAATAAATATGTATGGAATGAGCATGGTTCCAATGACACATTTTAGCACAAGTTGTTTGCAGTTAATATGACCATTGATAAGCATTTCTTTGAGTCATAGTTTCTTCACATGTAGAAACTGGGTAATAATCTGTATCCTACCCTATCCAAACAATTCCAGGAGTATTTATGTTGCCAGTTTTCATCCTCAGTTGAGTTACTAGGTATTTAACAATGCCAGAAATAACAACAAAAAAAGCCACCATTTTTCATTACTTGTCTCAAAAAATGATCAATCAATCAATCAAGTCTCTAGATTTAGCTCTAGCAACATAAATGGATAGGGGTGTGGATGAGGCAGGACTGGCCATGGAGTGATAGTTGGTTGTGCAGGTGGGTGAGAGATATGAGAAAGGTCATAACCCTACTCTGTTAATTTTGGTATATATTCAAAATTTTCCACAATACAAAAGTTTTTAAGTATCTTTACGTTACTCTCACAGGCATATTTTCCTAGATACTTTTGGGGCATCTTTGCCACAGGCCACTGATGCCCTGAACAAGAAGTCAGATTTCAAATATGCACACTAGGCAAAAGCTCTTCACCAAGATTAACTTCAATAAAGTTGGATAGTTTAAACGCATTTTATCAAAATTTCCTGAATGTTTGGAAAGTAGATGAATTGCTATTCCAATGACAATTTTAAGTAACATCAATTGAATTCTTTCCCTGTGCTTTCACTGTTTTAAGTGCTTTACCAACATCATCTCATAATTCTATGATGTAGGCTGACAGACAGGGAGTAAGTGATGGAGCTGGGATTGGAATCCAGACAATCTGACTTCAGAGCCTGCACTTTTAACCAACAATGACTGGATACTTCAAGGCTGAACATTACCGGTTTGGGTAGCATTAGAAAGAATTAAGAAAAGAGAGGAAGAAAACTACTTCAGGCTCAAAAGTACATATGCATTGCCTTGTCAAGAGAAGCAGTATAATATGGTACGGAATAAATTGAGTTAGGTACTTCGAATACTGAATTGTGGCTATGTACCACTCATTATTACATGATCTTGAGTAAGTTAAATACTTCTTATCTTCGGTTTCCTCATCCATATTTAAGTTTAAGGTAAGGACTGAAAGTGAAAATGTACATTAAGGAATCTAATACATAAGTATTCTAGAGCACTTGCATTTGTGTATGAATCTGTCTCTCCACTAGATTGTGAATGCCTAAGTCATTCACCATTCTCTCTTCAGTTCCTAGCACACTGCCTGGCATACAGAAGGCACTTGTGTTTGTTTAACCTAACATCAGATCCATCAAGAGGTCCAGCACCAATTGGTAGCTTTGTCAAGTCTCTAATTTTAATTATCTAAGTCTATGTGTTATACCAACAAGTAAAATAGGTTTCAAATGTTTGCTTAATAACAGAAGACAGGAAACTAATTCATAAACCCTCTATTATTATGTTATCTAGCATTTAATCCAAAATTAATGATGGAAAAGATTTAAAGAGACAGTAAGTGCCCTCTAATTATCTTCTCTGATGATCATTTACACTTATAGAAGTATGTTGCAGTTTCTAGACTGATCTTTCCAAACACAAATCTCACCATGTCACTTCCTGGCTTATACTTCTTCATGGCTCTTAGAATCAATTTCTGAGCATGACATGGAAAGCACATCATGATTTGACAACTTTGGACCATCCCAGCCACAAATCTCTTCATTCCCTGTTCCACCTTCATGTACCTTTTCCTCCCCTACTCGAGCCACTCAGGACTTCAGTTCCCTAAATGGGCCATGTATGTGCTCTCTTACTTCTGTACTTTTTCAACAGGCTGCTGCTCCCTTTTCCTAGAGTGTCCTTCCCCTCTTCTACCTGAATAATTCCTATTTGTTCTCAAGACTCCACTGAGAGAAAACATCCCACAGAAAGCCTTTCCTGACATTGTCCTTCATCCCCTAAAAGTCTGGGTAAGGAGTCCTCTCTTTGCTTCTGTAGTACATACCACTATGATAGAACTTACCATTCTGTAGTCTAATTTTCCATATCCTTCGCTATGTTCTCAATGACAGAAACCAGGTCTTATTTGTCTTTCCAGTATCTATCTAGCCCAGCTAGGTGCACAGTGGGTGATTAACAAAGATCTGATGAATGTAAAAGAACCTTATTTTGTATAACAGAAAGCCCAGTGTAAACTTATTGACAAAAGCACACCCTTTTCTTTGTTACTTAAATAAAAGTGAATGTAAAGTCAAACAGAAGCATCTTAGTGAAGCACTGTTAAAGACCAATTTGAGCATGGCAAGAAAAAATAAAGAGGATTTGAAATTTTGTCTGGTTAACCAAAAAAAAAAAAAAAAAAAGAAGAAGAAGAAGAAGAAGAAAAAGGAAAAAGAGGATGATACCATTGCAGATTGGTTAAGCAATAAGGAAACAGAAAGCAACAGCATCCTGCTGCTTGTGGCTTTAGTCCCTGAAGACCATTTAATCACAGATTTTAAGTGTGTGTATTTCTAAATGAGTGCTCTATTACACAAGATCATCAACTAAAAGAAGTATAGCAAAGAGAAATGCTTACATTCTGATAAACTGTTAAAAGGCTTGCTATTAACAAGAAAGACCATATGCTAAGAAAAATAATTCTCTAAAACAGCAAGTTTAAGTAAACATTTTTGTTGGCAATAAATGTCTGGAATCCATTTGGAATTTTTCAGTATTATTCACAAGTTAAAAATAATTGATACATATAAAAGTACATTACTAGGTTGCAAAGCATTTGTAGCAACTCAATACCATTATTTGCTATTGTCTCTATTTCTGACCAACTTGTGTTTCATGTTTTACACTGGCTAAAATGACTGTTAGTTTGGGGATGTAGGCTATTAGCCCTTAAATGTCATCCTGGCTAATGTATAACTTTACTCATCTGACTCATAACAGACATCCAAGTCTTCTCCTCTGGAAACCAATCCACTGTACAAATCAATTAGGCTAAAAAAAAAAAAATAAAGGTAAAAGTAAAATGGACAGAGCAGTATGTGAGGATGTACTTTTTCTTTTGGGTAAAATGCATACTTTCTACTCCAAAGAATCAGGAGAAAAACTGAAGAGAGTAGTAAACAGATATATGATATGGACAGTAAAATAATGACTACAAATCAGAAAAGAGAAGCAAAGGTGGCAGGGGCAAAAGATGCATTACAACTAACAGTGGTTAGAAGGATATAATAGAACACATTAAACTCAACCTACATTTAGCATGTCATTTTGCCATCCTAGAAAGAGCTTAAGAAATAAGATAGATCTGGGTTTGAATCCCAGCTAACTAGCACTTGGCTGTGACCTTTGGGCAAACAACTTAACCTCATCTTAGATTCAGGTTCTTTATTTGTAAAGTTGGGTAACACTGCTTATCAACAGAATTGAGAGGATTAGAGGTAATGAAGAATTTAAAAGGATTGGAAGCAGTGAAGTAAAAAGTCCGAAGGACTAAGTTTTCAATATGCAATAAAAAGTACAGCTAATATTTAGAAGGCCAATTTATGCCAGGAATTCTAAGTGTTTTACATTTATACGAATCATTTCATAATTATGGGCCTCCACTTCTTCATTTCTTCAAAGTGAGATTCTACTGCCCTAGGTTATTCTACTTTTTTAAACATAAGTACAAGACAGTTTGCCCAACAGCCTTTTCTTCCCAGAGTAGATGCAATCTCATGATACAGCTGGTTATACACAAAAGGAGGCCAAAAAGAAAGTTTCATGTTTAGCAGGTATGGTAGGTACTTCAGGCAATTTTTGTGGCTAGTGACTATCATGGTAGGTCTAGGAAAAAATTTCAAATTGCCCTTTTCTGGTTATGTTTCTAGATAGGAAGAAGAGGTAACCAAAGATGAATAAGGCAGTTTCTGTCCTCACTGTTTGTGGTCTAGTTGTATATTATAATATGGTGCTTTGAATTTCCCATTCACATTCAAAGGCCTTTTTGACAGCATCACTCCCAGAGATAATTTACTATTTAGGGGTATTCACTTATTTAACAAATATTTACCACAGACCTACCACATGCTAGGAATTAATCTAGGTGCTGGCCATATAGTGGTTTAAAAAAAAAAAAAAAGAGAGAGAGAGAGAGACAAAGACAAAAACCCCTGCCTCTTATGGACCTTACATTCTAGTGCTGGTGGTGAATAGGGACAATTTATGCACCAATGCTGTTCAATGATTTATTTAGTATTTACTACATGCTGAACACTATCCTATGTACATGTTAGGGAGTGCCAACATCAATAAGACACAGCCTATAGGCTACTTGAGAAAAGGTAAAGAGGAGTCAGTTACATAGACAAGTAATACTTAAAATAAGGGTCCTTAAAAAGCAAGTAATCAAAAGGTCAGGCGCGGTAGCTCACGCCTGTAATCCCAACACTTTGGGAAGCCAAGGCAGGCAAATCACAAGGTCAGGAGTTCAAGAGCAGCCTGGCCAAAATGGTGAAACCCCGTCTCTACTAAAAATACAAAAAATTAGCTGGGAGTGGTGGTGGGTGCCTGTAATCCAGCTACTTGGGAGGCTAAGGCAGGAGAATCGCTTGAATCTGGGAGGCGGAGGTTGCAGTGAGCCCAGATCACACCACTGCACTCCAGCCTGGGTGACAGTGTGAGACCCCATCTCAAAAAAAAAAAAAAAAAAAAAAAAAAGCAAATAATCAAAAACTATGTAATGTTAGGAAGTATAATAGGAGGCTGTAAGGATGTTTTTAAAGGACAAATAAGTTTGCAGGTAGCCAAAGAAAGGGTGTGGGTAGACACGTGTCATTCTTTTTGTCAGCCTAGTATCATAGTATAATTTCCCACCATTCTCAGAATCCCTTCCTATTTGGAGGAATTCTCCATATTTTAAGCCTTGATACCGCATCACGTAGGTTCATAATGTCAGATTCTTGTTTTTCTGGCCTCCCCTGCAGCCAGGGCATGGGCCAGTCATTGAGGTTCCAACAATCAGATGCACCTTTACCTGGCTTGGAATTAGAAACTAATGATTCAAAGGAATGAACAGGAGGCCCTCTCTCTGGTGGCAAACAGGGAGATGGATGGAGTATGACAAGTGGCAGTAGCACTTGTTCTTACATCCAATACCCAAGGTTAGCAGTGTGAGTGGTGATGTCAGTGGCATATATTCAATGGACACAACTGACTATTACCTCTAACTCCGTGGCCTGAATTTGGTACCTCTGGAGATTCTGTGAACTCCTCAATATCCTTTTAATAAATTTCAATCCTGATTGAATCAATAAATGATTTCTGTTGCTTAGAATTAAGACCCCTATTGAAACTGAAGAGTAGGGCATCCCAGGTAGAGGGAACAGCACATGCAAAATAAGGAGAATCTAGTTAACTTAGTGATTAGGAGAGGCAGCTCTAAAGCTAAACAGATCTGAATTTGAATCAAGGTTCTACATTGTACTAGCTATGAAACCCTGCTTTGTGTATTCAAACTCTCAAAACCTCAATTCCTGCTTGGTAGAGTGGGGATAATAATACAAACTTTTTATTAGGTTCTTTTGATAATTAAATGAGGTCATGGAAATTCATTTAACGCTCTTAGTATCTGACAAAGAGTAACCTTCACAGATGATTGCTTTATTAATAATGATAATGAAAATAAGCATAGTATTTGAAGGAAAATATAAGCCATTTCAGTCTGCTAGAGTTTAAAGCACAAGGGGAAAAGTACAAGAAATGAGGATGGCAGACATCTTGGAGTTTTAAATCATACCAAAGAACTTGAGCTCTATGGGCTGGGCTCACTTTAACAGTGAGTAATAGGAGAATTATAGTGAAACATAAATAGTATATTAAATGATTAACTAGGCAAATATGATGAGGTTTTACTTTATATATGTATTCTCCACATCTATAGTTGTATAGTATGATCTGACCACTGTACTTATGTACCTGTAGGATGTAATCTAGTTGGAAAACATATTCGAATCTAGTTGGATCTATAGTTGAATAACAGCTGCTCCTTTGTCTGATCTGAGAGATAACTAACCTTTGAGTAAGGAGAGAAGTTTACAAAATAAGGAAGGGGAATGCACCCTGAAATGACTGGCAGAGTATGAATCACATTTGCAAGTCTGATACTCTATGACCTTTCTTTCTTTTTTTGGAGACAGGGTCTCGCTCTGTCGCCCAGGCTGGAGTACAGTGGGATGAGCTTGGCTCACTGCAACCTCTGCCTCTTGGGCACAAGCAATCCTCCCACCTCAGCTTCCCAAGTAGCTGGGAATACAGGCACAAGCCATTATACCCAGCTAGTTTTTGCATTTTTTGTAGAGAAGGACTTTCATCATGTTGCCCAGGCGGGTCTCAAACTCCTGGGCTCAAGTGATCTGGCCCTCTCAGCCTCCCAAAGTGCTGGGATTACAGGCGTGAGCTACCGCGCCCAGTCTATTCTATGACTTTTATATAATCAAACGTCATCTGCTATTTTTTTTTTTTTTTACAAAATATTGTTATGCATTAGCATCTTGGTCTAGAGTCCATATTAAGTTAAAGATGAAAGGTTTTATAGTCAAGTCAAAAACAATCAATACTACCATTTCACAGTATGTGGTATTACTTGCTAAATGCTAATAAGCATGACATTGTCTCTTGTTAGCACCGATCCTCTTTGTGCTGAATAGACAATCACATAGTTACTATTCAGTTCTGCTTTACATTTGCCATGCTTTTCTACCTGCTTACCCTCATTTAATTTCCACCATTATCTCCTCTCCCAACCTCCACTCCACACCCATATCTGCCTTCAAGAAACACTCTTTGATCTAATTTTGATTTTCACAGTAGCTACTGAAAGCGAACCTGGATCACTGTGTACATCTCAGAACCAGTGCTGAGACAGAAAATGTATGAGTTTGCTGGGGGAGGATAGGGGAGGTGAAAAAAAAACAGAACCCAAAATGTGCTCTGTAACTACTAAATGCTTTATTTCATTTTCTGCTACTCCCATCTGCTTTGGCAATGCAGCACAGTTTAATCAAAGGAAAAAAGGGGCACAGATTTGAGTCAGAGGGCTAGTTTTGAATTCCAGGCCCAACACCCAAGAACCCTATTTGGTAGGTTACTATTATACTCATGTTACAGAAGATAGTATAGAAGCCCAGGAAGATTATGTGACTTGCACCTGTATGCAACTATGTAATGTTAGAAAGTATAAGTTATAATAGGTTATAATAGGTGTATATCAATGTGCTACCAACATAAAATAGAGTGGTCACATCTTTCTACGAGCCCAATTTTATTTTTACTTTACTAGGTCATTTGTAGCTAGGGCCTACATAAGATCCCAAGGAGTATATACTCACCAGAACTGGACAATGGCTGTTTTGGGGATTTCCATCTTTGCATTTGCCTTTTTAAAATGTCTTCTATTTAGTCCAGTTCTGAGCAGTACCATTACTGCTGTAACTGGCAACATGACACAGGATAATTCTAGCTTGACCTGGGCCATTCTGGAAGGATAGGAGGTAGCCTTTGCCTCAAGCATATTGTTACTAACCTGCACCTTAGAACCACCTATTAGAGAGTTGATCTGTGACAATATGCAAGTCTTTCTGATTACCAATGTGTTACCAGTCTACAGATTATATGACGGAAGTTGGTAAATTAATTAATCCAGAATTAACAGACAAAGTTCTCACTGCTGTCTTTGAAAAATCCCTGTTTTTCAAAAACTGTTTTGAGTGTTTACTATGTGCTGATTATTAATGTATGTGCTGACTATTAAGCACTGCTGAATTAAGGGTTTTACATGCATTGATCAATTTAATCCCCTCTCAATAACACTATGATTCATTACTGCTTGGATTTCAAAGTTCAAAATTCAGAGAAGAGTAATCATTACCAGTTTCCTAAAGGCCAGAGTCATTCTCTGGCATATTCTTTAGGGTAGCACCTAGGCCTTTTGGCAACGTACAAGCCAGGCAGATGGGCACCTTGTCTTCTCTCATCACAGTATTGAAAAATACCAAATGTCTGGCTTTGTTCCAGGCTGCTTTGGGCTTTCAGGGGCCACGTGAACCAAAGACAAATCATGTTTGTGCTGGATCAGACACAAGAAAAACAGTCACTGACTTGATTCTGCCAGGGAGTACCAAGTCTCAAGTAAAGCATCATATGGGGTCTTAGATCAAAATAGATTTACTTTCTTTTTGGTGACATGATAAATAATTTAAATGTGGTGAATTTTTTCACATTTTGATCTGTCTTATATTGGTCTTCAGAAGACTGTTAAATCCTACTTGCACCTCTGTTTTCATAACAAGCAAGTGATCTCATTTATTATCATGAGAAATGAAGCAATATATGCAGTAATAAAATATTAAACTCAATCAGTGATTTTAAAAAAGCTTTATGGGACAGCTTTTTTCTCTATTTTTCATTTTCTACAATGTTTATTGTAGAAAATGAACATAGATTATTTTTATAATTGTAAAAAAACTGGCCAGGTGCAGTGGCTCACACCTGTAATGCCAACACTTTGTGAGGCTGCGATAGGAAGATTGTTTGAAGCCAGGAGTATAGTATCAGCCTGGGCAATATAGCGAGACTGCATGTCTACAATTTTTTTTTTTTTTAAATTAGCTGAGCATGGTGGCACATGCCTGTAGTCCCAACTACTCAGGAGGCTGATATGGGAGGATCACCTGAGCCCAGGAGTTCGAGGCTGCAGTGAGCTACAATCACACTACTGCACTCTAACCCGGGTGAAAGAGTGAGACCGTGTTTCTTAAAAAAAAAAAAAAAAAAAAGTAAGTAGAACCCATTCTAAACAGATCAACCAAAAATAATATTACATAAAGCACAACTTATATATGTTGTGAGTTTAATATGAGATAAAGATTATTTTGTTTTCTCAAGGTAGTGGGGAAGAAAAATAATACTAAAGGACCTCAAACCTTTGGAAAACACCATAATTGTTAAATTATACAAATATGTCAACTACAAAATAGCATAAAAATATATTTTGTGTAAAGAAGCCATATATAAATGAATGTGTTTATTTCTTTGTTGTGTTTAATCAAAGCTATCTTGGTCACATTCCATTATAAGCTAATATAAACCATGTAACTTGGAAAGAATATTAAAGCCTTTATGTCTGAGAAAGCCCAAAGTAGTTTACATGTGTTACTTCTCAAAAACCTTTGGTGACTGGAAGTTTCATTTTATAGTCTGGGAAACTGAGTCATAGAGTCATCAAAAAATATACTCAATAACTCAAAAAGTGAATAGAAAGACTAGAATTTAGTTCTTCTGACTTCGATTCTACTGATTAGCTGGACCATCCAGCCCTGCCTTTGCGGACAAGTTGAAGCAACAAACTAACTTAAAAACTAAAACCAGTTGAACAGGATAGGTTTGCAGGCAATACACCAACAATTCAGTATAATAATACCCAACAACTAGATTGCTTTGGGTTTTTGGTACACTTTATAACTATTCAATAACTCACATAACATCAATAGATGGTGGGACTATAATGTTAGTGCTATTCATATAGAACTGATAAAACACACTGTAGGATTACAATAAATATAAAATCACATGAAAAATCTACAGCAGAAAAAGCCCAATGCCTTCCTCTCATCAAGACTCAATAAACAAACACAACAGGATAAATATATTGGAATGCAAGTCCTTCCCCCCCCGTTATTTCCAATAACCCTTCCCAATCCCTATAATGATTAATAGGACTTAAGAGAATCTAAAAATCTATTCAAGTTATCCAATTTCCTTCAGAGTGAATAACATCTACACTTTTCCTAGAATATTTTTAAAGAAATTTCATCTTTAAAGACCGTTTCCAGGCCAGGCACGGTGGCTCACGCCTGTAAACTCAACACTTGGGAGGCTGAGGTGGGCAGATGGCTTGAGCCCAGGAATTCGAGACCAGCCTGGACAACGTGGTGAAACCCTGTCTCTACCAAAAATAATAATAATAATAATAATTAATTTAAAAAATTAGTTTAAAAAAAATTAGCCGGGCATGGTGGTGCACGCCTGTAGTCCCAGCTACTTGGGAGGCTGAGGTGAGTGGATCATTTGAACCCGGGAGGTCAAGGCTACCGTGAGCCACAATCACGCCACTGCACTCCAGGCTGGGTGACAGAGTGTGACCCTGTCTCAAAAAAAAGAAAAAAAAAAAACAATTTCCAAAATTAAAAAGGAGTAGGAAATATGATATCCTCCTTGTAGTTAACAATGCTACTACTTCTCATCTCTTCTTTTTGCTCACATGTATCAAGTAAAAGCACTAGATTATTAAAAATAAATGATAAAAATCTAATAAGATCTGTGATAATATGCCAGTTTCTTGGAAGCATGTAAGACTGAAATAAGTTTTCAGACTCAGTTATCTAAAGGGTCTAAAATTTAGTAAATAAAGGTTATTTAACATTCTCCAGCCAGGCTGACAACATTCCTACTCCTTATCTTTTTCCCTATGACTAGGCAGAATGTATTCCTTTTTCCAAATGAATAAATTTTCCCTTCCCTTAATGCTTAGCTGTCTCCCTGGCAAGGTATCATATAGAACAGCTGTTATATTACCAGTATAACAGCAATCCCGTCTGATCTAATTGGAAAACATATGGACAGACTGAAACCAAACTTTTGGAGGCTCAGTAACTTTAAAGAAGAAATAATCAAATATATTGATAAAGACTATGAACAATGCCATGAATTCAAATTTTGCACAATCTAAACAAGATCTATTTCAATAAGCTACTTTAAGTAATGTTCAAGTGAATGCTTTAAATTACCTAGACAAGGTGGGGAGCAGTGGCTCACGCCTGTAATCCTAGCACTTTGGGAGGCCAAGGCGGGCGGATCACGAGGTCAGGAGATCGAGACCATCCTGGCTAATATGCTGAAACCCCGTCTCTACTAAAAATACAAAAATTAGCCAGGTGTGGTGGCCGGCGCCTGTAGTCCCAGCTACTTGGGAGGCTGAGGCAGGCGAATAGCGTGAACCCGGGAGGCGGAGCTTGCAGTGAGCCGAGATCACGCCACTGCTCTCCAGCCTAGGCGACAGAGCAAGACTCTGTCTCTAAAAAAAAAAATAAAAAATTAATTAATTAAAAAAATTACCTAGACAAAATGAAATGGAGAAAGAGCCAGCTCTCAATTTTCAGCCTCTGCTGAAGGTCTCAGTTAAATTTTGCCTAAAGGTACCAAATCTTAGATATGTCATTCCTACTGTATGTTCAAGATTTGTCAGTCTGCATGAATAGTCTCCTTTATTCAAAACCCTGACTCACTTAGACTAAACAAATACCCTGATATAGATCAAACTTGCTTAGTCAATGACAGAAATTATAGTTAAGTGGCCCTGGGTAATATCATCTGACTTGATCTTATATAAGTAAAGACTTACCAAGCTTATCAGAACTTTTTATTCATTTTTAAATGTTATTCATTTATTTTTAAGACTATAAAATTAGAATTGGATATAGTCACGAAAAAACTTTAAAAATTCAGAAAAACACAAAGAAGGTAATTAAAATTACCCATAATCCCATTACTTAGGTTTAACTAATTAATATTTTGGTATATTTCTCTCCTCATATGTATATTGCTGCTTAATATAATGTAAACATTTTAATGTAAGTTCATAAATTACCAAATTTCTTTATCATAAAATGTTAGAGTAGGAGAATTCCTCTTTCAAAAATCTTTACTGAAAGGACAAATCCAAAATATAAGCCAAATGAAAGAAGAGCTGATGTAAGTGGGGGTGGTGATGTGGAGGTGAGAGGTGAGAGTTGGGTGTGAAAGGTCCAGAAGTAGACCTGTTGGCCTCTCCAGTCCCTATAATGGCTCCCAAACACATCTGAGGAACCCTGGGTCCCCAAATAATACTGTTTAAAAATCACAAATCTAGTCTAACTCATTTAACAGATAAAACTACTTGCTTTTACTAGACAGATAACTAGTAAAAGAACTAATGAAAGAACTTAGGATCCCACATCTTACAGACAAGTGCTCAGCTTCTGCAACTTAGCTACCCTTTCTACAAAAGTCATCAAATGTTCATTTGTCCATTGTTGTTCTTCCTTTAAGAAAAATACAAGGGAAAATGTTACAAACAAAAAATGAATCATTAATATAATAAGCTGGATCTCAAGGAGTTCCACTTGTCCTAAGCAGGTTCTCAAACTATTCCTCATATTACTATGAGTGAGAGAAACATTGATTTCTAAACTAAAAAGAAAGGCATGATTACATTATTTTCCTCAAGAATACAATGCATGTCTAGTATACCTACAAACTGTTCCTTCTTTTTCACTAATTCAATCACTAAATATTTATTAAGAATCTATCTGGGCTGGACAGCAGAGGTATAACTGTGAACAAAACAAATGGAAGTCCTGCCCTCATGGAGTCTGTAAGCCTGACAGGCTTGAGCAAACTACTTTAACTTTCTGAATCCCAGTGTTTGCCAGTCATAAAGTAAGGTTAATAAGATTTAACTACTGCATTGTTTAAGAATTAAATGACACGATGTACGTAAAAAAATCCTTATAGGTAATCAGGCATATAATATGTGCTCAGTTAATATTAGTTACCTTCCCTGCCAAAGTGTTAAATATCAGATTAAAAATGAAAGGTAACAGTGTAAGTCTCTTTGCTATTAAAACAATGATTTGAAGTAGTACAACTGAAATAGCAGGTTAAGATAATTCCAAAGAGATTCTGGGCCAGGTGCAGTGGCTCATGCCTGTAATCCCAGCACTTTGGGAGGCTGAGACGGGTGGATCACCTAAGGTCAGGAGGTTGAGACCAGCCTAACCAATATGGTGAAACCCTGTCTCTACTGAAAATACAAAAATTAGCTGGGTGTGGTGGTGGGTGCCTGTAATCCCAGCTACTTGGGAGGCTGAGGCAGGAGAATCACTTCAACCTAAGAGGCAGAGGTTGCAGTGAGCCAAGATGGCACCACTGCACTCCAGCCTGGGAGACAGAGTGAGACTCTATCTCAAAAAAAAAAAAGATAATGCCAAAGAGATTCTTACACTAGGAAAGAAGTAAATATTTCAATACGAAGAAATGAAATTGAGGTTGGGCGCGGTGGCTCACACCTGTAATCCCAGCACTTTGGGAGGCCAAGGCGGGCGGATCACTTGAGGTCAGAAGTTCAAGACCAACCTGGCCAACATGGCAAAACCCCACCTCTTCTAAAAATATAAAAATTAGCTGGGCATGGTGGCAGGCACCTGTAATCCCAGCTACTCGGGAGGCTGAGGCAGGAGAACTGCTAGAACCTATGAGGCAGAGGTTGCAGTGAGCTGAGAATCCGCCACTGCATCCCAGCCTGGGCGACAGAGCGAGACTGTGTCTCAAAAAAAAAAAAAAGAGATGAAATTCACATGAGCCCTCACAGTCAAGTTCTGTGATTCACCTTGTTATCTCCATGACCATTTACTTTCAGTTACTTCTGGGCTCTTTCCACAACATTCAGCCCTGTATAGTGTCTAGGAAAGAAAATATAAAGCAAACAGTCCTCTTCTCCAAATACCATTTATTCATCATATAAATATGGGCAGCTAAACAAGACAAGATTTACACTTAACAAAATAAACTTAAAAGACAATGGTTTAAAATACAAAATATCAAATCTGAAACCCAACAAAACCTATAAAGGTTTGATCAATATTCACCAATAAAAGTACAGAGGACATAAGCCTTTTTCATTCATATAATATGCAGAAATCAACAAAATGTGAATTGCAAGGTCTTAGACATTCTAAGAGCACCTTGTAAGCCATAATGCACTGCACACTTGTTAATTGCTAATATTAAAAGCACTCTGTTCACTATTAACTTTAATTATATTTCTAATGGGGAAATTCTGTCATTCAAAAGATCAAACATTTGTTTCTTAACGAAATTAATTATATACTGGTATGCATCTCAAAACCACCTACCAACAAAAACAGGTCATGTTATTCATAAATAGGAAAATAAATTTGCTACTTATTCAAAGTTCTTGATTTTTTTTTAGAGCCAGATAACTTCTATTATGAAAGTTTTTTCTTTATTGTTCCTCAGAAGAAGGTGGCAGGGGGTAGGTGGGGCATAAGTTGGACAATAAAGAAGACCCCAGTGGAAAAAGAAAATCTTTTCTCCATTTTTTTTCAAAAAGAGAGAATACCGCATTCTGAATATTGTATAAAGGATGACATTTTCATATTAAGAAGGCTTCATAATCTAAATTACATAGACCAAAAACAAATCAATAGGAAAAAAGTGAAAGTCACAGAGAAAGACAGATTTTGTTCTCAGTGCAAACTGTTCAACGCCATGCATGCTGACACTAACACATCTTTAAGGACTTTTTGTTCATCTAGAAAGACGTCTTGGAAGAATTAAGCTTTGAGGAAGCACTGAAGGAGGACAAAGTGGTAAATTGTTAAACAGAGAGGGTAATTTGGTTCCTTAAAGATCATGGAAAGAATGGTTGGGGCTAAAAATAAAAGATATGAGTGAGAGGAACGCATAGAAGGCTTTAAATTGAAAAAAAATGAGCAAGGAGAATGGAAGAAAGGTTTTTTTTTTTTTCAATGAAGACAAAATAATAGGGAAAGATTTTTCTGACCATAATTATCTGTAGAACAGTGGCATTATTAGAGAGATTATTTTGATACAAATTTATCACATGTACTCACATGGATACATCTAAAAGGATAAATATTTTTAGTAAACCTTTACTATGATTCAAACCTAGGTATCCAGACATAATCTTTATCTTCTTCATCACATTTTTAGAAATCCTCCTTTAAAGTTACCAGGGCAGTCAGGGTAGTCATTTCTAGTGAAAAACAGATAAATCAAAATGTATACTTGAAAAAAAGCCTAAGTGATCACAGAAGAGGTCCCTGTAATATAATGTCAACATTACTAATAAGGATTTTTATATCACACCTAAAAAAAACCACACAAAAATCAAGATAAAGGAAAAAGCAAGGATTAAAGCTATTTATAACTTAAAATATCATCTAACACTGTCTTTCAGCTAAACAAGGTCTTACATTTTTATTTTCTTCTGCTCTATTAAGTACCCTAGAGCAGAATTCTCTCCACCCATAATTTACTCATCAGTAAAAACAGCACTGCAATACTTTTCTTCTATTCTTTTTATAAGGGTGCCAGAATGTCTGGAAGTTAATACACATGTTTAGAAATGCTAAGATGAGAAATTATGCACACTTAAATTTTAGGGGTCTTTTTTAAAAATCAAGATAAAAAGACCTAGATTATTTCAATGTGTAAATTTTCAACTAGCCAGGAGGCTTCCTGGGGACATAATACAGAAGATTTGAAACTAATGTTCTGGAGTTTATGCTGCTCCAGAAACTAATCAGACTAAGGAATTTCTACAAAAACCTAGGCACTTAGGTCAGGCATAAGGTATGATAAATTTGGGGGGCCTGGCCCCCCAAAAAATATGAACAAATCTCTCCATCACAGAAAAACTTAGAACCTAATTAATGAAACAATAAGAGCTATAATTTAATATAACAATTGTAAAACGTTGTCAAACAGAAAATTCAGGGAGGTGGCTGGGCACGGTGTCTCACACCTGTAATCCCAGTACTTTGGAAGGCCAAGGTGGGTGGATTACTTGAGTTCAGGAGTTCGAGACTAGCCTGGGCAACATGGCAAAATCCCAACTCTACTAAAAATACAAAAACTAGCTAGGCGTGGTGGTGCACACCTGTAGTCCCAGCTACTCTGGAGATTGAGGTGAGAGAATCATTTGAGCCCAGGAGGTTGAGGCTGCAGTGAGCCATGATTGTGCCACCGCACTCCAGCCCGGGACACAGAGTGAGACCCTGTCTCAAAAGAAAAAAACAGAAAGAAGAAAAGAAAATTCTGGGAGATGAATGAATAGCACACAGTGGAATGAAGACAGTAAACGCCAAGGAAGAGTAGAAGTTTTCCCAGATTAATATCCAAGGACCAATTATTTTTAGCAAAATGGTTTCCTACTCTTCTAGGTAGCTGTATTTCTTTAAATGCCAATAATATGGATTCTGGAGCCAGACCCACTAGGTTTGAATGTAGGTTCTGCCAGAGCTGGGCTTCTATGGAACTCAATTTCCTTATCTATAAAATGAGGATAATAATAGTAACTAACTTAGTAGTTCCTGTTTTGGAGATTAAATGACTTAATATATATAAGGCACATAGAACAGTGCCAGGAACATAGTAAGTGTGCTTGTAATTACTATTATAGTAGTCCACAATCCCTCAAATCTGATGCTCAATACCAGAAGCTATGAAACTACAAATTTTCCTGTAACTCACTTGGTGGCAAATATCTGACCTACTCCGAATACATTTGGCAACAAAACCTGACCTGAGCAAATGCAAATAAAACCTGACCTGAGCAAAGGCTACTGAAAGTCTTTATTTATCACACTCACTGTAAAGATACGTGCAGTTTGCTGCAGATATCTTAATGTGTTTGATTACAGGATGCTGCTCCCAATTCACTGGAATGTATTTATGAAAAAATGAAAAAATCTAAATTCTGAAACACATCCAACCCAGAGGTTTTAGATAAAAGACTGTGGGGTCTATATTAACTTTGAAGCCTAGACAGTTTGTATTTCCTTAAAATAAATGGCATCTTCTTAAAGAAACACGAGTAAGTAAGATCCTGAATCTAGTATTAGAGAATATTAGGATGATGAAAACATTTTCCAGTACAGTTAAGAGAGTCCTATATTCCTAGGATGTTCTTTTCAAATATAATCCATCTTGGCTGGGCGTGGTGGCTCACACCTGTAATCCCAGCACTTTGGGAAGCTGAGGCAGGCAGATCATTTGAGGTCAGGAGTTCAAGACCAGCCTGACCAACATGGTGAAACCCCATCTCTACTAAAAATACAAGAAAGTTAGCTGGGTATGGTTGCGCATGCCTGTAGTCCCAGCTACTAGGGAGGCTGAAGCAGGAGAACTGCTTGAACTTGGGAGGCGGAGGTTGCAGTGAGCCCAGACGGTGCCACTGCACTCCAGCCTGGGCAACTAAGTGAGACTCTGTCTCAAACAAACAAACAAACAAACAAACAAAAACAGGCTGGGCATGGTAGCTCATGCCTGTAATCCTAGCACTTTGGGAGGCCGAGGTGGGCGGATTGCCTGAGGTTGGGAGTTTGAGACTAGCCTGGGCAACATGGTGAAACCCTGTTTCTTCTAAAATACAAAGAAAAATAAATTAGCTGGGCGTGGCGGCATGCGCCTGTAGTCCCAGTTACTCGGGAGGCTGAGGCAGGAGAATCACTTGAACCGGGGAGGTGGAGGTTGTAGTGATCCGAGATGGCACCACTGCACTCCAGCCTGGCAACAGAGCAAAACTCCGTCTCCAAAAACAAAACAAAACAAAACAAACAAACAAAAATAAATAATCCATCTGTAATATTTTGTTTACATGTCATGGTAGTCAGAGTTTTCAAGTTCTAAATTCTAGGGCTTGCTTAAACAAAGTCTATTCTCATCACTCAGATAACAAATAAATAATTAAGGTTCTTTGGGGGACATAAATATGCCTTGAATCATGCAGACCAAATCATCACAGAACTTTAGAGCTGAAAGAGACCCTTTAAAACTAATCTAAATTATTATCCTTTATCTTCCAAATTGTTTTATCATCTGTAAATTTATTCTGCCCTATGAGGTAAGAATAATCTGCCCTAACTTGTCCGTAGACTCTGTCTATAGGAACACACCGCAGGTAAATGCAAATAAACTGGGTGGAGTACACTGACAAACCTGGGATCTAAAAGGATAACTGAATTTAACACAATCAATCTTATAAATTTAGTTAATGTCTCAGATTACACTTTAGAAAATTATAAGAATTTCCAAGTCCAGAATGAAAGAAGACTCACCTAGCACATATTTAAAAATAAATAAATTTTAATAGAGCTTAGCAATCTTAATGGGCTCAATGAGTCAACAACATAATGCGGCTGCCAAAAAGCTACTGTGATTAGGAACTAACCACATCAACATCAGTACCCCATCCAGAAGGAATGAGGCAACTGCCCTCTCTGCTACAAGCTGGTTAGAGCACATCTGGAGTATTATGTTCAGCTCTGTTTCACATTTTGGTAGACACAGAAAGACTGAAAAAGACTAGAAGAGGGCCAGGCACAGTGGCTCATGCCTGTAATCCCAGCACTTTCGGAGGCTGAAGCGGGTAGATCAGGAGTTCGAGACCAGCCTGGCCAACATGGTGAAACCCTGTCTGTACTAAAAATACAAAAAGTAGCAGGGTGTGGTGGCATGCACCATAATTCCAGCTAGGCAGGAGGCTGAGGCAGAATTGCCTGAAACCACGAGGCGGAGGTTGCAGTGGGCTGAGATGGTGCCACTGCATTCCAGCCTGGGCAACAGAGTGGAACTCCATCTCAAAAAAAAAAACAAAAAACAAAAAAAAACTAGAAGAGAAGTAACCAAGACAGTAAGAAAATTTGAAACCATGTCACATAAAGATCAGTTGAAGGAGCTGAAATTATTTGGCCAAGACAGAGAGGGATCATGATCCCTGTCCCCTAACCTGTAAGAGCTGTCATGGCACAGAGACAGCCAACTTTTTCTGCATGGCCCCAACGGGCAGAGCCAGATCAATCAGTTAACTAAAGTAAGAAATTTCAGCTAAGCCTATGGAAATATTTCTTCAAATGTAGAGCCACATTAGGAGGTAGTGGCATTTAAAGTCCTATCTACCCCTAAGGGTCCATAATTTTTAAAATCAAACATTTGGGCCAGCGTGCGGCAGCTCACACCTATAATCCCAGCACTTTGGGAGGCCGCGGTGGGCAGATTACCTGAGGTCAGAAGTTCGAGACCAGCCTGGCCAACATGGTGAAACCCCATCTCTACTAAAAATACAAAAATTAGCCAGGCATGGTGGTGCGCACCTGTAATCCCAGCTACTTGGGAAGCTGAGGCAAGAGAATCGCTTGAACCCGGAGGTGGAGGTTGCAGTGAGCCAATCTAGCCTGGGCAAAAAGAGCGAAACTCCGTCTCAAAAAAAAAAAAAAAAAAAATCAAACATTTGTCATTACCTTAGTGTCTTACTGATTATTATTACCTCTGGTATCACAGCATCTCTCTTCACCCTGCTTAAAATGTCCTACCCAGGGCCAGGCACGGTGGCTTACACCTGTAATTACAGTACTTTGGGAGGCCAAGGTGGACAGATCACCTGAGGTCGGGAATCCGAGACCAGCCTGACCAACATGGAGAAACACTGTCTTTACTAAAAACACAAAATTAGCTGGGCATGGTGGCACATGCCTGTAATCCCAGCTACTTGGAAGACTGAGGAGAATCGCTTGAACCCGGGAGGTGGAGGTTGTGGTGAGCCGAGATAGCACCATTGCACTCCAGCCTGGGCAACAAGAGCGAAACTCCGTCTTAAAAAAAAAAAAAAAAAAAAAAGTCCTACCCAGCCAACCAATCAGTGAATGTTTTGCTGGGTTTGTGGGAGAAAAAGTGCCTGCTTGCTGGGCAATTAGTTTCAGTTTGCAGATCAGTGTCCTTGTAAACAAAAAAGGGCCCTAACTGAGGGGCAGGCAAGAGCTCTCAGCTAGATCTCCATGAAAGAAATTATTATTAATTCAAAAAGCATCTATAAGACCTATTCAATCAAATAATATATTATCAGTGGCATTAGTTCTTACAGGAACGTTGAAATTAAAAAATACTGTACAACCATCTTCTCAAATGCCAGGGAATCCAACTTTGCAAGCCAAACCAGTTGTCTCAAATTCAATTATAAGTTTTCCTTCTGCCAAAGAGATATGTTTTCTGTTTAAAGTAGACTGGAGCCCATGCTCCATACTTGATCAGATCACTGTAAAGTCAATTTAGCTGCTGAGAACTAGATATTGGCAATCTAGAGTGAATTCACAGAGAAGTACAAACTACCTAATATTTAAAACACAGGAAAGTTATCGAAATTGGACATCCTTCCAAGATTTTTTCACCCAAAGACCATCACAGACGTAAGTATAATGTTAGTTCATGAAAATTATTAAAAGCCTTGAACAACAGTTCAGATGACAAATATTACTCAATCCAGCTTTACTGCAGTGTATACTGAATTGGATTCTAAGCAACTCCAGTGAAAGTATTAGAGAATATAGTAAATAGATGATGGATTTAACAAAAATACTCTGTGCTGCTTCCTCTCTGCTTTTTAAAGTGAAGCCTAGAAGCAATCTAAGTGTCCATAAATAAGGGCTTGGTTAAATAAATTATGATACATTCTTACCCTGGAAAATGCAACTATTAAAAAGAATAAAGTAGACCCTAGATACCGATATTTTTTTTAAAAGTCCATGATACATAGTTAAGTGAATACCACAAGTTGCAAAACATGTATAGAATTATTCCATTTTGATTTTTTAAAATCTATTTTTAAATACCCTGTGTGTATGTTCATATATGCCCAGCAAAAACAGCTGAAAAAAGATCTGACAAATTGCTAACAGTAGTAACCTCTAGGGACTGACTGAAACTAGGAGGCAGTGAAGGAGTGACTTTCCCTTTTTCCTTTGTGGACTTCTGGTTGTTTATATTTTTTTGCCAGTAGGGGTTACCTTTGGGGTTGAAAAATAACAACACAAAAATAGTAAAAGTAAAATAACATGAATTACACAGATTTATTTATCAGATACTAACCAAAGTAAGTGATCTTTCTACTTAAATGCTACTGTATGCTTAAAACTCCAGAGAATCTAATTCATTCTTTTTCTATTATATTTTACTAAAACAAATAAAAATCACCCCAAGTCCCTACTAGTTTTCTCAAATGCTTTCTATACATACATACATACACACACACACACACACACACACACACCCACAGGCCTGGTCATAAGCATAGCTAACACACACGGTGCTTATTCTACACTAGGAACTGTTGTAAGCACAGTAAGTGTTAACTTATTTAATCTTCCCAGCAGGCCTGGTGAAGTGAATCATGCCTGAAATCCTAGAACTTTGGGAGGCCGAGGCAGGAGGACTGCTTGAGTTCAGGAACTCAAGACTAGCCTGGGCAATATAGTGAGCCCTCATCTCTACAAAAAATACAAAAAATTAGCTGGGTGTGGTGACCCACGCCTGTAGTCTCAGCTGCTCAGGAAGCTGAGGTGGGAGGATCGCTTGAGCCTGGGAGGCAGAGGTTGCAGTGAGCCAAGATTGTGCCACTGCACTTCAGCCTGGGCAACAGAGCCAGACCCTGTCTCAAAAAACAAAAACAAAAACAAAAAAAGTCTTCACAGCAACCTTATGAGTTAAGTACTACTATAATATTATCTTCATTTCACAATCAAAGAAACTGAGTCCAAAGAGCTTCAGTGAGCCGCCTAAGCTTACACAGCTAACAAGGGGAAGAGCTAGGATTCAAACCTAAGAATAAACTCCAGAGTCCATACTCTCAACCACTATGCTTCCTGTCTCTCAGTAATATGTCAATCTCTCTATATGAAAGCCAAAAGGGGTTACAGGTAAAACCCAGCTAGCTAATGCATTCCTTGAAGCTGGAAGAGATGCACACTTGGCTTTTTATGGGTGAATAATCCTACTTATGTCATTGCCAAGCTCCAACCCAAGGATCAAGACTGTATTAAGGTTCATAACCATGTGGGAAAATTCTCTACACACTCAATTATAGTCCAAAGTCCATACCTGACTCCACAGTAAATCACTAAGCCTAAGATTTAGGTCAGAGACCCAGCTAGACAAAGGATTTGGACAAACCTCCACCCCAACTCAAAGCAAGACAATTCAGAAACTTTTGTCCAAACGTTCTGACAAAGTAGGCTTTTGTTTTGTTTTGTTTTAGTCCTAGGCCCACTTAAGATTTAAACGGGGAAAGAATACGAGTTGTCTTTAACTTTGCTTGAAGACTTCAGCAAGAAAAGCCTTTTCTACGTGGGCTCAAACAGAAATTGGCATATATCAGCATCAGCAAAGTTGAACATCCTGGCTTAAGGAGACAAAAATAGGCATCCTTGCTTAAATGGTGTATTTGGCCAAACATGTTGACCTTATAATTGTGGAAGAAAAAAATGGTGCGAGGAAGAGATTTAACCTAATTTGTAAATGTGCTCAGCCTAGATACACACCTGTCCCAAATGACCTACTGAATCCACTTATTTGCAGGGACAACATGGATTACAATGCCTTTTTTGTTTTTATTTTTTGCCCTCAAGTGGTCCATACTACTGTTTGTAAACAAAATCCTCTCACTACCTCTCTTCCACCTGTCATACACACACATCTGATATTTACATAAACAAGAAGAAATGAACAGGGAAACTGGAGCTTTGGGAGGAATTCCTTACCCTCAGCTTTTGACCCAGTGGTTGAAGGAGGTACTATGCGGGCTTTCAAACTTCCCCAAATAACCCAGGCAGAGAGGCTGGGTGCGCGAACCCAACCCAAAAGTTTGCGCCCATTCTGGTCTCTGAAAAAGGCCAGAAAGCCCTGTTGGGAAGAAGATGAGATGCCTTCCACCCAGCAGCCACCCCCTCCCGAGGGAGCACAGCCCACGGGGGACAAAAGACTTTCCAGATTGATCGGGGGCGGGAGGGAGACTAGCTGGACCTGGGATCCCCCCTCGGGAGCCGGAACCTGGGGTGTCTTTGGGGTAACAAACGATAAATTATAGGCAAGAGCCCAACCCTAGATTGCCGGGGCTGAGGTGAGGACGGGTCCTGCCCGAGAGGGAGCGCCGGACTCACCTGGAGGAGGCGAAGAGGGGGCCTCGGTGGCAGGTGGGGTGGGGAGGACGCTGCTGTTGCTGCTGCTGGGGAGATCGGGGGTCGGGGTCCGGGGAGTCGTGGGCGCCGGTACGGTGGTCGCTACAGGGGTGGTCGGCGCCGGGCCAGTGGTCGTCGAAAGGGTGGTCGGCGCGGGTCTGGTCGGCGCCTGAGAGGTGGTCGAAGTGCGTTCCGCCGCCGGAGGGGTGGTCGGCGAGGGGCCGAGCGGCGCCTGAAAGGTGGTGGAAGAGGGTCCAGCAGTCGCCCAAAGAGGGGTGGTCTCCGGGGACTGGGCTGGAGAAGTCGCAGCCAGGGGTCGGTGGACGGTGGCGCGCGGGGGCCCGGTCCTCGGGGCCTGGGCCGTGGGAGCCGTCGCCCTAGGGAAGGGGTGGCTGGGCTCGCCCCGCAACCCGGGGCCCGGCGACGCGTCCACCTGCCCCGCGGCCCCGCCGCCACCGGTGACATTCCCCGCCGAGGCGGCTGAGGCGACGGCGGCGGCGGCGGCGGCGGCGGCGCAGCACAACAGGGCGAGGCCGCCCAGGCTCGGCAGGCTCCTCATGGCGCGCTCGGCTCCGCCATTCATTCATTCAGCCAGTCGGTTGGTCAGTCATCTTCTCCTCGTTGCAATCCGACCAAGGAAGCCTCCGCAACCGCCGCCGCCACCGCCACCGGGCGCACCATCGCCACCTCCCTCTGACAGGCGGCCGGCCCCGCGGGCGGGCCCCAGCGCGGAGGGAGCGACCGGACCGAGCGCGGACCGCCCGCCCTCCTCGATTGGCAGCCGCGCCTAACCAATGGGAAGCCACAGTCGCCCACGTGATCCGCCCGCTTCCCGGCCTCTTTGTAGCCCCGTAGGCCAATCAGAGGACGTCCAGGAGAGGGGGCGGTCCGTGAGGCGGGAGAAGGGTGGTGCGAGCCCAGCTCTAGCCCGCCGGGCTCGCGGCGGCCCCGGCTTTGTCTGCCCAAAGAGTGGGGCGCGGGCCTCGGGCACCGGGCGCCGCGGAGCAGACAAAGGATGCGCCCCGCGCGGCAGACGCCGGGCCTAGTCATCTGCTCCACCGGGCTGCGAGCACGAGCGGGGGGTGGAATCAGCACTCGGGAGCATCCCCGCCCTCCTGAACAATGGGGCGCCAGCGCCGCACCCCAGCTCGGGCGGGGACCGCGCGGGAACCCCGCGATGGGAGAGGGCAGCGGCAGCGACGATGTAGAGCTTGGCATGCCCTCTGCTGCTCCAGAGAGCCTGGTCGCAGCCTTGCGAGGTCTCTGCCGCCATTCCCATTTCAGAGATGGGGAAGCTGAGGCCCTTGCTGAGGGCCTCCCTGAACCGAGACCCACGCCCTCACCAGAAACCTGCTGTGGGCCAGGTGTTGTGCCAGACTGGACAAGGGGGCGGGACCGGGCGGTGGAGACCCCTGAGGGCAGAAGGTGCAAGCTTCCTGCGTGGAGGAGACAGGCTCGCAAGCACACTTACCTAAACCCCGGGAAGAATAGGATCAGACAGGGTTGAACCTCAACTTGATGTCTTTTGCTGAATGGTTTTGTGGCCTGAGCGCGGTTTTTTCACCACTAAAATGGAGATGATAGGACACCCCTCACCCCCCACCCCCCTCACAGAGCTGTTGTGAGAATTAAGTCATGGACGTAAAGGGCTTAGCCCAGAGCCTGGCCCACTGTTGTAACCCTCATTAATGCTAACTATTCTCAGCATTTGCGCCAGGGCAAGCCCAGGATTAGAAAGCAGCCCCAGGCCACAGCCCTTCAGTGCCCCCAGAGCCTCCGGCTGGTTGCAGGGGTTGGGGTGGGGCTAATAGCCGAGCTTGACCCTGGATGACACTAAACCCTGAATCAAGCTGGAATTCGGGCACGCAGCCTCGCATCATCCGCCCAGGATCCAGAGCTAGGTCAGGCGCTGCTGCTTCGGCTCAGCAGCTTCCAGAGGAAGCCAGGCAGGGCGGGTTTGTCATCTGATGGGGCTTAATTCAAGCCCCACTGCTAACCCAATCCCGGCCTCCCCTACGTGATGTTTGGCTTTGTGCATGGTTTCCCATTAGTCATTGGTCTTCAACCAGACCAGCAGGATGAGATTTATGTGTGAACCCGTGTATGTTAATTAAAGCATGCATTTATTTTCCTGCATGAGTAGTGGGTGGGGGAGGCTGTGTATGAATGCATAAACATGTTTGTGAGTCTGTGTGTATGAGTGTTGTATGTATCTGTGTGAGTTTATGAGTATGGGAGCTAGTATCTATTTTCATATATTGTGTCTTAATAATCTGTGCATGTGTACTGGTGTGTGTTTTTGTGTATTTTCTGTGTTTTTGCATTTGTGGTTATCTATGGGTGTGTCTTGATAGGTCTATGTATATAAGACAGCGGGAATGAGGGAGAATGTGAGTGTTCTGTCTTCAGGACCAATATTTAGCAAGCACTAACCAAGGTTCTATTTTTACTTTGCTTTGGGAGGGTGGACAGGTCATGCCAGTCCCCCATATTCCCTTGCTGACCCTCCCTGGCCCTTCAAACCCCAACCAAAATGTCACATTCTCTAAAAGACATTCCTGGATTTGAGTGGGAATTAATCTCTCCCTTCTCATTTCCCCACCACCCCTTGTTTATGCATTGATTACAGCCCTGATCTACCAATCTACCTCTCCGTTGCCTCTTCCTAAAAGGATTAAGGATGGCTTTCAGAAATATATACAACAGGATAAATTGTATTGCCCACATGGCTTTATTACTTCTCATAGGCATGCATCAGCCTTAATACTAGAACTTGTTATTTATGTGTCTGTCTCTTACGTCAGATGTTCTCCCTGTTCTGAGAACCTAGCAGGGGCAACACATGTAAGTGCCAACCCATGCTGGTTAAATTGAATTAATTGAGGTCTTGTCGTGCTTGTGGGAGGAGCTTGTGTCTTTAGAGTCAGACAGACTTGGGTCATGACTGCCAACTCTGTGACCTTGGAGGAAACCTTTCACCTCTCTGAGCCTCAGTTTTCCCCCCCACTTTTTTTTTTTTGAGACAGTGTTTCACCCTTGTCGCCCAGGCTGGAGTGCAGTGGGGTGATCTTGGCTCACTGCAACCTCCGCCTCCCAGGTTCAATCGATTCTCCTGCCTCAGCCTCCCGAGTAGCCGGGATTACAGGCACTTGCCACCAGGCCCAGTTAATTCTTGTATTTTTAGTACAGACGGGGTTTCACCATGTTGGCCAGGCTGGTCTCGAACTCCTGAGCTCAAGTTATCCTCCGGCCTAGACCTCCCAAAGTGCTGGGATTACAGACATGAGCCGCCGCGCCAGGCCACTTTTCTCATCTATTAAATGGGGCCAATAAATAGTCTCTCATTTGTTGACTAGGATTGAGGAGAATGTTTTTACAGAGCCTAGCACACAGACGGTGCTCAAGCTGTGTAGGTTCATATTTTTGTTATACCATTGCTAACTTTGAGACTTGTTGGCTGAAGGACCAGAGCAGAAACCCCTGCCCCATAAGTTCCCCATCAGGTGACATGGCCTGACACTTGCCCTACCTGATATTTCCAAATGATATCTGAAAAATGCTGGGTTGGCCCTGAGCTTTGCTGTATCAGAGGTTCTCTGGCAAGGGGAAAAAAGCTGATGCAGCTTCTTGGCCAGGAGAGCCACAGAGCAAATGACTAGGAGACCTTGTCGAGTGATTCAGGTCAGCTCTCTGCCTTAGGCAAGGATCATCCATGCCGGGGCTTTTAAGATGGGATATTAGCCTGTCATATGTATAGAAAATATTGAATTTTTTTGAAAGATACCAGTAATTTAAATGTGTTAATGTCCATTCAACATTTAATTTTTAAATTTCCTTAATCTTAAATCTTCCTTAATCTCTAAACTACAAGATGACTTTCTTAGGAATTATGTTTGTGTTTAAAAATTGGAAATACCTTACATATCTGTCATCAAAGAAAGGTATTATTATACCTGTTAAATTTAATCCTAGAAAGTCATTGTAAGTGTAGCTATGAAGACAGTATAGCAAATATTAATAGTAAATAATTGAGCTCATAGTCTATGCTAGACACTATACCAAGAGCTACATATGAATTGTTTTGTTTAATCCTAAAAACCCCAGGAAATAGGTACTATTATGTCTTAGTCCATTTGGGCTGCTGCAACAAAGTACTGTAGATTGTGGCTTGTAGACAACAAAAAATATATCTCTCCCAGCTCTGGTGCCTGGGAAGTCCAAGATCAAGGCACCAGCAGATTCAGTGAGCTCCCTGGGTGTCCTTTAAAAGGACACTAATTCCATTCATGATGGCGCTGCCCTTATAACCTAATCATCTCCCAAACGCTTCCAAATACTTTTACATGGGGAGTTAGGATTTCAACGTGTGAATTTTAGGGGGACACAAACATTCAGTCTATAGTCTATTATTATCTGCATTTTACAGCTAAGGAAACTAGGTCACAGGTTAAGCAACTTGCCCATGGTCACTTAGTAAATAATAGAGCTAGAAATCAAACTGAGGCTGGCTGGCTCCCACTGACACCCTTAACTATAAATGGAAAATCCTCATAATGGTAAGAAGAAAAGAAAAAATAAAAATTATAGCTGTGACACTCTGTGTAACAGAACATTGACTGGCACTTTTCCTATTTGCCCCAGAACTGTAGCTAAGGCCCATGAGACCTGGAGCCAAAGGCTTAGGGAAGGACCACAGAACAGCAGGGGTCAGAGTGGGCCTTGTTGGAGCCAATGTGCAGCCTGACTTTTCTCCTAGGCAAATGAGGTGCTCTAAAGGGCCCCAACTGATTTCTCACTTTATTAGTCAGCACCGAGCACAGTGTCAAATACACAGAAATGGCTCAAGAATTGTCTGTGAGCCAGGCACGGTGGCTTATGCCTGTAATCATAGCACTTTGGGAGGCCGAGGTGGGTGGATCACAAGGTCAGGAATTCAAGACTAGCCTGGCCAACATGGTGAAATCCCGTTTCTACTAAAAATACAAAAAAGTTAGCCAGGCGTGGTGGCGGACGCCTGTAATCCCAGCTACTTGGGAGGCTGAGGCAGGAGAATTGCTTGAACCTGGGAAGCAGAGGTTGCAGTGAGCCGAGATCGTGCCACTGCACTCCAGCCTGGGCGACAGAGCAAGACTCCATCTTGAAAAAATTTTTTTAAAAAATTGTCTGTGAAGTCTTATGATGTGGCAGATGCTGTTCCGGGAGTTTTATATTCGGAACACGTTTATTCCTCAAAGACAGGGCTGTCATCTGCACTTCAAAGAAGAAGAAACTGAGCCTCCAAGAGCTTAAGGGACTTGCCCAAGGCCCTTGTGACTCAAAAGCCCAGGCTCTTCTCTATACACTACAGTCGTTAATGTGGCCGCTATGTGTTGCACATACTAGGAGGTCAGTGAACACATACTGAAGGAAAGGACACACATGCACCAAATTTAACCCTTCTGCTAGAAAAGCATTTAAGAAAAGAGAAGCTTTGGGAGTGAGAAAAGAAGGTATAATGATATGATACATAGGGCTCAGCAAAATAACTTCATCTCCCAGATTCCAATAAAACACAGACACCTTTCCCCTTTCTGGTTTCATTGAAACAGCAATGCTGACATGGACTATTTCTAATCCTGCTGGAGGCTGGCCTCCTATCAGATGTGGCTAAATGCAAGGTTTGGCATCTTCTGCAGACAACTGTAGGATTACTGGGGCCACTGTTCACAAAGTCGGCCCAGCAAAGGACACTAACAGACAAGCCACAGAAAGGAATACAAATGACTAAAAAATATGAAATACTGCATATGCAACTTGAGTAATTAAAGCATTGCAAGTTGAGATAAGGAGTTGCCATTTTTTTAACCTATTGATTTGGCAAAAATTTTTACAAACTGGTAATACTTGTTATGGTCTCTCACTGTTGATAGAAATATAAAGTGATACAACCTTTCCAGAAAGCCTTAAAAGTGTTTATACTCTTTGACCCATTATTTCCACTTTTTTTTTTTTTTTTTGAGACGGAGTCTCACTCTTTTTGCCCAGGCTGGAGGGCAATGGCATGATCTTGGCTCACCGCACTCTCTACCTCCCGGGTTCAAGCGATTCTCCTGCCTCAGCCTCTCAATTAGCTGAGATTACAGGCATGTGCCACCATGCCCAGCAAATTTGGTATTTTTAGTAGAGATGGGGTTTCTCCATGTTGGTCAGGCTGGTCTCGAATTCCCGACCTCAGGTGATCTGCCTGCCTCGGGCTCCCAAAGTGCTGGGATTACAGGCGTGAGCCACTGCACCCGGCTCATTATTTCTACTTTTAATAATCTAGCCAAAGGCCAGGCACAGGAGATCATGCCTGTGATCCCAACACTTTGGGAGGCTTAGGTGGGCAGATCACTTGAGCCCAGGAGTTCAAGACCAGCCTGGGCAACATGGTGAAACCCCGTCTCTACTAAAAAAAAAAAAAAAATTACTAAAAATTAGCATGGTGGTATGCAGCTGTAGTCCCAGCTACCTGGGAGGCTGAGGTGGGAGATCACCTGAGCTTGGGAAGTCGAGGCTGCAGTGAGCCATGATCATGCCACTGTACTCCAGCCTGGGCAACAGAGTAAGACCCTGTCCCAAAAAGAGAAAAAAAAAAGAATCTATCCAAAGGAAATAAATAATCAGATGTAAATATGTATGTACAAAAATGTTCACCAGAGTGTTATATAATTACAAAAATTAGAAAAATCTAAACAGTTAACAAAGGATTAGTTGAGTACTTTGTGCTGTATGATGTTTCTATGTAGAAACACTATA